>NC_000016.10:84505682-85130682 GCF_000001405.40 Homo sapiens
CTGGAAAACCGTGACTTCGCCCGCCAACGTCCGCTTGAGTTGGTCTCGAACTCCTGACCTCAGGTGATCTGCCTGCCTCGGCCTCCCACAGTGCTAGAATTGTAGGGGTTAGCCACTGCACCCGGCTGGTCACCTCTTATTCTTTAAGCTGGAACAAAAATAGAAGGCTTTCTGCCTGAGGGCAGCAGGCCTGGCTGGTGACAGTGCACAAGGTAGGGCCCCTCACCAAGACATTGCTCTGAGATCCAAGGCCAATGTCCCAGGAGAAGCAGCTCCACAAACTAACGCATCTACAGCCAGGGTACCCCCAGCTGTGGATGCCAATGACACGAGTAGCCCCAGCTCTTCACCTCGGCTTCTTAGAGTAGGTGCCTGTCACCTGCAGCCAGGGCTCCTGATGCCCAAGACACACGGGCCTTTAGACATGAAGGACTAGACCCTGTTTCCAGCCTTCACACCCCTGTACTTCCTGCACACATCAACCAGGTGTGTCTTTTTCAGTGCCATCCGAGGTAGTGGCATTTTTGACATAGCAACAGTTTTTTGTAGGCTGAGGCACACCAAGGGTGGACAGCAATGGTGGCCTCTCAGGTGCAGGTACTGGGGGGTCCGCAGGAGCAAACCGGAGCCGATGTGTCAGCCTGGGCAACATAGTGAGACTCCATCTCTACAAAAAATGAAAAGCTTGGCCGGGCGTGGTATGGCACACCCGTAGTCCCAGCTACTCAGGGAGCCGAGGCAGGAGGATCGCTTGAGCCTCAGAGGGCGAGACTGCAGTGAGCCGTGATTGCACCACTGCACTCCAGCCTGGGCAGGAAAGTGAGATCTTGTTATTAAAACGGTGAAACAAAATCCCCCAGAAAACCACAGAAGCAAATGCGGAGCGGCGCCGTTTGAGAGCTACCGAAGTGGCGCCACCTCGTGGCCATACCCTCCAGAAACAGCCTACACTCCAATCTGCCCACCTGCCTGGTTGGAAAGTTTCTGTTTTTGATGGAGTTTCACTCTTGTTGCCCAGGCTGGAGTGCAATGGCGCAATCTCGGCTCACTGCAGCCTCCACCTCCCAGGTTCAAGCAATTCTCCTGCCTCAGCCTCCCGAGTAGCTGGGATTACAGGCATAGGCCACCACACCCAGTTAATTTTTATATTTTTAGTAGAGACGGGGTTTCACCACGTTGGCCAGGCTGGTCTCGAACTCCTGACCTTAGGTAATCCACCCACCTCGGCCTCCCAAAATGCTGGGATTACAGGCATGAGCCACCGCCCCTGGTATTCTCAATTTTTTTAAATAAGAGATTTATATTGCTTGACATTTTGCATATAAAGTGAGACTCTTTTAAAAATATACATCATGCTATTTCAACAAGCTGGTGCTCCCGGGGATGTCCATGGGCTGTCCAACTGCCCCCGGGGCACCAGCTTCTGTTTTTTATGCTGACTTTGGGCACTGAACTCTCCTTGGCTCCCAGAGGTCCTGACCAGGCTGGTCCTGCCATCCACAGCGGTGCCTCTGCTAGCGACATCCCTGCCCAATTTTCCATGTCCAGCTTTGACACCTCCACAGAAAGGCTGAGCCACCACCGGGCCCCCATTGTGGCTGAGCATCCACTCTCTCTTCCCCATGTGCTCCTTGCCCCCGACTCCCCATCTCTGGAACCCAAGTTTGGGCTGCATGGACCACCTTCTGGGCCAGGCTGTTAGGAGGCCACCACCAAGCAGCAAACGCAGGAGCAGCCGTGCCCTGAGGAGGCACCACCAGCAGCCTCCAGCAGCACTCGGTGAGGCGGGCAACGATCCATCTGTGCCGCCAGCATGGAGCCGGAAGCCACGGCTGACTTGTGCAGTAGAGGAAGTCGAGTTCATTTTATTGAATTTATTCTCATTTTCAGTTTGAATGGCCACATGTGGCAGGCAGTTATTCTATTGTGCAGTGCTTGCCGGACCACATGCAACAATTCAAAATTGAAAATCAAAAATAAATGTACGGCTCACCCACTAGGATAGCTAACGTTTTTGTTTTGTTTTTGAGACAGGATCTTGCTCTATCACCCAGTCTGGAGTGCAGTGATGCAATCACGGCTCAGCTCACTGCAGCCTCGACCTCCCAGGCTCAAGCCATCCTCCCACCTCAGCCTCGTAAGTAGCTGGGACCACCGGCGTACCCCACCACACCAGGCTATTTTTATTTTTTGTAGAGATGGGGCCTCGCGATGTTGCCCAGGCTGGTCTCGAACTCCTGGGCTCAAGCGATCCTCACACCTTGACCTCCCAAAGTGCTGGGATTACAGACATGAGCCACCATGCCCGGCCTAAGAGGGCTAAAGTTTTTTAAATAGCGAGTGTTGGAGAGGAGGTAGTTCTCTCCTCCCGCACTGCTGGTGAAATGGTTCAGCCATGGGGGAAATCAGTCCTCAAAAAGTTAAACAGAGTTACCATAGGACCAGCAGTCCCACGCCTAGATACACCACAAAGCTGAAAACCTGTATTCAAACACACACTAGTACTGGATGTTCAAGCAGCACTGTTCACGATAGCCTAAAGTGGAAAAAAGATAAAAGCCCATCTGAAGAATGGATAGACAAGATATGGTATATCCACACAATGGAATAATATTTGGCAATTTAAAAAAAAGGAATGAACCACTGACACATTACAACGTGGATAATCCTTGAAAATCTGATGTTATGGCCAGGCGCAGTGGCTCATGCCTGTAATCGCAGCACTTTGGGAGGCCGAGGTAGGTGGATCACCTACCTCGGTGGATCACCTGAGCTCAGGAGTTTCAGACCAGCCTGGCCAACATGGTGAAACCCTGTCTCTACTAAAAATACAAAAATTAGTCGGGCATGGTGGTGGGCGCCTGTAATTTTAGCTACTCAAGAGGCTGAGACGTGAGAATTGCTTGAATCCAGGAGGCAGAGGTTGCAGTGAGCCAAGATCGCGCACTGCACTACAGCCTGGGTGACAGAGTAAGACTTTGCCTCAAAAAAAAAAAAAAAAAAAAACTGTGGTTACGTGAAAGCAGCCAGACACAAAGGACCACATATTGTAGCTTTGATGTAAAATGTTCAGAAAAGACAAATTTAGAGACAGAAAGTAGATTGCGGTTGCCAGTGCTGGAGCGTTAGGAATGAGGAGTGACTGCTAATAATGGCTCTGGGGTCTCCTTCAGGGGTAATAAAAATATTTTGGGACTAAACAGAGGCAATAGTACAGCAATTGTGAACGTATTATCCTCAATGTCATGGAATTATACACTTCAATATGCTTAATTTTATGCGATGGGAGTGATACTAAGATTTTTCTTTTTTTTTTTTTTTTTTCAAGGAAAGTGCACAATCTTTTGAGGCCTCACACAGATGGTGGTGTGAAAGGGTCAAGGCTGTGGAGGCCTGCTAGAGGGCCGAGTTCCATTTCCCCTTAGAGTGAGTGCAGGGTCAGCCTCTCAGGGCTCGGGGGCTTCAGTGGCCCTGCCTCGGAGAGCTCCAGCCAATGGCCATGTCACGCGTGAGGCAGCTGAGGGGCCAGGGCAGCAGAGCAAGGTCTGTTGCCAGGAACTGACTGCCCTGCCTCCCAGCAGCAGGTCAGAGGTGGGGCATCTGGGACAGGTGGCCACAGCAGCCTGGAGACATCGCAGAAGGAGACCTTCCGTAGAACACCAGGAGCCCAGCAGTGAGGGGCTACAGGACCAGGACCCAGGGTGAACCAGGACCCAGGGTGACCCAGGACCCAGGGTGAACCAGGACCCAGGGTGAACCAGGAGGGTGAAAGGCCAGGTACTGCCCAGCTAAGGGCTGCAGCAGGCACCGCCTGCTAGGAGAGTCGCAAAGGACATCCACACAAGTGACCACAAGCTCAAAGTCAACTTGAAACATGGGCCACAGATCGCCTGAAGCCAGCTTACCCCCTTGGGACACAGAACAGCCCCCAAAGACGTCCATGACCTAATCCCCAGAACCTGCGCATATGTTACCTGACACGGCAAGAGGGACTTCGCATATGCGACTGAGTTAAGGACTTTGAAATGAGGCGATTATCCTGGATTACCCAGGTGGGCCCCAGGCAATCACAGCAATCCTAATGGGGGAAGACAGGAGGCTCAGGGTTGGGAGGAGACCGCGATGGAAGTAGGGAAGCAGGTGGGGGCAGGAGGCACTGGACAGTGCCACGCTACCGCCCTGAAGATGGAAGAGGGAAGGGAATCTCCTCTAGAGCCTCCACAGAGGACACCATGCTGCTGACCCCTTGATTTTAGGCTTCTGATTGCGGGACTGTAAGAACACATTAACGTGTCTTCAGCCACTGAGTTTTTGGGTCATTTCTCATAGCACCAATGGGAAGCCAACATCTCACCCCACTGGGCAAGTGAAAACTTCCCGTGCCCTATCCCTCCTTCCGAGCCGGAAGGGGGTCACAAATCAGGCGGTCAGACACCAAAAATAAAAATATAGGTGGCCAGGTACAGTGGCTCACGCCTGTAATCCCAGCACTTTGGGAGGCCGAGGCGAGCAGATCACAATGTCAGGAGTTCGAAACCAGCCTGGCCAACATGGTGAAACCCTGTCTCTACTAAAAAACAAAAATTAGCCAGGGGCGGTGATGCACTCCTGTAATCCCAGCTACTCAGGAGGCTGAAAAAGGAGAATTGCTTGAACCCGGGAGGCAGAGTTTGCAGTGGGCCAAAATCACGCCACTGCACTCCAGCCTGAGTGACAGAGCCAGACTCCAACTCAAAAAAAAAAAAAAAAAAAATAGAGGATAGTGGCCAGGTGCAGTGGCTCCCAATGCTTTGGGAGACCAAGGCAGGAGGATTGCTTTAGTCCAGAAGTTCAAGACCAGTCTGGAGAACATATTGAGACCTTGTATCTTAGACAAAAATTAGCCTGGCATGGTGGTGCATGAATTTTAAATTCATGAATAGCCTGTGGCCCCAGCTACTTGGGAGGCTAAGATAGGAGGATCACTTGAGCCTACGAGGTCAAGGCTGCAGTGAGCTATGATCGTACCACTGTACTCCAGCCTCGGCAACAGAGTGAGATCCTGTCAAAAAAAAAAAAAAAAAAGCCCAGCTAAGTTTGAGTTTCAAATACTTTTTTTTTAGTAGAAAAAGACCCCAATATTGCATGAGATGTAATTATACTAAAAAAGTGTTCACTCTTTATCTGAAATGCAAACTTAGCTTGGCATCCTGTTATCTGGCAATCCTCATCAAAAACAGCAGCTACATGGAAGGAGGGTAGCAGGGAAGAGAAAAACCACAGTCCCTGCTGCCCCAGTAGGCTCTTGGGGGCATGGGGGAAAGCTAATGGTAAGTCAGCATCCACATTTTACTACCTGGGACCGAACATTTTAAATTCATGAATAGAGACTGCTTTTGATCTAAAGTGGTACCAGGAACTAATTCCCTAGGAATAGTCAAAAAAAAAAAAAAAAAATCACGGGAAAGGTCTGGGCTTTTCATAGCGTAGAAAGAAGGGACAAGAGGGCAGCCCTCTTCCCGCGTTCCCACTGAGCAGGTTTGAGGGGCAGCAGGAAACAAGGCTGACTGCATTGTGGCACCCCTCCAGGCTGCCTTGGACGAGTTAAGATGGGATCCGTCAGCTTGGTCCCTAACCCCAGGTAAAGATGGAACAGATGCTGGCTGTGACCAGGAGTCCTGAATTTGCCTTGCACCATTTCCCTCCACCGGACTGGGAGCCACTGCGGGGCAGGAAGCTGCCTTTTCCATTTCCCAAGACCGGAATCAATCACAGCGGCTCATCGCATCATGCATCCTCTGCAATGGTTCCTTCCTTTCCAGGGAGGTTGGTCACGGCCAATGCTGTCCTGTGTCCACCAGGTGGCGCTCGCGATCACCGCAAAACACATGGCTACCGTGATGGTTTTTAAATAAGAAATCTTACAATGGTTTTAGACATAAAGGACTGTTGAGAATATGATAGAGAGTTCGTGTGCGACCCGCACCCTGTTCCACTGCGCCTTAACATCTGACATGACTCTGGTCCATCTGTCACCATGAAGGAGCCAATTCATATATGAGTAAGTCACCTGCATTTTATTCACTCTTCCTTCGTGTTTGCCTAATGTCCTTTTCTACCCCAGGTCCCACGAGACATTTAGCCATCAGGTGTCCCCAGGCTGCTCCTGGCTCTCGCGGTTGCTCAGACTCTTTGTTTCTGATGCTCTTGACAATTTGAGGAGTCCTGGTCAGGGATTCAGTCAAGTGTCCCCCACTATTGTGATTTAGCTGATGGTCTCCTCGTGATTGGACGGGGGTATGGGTCTGGGAGACAGACCCCAGAGGTGAAGTGGCCCTTCTCGTCACATCGTTTCAAGGGCCAGAACTATCAGTGTGGCTCACGGCCGTCGATGTCGCCCTTGAGTACCTGGCTGAGGTGGCACCTGTCCGCCTCTCCTGCTATGAGGCTGCCCTTCCACTCCCCTTCTATTCTGTACTCTTGGATCATTTTTTGGCTTTTGGAAACCATTTCCTGAACGCTTGGCCATTGGAGCACTGAGTTCGGTTAGGACAGTGGAGGTAGGGGTGAGAATTGGGGGACAGGGTGCTGGTCACATGGTGTGAGAACAAAGTGGAAACTTACAACCAGGGGGAAGGGCCCAGCGGTTTTCAAAGTTAGGGCACCCAATAGTAACTTAGGGTTCTTGCCTCTTCCCACCTCTGAATTACCCAGGTAAAACTTAAGTCAGGATCCTTTCAGAGGTGATAGGAAATGTGATCTGAGAGGCCAAAATAGATGCCCCTGTATCAGCTAAGATGGACCATAAGGTTAAGGAAACAAAGTTACCTGTGGTTCCAGTGTTCAAGGTTCAGGGCCCAGCTGGCATGGGAAATTAATTAATTTTTTTCTTTTTTGAGACAGAGTCTCACTGTCATCCAGGCTGGAGTACAATGGCGTGCTCTCGGCTCACTGCAACCTCCGCCTCCCAGGTTCAAGCAATTCTCCCACCTCAAACTCCTGAGTAGCTGGGATTATAGGCATGCGCCACCACACCCAGCTAATTTTTGTATTTGTGGTAGAGACGGGGTTTCACAATGTTGGCCAGGCTGGTCTCAAACTCCTGACCTCGTGATCAGCCCGCCTCAGCCTCCCAAAGTCCTGGGTTTACAGGTGTGAGCCACCACACCTGGCCCAATTTATTTATTTGACACCCCGGCTGGAGTGCAGTGGCGCGATCTTGGCTCAGTGCAACCTCTGCCTCCTGGGCTGAAGCGATTCTCCCACCTCAGCCTCCCAAGAATCTGGGATTACAGGCATGTGCCACCATACCTGGCTAATTTTTATATTTTTTGTACAGACAGGGTTTCATCATGTTGCCCAGGCTAGTCTCGAACTCCTGACCTCACGTGATCTGCCCACCTCAGCTTCCCAAAGTGCTGGTATTACAGGCATGAGCCACTGCACCTGGCCTGGCATGGCAAATTTTAAAATCCCTATGGCGGCAAGAAAAAAAAAAACACATTTGCAAAACACCCTAATAATTGGAGCTATCAGGCAAATTATCCTAACTCTGATTTACAATCCCAACCGCTACAACTCTGACCGGACGAAGGAATGGACTTACATTCTTTTCCCATAAGTAATTACAGACCTTAAGCCTGTTTCGGCGGCTTACAGAAGCTACCCACAGACTGTGTGCCCTACAGTTCACCTTTTCACACAAAGAGCCAAGTTCCACCTCTCTTTAATGCTAACCTCACTCCAACGTGAACATGTGATATACGTTATATGTATGTCACATGTGTTTACCCACTGCCCATGCACTCGGCTCCCTTCATAAATATATATCACTTCCTCCCGAACCTGCTGAATATGTACAACTATTGTGGGCTACAGGCCCTGTTAGGCATAAAACCCAGCCTGTTCCTCCCCTCTTGGAAGAGGGGTTACCTTTGGCACACACTGGAGACCGTCTCTTCCAGTTTGCAAACTGATACCCCCGCCAAGCTCTCCTTTCTACCATTTAGCCACCCTGGCGGTCTTTCGGATAACAAGAAAAATCCAGGAAAAGGCAGCAAAGGAAAAGCAGCGTCCAAAAGGCTGAGGGAGACTGTCACCCTGTCCTCTAAGTGCCACCAAGACACAGAGCCTGAGCGCAGGGACGTCATGTGTATGTCCCTTGCACCTGGGCCTGGTCTGGCCCGCAGCCGGGGCTCAAGAAACAGCTGCTCACCGAGAGTGGTGGCTCACACCTGGAATCCCAGCACTTTGGGAGGCCAAGATGGGAGGATCACTTGAGCCCAGGATTTCAAGACCAGCCTGGGCAACACAGGGAGGTCCCTCAACCCTACAAAGAGTCAAAAATTAGCTGGGCGTGGTGGCCCACGTCTCTGGTCCCAGCTACTCGGGAGGCTGGGGAGGGAAGATTGCTTGAGCCTAGGATGTAGAGGCTAAAGCGAGTTGTGATTGTGTCACCACACTTCAGCCTGGGTGACAGAGCCAGTCAAAAAAAAAAAAAAAAGAAAGAAAGAAAGAAAAAGAAATGGCTACCGAATGAACAAATGGTCGGTTGGTTGCTCCTGCCCCACTCAGTTCCCCCAGGTAAAATGGATCCTGCCTCTCACCTACTTTAAAACCCTTCCACGACTGCCCACCACCCTAGGCTGCCCTCTCACTCAGCCCCCACCATCTGGGCCTGGTCTCTCCCCACATGCAGGGCCCAGCTCGACTCCTTCACCCCGACCTTTCCATGGTCCTCTCTCCCCACGCGCACGGCCCAGCTCAACTCCTTCACCCGGGCCTTTCCACTTTGCCTGGAACACGTGTCCCCATGTTCTTCCCTCCCTCATCCTTCAGGTGTCCCCAAGATCTTCCTGCCCACTCTCCACCCCACCTTGGCTTACGTGGCCCGCAGCCCAGAACTGGGATGAAAATAATGGGGGTGGAGGGAGGTGATGTTCTTTGACGACAGTACAGGCTTCAAGGACAGTGGAGAAGCCTGATCTGGGGGAGGATGGTGTGGGGAAAGACCCCGTGGGTGAGCCACGAGGCTAAGGAGGGGTCGTGGGGGAGGGTTATGCCCCATCCAAAAGCCCCACCAACTTAAATTCTGCAGCTGATTTCTGCCGCTGCTGTCTTGCCACTGCACAGGAACCCCAGGCTCAGAGCTCCTGTCACTTTATCTTGGGCACCAGGCACCCTGCAGAGGTAGCTTCATCCTGGGCCTCTCACAAAACGTTGCTTTTGCAGTAAGAGTCGCTGTGAGTTCAACCCACGGTTCTCACTGCGCTAAGGCTCTGTTTCTGCTTTTGTGGTACACAGGTCTTTTTCTTCTTCTAACACCATAAAAGGTGACAAAATCTCCTAGTTGCTGAAGTCCTCTGTGCACACACTCGGCTGGGGAGCCTTTGTGGCTTAGTGGAGCGAGGCTTGTGGGGCCGCCTGCTTACCTGGGTCCCTGCCTCTGCAGGGATTGCCTTATATGGTGAACAGGCCCAGTGACAACGTGCAGCCAGGGCTGGTGACGGAAGTCCTCAGTTTCGAAAGAGGCTTTGCACGGATCTTTACAGAAGGTCTGGCCTCCAAGCAGGCAGGCAGGCAGCAAGCCACCTTTCCAGAAGTCACCAGGCATCGAGGGCAACCAGGGAGTCGGTGCCCAGACTAAATGCAGACAGGTCATTCTGCTTCCTGCCCAGCAGTTCAAAGGAGAAGACATGGCCAGGAATGGACTGTTTCGCGGAGATGAACAGAGGGAGGCAGCAGGGCTTTCTAACACTAGGTACAACCAGATGAAGCTGCCGTTTGGGATTGTAAACATGATTAATACAGGTAGATGTGGTCCAGGCTCACAATCACCCGCCCATGGGCCAGGCCCATGCTAAGTGCCGAACACGCAGCATCCCACTTAACCCTGGCAGCCAGCACTCTGGGATAGGCACTGTCATTCTTCGCACTTAACAGATACACAAACTGAGGCTCCAAGCAGGACAGTAGCTTCTCTACCAGGCAACCGGTCCATGGCAGAGACAGTGCAGGCCTCCTGCAATCCCAGCTCAAGAAGGCTGTGCTGGGGCAGGGAGCAAGGGACATGGCTGTCTGACACTGTGGCCTCGGGCCACACCCGCTGCTTGAATGTCTCGGGTCCAAACCTAGATGTGCTATAAGCGTGAAAGACGCAGCAGTGTTCAAAGACTTGGTTGATTTTTTTAAATTTTAAAATCTCACATTTTAAACTACTATTTTATGGCCAGGAGCAGTGGCTCAAGCCTATAATCCCAGCACTTTGGGAGGCCAACGCAGGCAGATCACCCAAGGTCAGGAGTTCGAGACCAGCCTGGCCAACATGGCGAAATCCTGTCTCTACTAAAAATACAAAAATTAGCCAAGAGTGGTGGTGGGCATCTGTGGTCCCAGCTACTCTGGAGGCTGAGGCAGGAGAATCGCTTGAGCCCAAGAGGTTGAGGTTGCAGTGAGCCGAGACTGCACCACTGCACTCTAGCCTGGGCAACAGAGTAAGACTCCATCTCAAAAAAATAAACTACTATTTAGAAATAATTATAGATTCAACAGAAAGTTGCAAAGACAGTGCACAGAGGTCCAATATACCCTGCACCAAGTTTCCCTGTGGTTCTAACTCACCTAATCCAAACTGGGAAAGAGACATTGATGCAATCAATGTGTGTGTCCAATTCTGTCATTTCCCCACGAGGGTAGTAGAGTCGTGTGACCATCACTACAAAACACAACTATTCCATCTATGCTGAAGATACAGAAGTGTTCCATCACCACGATGATCTCTTCCATGTTGCCCCAAAATAATTGTGAAATAGAAATTCCATGTAGAAATAGTATTTTGGCTATATTAGGTTCAAAGCATATTAATGTTACCATTTCTCGTTTTAAAACATGAACAATGAAAACCTTAGAATCGCACACAGGGCTTGTGTTCTACCTCCATTGTCTGTATTTGGATGTTGGACAGCACCGGCTCCGAAGTTCAGACCACAGCTCGGTTGCTTTGGATGGGTTAATTAACCTCCCTGAGCTAGGCTCCGTGGGAGTAGACCAGACCTGTAAGAGTCACTGTTCGGCACACTTGAGTGCCTATGTGCTGGGCATCACGTAAAGGCAGGGGACACAGGAGGCAGCGAGAGAGACCATGTCCTCCAGAGGGAGAGGAGATGCCCTGTAAAGGCTCACACACGGGCTAGTAGTGAGAAGGGTCAGTCCACAAGCACCGCCAGGTAGAGTTGGGACCCAGAAGGGGTTAAATAAAAACAGCAAGGGAGAGGACTTAAGAACATGGCACAGACTCCCCCACACACAGTAAGGAAAAGAAACGCATGCACTGTCAGCAAATAAACAGCAGAAACAAAGAATTTTTTTTTTTTTTTTTTTTGAGATGGAGTCTTACTCTGTCGCCCAGGCTGGAGTGCAATGGCGCGATCTCGGCTCACTGCAACCTCCACCTCCCAGGTTCAAGCAATTCTCCTGCCTCAGCCTCCCAAGTAGCTGGGATGACCAGGGTCCACCACCGCACCCACCTAATTTTTGTATTTTTAGTAGAGATGGGGTTTCATCATGTTGGCCAGGCTGGTCTCGAACTCCTGACCTCAGGTGATCTGCCCACCTCGGCCTCCCAAAGTGCTGGGATTACAGGCATGAGCCACGGCACCCAGCCAGAATGTTGCTTAGAAACCCAAATTGTCCCTGTTGCCCCAGAGCAGGTAAACCATACTGGGGGACCCCAGAATCCCAGCTCTTCCCGGGTGCCTCCCAGTACCCAGAAGGCAACAGGAAGAAGCGACTGCGGTTGAAAATAATAAAAATACTGCTACATGCAGGCCCTGTTCCCCTAGAGAACTCGACCGCCAGCTGGGAACTGATACCAGGCCCCACGAGACCCATCCCCCAGGGCCCGTCCCAGAGATACTCAGCCCCAGGCGCTGGAAAGCTTTTCCAAAGAGATTATGAAAAACGTCTAATATGCGGAAAACCAGACTAAAAAAACAAGCCCTCTTTATACCCACCACCCAGACTCAGCCATTGCTAACATTCTGCCCTTTCCTACTGTTCGTTGGAATGTTCGAAGTGGGTCAATTCTGACATTTAAGCTTTCAACATATTTGACGCATTTTTTAAAAAATGATGCCGTTGTACTAACCACAGAACTGTCAATGCATCTAACAACATTAACAATCATTTTGTCATAGAACCTGAGCGTCAATTGCTGGACTCTGGTTGGTAATGCAGAGTCTCCCGGCTTTACCCCAGACCTCCTGAATCAGAATCCGCACCTTCACAAGGTCTGAGTACTTCATGTACTCATGATGGTTGGAGGAACAAACTATTTTTTTGGAGACAGGGTCTCGCTGTCATTGAGGCTGGAGTGCAGTGGTGCAATCATAGCTCACTGCAGCCTCCACTTCCTGGGCTCAAGTGATCCTCCCGCGTCAGCCTCTCGAGTAGCTGGGACTACAGGCACATGCCACTACACCTGGCTGATTTTTATTTTATTTTCCAGGGTCTTGCCAAGTTGCCCAGGCTGGTCTGGAACTCCTGGACTCAAGTGATCCACCCACCTCAGCCTCCCAAAGTGCTGGGATTATAGGTGTGAGCTGCTCCGCCCAGCCCAGAAGCAAACCTTATATTCAGTCTCATTGGATTAAATTCTATCCCTCCACAAAATTCATGTGTTAAAGTCTTTCTCCCAGTGCCCCAGGATATGACTATGTGACTTATTTGAAAATAGAGTCATTGCAGATGGAATTAGTTAAGATGAGGTCACAGCAGGGTACTGGGCCTATGATCTAGTGTGACTGGTATTTTTTTTTTTTTTTTTTGAGGTGGAGTCTCACTCTGTTGCCCAGGCTGGAGTGCAGTGGTGAGATCTCGGTTCACTGCAGCCTCTGCCTCCCAGATTCAAGCGATTCTCCTGCCTTAGCCTCCTGAGTAGCTGGGATTACAGGCATACACCACCACGCCTGGCTAATTTTTTTTTTTTTTTTTTTGTATATTTTTAATAGAGCTGGGGTTTTGCCATGTTGGCCAGGCTGGTCTTGAACTCCTGACCTCAGGTGATCCACCCGCCCTGGCCTCCTAAAGTGCTAGGATTATAGGCAGGAGCCACCATGCATGGCCTTTTTTTCTTTTTCATTGGACAGAGACAGCCATGCACGGAGGGAAGGTATTGTGAAGAGTCACACAGGAAGACAGCGTCCACAGGCCTCGAGATGCACCAGCCCTGCTGACACCTTGACTTTGGGTTTGTGGCATCCAGAGCTGTGAGGAAGTCGATTTCTGGTGATTTTAACCCCCTGCCCGCAGTTTGTGGTACAGCAGACCTAGGAAATGAATCCACAGTCCCTATCCAAAGTTCACCTGTGGTTTTCTTAAAAATACCCATGGCGGAGCCCACACTAACGATTCCGATGTCCCAGGTCTGGGCGGGGCTCAGGTGTGGGTGCTTTTAAAACTGAGACTACACTGCAGGCAAGGCCAGCGTGGAGTCACGAAGCTGCTCTCCTGGTTAACCAGGAAACAGCAGCCAGGTGGTGTAGGGCGCCTGAGGACAGTCACTGAAGTGTACCTGAGAAGGTGGGGATGACCCTGGATGGCAGATGCACGCGGATGCATGTTCCGAGCTAGGGAATCTGGGTTGGCCAACCCCGAGATCCGTTCCTTGTCTATGAGACACATCTGAGCCTCAGTTCCCTCTCCCCCACCCCAACCCCAGCCTGGCCCGTGGAACACGAGCTGTACAGGAGGTTGAGGCCCTGAGTTTTTGGTTAAATGCAGGTTGCCAGGTGGAGGCCGTTAGGGGGAGGGGGTTAAATGAAAATGCTGGGTAAACTGCACGATGTTTGCAGACGGCCGTGGCTCTCCTGTGCAGCCCGCTCTCCCCTGTCCGTACGCCGCAGTAAAACCTGTGTCTCGTTCACTGTCTCTGAGTCTCTTCGTTGGCCTCTTGAACCTGGTGCCTTCCCTATTGAGGTTAATAGGGGTTTCGGCACAAAGGATGGACCCTCATCTGCCGCCTGCTGTTTTGCGGGGAAAGGGTAGTAAGTTATTTGGAGAGAGAAATACCCAACACCAGGGCTGGAACCCCGGCAGCTCTGGTCCTCAGTGTGGGTTTTGACTCACAGCAGCCCCTTAGGAACTTGTTAAACTACAAAAATCCTCAAGCCGCACACACAGCTCTTGGGTCAGAGATTCCTGGAGTGGGCTGCTGACTGCATTTTGAGGAGCCGTCCTGGGGGCTCCGATGCAGGCTTGAGAGTGAGAACCCGGACGAGAAGACGTGCAGGCCCCACGCTGTGTGCACTCAGGCAGCCCCCGGACCAACCCACAGGGGTTTCAGTGTGATCAGCTCTGTCTACAACAAGGTGTAAAGAAACAAAATCCCACAACCACAGCCCCTGACCTGGGAGTTTCCTTCATCATCCGCAAACACAGTAACATTTTCAAAAAGTCCTAAAGACTTAAGAAAAAGGCAACTTCCTCTCCACCTCCTCCAGACCTGCTCCCTGGAGGCAACCGCCACGAGAAGCTTCCCGTGGATTTTCCCAAAGTTCTAGAGGTGCATATTCACCTCCACCTACAGCCTTTAAACATGGACACACGGGAAGCAGACGACTGTCTTACTCCTTGACTTTTTTCTCGTTTAACAATATATTAGGAGCTCACGCCAATCTACGTTTTCCTAACCTGCCACTGTCTAAGTCGATAATAATTTATTGAGCCAATTCCCGTTGAGAGGCACTTCAGTTGCTCCGTCTTTTGCTTTTATGTACAACACTTGTTTAACATCCTAGTATGCACATCTTCCTACATACAGATGGCTAAATATTGTTCCCAGACTGTGGGTTTCATAGGCAAGTTAAAACATCAAGAGAGTAATCCAAAGCTGTCTCTTATTTCACCCACTAAGGATATTTAAAAGAAAAAAAAAAGTAATACCCTTTATCATTGCCTGTTTCACAAAATAAAGTCATTTTAACCTAAACCTTAGAAAAGACAGATTCAAAAAACCAAAGTGAACACATCGCTTTCTCACGTGACCAGGGATCTGCAGCTCTCCAACACGGTTCTTCAAAGGAAAAGGGGAGATGAGATGAGTAGCACGCCCAAGCCCCCACCAGCTGTAGCTGCTCCCCCTCCCGCCTCCCAAGGGCACAATTCTGTAAGAGGAACTCCTACCGCCTCCCTCCATCCTGTCTGCAATTATATCGCCCTGATTTCCCAGGCTCTTCTAATTTAGAGTGAGCGTGTCCATTCTCATTGGGTGCTTGGAGAAGGTAATTCCATCCAGGTGCCTAATGAGACCAGCAGGCCACTGGACAGCTGTCGGGTTTTCAAAGAAATCTGTTAGCAGGTGCTCACCAAGCAAATAAACTTCTCGGCTCTATGAAATGCCAATTGCTCTGCAATTCCAAGGCAAAGTGGTTCCTATTACCCAGGTGTTACCATGGCTGGAAAACAGGACGGAGTTGCCCAGGTCAGGACTTGCCCCCACTCCATCATAGGTGCCTCTTGAGGGTTTGTGGAGCGGTACGCTTGCTCGCAACCCCGTACCAACCAAGGCCTGGTCCCAAGCCAACAGGGCTGGCATCACCTGGAGCCAGAATCTGCATTTTAACCAGGTGACTCACATCCACATTGAAGTTTGAGAAGCACCAGCTTAAACAGAGCTATACTGAGACCAAGCCAGGCGGCAGGGGTCACACTGTGAAACTGGGAGGGGTGCCTCGTCAGGCAGCTGACTGGAAAGCTGACTCTGCCACCTCTGTTTGTGCGACATTGAGTAGACATTTTGTCTCTCTGGGCTTCAGGCTCCTCGTCTGTAAAATGGGAGTAAGGACAGGACCTGCCTCACGGGATGCTCTGAGGATGAAATACGCTAATGAATGTAAGGCGCAGGGCCTGGCACAGCACCAGGAGCTCTAAACACGTGGGTGGTTCCTTCCCCTGCCTCTTCCAGTAGAAAGGCTCAGGTTCCTCCAAAGGCCACTGTCTCAGCCTTGATCATCCTAGAAACCCACAAAGATGTGGCATGTCTATTTTATGTTCTCAAGACCCTGAGTACTTTTTTTAAAAATTGAGGCAGGGTCTTGCTCTGTTGCCCAGGCTGGACCGCAGTGGTGTGATCATGGCTCACTGTAGCGTCGACCTCCTGGGCTCAAGAGCTCCTCCTGCCTCAGCCTCCCAAATAGCTGAGACTACAGGCATGCACCACCACGCCCAGCTAATTGTTTTGATTTTGTGTATGTGTGGACATGAAGTTCTCACTATGTTGTCCAGGCTGGTCTCAAACTCCTGGCCTCAAGCAGTCCTCCTGACTTGGCCTCCCAAAGCACTGGGATTATAGGTATGAGCCCCTGCACCCAGCCCAACCCTGAATACTTTAAGCCTCGGTAGTTATATGACTGTCCTGGGACGCAGTTAAACACACAAATGTCTGGGGCTCAGTCCCAAGC
The DNA here is from genome assembly GCF_000001405.40 of Homo sapiens. Taxonomy (NCBI): domain Eukaryota; kingdom Metazoa; phylum Chordata; class Mammalia; order Primates; family Hominidae; genus Homo; species Homo sapiens. The sequence continues at coordinate 84,522,119 of NC_000016.10, forward strand.
AGCCTGATTTTGTAGGTCAGGAATGATGTCCTGGATTTTCCAATTTTTTGTTGTTGTTGTTGTTACAGAGTCTCACTCTGTCGCCCAGGCTGGAGTGGAGTGGCACAATCTCGGCTCACTGCAACCTCCGCCTTCTGGATTCAAGCAATTTTCCTGCCTCAGCCTCCTGAGTAGCTGGGATGACAGGCATGTGCCAGCACGTCCAGCTAATTTTTGTATTTTTAGTAGAGACGGGGTTTCACCATGTTGGCCAGGATGGTCTCGATCTCTTCACCTCGTGATCCGCCTGCCATGGCCTCCCAAAGTGCTGGATTACAGGCGTGAGCCACCACGTCCAGCGGATTTTCCAATTTTTAACCAGCATCTGGGTGACATTGATATATGTAGACCAGGAAACACCCAGGAAGAAGCACTAATCTAAGACCTCACTGCTCAGAGGGTGATCCGGGACCAGCAGCACCGGCGTCGCTAGACAGCCTGTTAGGAAGGCAGCCTCCGGCCGCCAGGACCTACTGAATCGGAATCCGCATTTTAACAAGATCCTGGGAGACTCGTGTGCACCTTAAAGCTGACTAGGCGCTGCCCAAGGATGTCCCTGACCCAGGCTTGGAGGTGATGAGGGGACCCTTGGCGCTCTTGGGTATGGGCACTCCCAGCCCTCCATCTGCCTAGCCCCTTCTTCGGGGACCGGTATTGGAGCTCAAGCTCCAGGGCTAGAGCTTGATTTCTTCTGGAATAGATCTTGTATTTGTTTCCTGTAGCTGCTGTAACAAAGTATCACCAACTGGGTGCCTGAAAGCAACAAAGTCTTTTGTGTCACAGTTCAGGAGGCCAGAAGTCCAAAACGAGGCATCCACAGGGCTGGTTCCTTCTGAGCACTGTGAGGAAGAATCTGACCAGCCTTTCCGCTGCTTCACCTCAGGGGGTTGCCTGCAGTCCCAGGCTTGTGGCCACATTGCTCCAATCGCTGCCTCCAGCTTCACGTGGCCTTCTCTGTGTCCATCTCTTCTTCTTTTCTGCTTCTTCTGTTTTGGTTGGGTTTTTGTGGGTTTTTTTGAGACAGGATCTCACTCTGTCACCCAGGCTAGAATGCAGTGGTACGATCACAGCTCACTGAAGCCTCAACCTCCTGGGCTCAGGTGATTCTCCCACCTCAGCCTTCTGAGTAGCTGGGACCACAGGTGCCCCAACGCACCTGGCTAATTTTTTTTTTTTTTTTTCACTTTTAGTAGAGACAAGGTCTCACTTTGCTGCCCAGGCTGGTCTCAAACTCCTGGGCTCAAGTGATCCTCCTGCCTCTGCCTCCCAAAGTGCTGGGATTATAGGCGTGAGACACTGCACCCAGCCCTCTTCTGCCTCTTAGAAGGACACTAGTCATTGGATTTAGGACCCACCCCTAATCTAGGATGATCTCATCTGCAAAGACCCTCTGTCTAAATAAGGCCACAGGTGCAGGGCTTAGGACTGGACATGTCCACCATTCAACTCATGACAGGCCTACTCTGCGGCTCACACCTGTGAGTATTCAAGTCACTGTTCTCCAGGCAGTTTTACATCTGTTTGGTCTCTTTTCTTCTCCGGAAGGAAGAAAGGTTGTGTCCTCCTTTAAAGAGATTTCAGCCCTCTGCCAGTTGGCAGGGAGGCTGTGTGCATTCCCATGACTGGCTGACAACCCCGGTGACAGCTTTTTACACTCACCAGGAAACAGAGGGCAGAAAGGGGCAGCTAGGGGGCTGGAGCTCAGCAGCTCCCGCCTCGAAAGGATACCATGTGGGCACCACAGCCGGATGGCCCACAGAATGGGGGGAGCATCCTTTGGCCTTCAGACACAGCCCTACCCGCAGTCCTGCAGATTTCACGGACTAATCTGGGGCACCAACACCCAGGGGAGGCCACCAGGAAATGATCTGGCCCTGAATAAAAGAACGTTTGGCCGGGCACGGTGGCTCACGCCTGTAATCCCAGCACTTTGGGAGGCCGAGGCGGGCGGATCACAAAGTCAGGAGATCGAGACCATCCTGGCTAATACGGTGAAACCCTGTCTCTACTGAAGGTACAAAAAAATTAGCCGGGCGTGGTGGCGGCCGCCTGTAGTCCCAGCTACTCGGGAGGCTGAGACAGAATGGTGTGAAGCCGGGAGGTGGAGCTTGCAGTGAGCTGAGTTTGCGCCATGGCACTCCAGCCTGGGCAACAGAGCAAGACTCCATTTCAAAAAAAAAAAAAAAAAAAAAAAAAAAGAACGTTCATCTGGCTGTGCTTTTTGAAACCTCTAACACCTGACGCTAAGGGACCTGGGGGTTGGGTTGATGAGACCCACAGAATGGGAGGGTCCATGGCCCTGGTGAGCAGGCTTCAGGCAGCCTCAGAGCTCGCCTGAGCTGAGACACACACATGGATGCACAGACTTTGATAGCGCACGCTGTCGACCGCAGCCAACAGCTAGTTGAGTCAAAAGATCAGACCTCCTGTTGCTCTTGTTGTGGCCAGCAGCCCTGAGCCCCGCTGCCCTGCTGCCAGGATCTCGTGGGATGCTTAGACAAGCCCGGCTGCCAGGGCTGCTCCCAGACCGGCTGAGTGGCAAGCTCTGGGAGATGGGGTGCAGGCACCGGGGGTTCCAATGACCAGCAGCACCAAGAACCACTGGTATGTAACTATAATCTGTTGTCACACCGGCGGGAGCTTTGGGAAGACATGGGGCCTTGTGGCACCAAAGGGCAGCTTTAGGAACCTGCAGGTCTAGGTGGTTCCCATGTGGCAGCCTGTTTGAAACAGTGTTGAAAGTGCTTCCATCCTATGGGTCCCCCTGCAGCCCTCAGCCTGGGACCCCCTCCTCACCTTACCCCAGCTCCAATAACAGAATCCATCCCTCTTTTTGGGCTACTGTGTCTGTGTTCTTGGGTTTGTGGTGGCCATGGGGGTGCACGGCTCAGATCTCCCTGCAAGACAGAATCTGGTGGTGTCCCGGCTCCCAGCCAATGTGAGACAGGGCATGGCTCCTAGAGCCCGGCCACTCCGCCCCCTCCACTCAGTCCTCTCCTAGAGCCCGGCCACTCCGCCCCCTCCACTCAGTCCTCTCCTAGAGCCCGGCCACTCCGCCCCCTCCACTCAGTCCTCTCCTAGAGCCCGGCCACTCCGCCCCCTCCACTCAGTCCTCTCCTAGAGCCCGGCCACTCCGCCCCCTCCGCTCAGTCCTCTTTATTCTGGGCTCCCCGACTTTCTCATTGCTGCTCTGCAGGCTGAGGCTCTTCCCCGCTCCCAAACTGCCATCCTCCCTCCCCCTCCGCTCTGTCAGTGTCAGACACGTCCCACGGCTGAAGCCCTTCAGCACCCACTCCTCTCCCCAGTTCCTCGACCCACATGGGCATTACATCCAGTACATTGCTGGCACATCTAACTCCCACTCGGGATTCGAATCTGTTTCCCATGAGACTGGAACTGGCAAAGAGTGGTTTCTAGCTCAGAACTCATAATGTGTGCTTGCCCCCAAATCTAGGAATGGGATTCCAAAGACATGTAACAAGCGTCCTCGGTGCTCACACGTGGCCCCAGAGGCCCACGCCAAGCAGCAGCCTGCCCAGCGTGGGCCTCCAACACCTCTTCCTCACCCCTGCATGACCTCCTCTTCCGTGGATCTTTCCACGGCACTCTCCCTGATGTCAACATAAGCTGCTACCTGATCAGAGCCACCAGGATCCCAGACCTGCCAAACCGTTCATCCATTCACCAGCCCTACTTGGAAGCTCAGAGGACATGGAGACGTGTTAACTTTTAATTTTTTAATTTTTTAATTTTTTTTGGAGACACGGTCTTGCTCTGTTACGCAGGCTGGGGTGCGGCAGCACCATCACGACTCACTGCGGCCTCAACCTCCTGGGCTCAAGCGATCCTCCTGCCTCAGCCTCCTGGGTAGTTGGTTCTACAGGTGCACGCCACCACACGGCTAATGTTGTTGTTGTTGTTTTGGTTTCGTTTTTTAGAAACAGGGTTCTGGCCAGGTGTGATAGCTCAGGCCTGTAATCCCAGCACTTTGGGAGGCCAAGGTGGTGGATCACCTGAGGTCAGAAGTTCGAGACCAGCCTGACCAACATGGTGAAACCCTGTCTTTACTAAAAACTACAAAAAATTAGCCATGTGTGGTGGCGGGCACCTATAATCCCAGCTACTCGGGAGGCTGAAGCAGGAGAATCACTTGAACCCGGGAGGCAGAGGTTGCAGTGAGCCAAGATTGCGCCACTACACTCCAGCCTGGGCAGCAGAGCGAGACTCCAAGTCAAAAAAAAAAAAAAAGAAGAAAAAGAAAGAAAGAAACAGGGTCCCACTTTGTTACCCAGGCTGGTCTTGAACTGGGCTCAAGTGATCCTCCCACATCTACCTCCCAAAGTGTTGGGATTACAGGTGTGTGCCACCATGCTGGCCTGTTTGTTAATATTTTTGTCCCTGCCCCAAGGACACCAGCGTAATGGTTAAGATACTTTACCCTCACAACTCACTTTCTGCATTACTACTAAGCATCCCTTGGTTGTGGAAATGAAGGTCCAGGGAACGGGTGGCCATTTGCTCAGAAGAACCTAAGAGGGGAGCTTTCAGAGCCCCTGCCTCCAGAAACTGCCTCGAAGGCTCTCTGACCCCATCTCTTCTCCCTGAGCCTATCCTTGAAAATCACAACAGCCGCAAGTGATCAGGCCTCCCACCGCAGCCCTGTGTGCAGGGCAGTGTCTCCGCTCCAGACTGGAGGAGGGGTGTTTCCTTCTGCTCTTCCATCTCCTTCCTGCAGCCACGTGGACCCCGCCTCTGCTGCTGCCTTTTGTCTGGCAGCACCAGCCGGGCTAACGGTCTAAGCAGATTTCGTGCAAATCCCCGTCAGAAAGCACAAATCCACCCGGTCAGCACAACCAGGCAAGGGCTCCCCCTGCACACACGACAAGGAAGGGGGACCTTTCTCCCGCTCAGGAGAGTCATGTGATGCCTCGGGAAGGGGCAAACGGGTCCAAGCCTCAGCACACACCCACAGTGGAGGCCACAGCCTCGGAGAGCCCCGGGCGGACTGTTTTCTTTGTTAGGACTTAGAGTTCCCAAAGTCCTTCCAGTCCCTCTGCCAATCCCACTGTGGAGATGACAATTCCAGCCGCTCGTCAGCCCACAAGCTGGAAAACAGGAAAAGACGGTGGCTATTATTTTTGAGACTATGTTATTAATGACTCCGAGGGCTTTCCAATGGTGGCAGGCGGCCACGCTCACGGAAGCAGGGTGAGTCCTGGGATGTTTGATGTGCCCGTGTGAATCTTGGATGACGTGGTTAGAAGGAAGAGAAAAGACTCTCAGATTGAGCTACTTGCTGCTTTTGAGTCAGTATTTCTTTGAATGCTCAGAGGCCTCTTGCGGAGAAGAACGACGCCTGATTTCACAGGCGTGAAAATGAATGCTCAGGAAGATCCAGCAACTTGCCCAAGGGCACACAGCGAGGGGGGGCCGGGGCGGGCAGGGTGGGCAGGGACTCCAGCTGAGCCTCCTGGCTCTAAGCAGAGCAGACTGCTTGGCAGGGCACCCAGGAACAGATTAAGAGAATTTTCCAACAAAGTTCCGTTCTTTGAGCCAATGTGGATTTGTTATCTTAAAATATGTTAATAGCAGGCATGCGCATTGCTCTATGTGCCAAGCACTATTCTAAGGCCTTTACCAGCAGTGACTTATGTCATCATCTCCACAATTTGATGAAGCAAGCTCAGGTATTATGCAAATATTATATATGAGGAAATCAAGGCACAGAAAGGTGGTCTGACTTGCTCGAAATCACACAGGAGGGGAGGAGCTGGGGGCTCACACCTCGGATCTAACTCCAGAATTGATGTCCTCAGCCACTGCCCTAGATCACAGAGAACAGAAAGGAGACACCAAGAAAAGAGAAGTGGGTTGGGCTGATGCCCAAGGTCACTCACTGAATCACATGACAGAGCAGAAATCCTGAAGGCCTGTGCGTGGGGCAGCTCGTTGTAAAGTGCTCCCCATCAGCCAGAGGCAGCAGAGCGTGGGGACAAAGAGCTGGGGCCAAGGAGCCACGCTCTGCACATCCACTGGCTGTGTGACCTGAGCCAGCTATCTAACTAGCCTCACTCTCCCCATCTGTAAGATGTGGGTGGGTGACACCTGCTTCAGACTTTGGGCACCTAACGAACAAGAGCTCCTAGGACAGTGCCCGCTCTTCCTAAGGGTGCAACAGGGCATCTCTCATAGGCCTGTCTTTCTGCCCAGTTCCATACACCTGCCAGACCACCCCCACCTGACCCCTCTTTGAAAGCTGGAGTGAATTTGCAGGGATGCTGCACCGCCTGCAGAAGCTGCCAAGCTCACTTAGCGCCATCCATATATGGGCCACAGGGGGCTTGTGATTTCTGCCTATGGCTTTTATAAAGGTCATAAAGGGGTCACAACTGTTTCTGTGGGTTACTTCTCTCACTTGGACACCCAAACCCTCGATGTTCATGACTTCAAAGAGGGAACTAGTGTTTCAGCTCCTCCCGTGCTGAAACCGTGAGTGTGAAGACTTAGGAGCTAGAGACAGAAGGTGCCTATGGAGAGCGTGTCTCATTTCTTCATTTTCTTTCTTTTCTTTTTTTTTTTTTTTTTTCTTGAGACAGGGTCTCACTCTGTCACCCAGGTTGGAGTGCAGTGGCCCGATCTCAGCTCAATGCAACCTCCACCTCCCGGGTTCAAGTGATTCTCCTGCCTCAGCCTCCCGAGTAGCTGGGATTACAGGCATGCACCACCGCACCTGGCTAATTTTTGTAGTTTTAGTAGAGATGGGGTTTTGCCATGTTGGCTACTCCTAGGCTCAAGTGATTCCCGCGCCTTGGCCTCCCAAAGTGCTGGGATTACAGGCATGACAGCCACCGCACCTGGCTGTCATTTCTTTATTTTCTCATTCACTCATCCAACAAATCTTTCTGGAGCACCTACTCCTTGCTGGGCACCAGGCTAAGCACTGCCAAAGTGTGGTGATGGACACGGTTTCTGCCACTCTAAAGGGAAGATACCAGCAAACCCCATATTATGCACATAATCCCTTAGTCACAAGTGCTGAGGAGAAAAACACCACAGGGCCCACAGGGTATATAACAGCTGGATGGCAACCACTCAGGGAGAAGAGGGGCTTCCTGAGGAGGTGAAAGACCAGCTGAGACCTAGGAGATGGAGAGGAAAAGATGGATGAGGGGAGAGAATGGACATCAGTCCAGGCTATAGGGAGGCCTGGGGAAGGAGAAAGAGCCATGTGGAGAGTCTAAAGGAAGCAGGTGTTCGTTGGAGAAGAGCAAGCCAGGACAGATGTGGGCAAGACCAGCTCAGGAGGGGCCTGTAGGACCGCGTTCTCAGAGCAATGGGAGGGGCTCACAGGTTTCAGCAGTAAGTGTCATGCTGAGCTATGCATTGTAGGAACGTCACTTTGGCTGCTGTATGGGAATAGATGGAAAGAGTGGAACCCAGTGAGGAGGTGTAGGATGGCAGGGGCTTTGACTAGAGGGCTGGAAGTGGAAGGGAGCTGGACTCGGTGCCATCAAGATGCCTCCTGGGTTTCTGGAATGTACATCTGGGAATGTAGCGGGGTCCTTCATTGAGACAGTGACAGGAACGGGTTGTTGTTTTGCAGCTCCCTGTCTACTCAGTTGTTTCTCCACCAGAGTCATCAGATGCAGCCAAAGCTGCATCAAGTAGCATCTTCAAAGCCTCTGCACTGTATGTAAACCATCAAAATGTGGAGACAGTTGCTATGCTTGAGCAGAGTGCTGGTGATTTGGGACTGATCCACCACTACATTACAGAGGGCCTGGAGGTCTTGTTATTTGCAAAGCAGAACTCCAGCTTGAACTCTTGACACTTTTAACAGAACCACTGTATCTTTAGCTCTTGGCATCTGAGTTTCCTTTCCCAAAACTTCTTTCCTGATCAGCAGGGTTATTACAAGTGGCGGTGACGTGCAGTACCTTGATGATGTTTGCCATAAGCCTGTGGGAAAGGGCCTATTATTTGCTCTACTTTGCAGTGACAGAAACCAAGGCTCAGAGATGATAATGTCTGGCCCAAGACCATGTGTCTAGTAAGTAGCAGATCTGGGATTCCAGGACATGCCAACTACTTCCTGTGTGCCCTTCCCCACCCATTCTCGATCTTTCTCTTCTCTGCTCTCCAGCCCGGAAAGCTGATCTCTAGGATCTCGTCCCTTAGGCTCCCTTGGATTTGGCCAGTGGGAGGCACTAGCAGGAGCTCAGAGGCTGGCAGGAGACAGAGGCCAGGGCACCCGTCACCCTCCCCTCAGCGCCACTCACACTGGGTTTGCTTTCAGCAGTGGCTCCATTCTTCTGCTATGGTCTTGGCTCCTGTCTGTAAACCTCATCCCATGCTGCGTCGCTGGCTCGCAAACTCCCTGACACCATTCTCTCCTCTCACACCTGCTGCAGCTTGCTGGGTGCTCTGGCATCCTGTTCTGGTCCCTCTGACCTGCCCATCCTCTCTGAAGAGACTCTTCAATCCTCTGGGTGTGTCACCCTTCCCTGATGGCATACGCCCATCAGACGGTCATCAGCCACTGAGAAACCTTGAGCCACACAAGAGAAAGAGTACGGGCTTTGGAGCCAGACAGTCCTGGGTTTCCTCATTGAGCCTCGGTTTCCTCATCTATGCAATGGGCACAGTAAGAGTTGCCTACCTTCTTGTCTTTCAAAGTGTGGTCACAGACCAGGAGCATTAGCATCACCCTCCAGCTTGACAGAAATGCAGGTGGGGCTGAGTGGCATGGCTCACACTTGTAGTCCCAGCACTTAGTTAGAGAGGCTGAGGCAGGACAAGTGCTTGAGCCCGGGAGTTTGAGACCAGCCTGGGCAACATAATGAGACCCTGTCTCTATAAAACATTTAAAAATTAGCCAGGCAGGGAGAAAAAAAAAGGAAATCCTGACTCTCAGCCCCCAACCTGGGACCTGCTAAATCAGAGTCTACATTTTAATGAAATCTCTAAGGAATTCATGTGTACATTAATTTTTGAAAAGGCCAACCCCACCTGAAAAGACTTCCGATTTGGATTAAATAAAATTTAAAGTTCCTGGTACATTTTGATTTTGATAAAGGTTAATTTTCTTTCCCCACCCTTCCTTTCTGCCCCCACCATAATGTAGAAACTATTTTTTTTGAGACAGGGTCTTACTCTGTCGCCCAGGCTGGAGTACAGTGGCACGATCATAGCTCACCACAGCCTCAACCTCCTGGGCTCAAGCGATCCTCCCACCTGAGGCTCCTGAGTAGTTGGGACCACAGGCGCATGCCACCATACCCAGCTAATTTTCCTATTTTCTGTAGAGACGGGATCTCGCTATGTTGCCCAGGCTGGACTTTAACTCCTGGTCTCAAGCGATCCTCCCACTTCAGCCTCCCAAAGTGCTGGGATTACAGGTGTGAGCCACACCCAGCTGGAAGGTAGAAACTTTACCCTCCTCCTGATGTGCCCTCCTAATAAACCCTGAGGAGCCGGTAGCTGCCTGAGTGCCTGCACTTGACATGCATGATTGCATTTCATCTCACAGTGCCCCTCAAAGTAGAAATGATGGGCACCATGCGACAGATGAGGAAACAGATGCTCAGAGATCTTGCCCAAGATATCTGTGGCCAATACACAAGTCAGATGCATGGCTTGTCCCAGTTCACTGTGGTGGAGGCAGGTCTGGAAACCAAGTCTGTCTGACAGCACAGCCCTTGTTCTCACCAGTACGTTCTGCTCCCTTTGTCATGAAGCCTGCTGCAGTTTGGGATCGGAGTTGGTTCACTGCGTTTCTAAGCATCATGCCTGCTCATGCACTCATTCATTTGCTCATCCATTCACTCCTTCCAAAGGCTGAGAGACGTGGTATCCTTCCCAGGTGAACAAGTCCCCGGCGCCACCCACACCTCCGCCCCCAGGTCAGTCTTGACACTCCAGATGAACGCACCCTCCAAGCAGACAAGCCAGAACCTGAACAAAGGAACCCAAAAATGTTACCAACTTGCAAACTGATTGCAACTTGAAAATGTATTGCAGCTTGACATTTATTGAAAATGACTGCAATCTTGGCTGCTGGGTTTGCATTTTTGGCAAAATGTCCCTTTAGTCCCCTCTGCTTGCTGAAATCCCTCCATTCTGATTCTCTCATTCACAAGCTCAGCCAGGGCACTCACTGGGAGGGTGAATGTTAACACAAGCAGTGACCTTTCCAGAAAAGAATGACCATTCGCCTCCGCATTCCCGAGAGGAATTCCCCAGGAGCAGCCGAGGAACTTGGTACCATTTCTAAAAGCACATTCTTGGCTGCTTAACATCTCATGTCCATATTTGGGAGTTCTTGTGTCTTGTTGCATTCATGTGCGGTTCCCTTTCAGGGCAAGGCCTCAGCTCCAGGCTATCTGGGTCGTTTCCTGCCTGCGGCCCAGTAGGAAGAGAGTTAGTGGTGGCTTCTGACAATCTCCATAGGAGGGATGTTAGAGCCAAGGCCAGGGCAGGAAGGAAGCTGCCAGCTAAGCGGCTACTGGAAACTCCCGCTGAGGATGCGGCACCAGGAACACAACCTTATGACTGTCAGAACATCATAGCTGCACATTCATTTGGCAAAATTTAGAAGCGTGTTTATTTTTTTTCCTTATGAAAGTAACATAACCACCTTCCAGAAGAGAGAAGCAAGAAACCTCACACAGATTATGCTGGGAGTCCCGAAGACCACCCTCACATTCATAGATTTGCTAAAAGAATTCATATGGGCTTCGGCATATTCAGGTAGCTGTATGTGTGGCTAAGATTTATTTACAACAGTGCAGTAAGGATACACAATCAGCTCAAAAGGCGAAACCGTAGAGTTGGAGTCTGCAGGAGTCCATTATGAGGCTCTCTCACGCCCTCCCCTCCCCAAGAAGGGTTGCACAGAGCACATTCCGTCCCCATCAACAAAAATGCAGCTGTGTGTCTGCAAGGCTTCTGTCCAAGGAAGCCCATCAGAGACTCAGCACCCCAGAGTTTTTCTAAGGGCTGGTCAGTTGGCACCTTCTTCTTAGCAGGTACCAAATTCCCAGCTCCCGAAGGGAAGCACGTGTTTAGCACGAACCACATTGTTTGTGGTCTAAGCACAGTGAACCACTTTTATCATTTAGGAAACAGCTCAAGTGCCAAGTTCCCAGACACCAGCCAAGAGTCAACCTAGCAAGCAGGTCTTCCGAAAGATAGCAGTCTCAAGCCTGCTATACTAACTTCTGTCTGCACAACCACATATATGCAGCTGGAATACGGCCACCCCTAGCAGTTCTGTGAATCGCCCTCCTTTCTTTCCTTTTTTTAACCTGTGACTATTTATACATCTTAATTATAATCTTGTCACATGAAGTGAAGCAACACAGAATTATACAATTTTATATTTTTTTTCACTTGATATCATAATTTTTTTTTTGAGACAGAGTCTCACTCTGTTGCCCAGGCTGTAGTGCAGTGGTGTAATCTTGGCTGACTACAACCTCTGCCTCCCAGGTTCAAGTGATCCTCCTGCCTCCACCTCCCAAGTAGCTGGGACTACAGGTGCGTGCCACCACGCCTGGCTAATTTTTTTTTATTTTTAGTAGAGATGTGGTTTTGCCATGTTGGCCAGGCTGGTCTCCAACTGACCTCAAGTGAACTGCCCACCTCAGCCTCCCAAAGAGCTGGGATTACAGATGTGAGCCACTGCACCCAGCCTCATAACATAACTTTTAGTGGCTGAAATCATGCACGCATCCCACCAGTATTTACTAAATGAGTGATGTTCTCTTCAGTAGATGTTCTGTGATTTATTACAGTGCATGGTTGTCTCTTTGATGTTCACTCTTTATGCACCTATTGTGCAAGCCTGAAAAACTAGGTGAGCTCTGGTCACTAAAGAGCCAGGGGAAACAGCATTATTTCAGGTATGATTAACAAACAAGCCTGATGTGAGCCCCAGCCAGGACTCTAGAATGGATTATTCAATGGAGGACCTGGAAAGCGGGAAACACTTGGAAAAGAAATCATTCATGTTCATGACGAAGTCACATGAATTAATAATAATATTAGTAATTTCCATCACTACATGCCAGGCAACTTTATCGAATGATTTCCAGATCATTAAAGATCAAATTATCTCCCTATGCCTCATAGCCATCTTGGGGGGATAAAGAAATATTATTATTCTCATTTTCCAGCTGAGGAAAAGGGAAGCTCAGACAGGTTAAGTGACTTTCCCAAGGCTACAGAGCCCATAAGTGGAGATGCTGTGACTCAGATCTAGACCCATTCACAACCTAAGCCTGATCTCCATGACACTAAGAGCACCATGCCAACCTATTTCCAACAGGCTACAAAAGGCTGTCAACCAGGAAAAGGCAACAGACACAGTGAACCTGGATGTCAGATGGCTGGCAAGGTCTCTCATTATTTCCTTGACATTTAATCCAGTTAGGTGGGTTCCAAATTGTTGCAAGACAGCCCTGAATGGGAACCTACTGATTCATGGGCAGGACTGATGGCCACCCAAGGGGGTGACATGTCACAGGGCTATGGGCTCAGCATGTCCTGGCCAACAGTCTAATGAGCGATCTGGAAAGAGGCAGAGAGGCAGGCTATCTCTGATACGCCCATGCCCCATCAGCCCTCAGCATGGTGCCTAGATGCAATGTGCTCCTGACCTGGGCAGACACAGCCAGCTAAGAGAGCCCCCTGTATGGTCACCGCTGACTGATCCCCTTCCACTCGGAGCCCCAGCAACTCGGATGCTGCACACAGAACGGTTTTATCCAATCCAAAATCATCTTCTTCTTTCTCCTTCTCCCCCTCCTCGCCCTCCTTTTCCCCCCATTCCTCCTCCTCCTCTCCCCATTCCTCCTCCTTCTCCCACTCCTCCCCTCCTGCTCCTATTCCTTCTCCCCTTACTCCTCTTCCTTCTCCCACTCCTCCTCCCTCCCCTTCTTCCTCCTTCTCCCCCAACTTCTCTTCCTTCTCTCACTCCTCCCCCCTCCCCCTACTCCCTCCTCCTTCTCCCACTCCTCCCCCTCCCCCTCTTTCCCCTCCTCTTCCTCCTTCTCCTTCTTCTTCTCCTTCTTCTTTTCTTTTCTTCTTCTTTCTAACCTAAGAGTTTATAAAGAATTGGAGGGCGGTATTTGAAACCACCATGGAGAATGAGTACGGTATTCAGTTAATTCCAGTTAATTAAACATAATATAGCCAAAGCTGCAAGTGTTTGGACACATTAGCAAGAAATGTCAGGGTCCTGCCTGGCCCCTCTCACTGCATTGCTGATACATTTGGTGAAGAGAAAGGCCTATGTCTCTTTGTCCTGATCTGATCTGGACTCCTCCTCATCATCCCGCCTGTGTTAGTGCCTTTTGGATTCTTGGACTGTACCATCTGCCCTACGAACAGCCCTCCCTGGGCCTTGGGCCCCGTCTGCTCTTGGGCCAGTAGCATGGAGTTTAAAGGCGTTTGCTCCCATCCCCCCAAAGGCTCTCTGTTGACCACCTGCCCCAGGAATGCCTTTTCTTTCATGTTGTTTAGTCATGCCGAACTTTCTCTGTCCTCTGAAGTTTTACTGCCTATAGCTGCCCCTTTGATGTAATTCTAGGCAAGATTTCTAAATGCTGATATAGGAGTTAAGAAGAAATTAGGCAGATAGTAACGGTATGGGAGTTCGCAGTAAGGCTTTTCTTTTAAACGAAAAGCAGCCCCAAATTATTTTCTTTTCTAACAAAGAGCAGCCTGTAAAATCGAGTTACAGACATAGATACTGGCAGTTGTGCCAATCATCTTAAAGATGGAGGCTCCATCTTCCTTTGTCTTTGTCAGCCACCTGTGCAAAGGAGCAGGCAAGATGGCACAATCAACTGGGAAGTCCATTTGTATAATAAGTTTAGGGTGGGGCAACCAGACTTCCCTGTACACTACGTAAACGTCATACATGATCGAACCAATCTGTAAGCCCTACGTAAATCAGACACCCCCTTCTCCAGCCTGCCTATAAAATCTGATGCGGTCCGCCACCTCCCCCTTTTTTTCCGACGTTCTCTCTCAAGGAGCTGCTCTCCTCTCTTCTTCCTTCTATTAAACTTTCCACTCCTTAACTCACCCACATATGTCCGTGTCCTGAATTCTTTCTCCGCAGGAGACAAACAACCCCAGGGTGTATACCCCAGACAACATAGCCATTTCAATGCCTTTCCTTCACACGGGAAGGCCACCTTTCCAAACAGGACAGTCTTGCTCAAGGTTCTTTTGGTTGCAGCCGACATAAACCCACGGCGGCCTCCACGGGCACGCAAGCTACCAGCCGCACAGGCTCGCATTCAGAATGGCTTCATGCTTTGTTTCGGGTTCTGCTGCTGCCATATTGAAATTCTTAACACATTTTGAACAAAAGGCCCCACCATTTCCTTTTGCATTAAGCCTCTAAGTTCTGTAGTTGGCCCTGCATAAAGCCATTCTGGTAACTTGGATTACCAAGGGGAGATTTACGAGAAGGACAAGGGGTGTCTCTCAGAACCCAAAGGTGAGAACTGGAAGCAGGGCCTGGAAAACCAGAGTCCAGGAGGCCGGTACTCGCTCACAGTCTCTCTCTCCCTCTGTCTCTACTTGTGCTTCATTTGTCTTATTCTGTTTTTTTTTTTTTTTTTTTTTTTTTTTTTTAGATGATGTCTTGCTCTGTCGCCCAGGCTGCAATGCAGTAGCGTGATCTCGGCTCACTGCAACCTCCGCCTCCCAGGTTCAAGCGATTCTCCTGCCTCAGCATCCCGAGTAGCTGGGACTACAGGCACACACCACCATGCTCGATCAATTTTTGTATTTTTAGTAGAGATGGGGTTTCACCATGTTGGCCAGGCTGATCTCGAACTCCTGACCTCAGGTGATCCGCCCACCTCGGCCTCCCAAAGTGCTGGGATTACAGGTGTGAGCCACCGTGCCTGGCCCATTTCTGTCTTATTTTCTCTCTGAGAGAGACAACACGGCTGCTGGCCCCACCCAAGACTCCATCTCCTTTGTCCCAGATATCAGACCCAATGGCAATTTCATGAGACAGAGACTCTGATTAGCCCAGCTTGGGTCAGGTGTCCAGCCCTGGTCCAATCAGCTCCACCCCACGGGGCAGGGTCCCATAGTGCCAACAGGGCGCCCATATGGAAGCAGGAAACAGTCAGCAGTTTGCAAAAAACAGATTCGCCTTGAAGTTTCCAGGAAACACATTTAGCCAGGCCCCACCCCACCCGCTGCAGCAGCCCCAGACTCACTGCCCAGCCATCTCATGCTGACTATCCTATGGGCGCCCCTTCTAGAAATGCCCTCAAAATGTGTTTGGTGATTGATTAATTGACCATTGGCCTCAAGCCCATTTCTAGCTGAGCTATTGACTTTTGTGCTGGGGGTTTAGAGAAAATCCTATCCTCTATTGTCATTTTCTTTCTCCTGTTTAAAAACAAAGCAAAGCAAACAAACAAAACTCCTTCACAAGGAGGCTGGGAGGGCGCACAATATAGACAGCTGTGAAAAAGGCTGGTGTGGGGAGAAGCTTCTCTCTCTCTCTCCATGCACACAATGTATATTATCTAAGGCTGTGTCAGCAAGCTATATATCTTTGACCCTTCAAAGTCTGGCTCTTTGTAACTCATTGCAAAGAATTCTCTTGGGGGCACTCAGTTCTGTGAGGGACAGATAGCCGCCTCTCCCAAGGAAGCGGATTCGACTCTGGGAGATAAATCTTCTTCGCTTCCTTCCTCTCTGAGACGATTATGAAGAAAGTGCTCCCATAGTCCTGGCAGGAACAAAGGCCCTGTGTCCAGAGAGGCTCCCCCACCCGACCTCTCATGCATTATGAATGGGGCCTCAAGATCATTTCACAAGCTTTTCACGCTCCGAAATGGCCACTCCCCAGCCTTAGGCTGCCCAGCTGTCGGAGACCCCTTGGCCCCTTCAGGGCTATGTCCCCCATGGCTCCTTCACGCCAGCCCCAGGGGACTGACAACCTCTCAGCCATAAATGTCAGCCAGGCCTTCTGCCGATGCCACCGGGGGATGCGGAGGGTAATCGGGACATGCTCTGTTGTCCCATCAGTAAAATTATTAGGAATTTCAAAGAATTAAATCCCAAGCACAGGCCCTTCTGAGTGCAGGGCCCTTGGCTGCTGCCCTGGGAGATAATTACCCACGAGACTGGCCCTGACTGTAGCTATAATTTCAACTTATCCATCACCCTGATTCTTTGACTCAGGAAAGTTATTCATTAAATAAATATTTTTCTAAGAATTTCAGAGCATCCACTAAAGCAGACCATAGATCTGCACCATAACCCAGCATTTTCACTGTGTATACACCCAGAAGGGGGATGTGTGTGGATAAGGAGTTGAACTAGAATGTTCTTTGCAACACTGTTCACAATAGCCCCACATTGGAAACCACCCAAATGCCCATCAATAGTAGAATGGCTAAATAAATGTGGTCTGTCCAAGTGATGGAAAACCACACAGAAAGAAGAATGGCTTCAAACTACACACAATATGGCCGACTCTCACAAACAATACGGAATGAAAGAAGCCAGACACAACAGCGTACACAGCATATGGTTCTGTGCTGTTGGAAGTTCGAGTCACGCTTACTGTTGAGGGTGACTCAATAGGGGGCATGAAGTGGGGCTTGGGGGCTGACACTAGTGTGTTATTGACCTGAATGCCATTGCATGGTTGTGCTTAGTGTGTGAGTGTTCTTGGAGCTGTACACTTCAGACGTGTGCACTTCTCTGTATATACTGTATCTCAATAAAAAATAAAAGTTGCTTCTCAGAATGGGGGCTTAAAAAATAAAAATAAGGCCGGGCGTGGTGGCTCATATCTGTAATCCCAGCACTTTGGGAGGCCAAGGCAGGCGGATCACCTGAGGTCAGGAGTTCAAGACCAGCATGGCTAACATGATGAAACCCCATCTCTACTAAAAATACAAAAATTAGCCGGGTGTGGTGGCACATGCCTGTAATCCCAGCTACTCATGAGGCTGAGGCAGGAAAATCACTTGAACCTGGGAGGTGGAGATTGCAGTGAGCCGACATCACGCCACTGCACTCCAACCTAGGCAACAAAGCTAGACTCCATCTCAAATAAATAAATAAATAAATAATACAAATCAAAAAGTAAAAGTAAAAGATAAATAAATAAACCTTTCTAGAGGGCTCACTGTGAGAAGCCTTAGGGAGGTTAAGGAGCTGACTCTGCCCCTCCTCAGTGCAACTCTTCCTTCCAGTCCTTGGTTTCCTTTGACTGCAGCTCCCTGACAGTAGATGTGATTCTGCGACACTCAGAATACCTCCTGGAGTACAGAGGTACGAGAGTGAACCAGTAGGCTCGACGCCCTAACGTACGGTGCCTGGATGTCCTTTTTGAATCTGTTGATGGTTTCTGTTTAGGTTCTGTTAACATTGGATGAGCACCCAATGTGCCAGGTCCTGGGGACACAAGGATGAGGAAGTCCCTGCCCTCAAAGAGCTCAGGATCTGGAGAGAAAGGACCCCTCAATTAGAGTCCAGTGTGTTAAATGCCCCCCAGGGAGACTCGGGAGGATGAGGGAGGCTGGGAAGATTCTACAGGCCCAGGGAGAGAGGCCAGTGGAGAATGAGGGGTGAGGGGAACTCCCAGTGGCTCAGGACCCACTAGGCCTCAATGTGCGATGGGCATCAAGAGGCTGAACTTGCTGGCATCAGGGGTCCTGCCAACACTCCTCAGAATCTCTGATTTACAGTATCGGGGTAGTCACATGAGAACGAAGCTCAGCTACAAGTGCACACTACAGCATTGTTTAAAACAGTGACAAAATGGAAAGCAAGCTACGTTTCCAAAGATGGAAGATTAACCCAAAGAATGATAGAGGGGCCAAATGAGGGGACTCTGGTAGAACCTGGAAGTGATGCTGGGGAAGACTGTTTCATGATTCTCAAGGCCCATGGATGAGCTGGGATTTGACCCTCTGTGAAAGCCCCCAGGTGAGCCTGCTGCAGTGCCATGGTTGCTGGCAGAAGACACGAGCCTCCTGGGTCAGAGACAAGTGACTTTATTACTCGCAGCACAGCAAGTAGCATGAGCTTTATGTTTGCATCGGTTTCCCTTGTCCCCAAGTCCCACAGGGGCCATGCAAAGGGGCCCGGAAGGGGTGGGTGTTGCGCACACAGCACATTTCTCACAGCTGAGGATCCCTGAGCTCAGGGAGCCCAAATTTCTTATAAGAAATCCTGATCCTTGCCCTGGGGGCAAACATCTATCTATATTGGACAGAAAACAAATTTGCCCTTTGATCTGAGGGGACACACTGTCTCTGTCTAACAAAGTTGTTTGCTATATAAACATCCTTGTAAAGATAGTTCTTCTACTTGCAAGACATGTAGAAACCTGAGAGACCCATGGAGAACTGTCTCCCAACAATGACACAGAAAGAAAATTTAGGCCGGGCATGGTGGCTCACGCCTGTAATCCTAGCACTTTGGCAGGCTGAGGCGGCTAGATAACCTGAGGTCAGGAGTTCGAGACTAGCTTGGCCAACAAGGCGAAACCCTGTCTCTACTAAAAATACAAAAATTAGCCAGGCATCATGGCATGCACCCAGCTACTTGGGAGGCTGAGGTGTAGTCCCAGCTACTTGGGAGGCTGAGGCAGGAGAATCACTTGAACCCAGGAGCCGGAGGTTGCAGTGAGCTGAAATTGCTCTACTGCACACCAGCCTGGGTGACACAGCAAGACTCCATCTCAAAAAAAAAGAAAAGAAAAGAAAAAATTTAGAGTCGCCAAGAAACAGATAACAAAACAGTATACATGTGTGAATCTGCACATTTGGTGTCTGCATGTGCATATTACGTAGGCACTAATACAAGCCCAGCAGAATATTCCCACAAATGTTCACAGGGGTTCTTGCTGGGCTTTCGTTCTATGATGAACAAAATAGTGACCATTGTACCTAGTAATCAATAGCCAACCCTTGCTATATGTTTGTAACATTCCAACCCCTGTTCTGAGCACATTACAGGTATCACCTCATTTAATCCTCATGACAAGCTGTGAGTCAGGAGCTGTTTATCATCTCCATTTTCAAGATGAAGCAAACCGAGGCCTGGAGTGGTCACTCAGTGGGGATTGAGTAGAGTTAGGATTCTGAATCCAAGTAGTGTGGCTGCAGGCTCCATCCTTTTTTTTTTTTTTTAGACAGGGTCTCATCGTTGCCGAGGCTGGAGTGCAGTGGTGTGATCTCAGCTCGCTGCAACCTCCGCCTCCTGGGCTCAAGCGATTCTCCCACCTCAGCCTCCTGAGTAGCTGGGACCACAGGCGCACACCACCACACCTGGCTAATTTTTGTAATTTTTGTAAGATGGGCTTTTGCCATGTTGGCCAGGCTGATCTTGAACTCCTGACCTCAAGTGATCTGCCTGCCTCGGCCTCCCAAAGTGCTGGGATTACAGGCATGAGCCACTGTGTCCAGCTTCATCCTCTTAAAACCACATTCCTTATGCCTTGAATAAAGCCTTATTATTATAGCAGAAAACGCCCTCTTTCCAGCAGCCTTTTATTTATAGATTTAATAAGTCTAAAATAGAAAGACAGGAATTGTTTTCTCTACTCAGAAAATTAAGTGAATCGAAAACCGACCGTAGTGGAATATGACGACTGTGTAATAACAGGCAAATGCAAAAATGATCACATCAAATGGCAGTTTATATAATTTATATGAAGCAATATTGCAAATTTATTTTAAAATACATATGCACAGGAAAAAAGCACTAGAACAAGATATACGAAGCTATGACTGTGTTTGCTTTAGGGGGCTGAACTCTTGGTGAATTTATTTTCTTTACTCCATTTTCTGAATTTTTCATAATGCAGTTATAGTTCTTTTATAATGAAAACAGTTATAAAAATGTAAAAAACAAAATGAAACAATGAAACAGATCTTGGGCTAGTAGAGAAAGCGAAGTCTAATCTAGACTAAAGGCTGTAAATTGGCCACTAGCAGGTCTGACTTGCCTGAAGAATGTTTTGCTTGGCTGAGTCTTTGTTGTTTAAAAAAATATATGCATTAGCCTCTGTCACTGTAAAGTCAGGAGATTTCAGATAAAACTCCATCTTTCCCTGGACGCTTGTATTCCTATGACCCAGCAAGTCCACTCCTAGGATATACGCAATAGAAATGTACACACCAAAAGCCTAGAATGTCCTAGAATGTTCATAGCAGCTCTCTTCATAATAGCTTCAAATAAGAAACCACCCCAATACTCATCACAGTGGAATGGGTGAATAAATAGGGGTGTAAATTTGTGAAAATCATGTATTGGTTGATGTCTTCTGTCTCCCCAAAACATATACAACCAACCATGAAAAACTGTGCAAAAGTTGAGAAAGAATGATTTACAACTAAACCCTAAATTTGTATGGAGTTCAGACACGACGGGGAGGGAAAGCAGCCAGACAAAAAGTCCACCCTGTGTGTAAAACATTAACACAAACCAGCAAAGCCAAGCTCAGGTGTTAGGTCCAGGCAGCGGTCAGCTCGGGATGAGGGTGGGGGCTGTAGCCTCAACTTCCCAGGCTCAAGCCATCCTCCCACCTCAGCCTCCTGAGTAGCTGGGACTCCAGGCCTGCACCACTATGCCCAGCTAATTTTTAATCTTTTTTTTTTTTTTTTTTTGAGACAGAGTTTTGCTTTTGTTGCCCAGGCTGGAATGCAATGGTGCAATCTTGGCTCACTGCAATCTCCTCCTCCCGGGTTCAGGCGATTCTCCTGCCTCAGCTTCCCGAGTAGCTGGGACTACAGGCATGCACCACCATGCCCAGCTAATTTTGTATTTTTAGTAGAGACAGGGCTTTGCCATGTCGGCCAGGCTGGTCTCCAACTTCTGCTCCTGACCTCAGGTGATCTGCCCGCCTTGGCCTCCCAAAGTGCTGGGATTACAGGCGTGAGCCACCGCGCCCAGCCTTTAAATTTTTTTTTACAGTGATAGGGGTCTCATTATGTTGCCCAGGCTTGTCTCAAACTCCCGGGCTCAAGTGATCCTCTTGCCTCAGCCTCCAAAAGTGCAGGGATTGCAGTCGTGAGCCACTGCACCCAGCCCATATTTTTTTAAGTCAACCTACTGTGTGATTTTTTTTTCTGCCTTTCTCAGCATAACTCTAAGCAATAATGTCCACGAAGTCAGGGTTTCAGTGAGCTATAGAGTTCAGCAGTCAACAACACAGACAGTGGATCCAGAATGTCTAGGTTTAAAGCCTGCATCCTCTACAGTTGTGTGACTTTGGGCAAGTTACTTAAACTTCTTGGTCCTCAGTTTTCCCATCTGTAGAATGGGAATAATAATAATACCACATATCACAGGGTGGCCGAAAGGATTAAATGAGTGAATTATGTAGAGTTCTTAGAACAGCTGTGGGCATGCAGTGGTGTGCTGGTAACTGTTTAACAATGGCTTGGAAGGAAGGCCTTTACTGATTTCCAATTTCCCTGGTGTAAACACTTCCATTGTGGCTGATTTCAGGCTACCAATGAGAGGTCACTAAAGGTGGTTTTGGTAAAGGGGCCACTAGGTCATCCCAGGGTTGAAATAAGCAACTCTGTGACCACAGCCCAGATGTGCGTTTTGGAACAAAACCTAAGGAACCGTGGACAAGCCTTCTGACTTTAACTCTCTGGTTTGTTTTACGAGTCAGGGTCTCGCTCTGTCACCCAGGCTGGAGTGCAGTGGCACCATCATAGTTCACTGCAGCCTCGAACCCCTGAGCCCAGGTGATCCTCCCACCTTAGCCTCTTGAGTAGCTGGGACTACAGGCATGCCACCACGCCCAGCTAATTAAAAAAAATTTCTTTCATAGAGACAGGGTTTTGCCATGTTTTCCAGGCTGATATCACACTTCTGGGCTCAAGTGATCCCCCGCTCCAGCCTCCCAGAGTGGGATTACAAGCGCGAGCCACTGCGCCTGGCCTAGCCTCTGACATTAACTCTTATAAAAACACTGGAAAAGAAATATGACTCATGGGAAATTAAATAGCTGTCTTGTCCTTATAATGGATTCCTAGGGGTTCCCAGAGCACTCTGGGATGTGTGCACAGGGTCCTCCCTGCCAGGTGTCCCCAAGGGGAACATTCATTACAAACAGCGTTCACGCCACCTTCCTGCTTACCTGGTGCCCTGGCCTCGGCCGTCCCCTACCTTCCCTTTCTGGATTTATTAAAGATTCTTTTTACTTCTGTACACGTAACTCATGGAGGTGCCAGTTTGACCTTTGGAGAAATCTGTGTACAGCTCATCTCAACTTTCCCCACTTTTTATGTCATGAAGCCTGATCTACACACAGTTCGGAATTGCCCCCACACTCCCCCGCAGTCATTGTCACACTGCCAATATTTTACAACGGGAACGGAACACCTGTTTGCCGAGCACCCACGAGGGCCCAGGCATCCTCTTAGGTCTGGAACAGAGAAGGAAGGAAGCCAACGAAGCCACCCCCGAACACCGGCATCTGACAGAGGAGGCAGGCGGCGCCGGAGAACCCGAAGCAAACCATGTCATTGCAGCCCGAGACTCCTGCAAAGAAAATAAAGCAGACGAAGGGGCCTGGAGGCCTGAAACCTGGGCCGGGGGCATCAGGGGCTGCACACACCCTCATTTCACACCATCTGGGCATTTCCTCTGTGCCCCAGAGTCCCCAGGATCATTTCGTTTAAATGTGCAAAAATGAAATTCAATTTCTAACTGCACTCCGTGTGCTTATGAAGTAGTAGAAAACTCGGAAAGGTGGCACTTTAGGATAATTGACCTCGTTCAGGCTCAAAAGCCCCTTTGGCCAGTTCCTGGGTAAATTCAGGATTTGCATTCCATCGGGGCTATTCTCGGGTGTCCTCTCCTCCTGGCTGACCCCTGAGCCTGAATCCTGGGATTATTTTTAAAGCCTGGATATCACGCTGCTTCATGGTGCCGTGCAAAGCACTTGGTGTTTCCGTTACAGGGGGGACACCTGCCTGCTTCCAATTTTCGGCACTATAGATGATGCACGCTGCTGTCTCTGGAGGAATGTCACAGGATAATAGCTCATGTTCGAGGACTGCTTAGCCGGCCTGAAAGTTTTTGCAAGTATTAACTTATGTAATTCTCCCAACTCTCCTTGAGCAGAAGTTGCTATTGTTAGCTCCATTTTACAGATGGAGAAACTAAGGCACGGAGAGGTGAGGTGACGATAAGTGGCAGAGCTGGGATCTGAAGTGTCACAGAGAAGGGTGGGGAGGAGCTGGCACAGAGAGAAACAGCAAAAGTGGATTGCCTTCGCTCCATGCTCAGGACAAGTCTCCCTCTGATTAAGTGCACTGTGTTGAGAGGCCCCTGGGGAAGGTCTCAAAGCCATCACCCACAGCACAGATGGTGGAAGCTGGCACCCCTGCCATGCTGTGCTGGAAGTGTGCTTTGGTTACAGCCTGTGTGAAGGGCGACTTGACAGAGGCTGTCTCCATGTCAAAGGTGCATGTCCTGACCAGGGGCGGTGGCTCACGCCTGGAATCCCAGCACTTTGGGAGGCCGAGGTGGGTGAATCTCCTGAGGTCAGGAGTTTGCCAGCCTGGCCAACATGGTGAAACCTCGTGTCTACTAAAAATACAAAAATTAGCCAGGCATGGTGGCAGACACCTGTAATCCCAGCTACTCTAGAGGCTGAGACAGGAGAATCACTTGAACCCAGAAGGCAGAGGTTACAGTGAGCGGAGATCGCGCCACTGCACTCCAGCCTGGGACAGAGCGAGACTCCATCTCAAAAAAAATAAAAAATAAAACATGGTGCACGTCCTCTTTTGACCCTCTGCTGGCTATCTGTCCTCGGGAAATACCTGCCCATGTGCATGAAGAGGCATGGATGCTTATGCAGGGATGTTCCTTGCAGCATTGTTTGCAACAGTAAAGAATTGGAAATATCCTAAAATGCTCATCAGTAAGTGAGTGGTTAAATGATGGTACATTTACACTATGGAATCTGTTACCATAAGAAAGAATGCTATGTCTATATCTGGGTTTCTCAACATGGGTACAAGTGACATTTGGGCTGGATCATCCTTTGTGGTTGGGGGGGGGAGTGTCCTGTGCATTGCAGGAGGTTTAGCGGTATCCCTGGCTCTACCTACCAGATGCCAGTAGCACCAGCCTCCTTGGTGTGACACCCAGAAATGCATCCAGACATTGCCGAGTGTTCCCTGGGGGCAAAATTGCCCGTGGTTGAGGACAGCCAGTCTATATGCAGTGAAGTATAAAGGTCTCCAAAACAGACTAATACATGAAAAAAAAAGTTACAGAACTGTCTGCATTAAAAAAATACAATGCTGGTCAGGTGTGGTGGTTCAAATCTGTAATCCCAGATTTCTATTCTAAAAAATAGAAAAACGTAACTGGGCGTGGTGGTGCACACCTGTAGTCCCAGCTATTCAGGAGGCTGAGGTAGGAGGATTGCTTGAACCCGGGAGGCAGAGGTTGCAGTGAGCCGTGATGGCACCACTGCACTCCAGCCTGGGCAGCAGAGCAAAATCATGTCTCAATAAATAAATAAATAAATAAATAAAGCTAAGCTATTTATCTATATAGACATAGATACAGATACAGAGTCATGCATTCAACGAGTTTTATTGAGCACCTGCCCCATGCCTGGAACTGTTCTTGGTGCTGAGCAAGTAACGACGATCAAAATGAAGTCTCTGCTCTACTGGAGATTACCCTCTGGAGATTACACTTTGTCTTCTGGCGGGGAAAGACAGCAATGAACAAGCGAATAGACACACGGTATCAGGTGGTGATAAGTGCTACAAAGAAACATAAGTGGGGCTCGGGGACCTCGAAAAGACACAGGTGCTGTTTTAGAATGGGGTCAGGGCAAGGTGACATTCTACTCCACTAAGGTGACATTGAGCAGGGAGCTGCATGAATGAGGGACCAGCATGGGTACTTAGAGGTCAGTGGGCTCCAGGCACAGCAGGAGTCCCCCTGAGGCAGGATGGTGCTGTGTGAGCAGGAGGCCCAGCGAGGAGACCCGAGGGCCTGCAACAGAATAAATGAGGACCGTGGTGGGCGACGAAGCCAGTGAGACATTGGGGGCACAACCACAGCCGGCCTTGTTGCATAGCACTGACTTTGCTTTTCGCCTCGAGAACTGGAGCGATCAGGAGAAAATCCAGCTTGGAATGTAAAGAGGCCACGGTGGACGGTTCTGGGAGTAACGGAAGAGAAAAGGGGGAGGGGGAGAGGGAGAGAGAAAAGGAAGAAAGGGAGGAAAGCAAGGAGGGAAGAGGGGAAACACCAGATTGTCCAGCTCACTGACGAGTTCAAATCCCAGCTCCTCCACCTCCTCAGGCAACCAGCTTCGTCTCTCTGAGCCTCAGTCTCCTGTTGTGTAAAATGGTTTAACCACGCCGCCTCTCATAGGAGAGAATGATGTCACCAAAGTTCCCACTACGGCGCTTTTTCCGTAGGTCCCAAGTGAAAACAGAAGCTTCCCTCTGTCCTGCCCCTACCCCCAGAAGACCCAGCCAACTCCTCTGCAGCAGCAGCGCTGTGGCTCAGGGGCCCCTGTTTAGGCTGTAGGCTCCATGGAGGCCCAGAGGGAATGCCTTTCCACACGTCAAAGAAACCTGAGACTCAAAGAAACCTGAGACCCTAAGGTCGTATCAACTGCAGACCTTTGGGCCTAATGGCTATTGCCACGAAGAGCCTTTTAGAAAAACATCTCAGCAGGGGCCGGGTTTGAAGGCCCCCAGGGGCTTGTGGGAGGCAACATTTTCTTCTGTCTGACAGCCCCCTCCAACTCCCCCAGCCCGGGATCCCTCCCTGACAGCTGGTGGGCTGAGCCTGCTTCCCGAGGCTGGGCTTTGGGGTTGGGGTCTCTTTGTCAGCCCAGGAATAACCCAGCACCCACCCGCCCAACCCACACACATACACAAACAGTTCATTCACCCTGCAGGAGAGGTCAGGCCCTCCCACAGCATCTGCCCAAGATGCTCGCAAATCCACGGGGACAATCCCAGGCCTGGGGCATCTCCATGTCACATAGGAGGGGGGGGGGTGCTCAGCCGAAAGCGGGGCCTCGAGAGGCTCTAAAGACAGCAGCACACGGCTGGGCGCGGTGGCTCACGCCTGTAATCCCAGCACTTTGGGAGGCTGAGGCAGGCAGATCACCTGAGGTCAGGAGTTTGAGACCAGCCTGACCAACATGGAGAAACCCTGTCGTTGCTAAAAACACAAAATTAGCTGGACGTGGTGGCAAATGCCTGTAATCCCAGCTACTCAGGAGGCTGAGGCAGGAGAATCACTTGAACCCAGGAGGCGGAGGTTGCGGTGAGCCGAGATTGTGCCATTGCACTCCAGCCTGGGCAGCAACAAGAGTGAAACTCGATCTCAAAAAAAAAAAAAAAAAAAGCAGCACAGGGCTCACTTTTCCCTCAGACCCTGCAGGGCCATGGAAACAGCCACAGGGGCTCAGGCAGCTGAAGAGAATGTTCTAGAATCCACAAAGAGCCTGGCCTGGCAGGAGCCTGGGGACCTGGAGATGCAGCCGGGTGCATCTATTCAGGCTTTCAAGCCTCCAGCAACCTGGAGACCTGCTGTCTCCACGCCTCGCCTCTCACACGGAGCCAGCCTGTGGGGCGAGTGGCTGCCTGCTTCCACCACCCCGACTCCTCCGTGTTGGTTGGCCAGGGTAATGAGAATGTGCTTGTTTTGATGAAATGTCAATCACTTGTATATAAATATCTATATTTAGGACTCCTTTAGAAAATAAGAAAATCTGGGAGCACACAGTCACCATGCAGCTGCCCTCTTTAGAAAGACACGCGCCCTCCCCTGGCCACAGTCCCCACCTCTCCCTGTTGTCTCCTTGGTGCCCAGCCTCCAGCCCTCCTCCCCGTACTTGCCAGGCCCCGGAGGCCTTGGATCCCCAGTCCCCTGCCCAGAGATGCCCCGGGGCAGCCAACCCCATGCCAGACGAGAGTCTCAACCGAGCAGGGAGGCAGGCTGAGACGCAGGAGGCCTTGCCCACTTAGAATCAGCCACCAGTGATACAGAGGGTGGAGGAGGAGAGGCAGGAGGATGGAGGAAGGACATGCCAAGGTCTCAAGCTGGAGAACACGGGGCTGATGGGGAGGTGGCAGAGACAGGGCCTGCTGGGAGAAGCAGGAAAGGCAGAGAATGTGTCCATGCGTCCGGAGCCCTGACCTGTGGTGGGGCCGTTCTGTCGGCAACCGGGACATGCGCTTGTCTGAGTTCCAGGAAGAGAGAGCTGTGTGCACATCCTGTCATCAGAGCAGCTTGAAATAAATGCCCCTATTTGTGTATCCGATTGGCAACAAGTAAAAGATTAATGATAGGAGACAGAAAGCAGATGAGTGGCTGCCGGGGGCCAGGGAGGGGGTGGGGAGTGACTGCCTAATTGATACGAGTTTTCCTTTTGGGGTGACAGGAAAGTTCTGGGGCTAGAGCAGCGGGGGTGGCACAATATCGTGAGTGTGCTGAATGCAACGGACTGGATCACTTTAAAATAGTTAAAATGGTAAGTCCTATGTCGCGTGTATCTTACCACAGTTAAAAAAAGATGACTCATATCCATTGTTGGTGAGGGCAGGGGAAAGGGGGCAGACTGTCAATCAACACGTGGCTTCGGGAGGACAATTTGGTAATTCACATCCATAATGTCCTTTTTTATGTTTTAATTTTTAATTTTTATTTTTTGTAGAGACGGGGATCTCATTTTGTTGCCCCAGCTGGTCTCAAACTCCTGGCCTCAAGTGATCCTCCCAATTCGGCCTCTCGAAGTGCTGCGATGACAGGAATGAGCCACTGCTCATGCAGCACACATCGATAATTTAAATGGTTAGCCCAAAAATCTTTTAGAAATCCACCCCACAGAAATTCTGAAATAAAGACTTGTGTGAAAGGAGGTTCAAGACAGAAGTGTTCCTTAAAAGCGCAATTGCTGGAAACCATAGGAATGCCTTACCAGTTTTCTTTTGTTGTGTAACAAAGTACAACAAACTTGATGACTTCAGACAACACTCTTCCCTCCCCATAAAAACACCCAAGTCACTGGTGATGTCACAGTTCTGCAGTTGAGAAGTCTGGACAAGCACGGTTGGACTCTCTGCTCAGGGCATCCTAAGGCCAAAATCAAGGTGCCAGCTCACTGCATTCTCACCTGGAGCCCAAGGGCCTCTTCTGAGATCACTTGGTGGCTTTAAGACAGGGGTTCCCGTATTTCCCAACTGTGAGAGCCATGAGCCATCCTTACCTCCTGGAGGCCTTTCTGACCCACCCCCCGCAACAATGGAGAATTTCCCTGTTCCCTGAAGTCAAATCCCTCTCCTACTTACAATCTCCCTGTCAGAAAGAATCCCAGCCCTTTTAAGGGCTCGACTGATTGGGTCAGGCCCACTGAGGGTCATCTCCCATTCTCAAAGTCAACAATGTCATAAAACACACTCTAATCTAATCACAGAGTGATACCCCCATCACGTTGGTAGGATCCTTTATGGGGTATAGACGTCAGCCTCAACAGTGTCTGTCAACAGGGGACTAGTTCATCTCCATAATCTCAAATACTGGAGACTTTTTCAATAAATGAGATATCTCTATATGAACATTTTCCTTGAGGTGTTGTTAACGACATGCAAATAATTGATGCAATTTCATCAGTTTCCTTGATGTAATTGCAAAACTACACATATACCTATTATATATATATAATTTCATGTATAATTGTATATGTACAATTTCACTTACATATATAAAATTTCATTTTGTTAAAAAAAAAAAAAATCTATGCATGGCCCGGGTGCGGTGGCTCACACCTGTAATCCTAGCACTTTGGGAGGCCGAGGCAAGCAGATTGCCTGAGCTCAGGAGTTCAAGACCACCCTGGGCAACATGGTGAAACCCTATCTCTACTAAAATACAAAAAATTAGCTGGGTGTGGTGGTGGGTGCCTATAGTCCCAGCTACTCAGGAGGCTGAGGCACAAGGATCACTTGAGCCCAGGAGGCAGAGGTTGCAGTGAGTCTAGATCATGCCACTGCACCCCAGCCTGGGCGACAGAGTGAGACTCTGTCTCAAAAAAAAAAAAAAAAAAAAAAGAAATCTATGCATTCTTGTACAAGTGTGTGTATGTGTACATGCACAAAGAAAAGTCTGGAAGAATATAGACCAAACTATAAATAGCAAGTACCTCAAAGAAGGGAGGCTGTATGAAGCAGAATTCTCACTTTTTATTTTATATACTCTGTATTATTAAAATTAGTTACATTGAATATGTATTACTTTCACAGTTAAAAAGATTAAGGGCCAGGTACAGTGGCTCACGCCTGTAGTCCCAGCACTTTGGGAGGCTGAGGCGGGTGGATCACCTGAGGTCAGGAGTTCGAGACCAGCCTGGCCAACATGGTGAAACCCTGTCTCTACTAAAAATACAAAAATTACCCAGGCATGGCGGTGCACACCTGTCATCCCAGCTGCTCGGGAGGCTGAGGTAGGAGAATCATATGAACCCAGGAGGCGGAGGTTGCAGTGAGCTCACACCAGTGCACGCCAGCCTGGGCAACAAGAGCAAAACTCTGTCTCAAAAAAAAAAAAAAAAAGATTGAAACATTAAATTTAAAACAAGCTCACAATGTAATCACTAAATTTTTAAGGTTCATAAAGGAAAGCTGGTCCCCCCTGACTGGCCTCCCCCTCACTGGGAGAAATTCTCAAGCCAGCTCATCTTTTGTTTTGTTTTTTGTTTGTTTGTTTGTTTGTTTGTTTTGAGACAGGGTCTTACTCTGTCACCCAGGCTGGAGTGCAATGACACCATCATAGCTCATTGCAGCCTCAACCTCATGGACTCAGGTGATCCTCTAGCCTCAACCTCCCAAGTAGCTGAGATTACAGGTGCATACCATCACATCTGGCTAATCTTTATTTTTCTGTAGACATGGGGAGCCTCATTATGTTTCCCAGCTTGTGTCAAACTCCTGGGCTCAAGTGATCCTCCCTCTGTAGCCTCTCAAAGTGCTGGGATTGCAAGCATGAGCCACTGTGTCCAGCCCAGACTTGTTATTTTTCAGTTTTGAACTATTTCTTAGTGACTCTTGAACTTCCTCATTGTTAAGTGAGAGGTCTAGAAATCAGAGCGTGGTGAGGACCCAGAACCACACCCGATGCTCTGTTCTCTCAGAGGGGCCCAAATACCTCTGTGCAGACAGCGGCAGGGTAGAGGGACTGTCCACACTGGAGGTCAGCAGCACCCCTGAGACCTGAATCAGGCTGAGGGTCAAGAGCTGGAGAGGATGGAGCGGGGTGGGCTCACACACCAGGCAGCAGGGATGGGTTCCCAGCAGGGTGGTATAAGTCAGGCTTGGTGCCCAAAGTAGGAATGATTCTATTCTGCCAGAGGGTCACAGACTAGGCCACCCCAAAATATGCCATTCTGGCATCAGGATTATTTTGAGCTGAAGACAGTTGAGAAGAAGCAGATGAAGGAAAAGCTCTGCCCTACCCTATTTAAGCAGGACATAGATTTCTTTTTTTCTTTTTTTTTTTTTTTTTTGAGACAGAGTGTCACTCAGTAGCCCAGGCTGTAGTGCAGCGGCGTGATCTCGGCTCAATGCAAACTCCTCCGAGGCTCAAGTGATTCTCCTGCCTCAGCTTCCCGAGTAGCTGGGACTACAGGTGCATACCCCCATGTCCAGCTTTTTTTTTTTTTTTGAGATGGAGTTTCACTCTTGTTGCCCAGGCTGAAGTGCAATGGCACGATCTCAGCTCCTGCAGTCTCTACCTCCTAGGTTCAAGCGATTCTCTAGCCTCAGCCTTCTGAGTAGCTGGGACTACAGGCACCTGCCACCATGCCCGGCTAATGTTTTGTGTTTTTAGTAGAGATGGGGTTTCACCATGGTGGCCAGCCTGGTCTTGAACTCCTGACCTCAAGTGATCTGCCCACCTTGGCCTCCCGAAGTGCTGGGATGACAGGCGTGAGCCACCATGCCTGGCCCTAAAAGCAGGACATATATTTCTAACAGTGCCTCCTGGCCATCTTTCTACCAGGAAGGGCAGAAATTCATCACCAGACACAGCCCTAGACCCTTACTGCCCAGATGGCACCACAGGAATCTACGCAACAAATGTTGCTAACTGGCCCTTATCTTCTATCGGTTTCCCCATCTTTGCCTTCCCCCAATCTTCTGTTGCCCCAGAAACTCTCAAGACCTTCTCTTTTTTTCTTTTGGTCTTGTCCCTTCTGTACAGATGAGTTGCTTTTTTGGTTGAGGTGGAATGCAAGTTCAAGTTCTCACCACCCCTGGAGTTACTTGTCAGTGGGTGATCCTGGGTGTATCTGTGACACACATGTTAATAAACTTCTGTTGGTTTTTCTCTAGTTAATATGTCTTGAGACAGGCTCTCACTCTCACCCAGGCTGGAGTGCAGTGGCACTGTCACAGCTCATTGCAGCCTCAATCTTTTGTCATTTCACAGGGCCTCAGTTAAGGAACCTAAGATGGGTAGAGGAAAATGAACAATTTCCTTCCCTACATAAGCATTTCAGGCAGAAGACAACTGAACACAAGGTGTTCGATGCTGACGAAACTGACGGGTTGGATGGAGGGCTGTAAGGACCCCCCAGATGCTGCAGAACCGACTCACCAGCAAGGCTGCCATGATCAGGAATACGGAGAATCAGAAACCTTCCCGAGGGACCGTTGAGCCAAGCACACCCTCAGAGCTGCACCCCAGGGATCGGAGCCCCACAGCTGCCTCCGCACCTACCTCCGCACCTGCCTCCAGGCACCCACGAAGCTGGAGACTGGACACTCATATCCGCACAACCTTGCCTGCCAAGAGAAAATGGGCCACTGAGAGATGCTTCTGCCTCCCTCCTGTCTTCCAAATCTCATGTGAACGTGCTTAACTGTCACAACCAAATGTGCCCCCAAAACCCCGGATGTCAGAGAGTCTGGGTAATTCATTTTAAGTTTTCAGTGTTGAAAGCCCTGGAAGGAAGTGGGAATGGATGCTGAGTACCAAGAGTCACTACCTAGGATGGGGACTACACCACGGGAGGCCAAGAACTCAGACTGGGGCCCAGGAGGTGGGAGAGAATCAAGCTACAAGGTCCAACGCCATGTTCACTGTCTGAGCTGGGCCACGCTTGCATTGCTGTACAGAAACACCTGAGACTGGACACTTTATAAGAAAAGAGATTTAATTGGCTCATGGTTCTGCAGGCTGTACAGAAAGCATAGCACTGGCATCTGCTTCTGGGGAGGCCCCAGAAAGCTCCCAATCGTGGCAGAAGGCAAAGAGGGAGCTCACATTGCGTGAGCAGGAGCAAGAAAGAGAGGCGGCGAGGAGGTGCCACACAATTAAACAACGAGATCTCATAAGAATTTACTCACTATCACAACGACAGCACCAAGGGCATGAGCTAAACCATCCATGAGAAATCCACCCCACCCAGGAGGCGGAGGCTGCAGTGAGCTGAGATGGCGCCACTGCACTCCAGCCTGGGTGACAAAGTGGGACCTTGCCTCAAAAAAAAAAAAAAAAATAGAAATCCACTACCATGATCCAGTCACCTCCCACCAGGCCCCACCTCCAACACTGGGGACTACAGTTCAACATGAGATTTGAGCAGGGCCAAGTATACAAACTTTATCACCACTCCAGCTGCAGCGAAAGCCTTGACACCTTGACCTGGTCCCCGGTCTAGGTTTCCTGGGTGACCTTGTGGTCTTTAAACATAGTATCGGGATCAAGTTTCTCTGCTTTAACCTCAGATAGCTGAGCAGATTCACTCCTGCGAAGCTCGCACTCTGGTAATTATTGATCATCACAATCTTAGTGGCTGTTCTGCCTTGAGTGGCTGTTGCTTGCCAAGCACTGTGCTGAGAGCATCGTGCATTACTCTGCATCAGGTATTTTACAGCAACCGTATATGATTAGGACTGTCGTTACTATTATCGTTTAGAAGGTGATGAAACTGAGGCTCAGAGAGGTTTTATAACTTGCCCAAGGTCACACAGCAAGTAAATGACAGAGCCAGGATTAGAACCTATTTGCTGAACCACTTGATGACATTGGCTGCCACTATTCATTCTGATTTTATTTTTAAATAAGAAAACAAATCTGTGCTTCCTAAATCAAGTTTGTTTGGAAGACAATTGTCCCAAAATATAAAATGCATGGGGAGGTGAATAGTAAAAGGAATGCTTTGTAGGGAAGGAACCGGAGCCTGTGGTACTCAGTGACCCCTGTGCCATTTCAGAGCCAACATTCTGTTCTACAAGCATGCCTCTTTATTCTCTGTTCAGTAGCAACTGGGACCGCATCCATGCTGGAAGTTACTACCCGTGGAGCCAGGGTGGGAGGCGGGCTCGGGGGAGGAGGGCCTGCTTCTTGGAGGATGCTCTGTGATCCTCCCTGAAGCGATCTACAATATGGTCCCAGAGTTGCCATAGCAACTCCCCATCTGGGCTATTTGAATGAAATAAAGGAAGCAACTTCTCTCTGCAGACTATTGTGACTTTGAAGAATGACTCCTTCAGCAGACGTTTAACAGTGTCACCCAGGGGTGGCAAAAGCAAATGCTCACAGGAAGCGAACAGACAACGTAAAGGAGCTAAGGAAAGGACGGCAGGGAGGTTCATTGGGTAGCTGGGGGCTGGAGGGCCCTGGGTAGTGCACCTCCCCCTGCCCCCATCCACGCAGGCAGCTGCAGCTCAATCATAGCCCCTTGTTACTCCGCAGGAATGTAAACCCAAGGTTACTGGATCTTCAGGTTTGTCAAGAAAAGCTGAAAGCTAGATTTTTAGGTGAAACCTTTGCATCTTTAAATGTTAGCACCCAATCCAAACTTCGGACTGGGACTTCCAGGCGCTGTTGTGCAAGTCATGCCCTGCACGACTCCGAGGACGTCGGTTTCATGTTTGTTCCAGTGTGGAGTGCTCCCTACAGTAAACTGCACACTGCGCAGCCAGGTGTGTGTAGTCCTGTAATGTCAGGGGGCCGAATTTGGCTTGTCACCAGTGTGCCAATTCCAATTCTAAGTATCCAGCCGTAGAGGTCTGGCTAGAGAAATTATTGTTCAACTAACCAATATAAGCCACCAAAAATAGTGAATAGCGTTCATAGATGTGAAAAGGTGTTCACAATATATTGACATGTGAAAAAAGCACATTACAAAAATATAAACAGAGCATAATCTTAGTTTTTGAAAATAAAGATGTACACGTTGCATTAAAAAGTCTGCAAAAAGAGAGGAGGGAGGGCATTAGGAAGAAGAGCTAATGCCTGCTGGGCTTGGTACCTAGGTGATGGGTTGATAGGTGTAGCAAACTACCTTGGCACACGTTTACCCATATAACAAACGTGCACATCCAGTACATGTACCCCAGAACTTAAAATTTTTCAAAATAGTCTGCAAGGTTGCACCCCCAAATGTGACAACAGTAACCTCAGAGAGGTATAAAGTCATTTTTATTTTCATCTTCTTTATCTCTGTGTTTTCTCAATATTTTTTGATGGCATGTAAATACTTATAAAATTAAAAAATTTAAGTTCATTCCAAAAATTCTTCTAATGGCTGAACGCAGTGTCTCACACTTGTAACCCCAGCACTTTGGGACGCCAAGATGGGCAGGTCGCTTGAGCCCAGGAGTTGGAGACCAGCCTGAGCAACATGGCAAAGCCCCGTCTCTACAAATTAAAAAAAAAAAAAAAAAAAAAAAGGCTGGGCGTGGTGGCCTGCGCCTGTAGTCCCAGCTACTTGGGAGGCTGAAGTGGGAGGATCGCTTGAGTCTGGGCAGTCGAGCCTGCAGTGAGCCATGATCGAGCCACTGCACTCTAGTCTGGGCAACAGAGTGAGACCCTGTCTCAAAAAATAATAACAATAATTCTTCTAAAATGAAATCAAAGTTCGTTTTCTAGCAAAAAGGAAGAGAGTAGGACTGTGGCCAAAAGCAATGCTTTTCAAACTCCAACGTATTTCAGCATGGCCCTGGACAGTTAGCTCAAACACAGATTACTACCTGCCCTGGCTGTGCCTGGGATAGGTCTTGTGGAATGTGCTGTTTAAGCTAGTATCCAGGTGACGCTAGTGCTTGGGTCCCCAGACCATGCATTCCAAACACTGGAACAAAAGCCTTATTAGGCTCTATCCTCTGTAAAGATATTCTCATAAGAATATCTAAGAATCATCTGGTAAACTCGTTTAAAATGTAGTCCTGGGACCATCCCCAAAGACTGAAACTCACGGGGTCTGGAGCGGTGCCCAGGAACCTGCATTTTCATAAATATACAGGGTGGTTTTGCTGTAGGTGGTTTCTGGGGACAGCCTTTGAGAAGCACGGTTCTAAAAGCCAACCTGGAGATGGGATCGAGGGATTGCTGGTCTCTTTGTGGTATGAACTCATTTAGGTGGCATCCATATATTAAGTGAGCAGCTACTGGGCTCCCACTGTTTGCCAGGCACTGGGCCAGGAGCTGGAGGAGCTGGACAGATGTATAAGACATGCCCCTGCTGCAGCCCTGGGCTCTACTAGGGATGATAGGGACTGCGGGGAGCCAGAGGCAGCCAGCACCCAGGTGGAAGGCATCTGAGGAGGCTGGGGGATGGGGACAGGGGTATAGGAAACGAGGGCCTGGGCAGTGAATGCTCCCGGGCTGAGGGAGGCAGTCTACAGGAGGGCACTGGGAGCTTCAGTCTCTTGACCTTTCAGACAACGAATTTGGTTCTCAGCAGCAACCAGCTGCATTGTGGTAGTGTTTGAATCTTCATACTCAGAACTCGTGCATTGAGCAGCAATCTATCCTCTCTGATCTTAATTGACCCATTGTAAGAACCCTCATTACTTTCTTCTTAGCATCCTGCCGACTCTTCCAACAGGTGTATTTTAAACCAAATCACCTGTTCCAGGTGAGCAGTTTGACATTCCTCCCTCTGACTGATATGTACTACATGAATTCCCTTCTGTGTTTAAAAAACGTTTCTTAACTTTAATACTCCAAAAAGACAGAAAACTAGGGAAAATTATCTAATTTCCACCTACCCATTACACAGATGATAACATCTTACTATATGCATCTGTAAGGTTTGTTACCCAGATGCTAACATCTTACTTATTTCCTTCAGCTTTTTAAAAAATACATGAGCCCAGAAAGACACAGCAAAGCTCCACTCCAGCACTGTCTTTCCCCTCTTCCCTCCCTCCTCCCACCCTCCTCCCACCCTCCTCCCAGGGCTCACCTCTCGTTTTCATTGTGCCCGATGCATCTCTGCTCGGGTGGACCTACTCAAAACCAAGGTCTGAGGATTTTGTTTGGAAATTTAGCACAAGTGTTATCACTGTTCCCCGATCACTTTGTAAGCTGCCTTTTATACCTGCCTTTATGTTCTGGGGTTTAATAGAGCCATCACAGCTTGTCTTGCCTGTGCGTGCACGCAGTGGTGTGGCCTGTCCTCCGCAGTGACACCGGACATGGGAACTGCTGGGGATGAACCAAGGAGCAAAGAATTCAGTGCCTGCTCTCTCATTCTCTCAGGTTTACCAGAAATAACCCATGGACTGTAGCCTTCAGTTCAAAGGGGTTTTTCTTTTTCTTTTTCTTTTTTTGAGACTGGGTCTTGCTCTGTTGCTCACACTGGGGTGCAGTGGCGCGATCATGGTTCACTGCAAACTTGACCTCCTGGACTCAAGCAATTCTCCCACCTCAGCCTCCTGAGTAGCTGGGACCACAGACACATGCCACCATGCCCAGCTAATTTTATTTTTATTTTTCGTAGAGATGGGGTCTCTGGCCGGGCACAATGGCTCACACCTATAATCCCACCACTTTGGGAGGCTGAGGCAGGAGGATCACTTGAGCCCAGGAGTTCAAGACCAGCCTGGGCAACATAGCAAGATCCCATCTCTATTTTTTTCCCCTGAGATAAAGTCTCTCATTGTTCCCTAGGCTGGTCTCGAACTCCAAGGCTCAAGCGATCCTCCTGCCTCAGCCTCCCAAAGTGCTGGGATGGCAGGCATGAGCCACCACTCCAGGCCCAAAGGGGCCTCTTTACTCGCTTATCCCCCAGTTGCAGTGGCAGCTCCCTCAACACGTTCCCAGCACAGGCAGATAGAACAGCCCCTGCCCCAGACTTCCTGGTGTGCCTTTAGCCTTAGGGCAACACCTGCCTCTCCTGCCCCACCCAGAGGGATTCAAAGTCCCACACCTCGCACCTGGGGAGCACTTGGCAGAACCCAAAGCCTGGAGCACACGGCAGCCTCCACAGCCCCCTCCTGGTAGCGGTATCTTAAGACTCCCTCAGAGACGATTAAAAGGGTGGAGGACTCAGGGTAACGGGGTCAAGCAGCTGGGTTGGAAGAGCCAGACAGGTGGACAGGCGCACGGGATAGCTGTCCTCCAGGGCCAGCCCTGGGGCAGAGCCAGAGGCAAGAGCCAGCACCCAGGCGGAGAAAGCCAGAAAGGCGTCTGGTCTCATTGCCTAGTTCGGCATAGGCTAGGTCCGAGCCCCATCTGAGCAGGTATGGATTCTGGGTGTGGCTCAAAGAGCTGGGCAGGGCCCCACCTCCTCCCCTTTCAGACTGGGGAACTCCACTGAAGCTGATTCACTGACCACTTAGTGAGCACCTACTGTGTACAAGGCCTCACGCCAGGCACTGGGATGGGGCACCTGCCCCAGAGAGGCGCACAGTTAGTGGGGGAGGGGAGAAGCAACTGGAGGAGGGAGGGAAGAGGGCGGACTCATTCCCCATGGCTGCCACAGTCAGTCACCACACCGGGGGCTCAACACAACACAAAGATATTCTCTCACGATTCTGGAGGTCAGAATTCAAAAATCAAAGTGTGGGCAGGGCCATGCTCCCTCTGGAAGCTCTAGGGGAAGCTTCCTGCCTCTTCTAGCTCCTGGTGGCTCCAAGCTTGCAGAGGCCTCACTCCAATCTCTGCCTCTGCCTTCACGTGTCCGCCTCTCTTGTCTCTCATCTCTCATCTCTCTTGCCTCTTGTCTCTGTCTAAAATCTCCCTGTGATGCCTGTTACGGGATTTAGGTGCTGCCCTAAATCCAGGATGATCTTTAATTATATCTATAAAGACCCTTTTCCTACATAAGATCACATTTACAGGTTCTGGGGCACAGACAAATCTTTTGGGAGCCATGATTCAGCCCACTTCACAGGACACAGGGAACCTTCTAGAAGAGGCAGACCAGCAGAGACCAGTCTCTCTCTAGAGGGAAAGAGAGGAGCCTTCAGAAAAGTAGAGGAAGGATGTCAGGGCCCGGATGCGGGCATGCGAGGAGGAAGGTGGACAAGGTCCTGGCTAGAGGGACACGCAGAGCCCCTCCAGCCCTTCCGGAAGTTTGCCATTGACCACAGGATGCTGAGTGGGTGAGGGGTAGCAAAAAGCTAACATGGAGCTGCTGTTGGAAAAAGGTGAAATTCTTTTCTTAATTTAGGATGAACTGTTCTGATGGGCAAGGAAAGGCTCAAAATTAAGGCATAATCCTGAAGAAAAAAAGCTCTAAAAAATATTTTTCCCTTAGTTTCATGCCTTAAGAATTCATTTAGCCGGTGTGGTGGCTCATGCCTGTAATCCCAGCACTTTGGGAGGCCGAGGTGGGCAGATCACCTGAGGTCAGGAGTTTGAGACCAACCTGGCCAGCATGGTGAAACCCCATCTCTACCAAAAACACAAAAATTAGCCAGGCGTGGTGGTGCACACCTGTAATCCCAGCTACTCAGGAGGCTGAGGCAGGAGAATTGCTTGAACCCGGGAGGCGGAGGTTGCCGTGAGGCGAGATCACACCACTGCACTCCAGCCTGGGCGACAGAGTGAGACTCCGTTGCAAAAAACAAAACAAAACAAAACAAAACAAAACACACACACAAATTAGCTGGGCATGGTGGTGGGTGCTTATAATCCCAGCTACTTGGGAGGCTGAGGCAGGAGAATCGCTTGAACCTGGGAGGCAGAGATCGTGCCACTGCATTCCTGCCTGGGCAACAGAGGGAGACTCTGCTTCAAAAAAAAAAAAAAAAGAAAAGAAAAGAAAAAAAAAAGGAATTCATTTACATTCAAACAAAAATGGAATGTTGCAGGTGCCTCATCTGTCAGGCTGGGAGGAATCTCGGAGCTGAAAGCAACCCAAGCTTCTCTCGCTCCCAGGAAGTCTCACTGTATTGATGCCACCTGGTCAGCACAGTGCACCGCAGACCAGAACTCCTGGGCTCAAGGTGTCTCCTGCCTGAGCCTCAAATACCTAGGACTACAGGTGTGCGCACTGCGCCTGGCTAGCTTTTGTTTTTATGCTGTTGGGACACCTGGCCATGGTGAAGTTTGGCCGCCTGGTCCTTCTTCCTCTTTGGATAGCAACCTGGATTACTGAAATTCCTGCTCCATCCTTCCTCCAGCCTGCAGGGAGCACCTGCTGAGGGAGTGCTGGGGAGTGCTGTTGTCCTGGTCCATGAGGCAGCTGAGGACCCCGGCAGACTAGCCAGTCTCTTTCCATTGCACAGAATGTTAGGGCTCACTCATTCATTCACTTCTGTGAAATCCTACAGCATGACCTCATGAAAAGATGCTTGAACCCGGCACTGCCTGGGTTCAAATCCTGGCTCAGCTGTTTCCTAGGTGTGTGTGGTAGGCTGTATTTCTCTTCACAAACGTTTGGTGACCCCCCTTGCAAGAGACTGGTACATCCCTGCCCGGCTGAACCTCGTATAGCTGTGTGACTTACCTTGGGAACTCTTCAGAGGAGGCAAGCATCCTGCCTAAGGTCACACGGCCTGTAGGCGGGGAACTCGGGTTCCAACCGTTCCCCTCACACTGTGCTGGCTCCCAGTCCCAGCCCCACCTTCCCAACAGGGATCGAAGAGCCATGTCTTTTGCTCCCTCCCAGACCCTGCCCAGGTGGAGACATTTGTGTACCCAAAGTGATGCCAGCCAAGCCCTAGATTCGTAGCAGCAGCCCACGGGCGGCGACACTGACAAGCAGGGGTAGAAGGATCAGACGGCTCTGTCACTGCCTCGGGGTTAGGCCTGAGCTGTTCATGGCCACAGCCCTTGCTCCAAACGAGGATGGTCCCCCAGGACTGTGCAGAGTCCCCATCGGAATCTAACAGATCACATCACGCTAAGCACCTGGCAAGGCTCAGCTCACTTAGTCCTTGTAATAAATGCATGAGGGAAGTGCTGTGATCTTTAGAGGGGGAAACTGAGGCTCAGAGAGGTGACACTACTGGCCAAGGTCATCTGGCGGGTGAACCACGGACCTCGGACTCAAACCTGAGCCCAAGGCTGAGCTCTGAGCCACGGCTGTGCTGCCTACTGTCTCTTACTGAGTCATCTGGTGGCCGCGGCCGTTTCTGGTTCTTTCAAAAAATTCTTTCTACATCACTTGGACTATGCACATTTTCTGCTTCTTGTTTCTCTCTTTTATGGTTCACTAAGAAATGGGGAACAGAAAGATTTCAACGAGGGCAGCCCATCCTCAGGGCAGGAGCTGCACGGGAACTTTCCCCCAGCCAGGGCCGCACCCTGGGCCTGGACTCCCTCACCAGCCCCAGATAACCTCTGGGGTATAAACACCTGGCACAGCTGAGAAATAGGGCTGAGTGTGGTGGTTCACGCCTGTAATCCCAGCACTTTGGGAGGCCGAGGTGGGTGGATCACAAGGTCAGGAGTTAGACACCAGCCTGGCCAACATGGTGAAACCCTGTCTCTACTAAAAACACAAAAATTCGCTGGGCATGGTGGCGGGCACCTGTAACCCCAGCTACTGGGGAGGCTGAGGCAGGAGAATCGCTGCAACCCAGGAGGCGGAGGTTGCAGTGGGCCGACATAGCGCCATTGCACTCCAGCCTGGGTGACCGAGCAAGACTCTGTCTCAGAAAAAAAAAAAAAAGGCAAGGTTTCTCTGCCTTCAGTGGTCTCATGATCCCTTGGGATCCCCAGCAAAGGCCCAAGCTGCAGTTTTCAAGTTAAAGCCAAGCTCCTTGACACACGAACAAGCTGCTTCAGACCCTGGCTCACCCGTGGGCAAACATTCCATGGAGCTTATGTCCACGCTTTCCTGTTCCTCCCCTCCTTTCCCCGCGTTCTCAGCTCAGGTACCACCTCCTTAGGGAAGCCCTCCCCCATACCCTAGCCAGATCCAGGGCCCTTGTGAGCTCTCATGGAACCTGGGCTTTTTTCTCTGAAGGAGACTTATCCTCATCTGGAAACACACACCCTCTGGTGGGACAAGCTGATTAATATCCATCATCCCTGCTAGACTCAGCCTCCTTGAGGGTGGGGGCTGTCTGAGTTTGTTCATCATCAAATCCCCATACCTAGGCCAGTGCCTGGCACATAGTAGGTGCTCAATAAACCTGTCTGCACTTGCCCTTCAAGATTCCAGTCATGGCTGGGTGCAGTGGCTCACGCCTGTAAGCCCTACACTCTGAGAGGTTGAGGTGGGAGGATCGCTCAAGTCCAGGAGTTTGAGACCAGCCTGGGCAGCATAGGGAGACCTCCTATCTAAAAAAATACAAAACTTAGCTGGGCATGGTGGTGCACACCTGTAGTCCCAGCTACTCAGGAGGCTGAGGCAGAAGGATCGATTGAGCCCAGGAGATGGAGACTGCAGTGAGCTGTGATTGTGCCGCTGCACTCCAGCCTGGGTGGCAGAGTGAGACCCTGTCTCAAAACTAACAAAATGAAAACAAACAAGATTCCACTCACGAGAGGAACCCACAGAGGGAGAGGCAGGCCTCCCTTCCAGCCCCTCCTGCCCGGGATCAGGGCCACTTCTGCAGCTGTCTGGAAAGGAAAAGCTGGCGTTCGTTGAGTCTGGCACTCCAATTTCACTCACTAGTCTGGGATAGAGGCCTCATCTGTATTTTCAAAGCTCCCAGTGATCCTAATTCACAGCCAGGGATGAGACCACAGGCCTAGGGGCAGATTTGAGAGCTGCTCATTCTTTCTAGTCTGCTTTGGGGCAGGGAGTGGGGTGGGCAGTGGGCCTGGAGGAGGGCTTGGCCGACCAGGAGATTCCAGGAGAGGATGGAAGGCTTGCGGGACGCAGTGCATGAGTGACATGAAGTCATGCACCTACTGAGCCCATGTTCTGAACGGAGCTAAAACCCGTGCACTGGGAACGGACCTAGTTTAGCTCCCTCAGCTCTGGGTATAGGAAAAGACGGAAGCCCACAGAGCTAACAAGACCAGTGGCAGGCGTGAGATAAGAACACTGCACCCTGACAGGCGCCCTTTGCCTGCACAATCCTCGCTGCTCCTTAAGCCTTTCTACACGTAGGCAATGTTGTCTATTTTGCAGATGAGGAAACCGAGGCTGAGAGGTTAACTAAATTGCCTAAATCCACACAGCTGTGAACAGATGAGCAGAAATTAGAACCCAGACGTGGCTGGGGCGGGCTGGGGCTGGGGAGGGTGGTGACCTATGGCCCCCTGCCACCCTGGGCAGCATGATCAGGGCCTTGCCCATACCTTGTAGGATTCCTTCCTGCCCTGATTTCGGCTTCTGCCCTCTCTCCGCACTCTCCCTGCCCCACACTCAGCTCCTCCAAGCCCCGCTGTCTGTGTCTGAAACTCCTCTGCCCTGATTCTGGGCTCCCACAGGGTCTGGTGTGCTGGAAGTCCAGTTTCTCAGCTGTAGGATAACCTCAGAAAGGATGTCATGGCCAACGAGGAAGATGCTTTCTCTTGGCTTTTCCTAAACAGGCAGACAGGGGAGTTCTGGCCACTCAAAAAGAATCACTACCTGTGGTCCCATCGCTATCCCAAATGTGTGGCCTCCCCGCTCCCCTCACAAGCCACAGCACCAGGGACTTTGAGAGATCTCAGTTCAAATCCCAGCTCTGGCCGGGTGTGGTGGCTCACGCCTGTAATCCCAGCACTTTGGGAGGCCAAGACGGGCAGATCACCTGAGGTCAGGAGCTCGAGACCAGCCTGGCCAACATGGCGAAACTCCATCTCTACTAAAAATACAATAATTAGCCAGGCATGGTGACGGGTACCTGTAATCCCAGCTACTATGGAGGCTGAAGCAGGAGAATCTCTTGAATCTGGGAGATGGAGGTTGCAGTGAGCTGAGATCTCCCCACTGCACTCCAGCCTGGGCCACAGAGTGAGACTCTGTCACCAAAAAAAAAAAAAAAAAAAATCCCAGCTCTGCCACTTTCTATCTGGGTGACCTCGGGTGAATGAATCCCTCTGAGCCTCAGATTTCAGGAAATGGGGACAAAAGCAGCACCTGTTTCTTATGGTTGCTAAGAATTAAATAAGCAATTGAATGTGAATGTGCCCCGCCTCAGCAGCTCCGCAAACACCTATTAAATCTGAAGGCGATGATGACTGCCTCTGTTATTACAGCAAAAAAAAAAAAAGAACTTTGTAGGACAAATCAGAAACCAAACTGTTTTCTGAAAAACAAAAAAAACATTTATTTCTGTAAACTGTCTGAGTGCAGAGATGTTCTTTACAATCCCAATACAGTACAGATTTCTTCCCCAAAACGAAATGAGCAAGGAAAAACAGAAAAAGAGCTATATCAAATGTGCTCATGAAGAACCAAGCCAATCTCACCTTTCTTTAAAAACAAAACAAAACGATCCTTTTGAATGTGTGGTGCAGACGCAGGACTGAAGCCACAGGCTTTTGGGGTGCTGTGAGCCCAGGGCTTTGCTCAGCTCACAGCTAGCGCGGCGGGCAGAGCAACCCTTCGGCCCAAGCCATCCTCGCAGCTTACACAGAAGCTTCCTGAACCTAAGGGATCCGTTCCCAGCTCTCCTTAAATTCCCAGTCCCCACCCTGGGCCTCTCTCCCTAACGATCTTGTCGCTTTGGGAGCCCCTGAAGTGAACCCTGAAATACTCCCTCCGTCAACTCTGGGCTCAGACCTTTGCCCTTCTCTGTGTCACAAGGAAATTTCGGTCAAGAGGGTGGGAACAGGTGGTTTCAGACCGTGCAGCAAAGCCACTGCCAGGTAAGTTTTAAGGCAAATTTTATCTCTTCTTATTCAGTCTGAGCCGGACCTAACCTTCTCACCACCGAGCAATCCTGCCTATGCTGGACATGCATCTTAGGCAACTCCGGATGGAGGTGGGATGAGGGAGCCCGGGGCAGATACCAGGAGGTCTGGGCCTTAGTAGGGAATGGACGTGTGTGCTTATGAAGGCTGCAGGCACCGGGCACAGCTCCTGGCCCAGCTGCCCCTCAGTGGTACACAGGAAGCAGGGTCCAGGAAAACTGAGATGGCAAAATAGGCCCGGGCTCTGGAAAGCAACGTGAGGTCATGCAGATCTCACTAGGCAGACCTCGTCGCGTGGAAGAGAAATGCCAGGAAAAGGGGTCACTGCAGGAGGCACCTCGGATCTGATGGCAGGCAGGACCTTGCATCAAAATGACTTTTCTTTAGAACAAAAAAGAGGGGGAGAAAAGAAAAAGAAGATCAAAGAAAGAGGTTCCATGAGCGTCATGAGATAGGACACGGCAGGGTTCTAAGGGA
Source organism: Homo sapiens (assembly GCF_000001405.40). Taxonomy (NCBI): domain Eukaryota; kingdom Metazoa; phylum Chordata; class Mammalia; order Primates; family Hominidae; genus Homo; species Homo sapiens. The sequence goes on from NC_000016.10 coordinate 84,566,684, forward strand.
AGCGGGAAGGTGGGGGCTGTGGACACAGGGTGGCGGGCGCTGCCTCTCATGGCTTCTTTTCTCCCTGGTGGGCTGGTGGGCTAGTAGCTGAGGCCGGCGGTCCTCTCCCCCGGGGAGCAGGCAGATGACTTTGGCAAGGGGTGGTGTGGCGGGGGCTGGGGTTACTCCGTCTGGGCGTCGTAATTGGCTCCCCCCGCCTTCTTCAGCTCGCTCTTGATGAAATCTTCCTCCAGCTCCTTCCGATCACTGATCACAAACTCCTTAGCGAAATTCTGCAAGAACAAAGGAAAACACAGCGTTCCTATTAAGAAGGAAGGCACAGGATGTGAGGGTGGCTCAGGCAACACACTGGGAAGCAAAGCACTGAAAACCCTGATGAGAGATGGAAATGGAAATTCAGCAGCAGAGTCAGTCAATGGAAATTCAGCAGCAGAGTCAATGGAAATTGAACAGCAGAGTCATCTGGCAGAAAAAACCTGACTGGGAGGAGGGAGTGGGGCAGATCTGATGCTGCGTCTTCCCATGTCCGTGGGGATGGCCCGAGGAAGCTGGGGCTTGAATTTGGGCTGTTACCTTGGCCAAGTCCCTTCAATTCTCTGTGCCTCAACTTTCTCATCTGTAAAAAACTATCTCGTCAGGAAAATAATAGGTTACGAGGTTGGAAAGGCTCACGGGTGTGCAGGCACTCCAAAAAAAAGAAAAGGACAAAAGCTCAGATTGGTGTCTTTTGCCCATATCCATGATGTAAATAGTCCCCCAGTGGCTGACGTCAAGCTATCAAAGTGATGTCACCATACGTGGAGGTGGAAGGAGACAGGCGTAATTGGCTCTCGCCAGCTGGGACAAGCAAGCTTCAGCCACCAATGTTCCTAATGACGCAGGAGCCTCCAGTCCTGGGTCTGCCATGGGCTCTCCACCCGCACTGAGTTACACGAGGGTAGAGGCTCTGCCTTCTTTCAACAAATACCACGCCAGGCTGTGGGGCTACAGGGCTCAGCAAAATGGATGCAGTCAGTCTTTCCTCTTGCAGTACACAGGTTTCACCCATAGAACCCGCAGGCACCCATGATGCACTCAGTAAACGCTTGTGGCATGAATGAGGGAACCAGGTGACCTGGCTTATCAGACACCCTTAAGCCATGATGATACACAGTTACTGCCATATGTGGATCATAAGACTTTAACAAACAAAATTTCAGAACGATGACGGACAGCTTGACAAAAAAAAGCTATCAAAACCACAAATAACACGTCTAAAGGTAAGAAAATCATCCACATTAAAAAAAAAAGCCCATAAGGAAATAACATAAACAATGACCACCATTTTTCTTTTTCTTGAGAGAAAAGCCTGTTGCCCAGGCTGGAGTGCAGTGGCGCAATCTTGGCTCACAGCAACCTCTGCCCCCAGGGTTCAAGCCATTCTCATGTCTCAGCCTCCCAAGTAGCTCGAACTACAGGCGTCTGCCACCACACCCAGCTATTTTTTGTATTTTTAGTAGAAGCAGGGTTTCGCCACATTGGCCAGGCTGGTCTCAAACTCCTGGCCTTAAGTGATCCGCCCAGCTTGGCCTCCCAAGGTGTTGGCACTACAGGCGTGAGCCACCACGCCCGGCTAACCACAATTATTAAGCACTTATGTGTACCAGCACAGTGCCACAGTACTGAGAATGACACACAGTAGTAAATATGAATCATGGAAGGTGGAAGCAACCCCTATGTCCATCAACAGAGGAGTGGATTATCAAAACACGGTCCGTCCACACAATGGAATATTCCTCAGCCACAGAGAGGAATGAAGCGCTGCCACACGCAACTACATGGATGAACCTCGGAAACAGGATGCTGAGTGAAAGAAGCCAGGCATGAAGACCATGTACTGTCAGCTGCCATTGGTATAAATGTCTAAAAAAGGCAAACCCATACAGACAGAAAGCAGACTCGTGGTTACACAGAGCTGGAGATGGGAACAGGAAATGATAGAGACGTTCTAAAATTGGGATTGTGGTAATGGGTGCACAACTCCACAAATTCACGAAAAAGTACTGAAAAAGTACACTTAGGATGACTTGATTTTGAGGTACATACATCATACCTCAATCAAGTTCTTTTTAAAAAGGCCCGTAAGGTGATCAACATTATTTCCATTTTAAAGGTGAGGAAACAAAGGCTGGAAATTACAATGCTTGTCCGAAGTCAGACAACCAGAAGGTCCAGTTGATGCCAAAGCTGGCGTCTTGAAAGAGCCACCATCTCCTTTTGGGGTGATGAAAAAGTTTTGGAACCAGACAGAGGTAGGGCTTGCACAACACTGTGAATGTTCTGAAAGCCACTGAATTGTACACTTTAAAATGGTTCAGGCCAGGTGCGGTGGCTCACGCCCGTCATCCCAGCACTTTGGAGGCCGAGGCAGGCAGATCACCTGAGGTCAGGAGTTCGAGACCAGCCTGGCCAACATGGCGGAACCCCATCTCTACTAAAACTACAAAAATCAGCCGGGCGTGGTGGCGGGCGCCTGCAATCCCAGCTACTGGGGAGGCTGAGGCAGGAGAATCGCTTGAACCCGGGAGGCGGACGTTGCAGTGAGCCAAGATCGCGCCACTGCACTCCAGCCTGGGCGACAGGGTGAGATCTGTCTCAAAATAAATAAATAAACATAAAAAGGTTCATTTTATGTTAAATGAATTCCACCACAATTAAAAAATAAAAAACAAAAAAGTCGCCATATTGCCAAGAATGATGAGCCCAGGAGCATCCCGAAGTCAAGCTTTACAATAAAAAGACAATGCATTTGGCGCGCAAAGCCACTGAGAACACTAACAAAGTGGAGAACGGGAGGTTAATTTTTATCAAGCAGCTGATGTGTGCCAGGAACAGCCTCACTCATGTTCTCGTTCAGCCCTCAGTATATTAACTTTATTTTATTTTACTTTTTGAAGATAAGACTCATGGGCTGGGCTTGGAGAGATTTGCCCAGAATGACAGAACACCCTTGAGATCCTTTCTGTTCCCACCCCACTACAGTGTGTTACTAAGTGTATGTGATCCGTGCAATGAAAGAACACAAGTTGGATGTAAGAGCCAGAAAGGAGAATTGAGAATTAATGTATTTCTCAACCCTGAGCCCCACGGCATGAGGGAGGGGCAGAGAGCTTTCAGAAGGAGGAAGCCAACAGCTTAAGATGCTTATAGAAGAAAAGTCCAAAGTTCCTCTGCTTTGTGATAGCTATATATGGCAATCTACAGAAATAAGAACACTTGAAGTTCCAGTCGGTTAGCTATTAGAAGATTTAGATTAAGAAAAATAAGTTTGAGAGCCATGGATGGTGGCTCATGCCTGTAATCCCAGCACTTTGGGAGGCTGAGGAGAGCAGATCATGAGGTCAGGAGATCGAGACCAGCCTGGCCAACACGGTGAAAACCCTAATCTACTAAAAATATAAAAATCAGCTGGGTGTAGTGGCGCGAGCCTGTAATCCCAGCTACTCAGGAGGCTAAGGCAGGAGAATGGCTTGAACCTGGGAGGCAGAAATGGCAGTGAGCCAAGATGGCGCCACTGCACTCCAGCCTGGCAACAGAGCGAGATTCCATCTCAAAAAAAGAAAAATAAGTTTGATAAGGTCTAAGAAATCTCAAATGAAAGATACATGGAGCTAGGCACAGGTCAACCTAAAACCACAAGTACTTAGGAAATCAAATTATAATGAAACAAAAACAAGCAAAACAGACAGCAGATCTAGTAAAACATAACAATAAATGTAAATGAACAAAATTATCTTTAAAAATGCTATGTTTCAAACTACAAAAAAAAAACCCTCAAACCTTGTACTACATACCAGAGACATATTTAAAATCAAAAGATTAGCAGAAAAATGATTCCAAGTTATACAAACAAAAGTATATACAAAAGCAACCATATGATCTCTGAAAACATTTAAAGCAAACTGAGTCTCACAAGATAAACAGGGTCATCCTGCAACTTGATAACCCTCCTGGCTCAGCTGATGTTCTTTCCTCTCTGCTCGGTAGAAAATAGAATGGAAGGTTATTTTCCCTGTTGAAGGGCTGTTTTTATCATCAGTACTTAGAGAGGTCTTAAAAGACAAGTCGTCCAGCAATCCGATTACTGCCAAAAAGCAAAGGGTTAGAAAGCAAGTGTCTTAACACACTGAACTGGCTCATACCTAAAAGTCCTGTATTCCTATTTCGTTTCCAATTTATCCTCAGGGGAACACAGAGAGAATGTGCAAAATTGAGTCTTCCCTCATTCCTGCTTTTTTTTTTTTTCCTTTTTTGCCTCTTCCAATGACCAAGAAAGACAAAACTTTAAACATTTCTGAAGATACAGTGACCATGGCCATGCTCTAGGCCCCTTTAGAACAGACCCCAGATTCTCTGTTCGGAAGAATCCTGACATACTGCCTCCAGGGGTGGGCTGAAGACCTTGTATTCAGACATGAGCCTGTTGGCTCCCTTCACCTTCAGTCTGGCTGACAGCTGGTGCATTTGGCTCTGCTCCCGTCCTCACACGAGAGCCCCCGCCGCGTGACTGCCAAGGTGTACAGCCTGGGACTCGATGCAGCCCACGCCAGTGCAAAGCCGAGCAGAGAGAAGGGATGGACGGAGGACACTGGAGGTCCGGGCTCCCTCTGGGCCTTAGTATCACCATGGCCTCATAGACAGCAGGGTTGGTGGTCCTTAGAGGTCATCTCTTGCCCCTCAATTCAGAAGGGGAAACTGAGGCTCGGCGAGTGACACCATGAGGCTGGTTAAGCGGCAGTCATGCCCCAGCCCACTGCTCTCCACCCTTGCACCTGGGTCCGCTCATCTCTCCCCCCTGCCCATCAGCTTCCCTCCCCTCTTTGTGTCTCCTCCTCGTGCTGCTCCTGTGTCTTGTCCACCCCTTCCCCGTTCTTTGAGCCTGGCAGTGACTCCTAGCACCTTCCAAATAAAGTGTCTACATCTCCATCCAATCATCCCCCTGGGATCGGCTCCCCGCTGTCACCTCACCGGCAGACTGGTCATGCACGGGCCCATTGCCTGGACGTCACGTGGACACATGGGTGAGACGGTGAGACGGGCCTGTGACCAACAGTGGTCAGTTCCCTTGCAGCCAGAGCTGGACCCCAGCCTGCTCCTGAGTGGACACCGAGCCGCTCCCACCTTCTATAGGGCCAGCAGCAACTCTGCAGGGGCCCAGGTGGTCAGGCCGCATGGAGGGGGTACTAGCAGGCCTCCATCCTACACGGGGTGCTCCCAAGCCCCCAGAGGCTTACAAAGGTGAGCCAGCACCTTCCATTCAGGGCGTGGACTCCACAGAATGTCCCCAAAATGTCTAACCTGAGCCTCAGCCTAAAAACCAACTGACAACAACCTCCACACCTCTCCACCTCCACGCCTTCCAGCGGCTCCCATGAGATAAGGGAGTTGCAAGCACCACTGGGGAGTGGGCTTCATTGCATGTTTTCAAAACGAGGCAGAAGCTGAGCAAAACAGCTCTGGGCAGACAGACTCTGACTTGGGAGCAATGCCTGAAACTGGAGGGAGCCTGCGTGGAGCAGCTGAAGTCTGCCTTGCACCTGAGGCTGGAAACCAGAGGGAACATATGCATGCAAAGCGTGGCCACCCCTACACCACACACACCTCAAGACACAGCACTTGCCAGCACCCACATGCCACCAACACCCACGGGGGCAGGGGCAGGTGGCAAGACTCAGGAGGCAAGTCCTTCATCAGAAGGAGACTTCCAGGGCCTAGAGCAATGCGGACACACACAGAATGTTAATTTCTCTTTTTTTGAAACACAGTCTCACTCTGTCACCCAAGCTGGCGTGCAGTGGTGCGATCTCGGCTCACTGCAGGCTCAACCTCCTAGGTTCAAGCGATCCTCCCACCTCCGCCTTCCTAATAGCTAGAAATACAGGCACAAGCCACCACGTCCAGCTGATTTTTGTATTTTTCTGTAGAGACGTGGTTTCGTCATGTTGCCCAGGCTGGTCTCCAACTCCTGGGCTCAAGCGATCCACCCATCTTGGCCTCCCAAAGGCCAGAATTTTGAATTTTCTTTCTTTCCTTTTTTTTCTTAGACAGGTCTCACTCTGTCACCCACGCTGCCAGGCTGGAGGGCACTGGTGCAATCTCAGCTCACTGCAACCTCCACCGCCTGTGCTCAAGCAATCCTACCACCTCAGCCACCGAAGTAGCCGGGACTACAGGTACACACCACCATGCCCGACTAATTTTTTTTTTTTTGGTAGATAATGGGGTTTTACCATGTTGCCCAGGCTGGTCTCAAACTCCTGAGATGAAGTGATCCACTGACCTCGGCCTCCCAAAGTGCTAGAATTACAGGCGTGAGCCACTTTGCCTGGCCGGGAATTTTCAATTTGCTACTAGCCACATTGAAAAATGTAAGAAAGAAACCAGTGCCATTTATTTTAATAGTATTTTATCTAATCCAATATATGCAAAATATTGTCATTTCCACAATGTAATCAATGCTAAAAGGTACTGACGAGGTCCTTTACATTCATTTCTTTTGAACCCAGCCTTAGAAACGCTGTGTGCCCTCCGGGTATACGGCACACACTGATATGGCTGGGTGCGCTTTCAGGCGCTCAGTGGCCACACGTGGCCAGCAACAGCGCAGGTCTAGACAGAACACGAAAGCGTCTGAAAGAATAATGTGATCAGGCAAACAGAATCATGAATCGCAGAGCATTAGAGCCCATCCGACAGGGGTGGACATCTGCGCCATGTCCAGATCTGGGTGGTGGCTTCAAAGGTATGCATCATGAACATTCAAAATACACAAAACTTGGGCCAGATGCAGTGGCTCATGCCCAGCACTTTGGGAGGCCGAGGTGAGTGGATCACCTGAGGTCAGCAGTTCAAGGCCAGCCTGGCCAACATGGTGAAACCCCATCTCTACTAAAAATACAAAGAATTAGCTGGGTGTGAGAGGCGGGAGAATCGCTTGAACCGGGGAGGCGGAAGTTGCAGTGAGCTTAGATCGCACCATTGCACTCCAGCCTGGGTGACAAGAGCGAAACTCTGTCTCAAAAAAAAAAAAATATATATATATACATACACACACACACACACACACACACACTCAACGAGTAGTATTCCGAAGATCTCTGCGTTTTACTCTATGTAAATTGTGTTTCAGCTGAACAAAATAGTGAAGGGAGGTGGGGCGCTGTGGCTCACGCCGGTAATCCCAAGCACTTTGGGAGGTCGAGAAGGGAGAATCGCTTGAACCCCGGAGTTCCAAGACTAGCCTGGGGAACAGTGGGACCCTTTCTCTACAAATAATAATAATAATAATAGTAATAAATAGCCAACAGTGGTGGTGTGCGCCTGTTGTCCCAGCTACTTGGGAGGCTGAGGCAGGAAGATCACTTGAGCCTGGGAGGTCGAGGCTGCCGTGAGCCATGATCGCACCACTGCACTCCACCCTTGAGACCTGCCATTCACCTCTTCATTATGTAGAGGACCAGCAACAACCCAGAGAGGGGACGCAGTTCATCCCAGGGGACACAGCAACTTCCCGGCAGGGCCCTGGGGATGCGTTCCTGGTGCCAGCCCCACTTTCTCCCCACATCCCGCCTCCAGGGGCTGCTCTAGACTGCCAAGCCCTCGAGGCAGCTGCCACAACCTGCCAGAGACTGCACAGCAACATGTGTCAGTCTGGGGGCACCGTCACCTGTGGCTGAAGAAAGCTCTTTGTTTTGTCTGGGAACTCGGTGTCGCTCTCTCATAGCTGCCAGACGGGGGACTTCTCTTTTCTTGCCAAAGCAGGATTTTCTTCCAAGGGCCTCATCCGACGAAGTCTCACTCCAAGCGGCTGAAGCTGCTTGAATGGTTTGGAATTATGCAACCAGCAAGTGGAAGACCAGTTTTTTTGTTTTTGTTTTTTCTGAGACGGACTCTCACTCTGTTGCCCAGGCTGGAGTGCAATAGTGCGATCGGCTCACTGCAACCTCTGCCTCCCGGGTTCAAGTGATTCTCCTGCCTCTACCTCCTGAGTAGCTGGGATTACAGACAACCACCACCACGCCTGGCTAATTTTTGTATTTTTAGTAGAGACGGGGTTTCACCATGTTGGCCAGGCTGGTCATGAATGAAGACAAGTTTTGTCCCTGTGACCTTTCTCAAGTGCTTATAGATTCATGCCTCAAAGATGCAAAATAAACATCCATTGAAACCTGTCTCCACCTTTCTGAGGAGGGTAATATAGCAGAGGGTACGGGTTAGGTACAGGGGCTCTGTACAGAGTCTAGCCATCTATTTGCCACGCTGGATTTTAAAGTGCATGTTCTCCTGTCTTGGTTTTAAATCATTCTTTTCTCATTTATTTATTTATCTTTTGAGATGAAGTTTTTGTTCTTGTCACCTAGGCTGGAGTGCAGTGGTGCAATCTCAGTTCACTGTAACCTCCACCTCCCGGGTTCAAGCGATTCTCCTGCCTCAGCCTCTCGAGTAGCTGGAATTACAGGCGCCCACCATCACACCTGGCTAACTTTTGTATTTTTAGTAGAGACGGGGTTTCACCATGTTGGCCAGGCTGGTCTTGAACTCCGGACCTCAGGTGATCCACTCGCCTCAGCCTCCCAAAGTGCTGGGATTACAGGGGTGAGTCACCACGCCCAGCCCATCCTTTTCATTTTTATTTTTATTTATTTTCATTTTTTGAGACGGAGTCTCACTCTGTCGCCCAGACTGGAGTGCAGTGGTGCAATCTCAGCTCAGCACAACCTCCACTTCCAGGTTCAAGCAATTCTCCTGCCTCAGCCTCTGAAGTAGCTGGGATTACAGGCACGTACCACCACGGCCGGCTCATTTTTGTATTTTTATTAGAGACAGGGTTTCATCATGTTGGCCAGACTGGTCTCGAACTCCTGGCCTCAAGTGATCTCCCCCCCTTGGCCTCCCAAAGTGCTGGGATCACAGGCATGAGCCACCACACCTGACCCCTTTTCATTTTTTAATGGCTCCCAACTGCCCAGGTTTAAACCCCAGCATGCTGGGAGCAGGTCCAGGCCAAATACAAACAGGCACCCTTGTCCACAGGCATCTCCAGTGGCCTGAGCCTCCCTGGGGACTCAACCTCCCTGAGCCTGAGTCTCCTCATCTGCAAATGCGGACAATAGCAGCTTCACATCCTAGGGCTGTTGGGAGGGTCGTATGAGCATAAAAGGGGCTTGCACACTTGATGAGAACACCTGGTACAAAGCGGAGTGCTCAACAGTCAGAGAGAATGTTCTACAGGACTGTGGGTTCACCTTCATTCTCAGGATCGTTAGGGGAATCTGAGATTTAATGAAGTTCCCTCAGTCACTCAGAGTGAAGACACAGGCAGTAGCTAGTTCCTCTTCTCATTCCTAACGTTTATTTTTTAACAAAGGGAAGTCCCAGGAATTCCTTGGAATAACCAAGTCAGTGAAACTGGCAGACAGAAGATGACAAATCCGGCTGCAAACCCCAAAGCCAGGCCCAGGGTTAGCTTCAGGGAACAAGGAGGCCTGTCGGGGTACAAGTGTAAGGTCTGCTATTCAGGAGTGTTGCGCCTATGAGGATATTCCTAACCAATGCAGAGAATGTGGGTGCAGGGGAAGCTCCGGGGAGAAAACATGAGTGGGGATTCTTGGGCAGTTCCATTTGTGAAGTCAGGAATGCATATTTCTATGAAGTGGGGCCCAGGAGAGGAACTGATCTTCATTGTATTGAAAGACAATGAAAGCGACACAATTTGTTCTTCCCACGAACACACATTAATAAACACCTGTCATATGCCATACACTCTCCTAGGCTCTGGGAAGTCAAAATTCTGGTACTTACTGGTCTCTCTGACAGACTGAGAATAGAAAAATAGAAGCAGCGGGCTCTGAAATGCCCGGAAGGCAGTATTTAATGGCTCTGGGCCCTGGTTTCCACCTCTGTGAAAGAAGAAGGCTGGACAACAGGGTCCCCCAGCCTTTCCCCACCAGTCATCCAGGGATCCTACACCTAAGCCTCCAGAGCACATAGACACGGGACGAAGTTCCACCAGGGACACCAGATCCTAGGGCAATGGGGAAACCTGGCATGGAAAAGTCAGCTTTGGGATCAGAGCATAGCTCTCACAATGAAGGCTGCCTGCTGGCTTCAGGTCCTTCCCAAACCCTCACAACACGGTGTGGGGACTAGAATCTCCCCTCCCGCAGGCATAAGATGGAGCCGGGGATAGACAAGACATGTGCTGGACACATGAATGTGTCTTTTCCACAAGTGGGTGATGATGACCAATAAACCAAAGACTCTGAACTGCTGAAGAAATACAGCCACAGTCCCCAGCACCCTGAATCTTGCTAGGAGACAAGGCAATCCCCAAGGAAGAGGAGCCAAATGAAAACACACAGCTATGAAACCCACTGGGCACCTGCTGCCAACCCCACCGAGGCCCCTACACCTCCCTCCCACAACTATTCAAAGTGCTTGAAAGACCGAGGTTTTAAAAACTCTACCAGCAAGGTATAATTTACTCAAAAGGAATGGGTTCTTTTTTGTTTGTTGGTTTTGGTTTTGGTTTTGGTTTTTTGAGACAGAGTCTTGCTCCACTGCCCAGTCTGGAGTACAGTGGTACCATCTCGGCTCACTGCAACCTCCATCTCCTAAGTTCAAGCGATTGTCCTGCCACAGTCTCCCAAGTAGCTGGGACTACAGGCATGCGCCATCACACCCAGCTATTTTTTGTATTTTTAGTAGAGACAGGGTTTCACCATGTTGGCCAGGCTGGTCTTGAACTCCTGACCTCAGGTGATCCACCTGCCTCGGTCTCCCAAAGTGCTGGGATTACAGGCACGAGCCACCATGCCTGGCCGGAACAGGTTCTTATAATAGGCATGAGTCATTATAGATAAAGGGAAAAACTAACAGATCAAAATGGCACGGGCTCGGGTTTGACAGATTCAGGAACAAAGGCACCTGTGTCAAACCCTCGTAGCTCAGGAGTGACGCGACCCTGCTGTACTTGAGGAACAAAAGCCAAGACAGAGGCACACGGCTGTATTTCGGGTGGACACAGGGTAACCATCTAATGAAGATGGAAGGCATGGTGTCCTAGAAGCACACTGTGATGTCCTAGAAGCACGCTGTGAGTGTTTTGGCCAAAACCAAATAGAGGCGGCTGTTCCTATGCCTGGATCTGTGACCCCGACAGGGCCCCTGACCTCTTCAGCATTTGGGCAACTGCCTGGAGTCTCAGGCTCGGCTTTCCTGACCACAGAGATTTACAGAAGCCCCAAACGCACCTTGCCTAATTTCTAACTACGGCTTCATCTAGACCAGGCATGGAAAGCAAGTGGGAAACATACTCTCCTCTCTCCGGTGTCCACAGGAGACATCACAAATTAATCATGGCACTTTCCCCACCGAGTCCAGGCTTAACCTCAGAATCTCCCTTAACCCGGAGCTCCAAATAGCCCAAGCTTATTGATCAGTTGACAAGCTAGAGATTAAATCCAGGTTCAGATCTTCAACTTCTGCCCCATCAAAACTGTGCCCAGCATTTCTTATTCCTCAGCCACATCCATGTTTGGGGATTTTTCCCAAAGAAATAACAGAATTTTTAAAAAATAACAACATACATACTCAAAGATGTTCATTGCCAGTAAATACCAGGCTGTTTCCATTTTTCAGCAAAAGTTGGATAAATAAGTAAATACTATCTACGTAACACTTCATATACGCCAGGCAATTATTATACATGGTATCTTATTGAATTTTCACAATTCCATGAGATATTATCATACACATTTTTCAGATGAGAAAACTGAGGACAAAGGAAGTGAAGTAGCCAGCAGATCACAGGATTCACTCCACGCCAGGGAACTCACCAGGTGGAGGAACAGACACACACAGGCATGCACGCACACAAACACAGATATGCACACACCAACACACACACACGCAGGCATACACACACACACAGGCATGCACCCACACAAGTGTGCACACACACACACAGGAATGTACCCACACAGGTGCACACACACAGGCATGCACACACCCTCTCACACACATACATGCACATGCACATACAGGCATGTGCAGACATACACACACAGACACACAGGGATATGTCCACACAAACGTATACACACACAGGTGCATAGAAACACAGGTATGCACACACACATACACATGCAGGCATGCATACACACAGACGCATGCACACACAGACACATGCATGCATACACACAGATACATGCATGCACACACAGGTGCACACAGGTATGCACACACATGCACATCCAAGCATGCGTACACACATATACACATGCATGCACACACATCCACCCTCATACACAGTAGTGCACACACATACACATATATACACACAGGCACACACACATCCACTCCCACACACAGGCATGCACACACACCACCATACAGAGGTGTGCACACACACAAAATGGGTATCACAGACTTACATATGTTGTACTACATCCACTTACAAAATAATATTTGGCCATTACAATAATAGAAACAGGCCGGGCATGGTGGCTCATGCCTGTAATCCCAGCACTTTGGGAGGCCCAGGCAGGTGGATCACCTGAGGTCAGGAGTTCGCGACCAGTCTGGCCAACATGGCATCTCTATTAAAAATACCAAATTAGCTGGGTGTGTTGGCATACACCTGTAGTCCCAGCTTCTTGGGAGGCTGAGGCAGGAGAATCACTTGAACCACGAGGCAGAGGTTGCTGTGAGCCGAGATCGTGCCACTGCACTCCAAGCCTCGGTGACAAGATCAAAATGCCATCTCAAAAACAAATTATAAAAACAAAAAGCATTTAGGAAATGTCAAGAGAAAGGACACAGGCTATATCTCTGCTCTGCTAAAGGCTGTGGCAAGGGCTCCACGGGAAGGGGCAGACCCCTCTGTGTGAGGTGGGGGGTAGTGGCTGATCACTTAGCTCCTGCATTTTGTCGGAACCCTTTCGGCAAACCACAGCGACTTAGAATAAAACCACCACGGGGCGAAGACTAAGCGTGTGTGCTTGTTTCATAAGGGAATCTCACGAGGCAAGATGTCCGAGAATAAAGAATGACAAGAGGTGGACAAAAGTATGCAGTGGTCCAGGGAAGAGGAAGAGAAGAGGGGGAGGAAAGACACTCATACACAGGGGCAAGATGTAGAGTGCAGTGAGCCTTCGGCCTTTCATGAAGGCTGGGAAACATGCACTTCACACACAAAGAGCTCTCCAGATTCATTTCTTCAGGTTAAGACCTGTACACGTTCGAATGCTGCATCCTCACGGCACAGCGACTGTATACCGTGCTAGCGACTGTGTCGGGAATCACTGCACCACAGCGTCCGGAGGCCAGCTGCTGGCAGGTGCCTGGGGCAGGTACCAGGCTAGGGCAGGCTGGCCAAGGGCTGGCACTGGTCTGGAGTTTGGTGGAGGGCAGCCAGGTCACAGCCCGCTGGGCAGAATTCTTTGCTTATTCAGGTGGCTTTATTTACATGCCAGGCCCAAACCTAGGGTGCAGGGATCTCCTTCTTTCTCCTAGGAGACTGTTTTTCCCTCTAAGACTTGTTTTTGAGACAAGGTCTTGCTCTGTCGCCCACACTGGAGTGCCACTGCATCCTCACAGTGGTGTGATCATAGCTCACTGCATCCTTGACCTCCTGGGCTCAGCCTCCCGAGTAGCTTGGACTACAGGTACATAACACCATGCTCGGCTAATTTTTTCATATATTTTTTGTAGCAGCAGGGTCTCACTATATTGCCCAGGCTGGTCTGGAACTCCTGGGCTCAAGCAATCCTCCCACTTCAGCTCCCCTAAGGGCTCTTAACCTCTTTAGTAAAAGATCAACAAAGCAGATGCATCGCTTTTGAGTTTCAGATCTTCCCAGGGCTCCTCACTGCCCTCCCATTATAAAAGCCCCACATTTAAAGTGGCCTCCAGTCCCCCACCATCTGGCTTCCACCTGAACACTCACCTTGGCTCAAGAACTAGTCCTCCCTAAGCCTCAGTTTCCTCATCTGTATATTGGGGTCAGTACAGCCCCCGGCTCATGGATGAATAAGCCTGGCCCTCCATATACGATACCTGATCCCACCATTCACAGGCTGCATGGGAGCTTTTTATTTTTCAATTGTGCAATTTGTGTTTTAAAAATATATGACATGAGGCCAGGCATGGTGGCTCACGCCTGTAATGCCAGCACTTTGGGAGGCTGAGGCGGGCAGATCACCTGAGGTCAGTCTGAGACCAGCCTGGCCAACATGGTGAAACCCCATCTCTACTAAAAATACAAAAATTAGGCTGGGCATGGTGGCAGGTGCCTGTGGTCCCAGCTACTTGAGAGGCTGAGGCAGGAGAATCGCCTGAACCCAGGAGACGGAGGCTGCAGTGAGCCAAGATGTCGCCACTGCACTCCAGCCTAGGCAACAGAGTGAGATTCCATCTAAAAACAAACAAACAAACAAATAAATATATGTATGTATGTATGTATGTATGACATGAGCAACAAGAAGTGCCCCCGGCCTGAGCCCAGGCCCAGGTGAAATGCATCAGGCCAAAAAGGCCCTTCTGGTTATGCAAATACCGTCCTTCCATGAACCACTGGCTTAAGGAAGTGTAAACACGCCACATAGAAATAAACAGCTGAAACCCTTTGAAGGCAGCGAACAGTCTGTGGATGGTCCGCAGAGTGCTAAGTGGTAACTCATGCTTTGCAAGGGGGAGCAGCAGCCTCGTAAATCTCATCCCATGGAGGGTTGTAGGTTCTCCCGGCTGCCCCAGTCAGCTCTCACTCCTGCTTTCTCTAATTTTTTGTTGTTGTTGTTGAGATGGAGTATCACTCTGTCACCGAGGCTGCAGTGCAGGTGGCACAATCTCGGCTCACTCCAACCTCTTCCTCCTGGGTTCAAGCGATTCTCCTGCCGCAGCCTCCGGAGTAGCTGGGATTACAGGCGTGTGCCACTATGCCCAGCCTAATTTTTGTATTTTTAGTAGAGATGAGAGTTCCCCATGTTGGCCTGGCTGGTCTCGAACTCCTGACCTCAGGTGATCTACCCGCCTTGGCCTCCCAAAGTGCTAGGATTACAGGCATGAGCCACTGCGCTCAGCCTCCTGCTTTCTATTGAAACAGAAGCAGAGATTTGGAAATTTCAACCTAGCCCCAAGTCCCCTGAGTGTAATTAGCTTCCACAATTTAATTTAATGCAGAGAACAGTTACTGAGCATTTATAAGCTTCTGTCCTGGTAATACACAAAGAGCCTACATGAGCAGATACATTTCTTCTTTTTTTTTTTTTTTTTTTTTTTTTGAGATGGAGTCTTGCTCTGTTGCCCAGGCTGGAGTGCAGTGGTGCAATCTCTCGGCTCACTGCAACCTCTGCCTCCTGGGTTCAAGCAATTCTCGTGCCTCAGCCTCCTGAGTAGCTGGTAGCTGGGATTACAGGCACATGCCACCATATCCAGCTAATTTTTGTATTTTTAGTAGAGACGGGGTTTTACTATGTTGGCCAGGTTGGTCGCGAACTCCTGACCTCAAGTGATCCACCCACCTCGGCCTCCCAAAGTGCTGGGATTACAGGCATGAGCCACTGCGCCCAGCCCATTTCTTAATTTTTAAAAATTATGTTAAAACAGAGATGCAGTCTCACAATGTTGCCCAGGCTGGTTTCAGGCTCCTGAGCTCAAGCAATCCACCTGCTCCAGCCTCAAAAAGTACTAGGATTACAGGCATAAGCCATGGCGCCCGGCCTCATTTCTTCATTTCTTAGCCCTTGTTATGTGCTAGCACACAGTAATCTTCCAGCACTAGGAGTACAATCACAAAGCAGCCATGGCTTCTGCCTTTTAGGAGATTATTTCCTTGTTAGTTACTTAATTATAATTCCTTAATTATAATACTATCTAGACCATAGTAGATACAGATATAGGCACAATTAATTCTGATTGAGGCTGGTAGGAGAATGGGGTAAGAAATCCGGGTTTTGAAGGATGAATAGTTCACCAGGCATCAAAATGGAGAAGCCCTTTTCACACCTACTGCTTTTCTTTAATCATTCCAACCACTCTGTGAAATTTTACATTCTCTTTTTCCTAAGTGAAAACACAGAAATTCTAGTGATAAATACCTGCCCAAAGTCCTACACCTGTGAGCTGATGGCGCCAGAATATCAACTTGAGTCTCACTCCCCTACACGCCGTAACTTTCTCCATTTCACACAGCAGCACTTTTTTAAAGTAAGCACAGAGCAAAAAAGTTCACGTTCCAGTTTAAAGCTTCCACCATCAAGGAAGATCGAGAATCAGGAAATTTAAAAACTAATTTCATGTGCAACACGAGTCTACAAAAGGAGCATCCAGCCCTGCTTGCGGCCTTCGAACCTCTTCCCTGGTGCCAGAAGCCTTGGGAAATGTGCAGTGTGGTGAAGTGGCCGTGTCGGGGCTCTGAGCCCACAGCCTGGATTCCAGGCATAGCTTTGCCATGTCCAAGCACCCGGACCTTGAGCAAGTTACTCAGCTTCTTCGGATCCCAAGCTCCTCATCTATAAAACAGGGCAAGTGGCAGACCTGGCCTCGTGAAGGACAAATGATTTAATACACGGAAAGTCCTTCACAGAGTGTCAGGCACATAGTAGGGCCACAATAAAACTATTGTTATTCATATTATTGCCACATTGGTACCCAAAAGAGGCCCTCAGAGGGGAGGGGTGGCTAAATCTGGTCCCAGAAATGAAGCCGATCCTGCCCCTGGGGTTTATTTTTATTTATTTATTTACTTATTTTTGAGACAGGGTTTTCCTCTGTCACCCAGGCTGGAATGCAATGACACGAGCACAGCTCATGCAGCCTCCAACTCCTGGGCTCAAGCGATCCTCCCACCTCAGACTCCTGAGTAGCTGGGACAACAGGCATGCGACACCATGCCCCAGCTAATTTTTTTTTGTTTTTAGTAGAGACGAGGTCCCACTATGTTGACCAGGCTGGTCTCCAACTCCTGGGCTCAAGCAATCCTCCTGCCTTGGTCTCCCAAAATGTTGGGATTACAGGTGTGCGCCACTAAGCCTGGTTAGTCCTGGGGCTCAGAAGCTATCAGAATAGACTCCAATTGGCTAGTTCACACCATCCCTGGCACGTCCATCCTTCCCACCTCCACTTCTCCTTGGAGGCAGCAGCCTCTGTTGTCCTCTGTTCCTGAAAGCTGAGCTGCATGCCTTCTGGATTCCTGGCTCCGTGAACGTTCATATTATGTTAAAGAATCAATAAAAGGATCAGGTGAATGAACCCATCCTGCAAGACAAGCATGATGCAGCACTGACCAAGCATGGCTCTAAATCAAGAGAGCCTGGCCCTGGCACATCGCAGGTCACTACCAGCGGTCACTGCATTGTCCCCACAATCCTGCAGAGACACGAGAACGATAGGAGCGAGGTTCTGTCCTGGGCACCAGCCGGGTACTTCTGTGTGGCAGACAACAGCTGTGGCCAGCCAGCCGTGCGTGCTGTGCGTTCAGCGCATTCCCCGGACTGGAGTCTGGGCATCGCAATCGCCCTGCCCAGCTTGCCTGGCAGCCCCTGCTGCCCCGTGGCCTTGCTGGCATTTGTCTTGTTTTGTCTTGTTTTCCCCCAGCCACAGACGCCTCTCAGTTTCTCAGGCTCTGAATACAGATTAAAGAGGATCAGAGTTGAACTTCACTCCTAATTCTTCCAGGCTCTAGCCCCAGCTCTATCACTCATTAACTGTGAGTTTAGGGCAGGTCCTAGCACTGCTGTGGGCCTCAGTTTCCCCATATGCTGATGCACCTGTGTGCCGGCCACAGGTGAAGTATGAGCTTTTTGAGGTCAGCGCTGGCAAGTGTGGGTGAGGCCAGACCCTTCCTGTGTGGCTGACGGCTGGCAATATCCGTGAACAACAAGATTCACGCCCTGTGTCCTGGAGCTGAGCATCTGTATCTAGCATCTCCTAAGGAAATAATCTACAGTGTAGAAACATTTCTTGCGTGAACTGTGCATCACGGTGTTGTCTAAACAGAAAACTGGAAATAACAGCTACTACTTCCGGGTCCCAGAAATTAAGACATTGTTCTAAGCACTTTCCCTATATTTGCTCATTTAATCCCCACCACAACCCTACAAGGCAGGCACTATATTGCCCTTACTTTATACATCAGGTGACTGAGCCCAGAGAGGGTAAGCCATGTGCCCAAGGCCACACAGTAAGTGATGGAGCTGAAATTTGAACCCACGCCATCTGGCTCCAAAGTCCACCGTACTACACCTTCCCCCTTGGCAAAGTAAAATAAGGTTCATTTAAAGGTAAAATGCCTTCATAAACAAATTACTCCATTAAAACAAAAGAAAAGAAAAATTTCCAGAATACGCCAAAATAGAATATGACACAGCAAGTCAACTCATCCCATTCTTCATTTTACAAATGAGGACACTGAGGCCCAGGGAGGGAGAGACTTGCCCATGGTCAGGCAGGTGGTTAGTGACATACAGATCCCTCCACTAAAATTAGCTGGGTGTGGTGACACACACCTGTAATCCCCAGCTTCTCGAGAGGCTGAAGCACCAGAATTGCTTAAGCATGGGAGGCAGAGGCTGCAGTGAGCTGAGATTGTGCCACTGTACTCCAGACTGGGTGACAGAGTGAGATTGTCTCCAAAAAAAAAAAAAAAAATCGCCCCCCTGGATTCAAGTTCCTCCACATCAATGACCGTGCAATTAATTTACACCCTCCACGTTTCACACAAAGCACAAGAATGCATGTGCATTACTTTATTACTGTCAAAAAGTCAAGGGTTTATTAATACAGTAATCTTAAACTAAAAGCCAATCTACTTCTTCTTCATATGGAAATGATGGCAAAAAGTGCAGCTGGGGAAGTGACCTGGTCCCCAAGACATGGCACCCGGAATGGGCCCATCTGGAAGGTCCCTTAGAGAACATCCGCTCTGAATCCCCGTGAAGCAGAGGGGAAGTTGATAGGCATGCCAGTCTCTGCATGGTTTTAGCGGCCGTGGAAAGACAGCATTATACCAGCAGAATGGACCCTTTGTCACCTAAATGGCTATATTTGCAACTGCAGTATAAATGTAAGGTCTTGTAGCAGCTTCAGATAATTAACATTCGTAAGTGGAGAGGTGGAAAATGCAAATGATAATGGTCAAAATATGAGCCTGCACCTGTAGTTCAGGCCAGTATTCCAGCTCCCCCACTGCAATGCACATCTGCGCTTCTTCATTCACCAGCATCCCTTTCTCTAACAACTGGGATCACGCTGGAGCTGCCAATCATGAAACCCCGCCTCCCTGCCCAAAGGCGTGTGCACGTGACCCAAGCTGGGCCAATCAGGGTCCTCTTAAGAGATTGACGGACACTGAGGAAAGAGGCCTCTCTCTTCTGGGATCCTGACCCAGAGGGACCACCATAGCATGGACCGTTTCTTTGGCTGTGCAGAGGCTGCCTGACGCCAACCCCAGAGAAAAACAGAACTGAGAGATGAGATGAAAATACTGCATGAGCCCTCGATCTAGCCACACCTAAAGCCGAAACCCCTGCACTTCCCACTACCAAGAGCCAAGCAATTCCTCTTTGTGCTTCAACTTACTTGAGCTTGCAAACGTAAGAATTATCACCACTACTCCCACCTAAAGGTTCCCAGCAGGGAATTAATTTCCTCCAATCCCCCTCAGTCACCGGCGCACCTACCCAAACTGAAAAGAGTTCTAGAGAGGAAAGAAACTCTGCAGACTGCCTTAGTGGGTATGAGGTTTCCTTTGGGGGTGATGAGAAAGTTCTGGAACTAGACAGCAGTGATGGCTACACAACATTGGAACTCTGTTTAATGTAGCTGAATTGTACTTTAAAATGGCTACAATGGTAAACTTTATGTTATTGTATTTTACAATTTTTTATTATTTATTTAATTTATTTTAGACAGAGTCTTGCTGCAATCTCGGCTCAGTCTCCTGAGTTGATCTCCTGGGTTCAAGCAATTCTCCTGCCTCAGCCTCCCGAGTAGCTGGGACTACAGGCCACGTGCCACCATGCCTGGCTACTTTTTTGGTATTTTTAGTAGAGACGGGGTTTGTGTTGGCATGTTCGCCAGGCTGGTCTCGAACTCCTGACCTCAGGTGACCGGCTGCCTTGGTCTCCCAAGGTGCTAGGATTACAGGCATGAGCCACCACGCCTGGCCTGTATTTTACCACAGTTTTTTAAATAGGAAGACAAAAGAGAATTGCAAGATCTGCAATGTGGTGCCCCGTGTACACATCCTGGCGAGCCCCCTCCCTCTGCTCCCTTTCCTCCCGGCGACGTCCAGGAGTGGGCCAAGCACGGCGGGCGGAATTCAGCAGGAGACCTTTGGCCACAGAACAGGACTTCTTTTTCATTTTCCATCCTGCTGCCACTCGGAAGACCCCTGGAAGCTGGTTAACCATTAAAACCCAACTGGCCTGGAGAAAAACAGCCTGTAGGGTTGAATAAGTGGTTTTCCAAAACAAGGGCTCCCAGGCCAGACAGGGTGCAGACAGCAGTGTCAACCAGGAACGCTGACTACATGTGAAACAAATGGCCTTTGTCAGCATTTCCTCGGTCCCAGGCACAGTGCTAGCACTGCTCAAAGCCAATCTGATGCCCATACCTTTTAAAAATGATTATCTCGCCTCTTAACTCCGGAACCCCACCTCCCGAGATTGTTTTCTAAAAGAATAACTCAACAGAAGACAGAAAGGAGCTGCATGTATTAAAATGTTGGTTGGAACATTCTTTATAAAAATAAAAATTGGAAGCAACTTAAGAGGCCAAGAACAGGGGAACATTTAGTACATGACGGTACACTTGTGAACCAGGACACTCTGCTACCAGAAAACCATGAATTACAAAGGTGGTGCATCCATATCATTTATGAAATTACATTAACCTTAAAAAAAGCAGCTGCAGATGAGAGTGTGACCTATAGGCTGGGACCACAGCAAAGCCGAAAGGCAGGAGGCGAGCCCGTCCAGAGAGTGGCCAGGAGGGACGTCCAAAAGCGGGAACTGACAGGGGGACCACAGGACTCTATTATGTCCTATCATTATTTATTTATTTATTTATTTATTTTATTTATTTTTTTGGAGACTCGCTCCAAAAAAGGCTAGATCTTGGCTCACTGCAACTTCCGCCTCCTGGTTTCAAGAGATTCTCCTGTCTCAGCCTCCTGAGTAGGTGGGATTACAGGTGCCCACCACCACACCCGGCTAATTTCTGTATTTTTAGCAGAGACAGAGTTTTGCCATGTTGGCCAGGCTGGTCTCAAACTCCTGACCTTACGTGATCCGCCTGCCTTGGCCTCCCAAAGTGCTAGGATTACAGGAGGGAGCCATGACACCTGGCCATATTGTTATTTTTTAAATAAAAGTTTTATTAGGGGCTGGGCGTGGTGGCCTATAATCCAAGCACTTTCGGAGGCTGAGGTGTAGGAATGCTTGAGTCCAGGAATTCGAGGCCAGCCTGGGCAATATAGTGAGATCCTGTCTCTCTTAAAAATAATAATAATAATAATAATAATTTATTTTAGAAGAGCTTTGGAGTTACAGAAAAGTTGCAAGAGGTAGCACCGAGTTTCCATATTACCTTCCTCTTAACACACACATACATATTTCACTACTGTTAACATCTTACATTACTGTGGTACATTTGTCACAGTGAAAACGTCAACATTGGTACATTACAATTAATTAAACTCCCGACTTTATTTATATTTCAACAGCTTTTCTGTTCTAAGGTCCAATTCAAGATAGCACATTGCAGATAGCCTATTTTTTTGTTTGTTTTTCTTTTTGCAACAGGGTCTCACTCAGTCTGACTACACTCACTCAGTCTGAGTGCAGTGGCGAGATCTTGGCTCACTGCAGCCTCGCCCTCCTAGGCTCAAGCCATCCTCCCACCTCAGCCTCCCAAGTAGCTGGGACTACCGGTATGCACCACCACACAGGGCTAATTTTTTATTCTTTTGTACAGATGGAGTATTATTAATACTATGTTGCCCAGGCTGGTCTTGAACTCTTGGACACAAGCAATCCTCCCACCTTAGCCTCCCAAAGTGCTGAGATGACAGGTGTGAGTCACTGTGCTCAGCCCGTTTTTGTTTTTGACAATTTGGTGATTTCTGGTATATTCACAGATATGTGCAACCACCATGATAGTCAATTTTAAAGCATTTTCATGACCTCAAAAAGAAACCCTGTGTCTTTAGCTATCACCCACTTCCATCATTAGACTATTATTTTTTATTTGTTTTTTATTTATTTTGAGACAGGAATTCGCTCTGTTGCCCAGGCTGGAGTGCAGTGGTGCGATCATGGCTCACTGCACCCTTGACCTCCTGGTTTCCAGCGAACCTCCCGCCTCAGCCTCCCAAGTAGCTGGGACTACAGCCATGTGCCACCATGCCTGGCTCATTTTATTTTGTTATGTTTTGTAGAGATGGGGTCTCACTATGTTGCCCAGGTTGGTCTCAGACTCCTTAGCCAAGCAATCCTCCCACCTCAGCCTTCCAAAGTGCTGTGATTTACAGGCGTGAGCCACCGCACCCAGCTGAGTCTATTGTTTTTAAACGTTTGTTTTATCATGGACCAATTACATTGCTTTGAATCTTTAAAATAATGTGCATGGTGGAGGATGGGCAGTGGTACCCCCCGCCCTCTGTAACAGACAAGCTGCTGAAGGGACGTGTAACACACTGTTTCTGGTCACCTGAACAACAGTTTAAAGGCGCAGTAAGAGGGAGAGATTCCCTACTTCATGGGTTGTGAGAAATCCTTTTGCGAAATGGAGATCCCTTTAGTAGGGAAAGACCTCTCTCCCTCATCTACCCTACCCCGGGGTTACCTTTTGGAGTTCAGATTTTCTTTTCTCAACATGACCGTGTTACCCGTACCCCAAGTGAACAACCTTGGAAGTTTCTGACATTGCAAATGTCCATTTTCTTTAATGGCCAGAATGGAAAAGACTTAAAGTAGGCACTGTTCAGAGAGGGTACAAATGAATTCTCCCACGGGATCCTTGCGACCACCGCCGACAGTCAGCCAGGACACCACAGGGTAGTGGCCGCTATTCTGGTCCCCCCACCAGTTCCCGTCTCTAGAAGCAAGCAACCTGCCCCACCCACGGAGGCAGGCACCCAGCTGCCAAGCTTCTGTTATGGGATAGGTGGGATCGTAAACACAGTTAACTCCTCCTAGCCAGCATCCTGAAACAATTCTGGTGACATTTCACCAATGGCTTTACTGGTGCAGAGACATAGCATGGCTTGTCCCAAGTCACAGCTAAGCTACAGACCCAGGAGTCGAACCCAGCCCTCTCCCTCCTTGCAGGATGGTGACCCTTGGCGAGCTTTGACCTCCAGACTCTGGAGGAACTCAGTACCTGTACGACCTCCTTCACCAGGGTCTTGTCCGTCCCGGTTTTGGCGCGCTGCAGCCCGCTGACGTTCTCACCGATCCACGTGATGAGGGCAAACTTGGACCTCTTGCTCATGGCATCCCCGGTGGTGAAGCGCACGAAGGCAAACAACCGGACGTCATCTGTGGCCAAAAGCGAAAAGAGAACATGGTGCTGCGTTAAAACACCCCCATGTCATGTCCCTGGGGAGAGGCTGTGAGCCACGAGTGCGCCTGGAGCAGCACAGCAGGAGACCGGTGCAGTTCCCTGGGAGCACCATGTGCAGAGGACAGGAGGGAAGCACTCATCCGCTGCCCTTGTCACACTCCCCTGAATCCTGGCAACAGTGCTGCAGGCTTCATGCCCATTTCACAGATGGGAAATGGAGATTCAGAGAAGTCACATGGCACTTTCAAGGTTGTGAGGGAATTCAAGGTCATGCTGGGATTTAAACCCAGGCCTTTCTGGCTGCAACGCCTACAGCCTTCCTACAATCAAGGCTCAAAGTCTGGGTGGGCCCATTGCACAGATGTGGGTGCCGCCAGCAGTGCCAGGGCCCAGCCAAAAAAAATTTAAAAATAAAAATTTAAAAAGGCTCAAATTATGGATCTTATTTAGGGACCAGAAATTCATCCTCTTTGTAGACCAGAAATTCATCAACTCTTTTTGCCTCAATCTTTGCAGTTTGGAATGAGACTCTACACTGTAGAGAGACAGGAGGGGCAAGGGGGGTGCTGGGTATGAAGAGGAAACAAAGAAAATGGCTCTTAATTTGGCCCGGGATATGGCTCCGAGGATATTTCACTTATGACTAGGGCAATTAGGTCAACAATGAATTCTGAACACATTTCCATTGGCTGTGTTATGCTTGTTCTATCTTATATAGTCATTTTTATTAAAATGGCTTTGAGGGCTATTTTGTTCCATTGATCCACATTAAGTTTTATTTCAATGCCACACTGTTTTTATTATCATGACTTTAAAATTTGTTTCACAATCCACTATGCTAAGTTCCCCCACCCTCCACTGCTCTGTATTATCAAAATATCATTTGATATTCTGGAATTTTTTTTTTTTTTTTTGAGACAGAGTCTCGCTCTGTCGCCCAGGCTGAAGTGCAGTGGCGCGATCTCGACTCACTGCAAGCTTGGCCTCTAGGGTTCACACCATTCTCCTGCCTCAGCCTCCCGAGTAGCTGGGACTACAGGCGCCCACCACCACACCTGGCTAATTTTTTGTATTTTTAGTAGAGATGGGGTTTCACTGTGTTAGCCAGGATGAATCTTGATCTCCTGACCTTGTATTCCACCCGCCTCAGCCTCCCAAAGTGCTGGGATTACAGGCGTGAGCCACCGCGCCCAGCCTGATTTTTTGAATTTTTAAAGTGATGTGTGTATTGGCCAGGTATGGTGGCTCACCCCTGTAATCCCAGCACTTTGGGAGGCAAAGGTGGGAGGATCACTTCAGCCCAAGAGCTTGAGACCAACCTGGGCAACATGGAGAAATCACCTCTCTAAAAAAAAAAAAAAAAAAAAAAAAAAAAAAACCAAAAAATTAGCTGGGCACGGTGGCAGGCACCTGTAGTCCCAGCTACCAGGGAGGCTAAGGTGGGAGGATCACTTGAGCCCAGGAGGTTGAGACTGCAGTTGAGTAGAGATTACGCCACTGTACTCCAGCCTGGGTGGCCAACTGAGACCCTGTCTCAAATAAAATAAAATAAAATAAAATAAAATAAAATAAAATAAAATAAAATAAAATAAAAATATGTGCGTGCATGTGTATGTGTGCATTGCATGTGTGTGCGTGTGCATGCGGGTGCATGTGTACCCCACTAGGATAAACCAAAATTGTTCAACATCAGCTCAACTGGCATCTGGGGCCAGATCATTCTCTCTGGTAGGAACCATCCCGTAAATTGCAGGGTGCTGAGCAGCACCCCTCACCTGGCCCCACCAGTTATGACAAACAAAAATGCCTCCATACATTGCAGATGTCCTCCAAAGGGGGCAGAACACCCCCAGTTGAGAACCTCTGCTGTAAACCGTTGGTGTCCCCATTTAATTGGGACCCCTTTTGTGTTTTCCAACAAAGTTCTGTGCCTCTTGAGGGGATCACATATCCTTATTCAGCTTACTTCACAAACAGTTCATATTTTAACTGCCATTATCACCAAGATCTCATTACAATTCCTAAGTGGTGGTTGCTGGCACATAGGGATGCCACTGGTTTGGAGTCATTCACCTTGTATTAGCCACTTGCATAAACTGATGCTCTCTCAGGGCGTTTAGTTGCTGGTGTGAGGGTTTCTCAGGCACCTAATGATATCGTAGAGCGATATGTTTGCTTCTCAAACATTGTGTGGATTTGAATCACTGGGGAAATCTTAAACGCAGCTTCTGATTAAACAGCTCTGGGGTCTACGCTTCTAAGAAGCTTCCCAGTGATGCTGATGCTACTGGTCAAAGGATCACACTGAGTTAAAAAAAAAAAAAAAAATCAATCTGCGTTTCTTCCTAGAATCTAAGTACGTCCCTGCAGAGTCCCGCACGAAGCATGTAGGTTAGCACCAAGACCCAAGGACACAAACCACCTGTCTACAGGAGATACTGGCCTGCAGCTGACAAGCTCACTTCCTGGTGATTATCTCAAAACCGGAGGGGGTAACCAGCACGTTCGCCTTCAACAAGAAGCCGGGTGGTCTAACGGGTCATCCATTTGTCCCCGGGAGCTAAGGAACACGCAGCTCTCAGCAGACCATGAATGCGTGATCCTAGCTGCAGTCCAGGGTCAGGGACTCCACAACACTTACTTCTTAAAGGAAACTGATCGTCATCACCACTCACATTGGCACACCACTTTTCAGTTTACAAAACATGCTTCTATTTCATCTCATTTGGTCTTTGTAACAACGCTGGGAGGCAGATGAGGTAGAGACGTCATGGCCACTTTCATCATCAACATCCAAATCACCTTCATTGATAAGGGCTGGAGGCTCAGAGGCCACGTGATGTGGCCAGACTCTCAACACGAGGCCAGAGCCAAGGGCCTGGACACCTTGGGTGTGTGTGCTCAGCCCCCTTTCTCCAGGGAAATGCCCCACCAGGCCATGGCTATCTGGGGGTCAGTAGGTAACAACGCAGCAGGGATAGAAGGAAGGATGGTCTCAGGGACACTGCGCAGGTGAATCCACAGGGCCTGGTGACCAACTGGATGTGAGAAGGTGAGGACAGAGGAGTCCAGGGCACAGGAGACCCCGAGGGGTGAGGGCCCCACCTCCCATGCCCCGGGGACTGTGCCTGAATTCCCAAACATCAGCCTGGGCTGCCTCACCTGTAAAACACGTTCTTTTCTTTATTGAGATAAAAGTCACATAACAAAATTCACCATTTTAACCACTTTTTTTTTTTTTGAGAAGGGAGTCTCGCTCCGTCGCCCAGGCTGGAGTGCAGTGGCGCGATCTCGGCTCACTGCAAGCTCCGCCTCCCGGGTTCACACCATTCTCCTGCCTCAGCCCCCCGAGTAGCTGGGACTACAGGCGCCCGCCACCACGCCCGGCTAATTTTTTGTATTTTTAGTAGAGACGGGGTTTCACCGTGGTCTTGATCTCCTGACCTCGTGATCCGCCCACCTCGGCCTCCCAAAGTGCTGGGATTACAAGCGTGAGCCACCGCGCCCGGCCATTTTAACCACTTTAAAGCATCCAATTCAGTGGCTTTAAGGACACTCACAATGTTGTGCCATCATCGCTACTATCTAATTTCACCACTCCAACGAGAACTCCCGTCCTCAAGAACAGTCACTCCCCATTCTCCACCCCATTCCCCCAGGCCCTGGCAGCCACTCTTCCACTTTCTGTCTCTATGGATTGGCCTGTGCTGGACATTTCATTGAAATGGACTCATATGCTATGTGGCCTCTGCGGTCTGGCTTTCACTCAGCGTCACATCTCCAAGGATCATCCCTGCTGCCGCATGTGCGGGTCACCACTTCATTCCTTTTATGGCTGAACAGCACTCCATTGCATGGAGAGAGCACATTTTGCTTATCAGTGCATCAGTTGATAGACATTTGGGATCCTTCCAAAATGGGGTGATTTCACGCCTCCCTTATCAGTTGACCATGATGACTGAAAGTGAAAGCTACAAAACCCACCTAGCCCATCAGGGTGGAACCTCCAACCTAAAGCTCCTGACACAGGGCGGGGCTGCCAGGTGGCCACA
This sequence comes from Homo sapiens, assembly GCF_000001405.40. Classification (NCBI taxonomy): domain Eukaryota; kingdom Metazoa; phylum Chordata; class Mammalia; order Primates; family Hominidae; genus Homo; species Homo sapiens. Next base: position 84,594,340 of record NC_000016.10, read on the forward strand.
GCGCACAGGAAACGAGACTGGTGCAAGAGATGGCAGTTCCTCACTTGTAAGGTGCAAAGTGCGCAGCCACAGGCGGCTGGTGCAGACTTGGAGTGTGGGGGAGCAGCGCTTTAGCTCGAGAGCATTTCTCAGCAGTCCCCGTGGTGTCTGGGAAGCCAGGGCTCTGTTTTGAGGAGTGTCGTCAGAGCATCAACACCAAAGTGCTTAATTAAATGGCAGCCTTGACCTGAGGGGGAGGAGGGGCTGAACATCCGCCTCCGACTGCATTTCACAAGCAAAAGAACACGGTGAGTGTGTTTCCATGGTAACCGCTCTCGGGTTCCCATTTCCACATTGGTCAGCCCGGACTTGGATCCAAACTACCCATCCCTGGCCCAAGCCTCCATGGAGGTAAGTTACCAGCCCTGCTTTGGGCCAACGCAGTTTTTGGGGACCTCAACCATGTGTTCAGCCCATGGCCAAGGCTTCGGGCTGAGCCAGCTCTCCCAGCCTCTCTCTCTTCTCAGTGTCGCCCCCTCCCACGGCTCTGGCTGGCTCCTCTGCGGAGCTCCATGGCTTTTCCAGCGTCTGCCCTCTCTGCTGGCTGCCAAGTGCCTCCACATGCCGGCCATGCTCTGCGCACCTCCAACCCTCCACATCCACCCTTCCCCTCTTTCAGACCTCCCCAGGTCTACCTTGGGCAACACCCTTTGCCCCCGGAGGGTCACAGATTCTTGTTGAAGAACCACAGGCATTGTCCCTGTGTCCCAAGTACCAGCCCAGGGCCTGGCACAAGATAGATGTACAATAAGTAAGTTACACCCACAACCCCAAGGACACTGGGAACCTTCCAGAACCACAGCCTGATGTCATTTAAATGATCGTGGGGGAGCGGGGTAAAGAGGGACGTGGTTTGCTAGGTGACTGCTGCGTGCTTATCCGACAATGGTTTGGTCAACAAGATTGCTGACAGGCCTGTTTTTGAAAATCCGAGTCACGTTATGCTTACAAATGTTTGCTGCTAGAGATCTGGCACGACAGTGACGGGTCAGCTGAGTCGGAGACGGAAAACCTGTTGGTCTGCGCACCGTTTTTGCAGCTGCCCGGCAGACTGGAGGCCTCTCCCCAACCCTGCTCACCCTGAAGGAGGTTCTCGGTCCCTTTTGACCTCACACTGGGCAGTGGAAGGGGAATCGCTAGTTCTTCATCCCTGGTTTAGTTACTTTCCCTCTTCTGAACAAATTGGGTCCACAAACCCCAGTGGCAGTCACAGCCCCACATCAGCAGTGGGGAGCCCTAGGCTCCCTCGTCTATGTCGGGCTATTGTCACTCCTGTACGCGGGAACACTGGCATATCTACTAAAGGGCACAGAGAAACGCTGTCCTGTATATATTAGTGTGATATGTGTGTGCGTATATATTTGTGTATGTGTATATATACATATATTTGTGTGTATAATATGTGTCTATATGTGTACAGGTGTGTTTGTATATGTGTGTATATACATACATTTGTGAGTACAGGTGTATATATGTGTGTATATATATTCATGTATTTGTGTATGTGTGTTATATATACATGTATGTGTATGTGTGTGTTATATATATACATGTATGTGTATGTGTATGTGTGTTATATATACATGTATGTGTATATGTGTGTGTGTATGCACTAAGACGGCAAAACTGCCCAGAAGAAGGTTGGTACCTGGGCTTTCCATCACCCTCACTGTGCCACTTGGTCCCCAACAGGGCCAATGGTCCATCTCTTCAAACTGAAGCTGAGAGTCCAGGTCTACGCAGAGGAGACAGGGAGACTGGGCAACCCCAGTGGGGGACGGGGGACCCAGGACTTCACCCAAACACAGGTACCAGAGACAGATGCCATGAGCTCCTTCTGCTGGAGCCCTCAGCACAGGGGAGTGGTCTATACCCTTAACCTTCTCTGCAATGTCCAGGGTGCAAGTTCAAATTCCAGAATCCTTTAGAAACTTACCCCCACATGTACTAGCCTTGTGACCCAGCCCAGAGTCCTGAATGTCTCTAAGCCTCAGTTTCCTCATCCACAAAATGGGTCAAATACTTACCTCATAAAGTGGTTGGGAGGATTACATGAAAAAGAAATGAGATCTGAAGGGTTGGCTGATGGGAATCATTGCTGATTTTTGACCCCCAACACCTCTCCAGTGAAACTGCCCTCAGGGGTCCACAGGGGCCTCCTAATTGCCAAAGCCAACAGCATCTTCTCCATGCCCACTGGTGGCGTTTCACGCCATTATCAATTCTGCCCTCCTTGAACCTCTCCCTTCCCACGGCACCCAGGGCATGGTGCCATCTTGGTTCTCAGAGCACTGATCCCGCCTTCTACTTTCTCCCCGGCTCTTCCACCCCCTCTGTCTCCACACACACACTCCCCAGGGTTCCACCTCATCCTCTCCTTTCCCCTGACACTCTCTCCCTGGGAGATCTCAGCTACCACCACAGAACACTGACGCACCAGCCCCTGCCCTCACAACTCTCCACTGCTCTGTCCTTAACAAGGTGGACAGAGTCTGCCCTCTGTTTCTCGCCATTTCCTGGCACCTCGCACCCCTTACACACAACTGTTCGCTAAGGCAATCTGGAGCACTTAGAAGAGCACAAACTCCAGAGATCAGCCAGCCAGGGCCGCATCCCAGCCAGGGCCGCATCCTAGCAGGGGCCGCATCCCAGCCGGCTTCCTTCTAGCTATGGAACATCAGATGAGGGTGCTTCATGCTCTGAGCCTCAGCTGTTCCAGCTGTAGAATGGGGACCACTTTCTGCATCCAGCTCTGGGTTTCAGAGTGAGGCACTCCGAGGCACACAGTCACGGAGTCACTCCTTCTGTGAGTCTTTCTTGAGGAGAGATGGAAGACAGTGAAGGTCTGAGAGGTAACTGAGCCCCAAGTCTACTAAGCACTTATGAGGGGCCAGTCCCCACTCTAAGAATCTGCACACTGCAGATTCTTCTCCTCTGTGAGGGCAGCACAGATCGCAGTCCCATTTCACAGATGAAGAAACTGAGGCTTGGAGAGGTGAAGTGAGAATGAGCCACACAATTCTCCCTGCCCGCTGCAGAGCTGCTGAAGTCCACAGCAGCAGTTCTCAAAGTGTGGTCCTCGGACCAGCAGCACCACAGCACCCGGGAACTTATTAGAAATGTGGGTACTCAGGCTCCACTCAGCCCTACTGATCCAGACGCTGGGAGTGGAGCTCTGAAACTGTGCTCGAATGAGCCCCAGGGTGATTCTGAGGCTGCCAAACCTTGAGACCCACTGACTTAGAGGAAGAGGTGGAGAAGAGGAAATGGTGAGAACTCACTGTTGGGAGAGGGGACGAGACAAAGGTCTCAAGGACAGAAAAGCTGAAGTGCTCAGAGTTCAGCCCCCACGCCCTCCTTGCTGCCTGTCTGCCTTTTATTTTAAGCAAATGACTGCATGAAGCAGCTTCCTGCAGAGTCCGTGGTTCCTGAGCACGCCCATCAAAGACCACCAGGACAGTCCCTCCAGTGCTCCCTCCCCAAAATCCCACACCCCAAGAGAGGGAACAGCCATCATTAGCAAGAGAGCTACTGACTATCAGCCCTGGGTACCAGGAGGCCTTTCTGCCTGTGCTGCCTCTAGCTCCTCTGCTTGCCCATAAGCCACGAGGATTCAGATGCATATCATAGCATCACACTGAGCCCCATCTCAGGGCTGCCGTCACTGAGGATACAGCAAGGTCAGGAGCCCCATCCTGAGGACGGTGGTTTCCTTCTGGTCGGTGTCATGCACTCAGAGCCCAGGCCAATTGCACGCTGGATGTCCCTGATTTGAAGACTATGGATGCCCTCCCCTTCCCACCCAGAGAGAGTCTTGTTCATGAAAAGACACAGCTGTTATGTTTAACGTTAATAAAACTTCACTCTCAAAAGAGCCGGACCCTTCCTTCCACTGGTCTATGAAGCCTCATCAGAAGCCAATGATGGAGCTTTGGCTCCTGCAAAGGACCCGTGGGGACCTAGAAGCCCCAGGCAGGGCCCTGAAGGTAGGTAAAGGGAGCCTCAGTCCAATGCCCAGGTCATCTCTTCAAGGTTCTCTGCCTTCATTTACTAAGTAAGTTCATCTGTGTCAACAAATCAGCATCCTAACGTTCTCAGGATACCGCCTGGCGCAGAGCTGTGAACTCAGCAGCCGGCCCTGGTGGCTGTTACATGCTCTTTTCTCTGGCCTTTCCCTCTCCTGGCTCTCCTCTGACCTTTCCCCTGGGTCCTGGAGGTGCCTTTACGCCTCTCCCACCTCCTCCCCATCTGTGCCTCCTCCTCCCCTTCTCCCCCCCAACCCCCCCCACCAACCCCGACCTCTCTGGAAGAGAGAGGGATGGGGCAGGGAAAGGCCAGAGGGGGTAAAGGAGAGACAGTGGGGGTGGGAAGGACCACACAAGGAGACCAAGCAGGAGACCAAGCGGGAGAACCAAGTGGGGGCGGCGGGGACCAAGCGGCAGGGGTGGGGGGGAGCAAGCAGGGGGGGTCCAAGCGGGGTCGGGGGTGATCAGGCTGGAGCTGCTGGGCAGTCAAAGGGATGGGGATGTGGGAGAAAACCCAGTGACAACAGAAACAGAGGATGACCACAAAGGGGCTAGGGAGGGGGGTAAAGGCAAGAATTACCTGTAATCACCAAAGCCACCAGGATGAGCCGCTCTAATAACTCCCCAAAAGTTACAAACGGCATATGGTCCCCACTAAGCTCTGAAGGCTTGCCCCTCCCCCCCTTCCCCCTCCCACCCAAACTTGAAATCTCAGGCTCAGGTCAGCACTGAGGAAGAGATTCTGACCAGGCACCCAGTGTTCTCACCAGGGCGGCCCCCACCCAGGATCCACATTGACTGGGGGCCTCTGCCTTTTCCCCAAAGAGATTCTAGTCTCCTCTGCGTATCGCCAAAGCCAGTCCTGGCTGGAGGACCAAACCCCCGAGGAAGGAGGATCTGCTATGGGTCGAGCACTGTGTAACTTTCTTAACACTTTTGCAAATGTTTTGAACAACCTTTTTTCATTACAAAAACACATACTAGGTGTAGAATAATGAGAAACACAAAAAAGCAAAATGAAGAAATTAAGGATCCCCCACCACCCTAGAAACTTTTTAGCGTAAGTCCTTTGGATCTTTTCAGCTACTTTCACATCTGTCTGGGTCTTGTTATGGCCCCAGCACTGATCACCATGCCAGGCATGTCATAGGCACCTTATACGTTATCTGTGGGCCAATGGAAAGAAAAAAGAATCATTTCAGAATTTCCACCCAACACTGAACTTTAGAGCAAGGCCAAAGAAAGGGGGAAGGGGAGGACAGGAGGAAGTTGCCCCAGAGAGCGGCAAGATTGCAGCTCACTCTAAAGCTGCCCTAACTTTACAGAGACTCCGGAGAGGTTATGCAAACACGGCTCAGGAAGGGAAAAAACAACCCACACACCAAAAAGCTGAGCTGTCAGCTTCCACCGAGGGAGCTCCCTGGAGCGAGGATGAAAGGAAATGGGAAAGAATTCTTACATCCTGCTGCCCAGAGCAAGGGGACAGCTGGGCAGTCGCCATGGCAGCGGCTGGCTTCTAGCAGGCTGCTAAGGGGAGAGAGGGCAAGGCTGGGGAAGGAGAAATGTCTTCTTGCCACCAAAGAGGAAGGAGGGCTCAGTGGCCGCCCACGTCTGTAAGAGGGAGGGGGCCTGAGGCTGGGGCTGGAAGGGGCCAGGTTCGTTGCTGAAGTTGAAGGGAGAGCTCTCATTACTAAGAGGCCTGATATCACTATACCACTTGCTGTCTTTTTTCAGAGTGACTTTCGTAACTCCCTGCAGTTGACAAAAACAAAACCAAACCAAAAACACCCTCCTGTCCTGCTCAAAAAACTTTGCAAAAGTATTAAAAAGTGTAAAAACTGAAACCCATTACTCTGTTTATTTCTAAACTCCTTTTGGTTTATTCCTTATAGGGCATGAATAAAGGCTCTTTTTTTTTTTTTTTTTTGAGACGAAATCTCGCTCTGTTGTCCAGCCTGCAGTGCCGTGGCACGATCTCAGCTTACTGCAACCTCCGCCTCCTGGGTTCAAGCGATTCTCCTGCCTCAGCCTCCTGAATAGCAGGGATTACAGGCACCTGCCACCATGCTCGGCTAATTTTTGTAGTTTTAGTACAGACGGGCTTTCACCGTGTTGGCCAGGCTGATCTCGAACCCCTGACCTCAGGTGAACTGCCCGCCTCAGTCTCCCAAAGAGCCAGGATTACAGGCGCGAGCCACTGCGCCCGGCCAAGGCTCTGTTTCTTTATGTGATCCGCATTGTGTGGGTATCTGCGTGTAGGCACATTGTTTCTGCATTGGAGCTCACACTGTAAATGCGGTTTGATATCCCACGCAGGAGACTCCTCAAATGATCCCCGATTCATTGCATTTTCACTAGGTGTGAATGACCCAGCTTTCCTAGCTTGACAGAGAACATAAGAAAATGAAGTACAGGATGGCCAGAGGAAAAGAAAGATGATTACTTCGGCAGAACCTCCAGGGTATAAGCTGATCTGGATACCCAAATTAAACCGAGAGCTAAAGGTTTTCCCCCTATGACAAAGCACTAGCACTTTCTTTCATGATAATTCTCTACTTCCTTAAATGGGAGTTAGTGTGTTAGACCTGACTCCACCCTCTGACTTAGAGAAGAGTGGCTGTAAAGCAGTCCCTGGAGGCTCTGAGGACCTTATTACAGTATCTATAGCATCTATAAGGAGACGCTGCGCCACTGAGGGGTTCAGCGTCTGGCTCCCAATCACTGAACAGCCCTGGCACACACTGCTTTATACTCTTGTGTCTGCTTTTCACTGTTGTGCTGCCTCTTCCATCGCTGTGGGTTGGTTATTTGACAAACACTTACTGACAATCTGTGATACAGGGATTTTGCTGAAAATGCAATCCCTACCTTCAAAAAATATACAGTCTACCATAGCAAACAAAAATGTAGTGTGTGAATACCATGAAATTACTGCTATGGCAAAGAGTTGTGACTGGCAGTTACAGGAGCATCAAGGAAAGAAGGAAATCCGCTCTGCCTGGGCAGCTGTGACCAGGACTGGCTTTGCAGAGGAGGTGATGTTTGATTAGGGTCTTTTTCTTTTATCCCCCCGAGACGGAGTCTTGCTCTGTCACCCAGGCTGGAGTGCAGGGGCACAATCTCGGCTCATGCAACCTCCGCCTCCCGGGTTCAAGCAGTTCTCCTGCCTCAGCCTCCCGAGTAGCTGGGATTACTGGCACGCTCCACCACACCCAGCTAATTTTTGTATTTTAATATAGACCAGGTTTCACCATGTTGGCCAGGCTGGTCTCGAACTCTTGACCTCGTGATCCCCCCATCCTGGCCTCCCAAAGTGCTGGGACTACAGGCATAAGCCACCGCACCCATCCTGATCAGGGTCTTGAAGGATGACTCAGAGTTCCTCCAGAGAACAGGGTAAGGACAAAGAGGGTTCTTGTTGACAATTTGAGAGGGAGATTGTGACAGAACTCCAGACAAAGCAACAGCCTCTGCTGGCAAGTTCAAAACGCCTTCCTCCACCAGCCCTTCTCTCTTTTTCCGACTCACCACAAGCCAGAAGGGCATATGATGCAGCTGATGATAACTGTGTGCAAACTAAGAGCTTAAAGGCTCAGAATGAGCTACAGGCCTCCTTCAGCTTGCTCAGCCCTACTCCAGGAGGGAAGGAATCTCGTTCCCTAGCACATCCAAAGCACCCAGACGATGCCCCACATGTACTCAATACATACTTCCCGAATAAATGAAGGGCATCTACATGGCATCTTTGACTTCTCAGAGGCTTTTCAGTTCCAAATTTGCAGCTGCGTTTCAGTTCAATGGGGGTGGGGGGGGTGCCATTTTATAAGAGTAAAACCAAGCAGATGGGCACAGCAGCTCACACCTGTAATCCCAACACTTTGGGAGGCCGAGGCAGGAGGATTGCTTGAGCCCAGGAGGTTGAGGCTGCAGTGAACTATGATCGCACCACTGCACTCCAGCCTGGGCCACAGTGAGACTCTGTCTCAAAAAACTTTTTTTCTTTTAATTAAAAAAAAAAAAGAATAAAACCAATTCTTTGTCAGGATTTTTAAAGTGTGACTTCCACCCCCAGAGAGCAGGAATGAATAGACAGGCAGGAACGAATGGATATGGACAGACATAACAACTGATTTGTTTTGACAAATTTGTGGTTTAATAAAAGCACATGTGGCCAGACGCAGTGGCTCATGCCTGTAATCCCAGCACTTTGGGAGGCCAAGGCGAGCAGATCACTTGAGCTCAGGAATTCGAGACCAGCCTGGCCAACCCGGCAAAACCCTGTCTCTACTAAAAATACAAAAATTAGCCATTCATGGTGGTGCACACCTGTAATCCCAGCTACTCGGGAGGCTGACGTAGGAGAATTGCTTGAGTCCAGGAGGCAGAGGTTGCAGTAAGCTGAGATCATGCCACTGCACTCCAGCCTGGGCGACAGAGACTTCATCTCAAAAAAAAAAAAAAGTGCATGGAAAGGGAAGGCCAAAAAGGCAGTGTTGCTGGAGTCAGCGATGCCAGAGTCAGTGATGCCTGCGTAACAAGGAAGCTGCTTCTCCACCTTTCACATGCACCAAGAACGGTAGCCCAGAGGGACGCAGCTGGCTTGAAACCTCAGCGGCATGAGAGCCTGGAGACCAGGGTTCAGGTCCTGGCTCTGCCCCTTTCCTCCCATGTAACAATGGCCCAGCGACTTCCCCTCTCTGCCCCCCAGTTCCCCGGAGGCCTCTCCATCTCTGCCTGGGAGCCCCTGGTTGGTGGGGGCAGACTCGCAGCCAGTTTTCCTTCCCCGTGGACTTTAACAACACTCCAGCCCGCAAGCCTGCGCACACCAGCCCCCACGGGGACAGCTGACTCACTTTACTCTTCTACGGATTCACTTATTCATTACCCCATGCAACATCCGAGGCAGAACCTCCCCTCTTCCCAAAGGACTGAGGCAACGAAGTGTGACTCAGCCAGGGCTCTGCGCCAGGCTCTGAGTGAACACACTGGAAACCCGGCCGTGGGTACAACACGGCGTCACAGCTCTGCCGTAAACACAGGGGGACCCACTGAGAGCCCAGGGGACCAGCAAGCCTCCCCCTGGAGGTCTCCTCATCGGTGACACAGCACGTTGATCCTCATCAGCCAGCTGAGGGGGTGATGCCCTGGGAATCGGGCCTGGCACACAGGAAGTGTTGGGAAGCGCTAGGTGAGGATGATAAGGACAAGGCGGCCTTGGGACCAACGGTGACAATGGCAACAGACTATGAAGCGAATGGAGGCAGTGGGGGAGCCGGGAGTTCAGAGGGGAGAGGCAGGGCTGTGCTCAGGGAAAAGGGCTGCTCAGGGCCTGTGGGGTTGGCGCATCATGCCTGGGGACCCAGAAGAAGTGGCAGAATAAGACCCTGCCCAGCTGGGAATGAGCCACAGAAAGGGCCAAGGCAAAGTTCTAGGAGGACATGAAACAAAAGTGATCAGAATAAAATGCGCACTGCTCCAGGAAAACCCAGAGGCCTCACATGGCTCCCGGGGCCACTGCACCCTGGGCCCTGCCAGCTACCCACCTCCCCCCACTTTCTACCCGCCACTCCCCACCCACCTCCCTCCCTGATGGCCCCCACCCCATGCTCCCCACTCCCTACTACCCCCGCAACTCCCCTCTCCCTCCCGCTGCCCCACCACGGCCCAACCCCATACTCCCCAACCGCCTTCTCACCCATGCTCCCCTCCCACTCCCCACCCATGCTCCCTGCTCCACAGCCCTCACCCCATGGCCCCCACCTACACTACCCCCTACTCCCCAACCCCTGCGCTCCCCATCCACACTCACCGGCCATAGCCCTCATGCCACGGTCCCCACCCCCTGCTCCCCACCCCACACTCACCCTCCACAGCCCTCACCCCCTGCTCTCCACCCTCACTCCCCACCCACGCTCCCCTCCCACGGCCCCCACCCCATGGCCCTACTAGGTTCCTGTCCTCCTGCCCACCCAGGAGCCTCATCCTCCTTTTTTCTTTATGCTTTTTCATCCTAAGATATTATTTACACAGCATGAACTGCACCCTGTGAAAGTGGACATTTCAGTGGGTTTCGGTCCATTCACAAGGTTGTGCATGGTGATGCACCCCACTGAGCTCTCCCAGCACGAGTGCCCAGCAGACCGTGAGTGCTCAGTTTATATGTGTTGGGGGGATGAGTGACCAAAGTCACCCAGGAAGAGAGTGTGGTGTTCCCAAGAATGGGCCACACAGCAGCCAGGTTTGGCCAAATCCAGAGAGCTGCAGGGTGGACACAGCCCTCTCTCTGTCCCTCTGTTAGGCAGGGGCCCAGAGGGGGCTGTGGCTGTAGGGGTCACACAGGGGCCGCCAGGAGCCTGGCTCTTTGCATCTCAAGCCAGGTTCTTTTCACCCCTCCCCCAGCTCCAGCTGACCCCTGGCCCGCCTGAAGCAGCAGCAGCTTTTATTTGCAAGCCATGAACAATACACTCCATTTTATAAGCAGCGTAGAATTCTAGCCAGAAACGGGGAGAAAAGTGCTTCCGGGTCAGAGCAGACCTCCAAAGGCGAGCCCTGCAGGCAAAAGTAGGGAAATCGGGATTTCCTGGGAAAGTCTCTCCAGGGCAGGAGGGAACACTCGGGTTCAGGAATTAAGGAGCATTGCTCCCCAGACACACGCACAGGCTTTCTGTGTCAACAACAATGGCAGAAATGGCCTCTAAACAACAGTGGCCTCTAAACACTTCCCACGGCCCCCCATGGCCTGGGCCTGGGCCTTAGGTCTGCCCCACGGTGTTCCACAGAAGAGCCTCCCGTGGTCTTCCCTTCTTGTTTCACAAAGATTTTACATTGCAAGCTGGGGTGCAGGGGGTGTCAGGAGTGGGGGCGAGAAGCACACACGCCAGGTAAGAATTGCAGCCTGGCCTGCGTACTGCCTCGGCTGTGAAATGGGATAACAACAGGGCCCGCGATGCTGGGTCACTGGGCATATTAAATGAAATCACAAGTGACTGCGGCAGGCAAAACAACGGCCCCTAAGACATCTATGTCCTAAACCCCAAAACTGTGAATATGTCCCTCACATGGCAAAAGGGCTTTGAGGGTGTGGTTAAGGTAAGGATCCTGAGATGGGAGATTCTCCTGGGTTATCTGGGTGACACCCACGTGATCACTGCAGTCCTTAAATGGGGAAGGGTGGGGAAGAGGGCCAGAACCAGAGAGCTGGCATCATGAGGACTCGACCTGCCAGTACTGGCTTTGAAGACAGAGGAAGTGGCCACAAGCCAAAGAATGCAGGCAGTCTCTGGAAGCACAAGAAGGCAAGAAAATGGATTCTCCCCTGGAGCCTCCAGGAGAAAGCAGCCCTGTCCACACCTGGATTTTAGTCCTGTGAGGCTCATGTCAGACTTTTGACTTGCAGAACTATAAGATGATGCATTTATGTTGTTTTAATTCACCAAGTTTGTGGTCATTTGTTACAGTGGCCATAGGAAAGTAACACAATGACCCTGGCTAATGCCTGGCCTAATAAAGGTCCACTGTTAACCATTGTTGTTATCAACTTATTTATTTATTGCTCGCAAGGAAGCTTACCTAAGTACCTAGAAGACAAAGTAAGAATAAGTGCATGAAGAAAAGCGTGATGACCATAAACTAAGTACAGAACTAAAAACAAGATCTATGGCAGGTTAATTTCAAAATGCACTCATGAAATAAAATATTAAATGCTGACGTGCCATGCCTGCCTTCAAAAACCAGCCTCTGGGGACCTGCCACTGCTGAGGCCACTGAGCTGAATCAGAAAAGTCACAGGCACTTGCTTAAGTGGGAGAGGAAGGTGGCGATGCCTGGGCTCTGGAGTAAGAGGCCTGGGGCCAGAGCAGTCACATGGCCAGTGGTAGCGGCCGGGAGCCTTGTGGGCCACTGGGCTGTTACTTTGGAGGAGGGGACGGCGGGCCCTCCTGTGTGAGCTTAGCTCTCAGACATCTACATGGACTGTCACTCATTTGCCTACTCAACAACATCTGTGCAGGCTGCCAGGTACTGTTCCCAGCGCTGCCAATACTGCAGAGAACAAAGCTGACCTGGTTGCCCCACGGGGCTTGGATGCTCCCAGGAAAGTCACAAGATAAACAGGTGCATAACTGCACATGTGGCTATGATCTTAGGCACTGCTAAATGCTGCAAGGAGATGCTTTTTGACTCCTTGTCACCTTCTCCAAGGCCATGTCTGGTTTCAGTGGTAGTGGGCGTAGCCACTTGGGTACACCATGACATCCTGCCACGTCTAGCTGCTCAACCTCACAGAGGCACAGCCTGGAGTGCAGAAACCCTAAAGCCCCTAAAGGACCCCTCAACCAATGGGGGATAAGAGTCGGTGGCTACGTGCCCCCGCCTCCCAGGGCTGCACCCTCCATGTTCCTCTTAGGGTCCCTGAGGGATTCTGTCCCAGGTGCCCACAGCAGTAACTGTAGGATTCTGTCCCAGGCGCCTACAGCCCATAAGAAGTAGAGCTGAAATTTGAACCCAGGCATTACGGGTTCTCTTCTATAAGCAAGAGACAAAGGAGTGGACAGCCAGCACGTGCTGGGAAAAGCCTATGACCCAGGATTCAGCCCATGACTTGGGCCCACTCAAGGGAGCAACACACCCATGGGGGAAAGAGATTGGCAGCCATCTAACCATGAAGGATGGGGATTCCCCGCCAAGGATACCACCACCAAAGGGACAAAGTCCCTCTCTCCAGGAGGACTTCGCCAAGGAGTTGAAGAAACAGACATGCACACGACCACCATACGGGACACCAACACCACAAAGACAAGGAGGGCATCCGAGCAGAGGGAACATTCACACCGGGCCTTGACGGGTGTGTAGGAGTCCTCCAGGAAGGCGAAACAGATGAAGACAGTGCAGGCAGAGGGAAGAGAGTCCACAGGCCTAGGGAAGCGGGAAGGCAGGCCAGCGCGGCACAGGGGAAGAGCTGAGAGCCTCGGACACAGATCTGGATTCAAAGTGCAGTTCTTCCCAACTGCAGCATCTCCAGCAAGCGACTCTGGCTCTCCAAGGAAAATGTCAGGTTCCTCCTCAGTGAAGTGGGGATAATTTCTACTTGTGGGTGTCACTCTGCTCATTACTCCCTCAGAGAGAAGATAAATTAGATAAACTAACACACGCAGAGCTCCTACGTAGGGCCTGGGACTTGGGCATCCCTAAGGTCAGCATCGTGTGTGTTGGGGACACACACTGGAGGGGTCGGCTGGCCAGCACCTGTCATAAAGGGCACCCCATGTCATGTCTGAGCGTTTGGACCTTATGGAGAAAAGGTGTTGGAAGTGGGAGGCGGGGGAGCAATCTGACCTGAAGGTTAGAAAGCCACCCCTAGCCTGGACTGCAAGCTCACTGGGGTCAGGGAAAGGACTCAACTCAGTACTTGGCAAAGGGCTTGGGGCATAGTAGATGCTCGAGAAATGTCCCGGAGAAGACAAGGTCATGATCAAGGGTGGAGCCCTAAGAAACGCCTAGACTTATCGGGCAGGAAGCAGAAGCAGCAGCAGAAGGAAGTGAGAATGACAGGAGAGAGACATAAAAGGAGAACTAGGCAAGTCTAGCCACGCAGAAGCAGAAGCACAAGCGAGGGGGACTATCTTTTCAGGAGGTGCTGGCCACTGGCAAATGCTGGAGGGAGGTAAAGTGGATCAGAGACAAAGAAATGACCACTAAATCTGGCAACTGGAATATTTACCAAAGACCTAGACATAGAGCTCCATGCTCTGGGTGTGGGTGGGCACCAGAATGAAATGGGGTAAAGAAAGGATGGGAGACAAGGAGGTATTTATAACACCTATAAAATCTGTAAGGGATGCTTTCAAAAAGTTTGCATTAACTTCTGAATATTTTCAAGGGACAAAAACCCAATTCACCTAGTGTTTAGGGAATGCTTTTTTTGAACTTGAGACACTGTACTTACCAGGAAGATACACATCTATCATCCTTCATCATTTTCTGTTTGTGGTGACACAGCCACAAACAGAAAAGAAAGCACAAACATCACCATGCAGTAGACTGAAAGAGCTACCACAAAGCCCACGCCCCTGTGGACACACAAAAAAGCTATGCAGCGTGGCTCAGGGCCTCCCAGCAACAGATCTGTGGGCAAAGAAGGCAATGGGAGACTGGATAGTGCAGAAAATTACAAAGGTAATGTTTTCGCAGCCCTTCAGGGTACCACTTAAAAACAAAAACCCAGCCGGGCGGGGTGGCTCACGCCTGTAATTCCAACACTTTGAGAGGCCAAGGCAAGTGGATCGCTTGAGCCCAGGAGTTCGAGACCTGCCTGGACAACATAGTGAAACCCTGTCTCTACAAAAGATACAAAAATGAGCCAGGCGTGGTAGCAGGCGCCTGTAGTCCCTGCTACTGGAGACGCTGAGGTAGGAGAATCGCCTGAGCTGGGAGGCAGAGGTTGCAGTGAGCCAAGATCGTGCCACTGCACTCCAGACTGGGTGACAGGGCACGACCTTGTCTCAAAAATTAAATTAAATTAAAAACCCAACATTGTTTCTGGAGCAAAGTAGGAACCCAATAAAATGTTTGTCGCATGCATTAACGGACAGACTGTTCAGCACTTTATAACTGCCCAAAGCCCTGTCACAGATTTGGAGCTTCTTTTTGATGTCACATTCCCTTAGACCTTAGGAAAGAAAGCAATTTCTCTCCTTCCCTTCTCGCCCAAATTTCTGAAACCCGGGTGTGTATGTTCAGCTAGGGAAAAAATATTCAGGTGCAAAACAGCACGATAAATAGACTGCCGGCTCTCTGTGTGTTGTATTGCCATATACGCAGAGGTCATGGACAGCAAGTGAATTTGACTCCTTCGCATTCCAGCTCCCTTCTTTTGGTCGCTATACTCCAGTTTTCCGTAGGAACCACCTCTCTGCCACTCTCAGTCTCTGTCATCCAGGTAGGGCTGATGCCACCTCCAAGAGGCATCCCCTAGGCCTGCACTAAGGCCAGTCAGTCTTCCTGGAGGCATAGCAGGCCAGAAAATGGGGCTGTGAGACAGGAGAGTGCAGAGGCAAGGAAGGCCTCCTTCAATCCTTTCTTCAACATCTATGCCAAGTGGTTAGTCGGACTCTCCTGACATACCTCCTGTGATGGGGGCCTCACTTTCTCCTCTGGTAGCCCGTTCTACCTTAAGGGCCTCTTCCTCTCCAGGTCAACCCAAAATCTATCTGATATGGTTTGGCTCTGGGTTCCCACCCAAATCTCACCTTGAATTGTAATAAGTGTCAAGGGCAGGACGGGGTGGAGATAATTGACTCAGGGGGGCAGTTTCCCCCATACTGTTTTGGTGATAGTTCTCACAAAACTGATGGTTTTATAAGGGGCTTCCCCCTTCACTTGGCTCTCAGTCTGTCTCCTGCTGCCACGTAAAGAAGGATGTGTTTGCTTCCCCTTTTGCCATGATTGTAAGTTTCCTGAGGCCTCCCCAGCCATGCAAAACTGTGAGCCAATTAAACCTCTTTTCTTTATAAATTACCCAGTCACGGGTATTTCTTCATAGCAGCGTGAGAAGAGACTAACACACTATCCCTGAATTCCTACTGCGTGGTCCCATTTACCACATAGGGTTGGTGTGGGGGTAGGAACACAAGAAGTCCACACTTACCACATGACAGCCCCTCAAACATCTGAAGACAACACTGGTGTCTCCCAAGGATCTCTCCTCTTGGTCTCACAAGGTTAAATATGCCCAATTTCCTCAGTCAGTTCTCACATGAGAGGCTTTAAATTCCTTGTCCAGCCTGGATTCTCCTCTCCTCTGAGACTGTGTCCAGCTGCCTAACCTGGAGACTATGGCCAGGACTCTTTTAGATGGAAACTAAATCCAGAACCCACTCACACTGGCCTGAGAAAAAATATTACTTGGCTCATGAAAGTGAACCGTCTAAAGAGAAAGCTTCAGGCATGGCTGGATCCCAGAGTTTTCTGGCACGTCACCTGTCTCCACTCCCACCACCAGGCTCTGTTCCTGAGTTCTCAGACAGGTACTCTCTATAAATGGTAGACATGCCCTGTGAGCTCCAAGCCCTCATTATTCTTATTTGTTTTAATCCCAGAGAAAGATAAAAAGACTCTTTACCAACAACTCTGTCCAAAGTCTCAGGGATGAATCTGATTGGCTAGATTTGAGTCACAAGGGCCCTTGAACCAATCGGTTAGCAGAAGAGTGGCTTGCTCTGATTGGACAGGTCTGGGTTATGTGCACTCTCACAGGAACTACATTGGTTGACCAGGATTATTATGAAATGGAAGGGAGAGGTTCCCCCAAAGGAGGGAATGCTGGACAGAAAAAAAAACATCAATCTCTACATCTCTCTCTGTGGTGTTTTGGGTTAAACACTACTGGCTGACCAGAGCCTCATGGGAATATCATCTCCACCCAGACCATCATCCAACAAATGTCACAGGGCACCTGCCTCCAACCAAGCATCTTCATGATGCTGCCCTTCATGAAGAAGCCTTTTCTGGTAACCACCCCACATCTCAAATTTATTTCAACCTATCCATTGATATGTAACACCTTCTGAAGGTGCTACTTTAACAATAACCACATTTATTGAGCTTTACTCTGTGTCAGGCAGTACTCTACAAGCATTATATGGAACAAGCCAGTTTATCCTTACAGCAACCTACATGCAATCATTATCCCCACCTTTACAGACGAGAAAACACAGACCCTGGGAGATCTGCCCAAGGTCACACAGCACAGCAAGGCTATCGTTCAAAGCAAGACGCCCCAGCCTCACCACTGATGCTCTTAACCAATCAGCTCTAAAATCTGCACCAACAGAAAACTGGACTCATTCCCAGATGCCTGGATTCCTTCTAAAATAAAACTGCTTGCAACACATAATTTGAGGTCCATGGATAGAGGATTGCTTTAACAATGTCACATTTGTATGAGAGAAACTACGTAGCCATTTTTAAACTGGTATTGCAGAAGAAGAGGGGAAGATAGGGAAGAAACTTTGGCATTACAGTTGTTGTGGGAGGTGGCTCTAAAATATCTATGATCCCCTTTTGTAGTAGAATTACATACAGAAAACTATTTCAAGAATATAGATAAAAATGAGACCAGCGGTCTGTCCTGGGAGATGACAATAAAATGTCAGCTCCACGAGGACAGGCGCCTTTTCTGCTTCTGTATTTATCCTCAGTGCCTACAGTCGTGCCCCACAGAGTAGCAGTCCCATATGTCGAATGAATTAAATGAATAAACAGGAGAATGAAGGAATAAACACAGGAAGGAACAAGTTCCTGAGTGTTTGCAAAACTATATCTGAACTATATCTACTTGGTATTCTCTTCTTTTGGTTTAGTCTTGCTTTATGAGTATGCCACAGAGAATATGTATTATCTGAATGGTGCAGAAACAAAATGTGATTTCACAGACAGCCCCAGCCACTGCCTCGCCACACATACGTGATCTGTAAGCCCTTTCTGCTGTGGCCAGGTAGATCATACAACCGGTCTGGCAAATGGCCCCTTTCCCTCCACCTCTGCCAGCTGAGCCCTGATTGCTCCAGGCTCCCAGTGGCTCTGTCAGGTGAACCTGTGACCCTCCAGCCCAGCTCAGCACCCATTTCCTTCCCATCATCTCTCCCCCTTCCATCTTCTTGGTGCTCTTGAACGCTACTTCCACATCACTTGAATTCCAAAAACAAAAATGGCAATCGCAGTAATTGACATTTATGGAGTGCTCACTATGTCCCAAGCAGCATAAGGACTTGCTTCCTTAATCCTCCTAATGACCACACTGTAGCAGGTTACCAGATGGGTAACTCACCTGCTCCAGAGCACATGAATGGCAGGTATTTGAACCCAGGCAATCGGACAAAACCCAAACCTTGAACTACTGAGCTAAGCACCTCTCATCATGCTCCTTCATGCAGACCCGGGCCAAGGGTCTAATGCGTGTCCACATGGGGCCAAATGCCTATTGCATACCAGCCTGGGCCAGGTGCCTACTTTGTGCTGAGTGGGGACGTGTACTGAAAGCTTCCGAGTGGAAAGCATAATGCCTCTACGAGTGCTATCAGAGTAAAAATAATTATTTGAGGCCGGGCGCGGTGGCTCACGCCTGTAATCCCAGCATTTTGGGAGGCTGAGGCAGGTGGATCACCTGAGGTCAGGAGTTTGAGACCAGCCTGGCCAACATGGTGAAACCCCGTCTCTACTAAAAATACAAAAACTTGCCGTGTGTGGTGGCACATGCCTGTAGTCCCAGCTACTTGGGAGGCTGAGGCAGGAGAATCTCTTGACCCCGGGAGGCAGAGGCTGCACTCCAGCCTGGGCGACAGAGAAAAACTTTGTCTCAAAAAAAAGAAAAGCAGTGGTAGGGGTAGCCAACACACACCGTGGCCTGTGCTCTCATTTTAGGTGCATTACTTCAGTGAACCCTCCCAGTCACCCTCAGAGGTAGGCATGTCAGGATTCCCATTTTACAGACCTAAAAACTGAGGCACAGAGGGAGGGAGGCACTTGCCCAAGGCCACACACACAATGAGTGAGAAGCAGAGCGGAGATGTCAATCTAGAATGACTCTTTCTTTCTTTCTTTCTTTCTTTTTTTTTTTTGAGATAGAGTCTCACTCTGCTGCCCAGGCTAGAGTACAACAGCGCGATCTCGGCTCACTGCAACCTCTGCCTCCTGGGTTCAAGTGATTCTCCCGCCTCAGTCTCCGAGTAGCTGGGATTATAGGCGCCGGCCACCATGCCTGGCTAATTTTTGTATTTTTAGTAGAGACAGGGTTTCACTGTGTTGGCCAGGCTGGTCTCGAACTCCTGACCTCAAGTGATCCACCTGCCTTGGCCTCCCAAAGTGCCGGGATTACAGGCATGAGCCACGGCGCCCGGACTAGAGTGTTTCTGATTCCAAAGTGTACTCAGAGTTGAAATGAAGAAGGAATCACACTAAGCTAGGTGGGTGGCTGAGTCCTAAATGAGTTGAGATGGGGAAGAGGAATACCGCATGGTAGAAACCTCCAAAATCAAAAGCACCAAGACGGGAAATGTTACAGTGTTGGGCTGCAGATGTGTGAGGGAGGGTGTGTGGAGCTACTAGAGAGGAGATATGGGTGGGGACAAACCGACTAGAAAGCCAAGCAGACAGCATGAGTGTAATCCAATGGGGCAGAAGGGAGCCATAGAAGGTTAATGAGCAGAGGAGTGACTTGATTAGAAATGTACTGTAGAAAGAATTACCCCAGCAAGGGAGGACAGAGTGGATACCAGACAAGGAAGATTAAGGGCAAATAGACTGTTGCTATGAAGAGGAAAGCAGAGATGTTAAGGGGCAAATGGACACTTTTGTGAAAGTGGCATGCCATTCTTCCCTAGGAAGCCACCTCCTCAAGTCAGTCTCCTGGTTTGAGTGGGGCTGCCCCGCCCCCCACCCACTCCAGAGGTGGGCATGTGATCCAGGCCTGGCCACGCAGAGTCTCCATGATTGGTCTAGGGATGGGCACATGACCTCAGGGCCAAAGACAGTCCAGGGACCCCCAAAATCACTGGCAAAGAGGCTTGCTCCGTCTTTCCACCAAGATGGCTCTGCCCAGGGGCTAAACCTCCCCCCTCCCCGCAAGAATGGAGGTGAAGGATGAAGACAGAGCTAGGAGGAGGAGGAGAGGCTGTTTGGAGTTCGGGCAGTCTTTGCTGCTGCTAGGACTTCCCCTGGAGTTTCCAGGCTAGAGGCCACAGTGGATTTTCTGCTTACATTAATCTGCACTGGGCATTTCTCACCGCCCTCGCAAGGTCTCTGACCATCCCAGGCGAACTGAGCTATGGAGCAAGAAGCAAGAGCGGAGGTAGCGGAGGGGCAGGCAGCGAGGAAGGCCGGGAGCCAGGCAAGCTCGGGAAGAAGCAGCGCAGACCCAGAGCAGGCAGAAAGATTGGGAGGATGAGTGCGGGGGTGGGAGGGAACTGGCCTGGCAGCACAGACACCCCGTGGCCCTCTGGAAAACAGCTCTGAGGGAGGAAAGGCCAGGCCAGGAGGCTGGGAAGAAATGAGGAGGGGAGGCTGGGTGGAGAGATCCCATTCTGGAAAGCCGTGGGGGAGGAAGGGGAGAAGGGACAGTAGCCTGAGGTGGGAGGGCCAGGGAAGGGGGTGTTTCAGAGAGAATGCCTGAGTGCCAGAGTGGGGAGGGTTGGGAGAAGAGCAGGACCCCAGGAAGGCCCACACCCTGAGGTTATAAGGAAGAAACTGGGTGCTGTTTCTGGCCTTCCAAGTCTGCTGGCCACCTTGTGAGATGTTTGGAAGCAGGAAGCCCGAACCAGAGTGGAACCTTTCTTCTCAGGCCTGTCAGGATACCTGGCAGGGAACTGGGGCCACAAAAGAGCCCTCTCTGAGTCACAAGTGGGCAACCATGTCATTTGCAACCTGCAAGCAATCCCACGAGAGGTGAGAATCTAAACAACCTCCTCAGAAGCCAAGAGCACCTGCCCCGAGCCAGCCTGCCTGGGTTCAAGTCCCAACTCTGCCACTTTCTAGCTGGGTGAATGCAGGAAGCCTATTAACCTCTCTGGGCCTCCGTTTCCTCATCTGTAGAATAGGAGTAACCTTAGTACCTGCCACACCAGGCTGTTCTGAGGTATGACCAAGATAAGGCACGTCGAGCGTGGTGACTGCTATCCAGCCAGTGCCAGTGTTGAGTCCATTGTCCCTGGGTTATGAGGACACGACGACAGGAAGGAACAAGCGTTTCCGAGAGGAACAAGAGCAGACACGGCAACCATAATTCTCCTATGCATTTGTCCAACAGATGGCTGGGGAAAGAAAGCACTGCAGCTGAAGCTCCCATGGCCCATTCATGAGGATCCACACACAGCAGGGAAGCATTTTTAGCTTCCTCGCCAGACACGCGCCACTCCCCACTCCCATCCCTGGGGGGCAGGAGGTGGGTCTGAGCAGAAAACCACAAGCCTGTGGGAGGAGGGAAGTGTTCTCCCACTACACCAGAGTGGGCTGAGGCCTGGGAGCACCTGCCAGGAGCCTCCTGATGGGATGGATGCTCTTTTCCTCATCCCCTTCTACTTGCTGGAGAGAACAGTAGCTTCAGAGGCAGAACATGGTTTGATGGGGGAAGGGAGGGATGGGTGACCAGCGGGAGGAAAGAAGCTGAATTTAGGGAGGGAAGCTGGTCTGTAAAGCATAGCCTCAGAGCCGGCAAAGCAGAAATACTGCTGACTCTCCTGGCTGTTCACGGACCGGAGGGGAGAAAGTTAAGAGTTTGCACTTACTCCACTTGCAAAAGCATTCAACTACAGAGGCGGAGGGACGGAGGCCTGGGTTCAAATCCTGCCCTGCCAACTCTCCACATCGTTGCAGTGCTTTATGCTGCGATTTTAGGCCAACTGTTTACAAAAGCAATGAATGAATGTCTACAGGCAGCGCTCAAGGAGTAATTTTAGTTTTGTGTGTGTGTGTGTGTGTGTGTGCGCGCACGCGGGTTCTCAGTATCACCCATCCTCTAGTAGTCACACCACAAATACCCTTTGAATTGAACTAAATGCAAAATATAATTTGATTATGGAAGCAGTTAAGGAAAGAAACACCCACATGATCCCTGGCACAATTTTGTACTTTTTATTTATTTCGCAAACAATCATGTAGCTTGTACAGGCACTGTTCTGAGCATTTTATACATACTGACTCACTTATCCTCGCAACAGCACTGTGAGAGTGCAGGTGAGGAAACCAAGACCCCCAGAGATTAAGGAACTCGTTCCAAACCACACAGCCAGGAAGCAGCCGTTCAGGGATTCGAACCCACACCGTCGGCCGGGCGCAGTGGCTCACGCCTGTAATCCCAGCACTTTGAGAGGCCAAGGTGGGCAGATCACCTAAGGTCAGAAGTTAGAGACCAGCCTGGCCAAAATGGTGAAAACCCCATCTCTACTAAAATTACAAAAAATTAGCCAGGCGTGGTCGTGGGCGCCTGTAATCCCAGCTACTCAGGAGGCTGAGGCAGGAGAATCTCTTGAACCCGGGAGACGGAGGTTGCAGTTAGCTGAGATTGTACCACTGCACTCCAGCCTGGGCAAAAGAGGAAGATTCTGTCTCAAAAATAAATAAATAAATAAATAAATAAATAAGTAACCCACACCGTCTGGCTCAGGGTCCACGCCGTAACCTCCGGGCTGTGCTGCCGTTGTCCGAAAGCTTGCTTCCAACTAAAGACCAGAGATGGGAGGGAGTCGCATTCTCCAATCTCTTTAAAAGGTCCCATTACCAACATCACAGAGCCTCTGCCACTACCGAAGGGTTTATGGCGATGCCTGCCACGTGGTCTTTCTTTTCATGGTTCACAAGCCACAGGGAAGTGCCTAAGGCACACAAATCTTAAGTATACAGTCTGATGATTTTTCACGCGGGTACACACCTGCATAACCCCCTCCCAGATCAACAAATGTCTACAGAGACATTTTCAGCTCCCAGCAGTCCGGGTGGTGTGCCCCTCCCCATCAGTGGCTATCTAGCCCCAAAAGCTAATCTCGATTCTGACATTCACACCATAGATTAGTTTCGCCTTGTCTAGGATTTCTAAATGGAATCATATGGTGTGTACTCTTTTGCATCTGATTCTACTCGTCAAATTAAAAATCACATAAAATCAGCACACGGGCAGACAATGATAGCGGGAGAAAGGAGGGCGCGGCTGAGTTTCTTTCCCTTCCAAGCAGCCCCCTAGCCTGTTCGTATTTGGGCTCAGTGACTGATCAAAGGGGACAGTGGGAAGAGCTGGATGGACACTGGAGTTTGGAAACACAGGAGTTGACCTTAGAAAACCAGTGGACCGCAGGGGGCAAAAGAGCTGCCCCGCCTGGAGAAGGCATTGTAGGATGGCGGAGGCAGGTGGGTCACTTCTGTTGCTTCGGATGTCCAGAGGGGAGAAGGTTTTATGAGGCCTTAAAACGCTCACACCGGGTTCCTCCCACGCCATGCGCCAGGGGCACCCCATGTGGCCACCGGTTCCTCCCGGGTTCGCTCTGGCCGGGGCTCCCCGGGTGCAGACAACCTCCCAACGACCGCGCATCCGCCCGGCAGGCGCGCCTCCCTACCTGTGCACTGCTGGATGAAGTGCTGGTACTCCGCTCCCTGCTCGCCGGGGACGATGGTGGAGCCGTCATATTTAAAAGTCACCCTTTGGGTTGGGAGAAGAAAAAAACACACACACACATCAGCGCTGGTGGCCGCGCGACGCGGCGCTTGCAGAGGACAATCTAACAGACGCGCTGGCCACGGAGAAGCCCGCGGGGGCCTGGCACGCCGTCCCGGAATAAGGCGAGGAAGACAGCGCGGGAGGCCCGAATCCGTCCCGCCTGGAGGCCGGCTCGGTGCACGAGGCCCCGCGCGAGCCCGGGGAGCGGGGCGTGGAGACGAATGAAAAGTTCCTACCAGATGACGGCCGAGCCGTCGTCGCGCACCAGGTTGTACGCCGCCCGGCAAGCCTCTTTGTCGATCTTGGTGGCCATCGCCGCGGAGCCGCAGCGGGACACTGTCCGGGGCGGCCGAGCGCGCCCCTGGCCGGCGGCGGGGATGGGAGCGCGGCGGGTACGCGCCGAGGGCGCACGGGCTGGCGGCGGTGGCGACGGCTACGCGGCGCCTGCAAGCTGCGAGCGCGGCGGCGGCTTCCACTGCGGACGGAGAGCGCGCGGGGACCCCAGGCCGTGGCCCGCCCCGCCCCCCCGCGCCCATTGGCCGCCCAGGCGGCGGCCCGCCTCTTCATTGGCCGTCGGGCTGCGGGGGCGGAGCGTCTTGATTCTCTGGCGGCCAATCCCAGACCGGAAGGCTTGCGCAACTCCGCGGTGGGGGCTGGAGTAGGGGCTTTGCCTCCTCCCTCTCACTCTCCCTCCTCCCTCCCGCTCTCTTCTCCCCCAACATCCCTCTTCTCTCTCCTTCTCCTTCTCACTTCCCCTCCTCCCCTCCCGACCCCTCCCTGGAAACTCCCACTACCCCAACCCCCTTTCCCACCCCGCCTTCCTCCTCTCCCTCCTCCTTCCTCTTCTTCCCCCACTGCTTGCTTCCCCCACTTCCCTGACCTCTTCCCCCTCCCTTCCCTCCCCCTCTTTCTCCCTTCCCCCTTTATTCTTCTTCCTCTCTCCTCCTCCCTCTTCTTGCCTATCCCAGCCCAAAACTTCTCCATCCTCCCTATTTCCTTCTCCCCAAGCTCTCCTCTTTCCTCCTCCTTGACCCCCTCCCCTGCTGCCCCCGGCTTCGCCTCCCTCTTCTCCACTTACCCTCCTGGCATCTCCTCCCTCCCTGTCCCCTACTCCCTCCTCCTATTCCCCCTCTCCCCCTTCCTCATTCTCCCCACCCCCCTGCCCCTGAGGCTGCAGGGCTGCAGAGCTCCACAGGGGACCTCCACGTGGATGATGTAATGCGTCAAACCCAAGGAGACAGGCTGGCCACTGTCCCTACCCCAGCGTTTGGTTCCATGGATTCTAGGTGGGGAGGAACTGGAAAGAATGAAGCATTTTAAATAGGAGGGGGTAGAAAGTGGACTGCTTCCAAAACGCTGGTGGGCTCGCGTTTACTCTGGATTCTGGTCATTTGCATTCCTATCTTAACCTCTCCCTTTGGGCTCCTCTGAAAGCACGAGCTGACTCATTCTGTCTTCCTCATTCCTTCACTGACTCATTCATTCATTCCCTCATCCAGCCATTCCACAGAGACCAGTTACAGCGTCCAGGTAGGTAAAAAGGCAGGATCCTGAAGACTGGGCTCTTGAATTGCATCCAGTACTGCCACTTTCCAACTGGGGGCCATTGGAAAGCCTCAAAACCTCTTTTAAATGACTCCTCAAATGGGAAAAATAGTATAACTGACATCACTGCTTTGTTTTAAGTGTAATTGAAATGATACTTGGAACAAATATACTAGACATTCGATAAAATGTCATCATTGTTGGTTATTAAGTGATAAAAACAAATCCTAAATAGAAACCCAAAAGGTCAGGGACAATGTCCAATTAATGTTAGAATTCTCAACAAGCAAAAAAACAAAAACGAGAAATTGAATGAATCAATCAATCAGTCAATCAATGGGTAGTTGAATGGGTGGGTGGACAGGAACACAGTTTCAGAAGAGTAGAGGCAGATGCTGTTATAAATAAGACAAAAAGAAATTCACATTTCATACCCCACAAAGCCATTCCTACCTTACTCCTTGACAAGGGTAATGGGACAATTGGCCATTAGAAAGAAGAACAAAGGTGGATCCTTTGATCAGGGAAAATTCCAAAAGGATCAAAAATTTAAACACAAATAAAGGAAATCAGACCAGTCGCAGTGGATCACTCCTGTAATCCCAGCATTTTGGGAGGCTGAAGTGGGAGGATCTCATAAGCTCAGGAGTTCGAGACCAGCCTGGATAACAGGGGGAAAGCCCATCTCTACTAAAAATACAAAAATTAGCCAGGCGTGGTGGCAGACGACTGTAATCCCAGCTACTTGGGAGGCTGAGGCAGGAGAATCGCTTGAACCCGGGGCGGGGGGCAGAGGTTGCAGTGAGCTGAGATCGCACCATTGCACTCGAGCTTGAGCGATAAAGCGAGACTCTGTCTCAAAAAAAGGAAATCACAAAAGTGCCAGAAGAAAATATGGGGAGCTTCCTTCTAACCATAAACCATGTTACCCAAATCCAAATCCAAAAGCCATTGAAAAGATGAATACATTCAAACACATAAAAAGTGATCCAGGAAAAAAAAAAAAAAACATACCATACCACCTCATGCAAAGTGTAAACATAAAAAGACAAAGCAGTAAAAAGTGTTTGCAACTCAAGTAAAGAATTAGTCTTGCTAAAATATAGAGAAGTCAAACTTAAAAAAAAGAAAATGAAAAGAACAATGGGCACAGAATATGACCAGACAGATTAAATGATCTTAAACATGCAAAAAGATGCTCAACCTCAACTCCTAGTAAGAGAAATGCAAATTAAAGCAAAATTGAGATACCTTTAAAAAATAAATAAATAAACTAGCAGTTTGGTAAAAATAAAAAACTTTGACAAGCCTACTTTGCTGGGGAGGCTGTGGAAGACCCAGGTCCTCTTGTACATTGCTGGTGGGAGTGTGAATTGACACAACCCCCATGGAGCCGCCGTAGAGGCCAGTTGGCAATGTCTAGCAAATTTACAAGTCTGTGTGCCCTTGATCAATCCATTTACCCTATAGGGTCAGTGGTGCCCAGCCATGGCTGGACATGGGAATCACCAGGGTCCCCTGATCCCACACCCAGACATTCTGATATAATTGGTCTGAGATATGCCCTGGGTATGGAGATTTTTTTTTTTTTTTTTGAGAAGGAATCTCACTCTGTTGCCCAGGCTGGAGTGCAATGGCGTGATCTCGGCTTACTGCAACCTCTGCATCCCGAGTAGCTGGGGTTACAGGTGCGTACCACCACGCCTGGCTAATGTTTGTATTTTTAGTAGAGATGGGGTTGGCAGGCTGGTCTTGAACTCCTGACCTCGTGATCTGCCCGCCTCGGCCTCCCAAAGTGCTGAGATTACAGGCATGAGACACCGCACTCGGCATTTTTTTTTTTTTTTTTAAAGGCAGGGTCTTGCCTGCCTCAAAAAACTCTGTCACCCAGGCTGGAGTACAGTGGTGCAATCTCAGCACACTGCAGCCTTGACCTCCCAGGCTCAAGCGATCCTCCCACCTCAGCCACTCAAGTAGCTGAGACTACAGGCACGTGCCACCACGCCTGGCTAATTTTTGTATTTTTTTGTAGAGACAGGTTTTTGCCATGTTGCCCAGGCTGGTCTGGAACTCCTGAGCTCAAGTGATCTGCCCGCCTTGGCCTTCCAAAGTGCTGGGATTAGAGTTGTGTGCCACCCGTATGGGGATTTTTGTAAAGCCCCCTGAGTGATGCTTACGTTCGACTGGGGCTGAAAGTCACTGCTATAGATAATAGATACACTTGTATGTGTGCAAAATATATCCAGGGTTATTCATTGAGCTTTACTTTTAAGGCAGAAGGTGAGGGCTAACCTGAGTCCCCATCAGTGAGGGGCTAGATGAATAGGTAATAACGCTGGTGAACCATGCACGACTATGAAGCTGTAAAAGAAAGAAAGGATGAGGACCCTCTCTAGATGCTGGTATGGAACATTCTACAAGATAGATCATGAATACGCAAAGCTAGCTACTGAATAGTGTGTTCAGAACAACACTACCTTTTGGGTAAAATGGGGTGGGTGTTAATATTGTATTTGTTTTGTTTTTTTCAGAGGGAGTCTCGCTCTGTCACTCAGGCTGGAGTGCAGTGGCGCGATCTCGGCTCACTGCAATCTCTGCCTCGCGGGTTCAAGTGATTCTCCTGCTTCAGCCTCCTGAGTAACTGGGACTACAGTGCACGTCACCACGCCCGGCTAATTTTTGTATTTTTAATAGAGACAGGGTTTCACCACGTTGGTCAGGCTGGTGTCGAACTCCTCATCTCAGGTGATCCGCCCGCCTTGGCCTCTCAAAGTGCTGGGATTACAGGCGTGAGCCACCACGCCCAGCCTGCATTTGTTTATATTGGCATTGGCATTGAAACTTCTGGTAGAGAACACAAGAGAAAACTAACAGTACCTGTGGTGGAGGTGAAGCAGAAAGTCAGGCAAAAAGGGTTAGGGATTGGGGTAGGAGGGTGGTGGGTGTTACTACATACCTTCTTGTTTTAGTTTAGTTCTCGACCACGTGAATGTATTATCTGTTCAGAATGCTAAACTACCACCCAGAAACGTGGCTGCCATACTGAATTCAATCCTCAGTCTCCATGGTTCAGCGTTCCTGGAGGAATCCTATGAATGTGTAGGGAACTGGGAAGCCCCACTTCAGTCCTCCTTTCATTGCTGTTCTCTTTCTAGTCATTGTTGCGATCGCCCTCTACTGGACCGAAAGTGTAAGGGATTGGTTTGAAAGAGAACCCTGATTTTGAGCACCTTGCTGTCCATTTGCCCAGCTAAAGGAGAAAAATAAACCTCATATCAGAAATAAATATTCTGTGTAAATATTTGTTTAAATTGCAATCCATGTGATATAAAACAATCTAATTCAATTCATGTTTCTTTAAGAGAAATCAAAGTATTTGACACTTAACTATGTGCTATGCACTGTGTTAAGAACTGGGGAAGTAGGCCAGGCGCAGTAATCCCAACAATTGGGAAGGCCGAAGCAGAAGGGTTGCTTCAGCCGAAAATTTGGAGACCAGGCTGGTCAACATGGCAAAGCCCTGTCTCTAAATAAAAATAAAAATAAAAGCTAGTCAGGAATGGTGGCAGGTGCCTGTAATCCCAACTCGCGAGAGGCTGAGGTGGGAAAATTGCTTGAACCAAAAAAGATCAAGGCTTCAGTGAGCTATGATCAGGCCACTGCACTCCAGCCTGGGCGACAGAGCAAGACTCTGTCTCAAAAAAAAAAAAAAAAAGGAATTGGGAATTGCTATAAATTAATCCATCCATTCATTCATTCTTTCCTGGCACTGAGCCTATTTCGTGTCCAAGGCGGGGTCACAAACTTACTTGCCTGTAGGGGGCAGGCATGGAATGTAAATGAACCAAGCACAGACCATGTAAGAAAATTTGTTCTGGAAAAGGTGATCCTCTCTGTTCTGTCTTCCTCCAGGTGAAAGTTTCATGCTCAGAGCAGCTTCCTCATCCAAAGAGAGTCACTGGTTCTCAGCTCTGCCATAGTTGCTATGCACAATGCCAAGCTTCTGGTTGTTTCAGCAAAGCAAAAAATCTGGATGTCTCTGAGAAATCTCTTATTCCTACATTTTGGTGATAAAAATGCACACAAGAGCTATTTGTGTGCAAATGTGAACTAGACTAATATCTCCCAGTCCTCTCAGGGCTTAAAGTCTATTATGGGTGACAAGCATTTACTTCACTGTGGACACTGTTGGTTGTCAGCAACAGAAAACTCAATTCAAATGGGCTTGAACAATGGAAAAAAAAAAAGTAAAGACCTGCTGACAAGAGTCCAGATGAAGGTGGAATTCAGGCATGGTTTACTCCTGGCTCTGTAGCTCTGCATGTCTCTACTTTGCCCTCCTTTGTGTATCAGTTTCATCTTCAAGCAAATTCTACCCCTCTGCTTGGCACACCCCATCCCAAAATCTGAATGGCTAACTTCTCATTCTGACCTCAAATGTTACCCCCTCCCTCAGAGGGGCTTTCCCCAGCATCCCAAAGTTTAAAAGTCCCCCTCTGTAACCCTCCTCCAGCCACTATCCCATAACCATTTTTTGTTTTCCGTAGTACTCACTAATCACTATCTGAAATTACCTTTTTCATTTATCCCTTTACTCGAATATTGTCTATCCACTCCTAGAACATCAGGTCTATGAGGGCAGGAATAACGTTCATCTTGCTCATCATTGAATGCCAGTTCCCGGCACAGCACCAGTCCCAGACAGACACACAACTTGTTGTTGAATGGAAGGATGCAGAGCGACAGGGAGTGCAGAGCCAAGGAAGGTGGTATGGACAAAAGCACAGGCATAGAAATCAATGGAATAGAACTGAGAGTCCAGAAATACACTCTTACATTTATGGCCAATTTTTTTTTTTTTTTAGAAAGTCTCACTCTTTCTCCCAGGCTGGAGTGAAGCAGTGCAATCTCGGCTCACTGCAGCCTCCTCCCCTTGGGTTCAAGCAATTCTCGTGCCTCTGCCTCCTGAGTAGCCGCCACTATGTCCCGCTAATTTTTGTATTTTTAGTAGAGATGGGGTTTCACCATGTTGGCCAGGCTGGTCTCAAGCTCCTGACCTCTGGTGATCCACCCATCTTGGCCTGCCAAAGTCCTGGGATTATAAGCATGAGCCACCGTGCCCGGCCTGGTCAATTGATTTTTGACAAGTGTACCAAGACAGTTCAATGGAAAAAGAACAGTCTTTCAATAAACAGTGATGAGACAACTTGATAGCACATGCAAAAGAATGGAGTTGGACACTTACCTCACACCATATACAAAAATTAACTCAAAGTGGATCACAGACGTAAACATAAGAGTTACCCTTAGATGAAAAGATAGGCATAAATCTTTGTCATATTAGATTAAGCAAAGATTTCTTAGCTGTGGCACAAAAAGCAGGAGTGATTAAAAAAAACTGGATAAATTGGACTTCATCAAAACTAAATTGTTTTCCTTTTTTCTTTTCTTTTTCTTTTTTTTGAGATGGAGTTTTTTGTTCTTGTCACCCAGGCTAGAGTGCAATGGCTTGCTCTCGGCTCACTGCAACTTCTGCCTCCCAGGTTCAAGAGATTCTCCCACCTCAGCCTCCCGAGTAGCTGGGATTACAGGCGCCTGCCACCACGCCCAGCTAAGTTTTTGTATTTTTAGTAGAGACGGGGTTTCACCATGTTGGTCAGGCTGGTCTTGAACTCCTGACCTCAGGTGATCCACCCACCTCGGCCTCCCAAAGTCCTGGGATTACAGACATGAGCCACTGCACCCAGCCAAAACAAAAACTTTTTGTGATTCAAAGGGCACCATTAAGAAAGTGAAAAGACAATACACAGAAAAGAAGAAAGTACGGGCAAAATCATATCTGATAAGGGCCTAGTATCCAGAATATTAAAAACAAAAACCTTTTACAACTCAACAATAAAAAGGCAAATAGCCCAATTTAAAAATACACAAAGAATTTGAAGAAAGATTTCTCCAAGGAAGTTTTACAAATGGCCACTAAGCATATGGAAAGATGTTCAGTGTCATTGGTCATTAGGGAAATGCAAATCAAAAGCACAAGGAGGCCGAGAGCAGTGGCTCACGCCTGTAATCCCAGCACTTTGGGAGGCCGAGGCCGGTGGATCACTTGAGGTCAGGAGTTCCAGACCAGCATGACCAACATAGAGAAACCTCGTCTCTACTAAAATAAAAAAAATTAGCCAGGTGTGGTGGTGGGTGCCTGAAATCCCAGCTACTTGGGAGGCTGAGGCAAGAGAATCACTGGAACCCAGAAGGCAGACGTTGCAGTGAGCCACTGCACTCCAGCCTGGGCAGCAGAGCAAGACTCCATCTCAAAAAAAAAGCACAAGAGATACCACTTCACACCAGAAGACAGACAGACAATAACCAGTATTGGTGAGGATGTGAAGACGCTGGAACTCTCACACAGTGCTTTTGGAAATGGAAAATGGTGCAACTGCTTTGGAAAACAATTTGCCAGTTTCTCAAAATGTGAAACATAGAGTTATTATGTGGCCCAAGAATTCCACTCCCAGGAATATACCCAAGAGACAGGAAAACATATGTCCGCATGAAAACTTGTATGTGCATGTTCATAGCAGCATTATTCATAATGGCCAGAAAGTGGAAACCTAAATATCTGTCAGCTGATGAATGGATAGACAAAAGTGGTTTATCTGTATAATAGGATATTATTCAGCCATACGAAGGAGTTAAGTATTGATTCATTCTACGACATGTACGAACCTCAAAAACATTATGCTAAGTCAAAGAAGCCAGTCACGAAAGACCACACATCGTATGATTCCATTTATATGTAAAGTCCAGAATAAGCAAATCTATGGAGACAGAATGCCGATTGGTGGCTGCAGGGTCGGGGGAGGAAGAATGGGGAGTGGCTGCTAGTGAGTGTGGGGTTTCCTTCAGGGGTTGAAGAAAATGTTTTCAAATTCAATAGTGATGATGGCTGCACAACTTTGTGAATTTGGTTGCACTAAAAATCACTGAATTGTACACTTAAAAGTCATATATATATATGCATACATACATACATATATATATATATATTTGAGAGAGAGTGCAGTGGCGTGATCTCAGCTCACTACAGTCTCCGATCCTGGGCTCAAGCGATTCTACTGCCTTCCAAGAAGTTGGGATTACAGGTGTGCAACACCATACCCAGTTAATTTTTGTATTTTTATTATTTATGTTTTATTATTTATTTATTTATTGAGACAGAGTCTCACTCTGTCGCCCAGCTGGAGTACAGTGGCGCCATCTTGGCTCACTGAAACCTCCACCTCCCTGGTTCAAGCGATTCTCCCGCCTCACCTTCCCTAGTGGCTGGGATTACAGGTGCACACCACCAGGCCCGGCTAATTTTTGTATTTTTAGTAGAGACGGAGTTTCGCCATCTTGGCCAGGCTGGTCACGAACTCCCGACCTCTGGTGATTCGCCTGCCTTGGCCTCCCAAGGTCCTGGGATTATAGGTGTAAGCCACCAGGCCCAGCCAATTTTTGTGTTTTTAGTAGAAACTGGGTTTTGCCATGTTGGCCAGGCTAGTCTCAAACTCCTGACCTCAAGTGATCCACCCGCCTCAGCCTCCCAAAATGTTGGGATTACAGGGGTGAGCCACCACGCCTGGCCAAAGTCTTATATATTTTTTAAGCTCAGCAAAATACTAGTCCCAAAATTATATTTTTGAACTAAAAAAAGAGAATCACAGAAAGCTCCCAGGTTTTGGGCTGAGCATCCAGGTGGGAGGTTGATGGG
Source organism: Homo sapiens (assembly GCF_000001405.40). NCBI lineage: Eukaryota > Metazoa > Chordata > Mammalia > Primates > Hominidae > Homo > Homo sapiens. The sequence continues at coordinate 84,626,900 of NC_000016.10, forward strand.
GTGGCAGTGCTGCATCATGCTTGGGGTCACTGCATTTGAGCTGCTGGTAGGACATGACAGTGGAGACGTCCAGCAGCCAGACGGGTCTGAGACTCAGGACAGAGCCTGGCTTGGAGATATGGTTCTGGGAGCCACAGGGCTCTCGGTGGTGATTAGGCCACGAGGGTGTGTGAGTTGGCCCATGGAGGATGCTTAGGTGGAAGAAGAAGGTCTGGGGCAGAGCTTCAGGGAACACCAGCATTTATGGGGAAAGGAGCCTGCAAAGAAGACAGGATTGTCCAGAGGGGGAGGAAGACTTTTTTTCCTTTTTTTTTTTGAAACAGATTCTCACTCTGTCACCCAGGTGCAGTGGCTCACACTTGTAATCCCAGCACTTTGGGAGGCTGAGGCGGGTGGATCACTTGAAGTCGGGAGTTCGAGAACAGCCTGACCAACATGATAAAACCCTGTCTCTACTAAAAATACAAAAATTAGCCAGGTGTGGTGGCACACATCTGTAATCTCAGCTACTTGGGAGGCTGAGGCGGGAGAATCGCTCGAACCCAGGAGGCAGAGGTTGCAGTGAGCCAAGATCGCGCCATTGCACTCCAGCCTGGGCAACAAAAGCAAACCTCCATCCAAAAAAAAAATTATATAATTATAACATATATTAGTAATAGTAACCATATTCCATATCATATATGTTATATAGTAACCACATTATGTAAAACTAATAATAGAAATGTCTTCCTGGCTGGGCACAGCAGCTCGCGCCTGTCATCCCAGCACTTTGGGAGGCCGAGGCATGCAGATTATGAGGTCAGGAGTTCGAGACCAGTCTGGCCAACATAGTGAAACCCCATCTCTACTAAAAATAAAAACAGCCAGATGCAGTGGTGTGCGCCTGTAATCCCAGCTACTCAGGAGGCCGAGGCAGGAGAATCACGTGAACCCGGGAGGTGGAGGTTGTAGTGAGCTGAGATCGCACCATTGCACTCCAGCCCCAGGCAACAGTGCGTGCGAGACTCTGTCTCAAAAAAAAAAAAAAAAAAGAAACGTCTTCCTCTATATTGTGCGCTATGTGCCAGGCTGCATGCTACGTGCCTGATGGCTATGTTCCCAGTGAATTCTCACATCGACCCGAGGAGATGCTGCAACTGTTCCCCCAACACAGATGAAGGAACCCAGGCCTCAAGACAGGAAGGCACCTCCGCATGTCTGAACATTTTTGAACCCAGGGTCTTGGCCTCTACACCAAGAAGTAGCGTTTGGGGACCTTGACATTGAACCAGGGTGGCTCACTACATGTGCCCTGAAGCAACTGAAAAATCTGTGCCGGCTTTTTAAGAACCTGGTTTTTGCATGGACTTTATTTCTTTCATTGCAAAAACCTCACAGACTCTTTAAGGTCAGCGTCCTGGTTTCCACTTTTTCTTTCGGGCTACCAATTAAAAAAAAAAAAAAAAAAAAAAAACAACACCTGAGCTGTAATTGGAGCCTGGGAATAAAACATAACCCTGAAACTTGCTTTTCTCAGCAAGGTAGTTGTCATTCTGAAGCAGGTGTCTTACACGAAATGGCTATTTATAGAAAATGATATTTATGCAATCTGTGCTGATCTCACTGACTGTCAAATCTCTGAAAAGGGGCTCGCAGGAACAGTGGAAGATGCAGATGTGGAGCCCCTGAATGAGGGAGTGTCAAACGGCACTCTTGAGTGCTCCTCCCCAGGCACCACGACCTGGGGCTTCAGCCTCCAGTGAGGAAGGGCAGGGAGGGGTCACAGGTAGCCCAGGTCGCTTAGCCAGGAAGTGTGCTCCAATGGTTAGGGGCTAGGGCAGCTGCTCACCCAAACCCTGGCTCTGCCATACCCCTGAGCTCCAGTTTTCTCTTCTGTGAATGGAGCATCTCTCATGGAGGGTTTTTATTTTTTGAGGATCACAGTAAAAAATTCATGTAAACATATGTAATGATAGCAGGTGTTTTAAGCGCTAGCTTCCCAAACCAGTATATCTGTATGCAACTTCCCAAACCTGTATATCTGTATTCAACTACATTACCGAAAGTAGCACGCCATGCTAGACTTCACCCTGGAAAACAGAAACTATCAACTATATAAAAGTAGGAGGCCGGGCGCGGTGGCTCACGCCTGTAATGCCAACACTCTGGGAGGCCGAGGCAGGCAGATCACTTGAGGTCAGGAGTTCAAGACCAGCCTGTTCAACATGGTGAAACCCCCATCTCTACTAAAAATACAAAAATTAGCCAGGCATGATGGCAAGCACCTGTAATTCCAGCTACTCGGGAGGCTGATGCAGGATAATCATTTGAACCTGGGAGGCGGAGGTTGCAGTGAGCCTAGATTGCACCACTGCACTCCAGCCTGGGCAATAGAGCAAGAGTCTATCTCAAAAAACAAACAAACAAAACTAGGAAAAAATGAATGCAAGGTATTGGCATTGGCTACATCAGGGACAAGCAAGCTGAAAAGCTGAGCAGGTTGGTGAAGCCCCCCAAGACTGGCCACAGCACAGAGATTAGCAAATGACCCTCAGCCAGAAGAACAGGGGAAGGAGGGGGGACCCTGGAGACCAGGACCTAGCGTCACCCAGGGATTGCTGGAGTGCAGAGCTGTGGCTGCTGGAGATTTGCTCCAGAGAGAGGTTGAAATACCCCCGCCTTTTCTTCCTTCCTGCCCTCCAGCCGGGAGCCACTGACCAGGGACTTAGGAACACAGCCTGAAAGGGTGACACCTCCCCACCCCTCCACCTCCCCACCGCAGACCCCAGCATCACAGCAATTCCCAGCAGAGCAGGCTGGGCAAGGGGGAGGAGCAGGTCTAACAAGCCCTATAGCGGGACTCACACCCCAAACAAGGGTGCTGTACCGTAAGCTGCTGAACCACACTTTGCGGCAAGAGAGAGCTCCTCAGAAACGGGAGACGGTTCTCAGGTCTCAGGGCCTCAGGAAGCCTCTCTTCTGCACGATAAACCCACACCCATAGCTTCTCCTCCCCTCCTAAGCCCGCTCTGTGTCAGCTAAGTCCCCGCTTAAGCACATCAGAACACAATTCCCAAAGTGTGGTCCATGAGACCTGAGAACCGTCTCCCCATTCCTGAGGCGCTCTCTCTTGCCGCAGATGGTCATCTTCCTGCATGAACCTCTGGAGAGCAGAACAAAACCAGTTACAGAGAGACAGTGTTGGGGTCAACATAAAGAAGGTCTTTCCAATTGAGACCAAATACACTCCTCTGTGAGGTAGTGAGTTCCCGGTGAGAGCAAAGGGCTCTGAGAATTTTATTTATGTATTTATTTATTTATTTATTTATTTATTTATTTATTTTTACTTCTAATAGTACTTTGCTTTTTTTTTCTTTTTTTTTTTTTGAGACTGCGTCTCACTCTGTCACCCAGGCTGGAGTGCAATGGTGTGATCTGGGCTCACTGCAACCTCCACGTCCTGGGTTCAAGGGATTCTCCTACCTTAGTCTCCCAAGTAGCTGGGACTACAGACATGTGCCACCACGCCCGGCTAATTTTTGTATTTTTAGTAGAGACAGGTTTCACCGTGTTGGCCAGGCTGGTCTGAAACTCCTGACCTGAAGTGATCCGCCCACCTTGGCCTCCTAAAGTGCTGCGATTACAGGATGAGCCACTGCGCCCAGCCTCTAATAGTACTTTGGAAAGAATTTTTTTTTAAAACAGGGTCTCACTGTGTTGCCCAGGCTGGAGTGCAGTGGCGTCATCATGGCTCATGGCAGCCTCGAACTCCCAGGCTCAGGTGATCTTCCCACCTCGGCCTTCCAGGCGTGCACCACCACACCCAGCTAATTGTTTGTATTCTTTGTAGGGACGAGGTTTCACCATGTTGCCCAGGCTGGCCTCGAACTCCCAGGCTCGAGCAATTCACCCACCTTGGCCTCCCGGAATGCTGGGATTACAGGTGTGAGCCACGGCACCCAGCCAGGAGTCAATTCTTGACTTAGTGGCTGTGGCCATTCTGAACTGGTTTCTCCTTTTGCTGGATCAAAGAAGTTACGGTGACACAAAGGATCTTGTATCATTCATTGAGTTTTTACACTTGCTTTGTAAAAACTCTCTGTTCTATTTCCCACTACCAGGCTGTAAGTTTCCCGCAGACAGACTTGTTTATCTGTGTGACTTTAGGCAAAAAAAAAAAAAAAAAAAAAAAGCAAGAGAGAAAGAAAATCTGAGGTTTTGGTTTTACCAAAACCACACAAATGTACCGCAGAAGTCCTTTAAACAGTAATTTTTCCCAGAACAATAAAAATATAATTTTAGGTTCATACGTGTTTGTTTCTGAAACACTTACTACATGCTGAAGGAGAAAGTATTACACTGGGGAGGCCCACAGAGAGGAAGAAATTAATGTGAGCAACGTGCAAATAAAAGGCCACAATTATCTGCAGCATTTGCTAAAGTGAGCGAGCATGCCTTTGGCTCTAAAGTAAGCCTGCCCTTGACTGTAAGCCTATAACAGCGGCATGCAGTAGGTAAAGAAGTATTGTTTAAGTTAATTAACACAGAATACCCCATTTAATTCAGTAAATATAATAAATTAATGATCTTTAGTTCCATATTTGGGCATAGGTAGAGAAAATAGCAGAGAAAAGAGAGAAAGAAATTGAAAGAATAGGAGCAAAGACAAGACAGACCTTCAGAAAGATGTGGGGCCAGGTACAGTGGCTCACACCTGTAATCCCAGCCCTATGGAAGGCCAAGAAAGGCAGACCGCTTGAACTCAGGAGCTCGAGACCATCCTGGTCAACATGGTGAAATCCCGTCTCTACAAAAAATACAAAAATTAGCCAGGTGTGATGGTGTCCGCCTGTAGTCCCAGCTACTTAGGGGTCTGAGGTGGGAGGATTGCTTGAACCCCAGAGGTGGAGGTTGCAGTGAGCCGAGATTGCACCACTGCACTCCAGTCTGGGTGACAAAGTGAGACCCTGTCTCAAAACAAAACAAAACAAAACAGAAAGATGTGGAAGCCTTCTTGTCCTGTGAAATCAGGACTTTGGTCAGTCAGCTAATTGTGAATCTAAAAAGTCAGTTAAGTCAGGGAGACACCTTAAATTCATTTATATCGTATATCTTTTTCTTGCCCTAGTATTTATGAGTGTGTCCTTTCTTTGAGAGCGGCCTGGCTGAAATAGGCGTTGTGTCTCTCTTCTCCCATAGACCACAACCGTAACCCTTCTGCTACAATTTCCCACTTCCTATTCTTTACACAAAGACACTTTCAAAATCATATATGTGCAGAATCATTCCAGGGTTCACAATTCCCTCCACCCAGCCTTCCCCAGTTTCTGCAATTAATTCGGTATCAGTTGTCTTAGTTACATCTTGAAGTCATCCAAAGTTTCATCTGAGTTTTATAGCGATTATATTCCTTCTGTTTATCCTCATGTTCCCACAACTTAAGTCACATTTAATTAAATCAATTAATGACCATAATCAACACAACTGCCACGAACAGTTTTGGGAGCAAACGCGGCTAGTTCTAGATAAGCACAGAGCCCGGGTGGTTAGGGAAGATGCTCAGGAGGAGGCTTCAGCACACTGTGTGCAGCTGCTGGCATGTTTCACAGGAGAAATGGGACAAGTCTGTTAATCTAGTGAGTGAGTTCAGCAGAAGTTGGTTAAGACAGCGTGTTAAATAAAGGCTTAATAATTAAAATTTGATTAGACATTAGAAGTTAGAGGTGTCTTTCATGCATTGGCTAATTTCATTCAATCATCCATTCATTCTTTTTGCTTGTTTTTGTTTTTGACACACAGTCTCATTGTCACCCAGGCTAGAGTGCAGTGGTGCAATCACGGCTCACAGCAGCCTCGACCTCCCAGGCTCAAGTGATCCTCCCACCTCAGCCTCCGAAGTCTCTAGGACAACAGGTACATGCCACTATGCCCAGCTAATTTTCGTATTTTTGTAGAGACAAGATCACCCTGTATTGCCTAGGCTGGTCTCGAATTCCTGGGCTCAAGTGATCCTCCTGCCTCAGCCTCCCAAACTGCTGAGATTACAGGCCTGCACCACTGCGCCTGGCCCATCTATTCATTTTTTTCATTCAACAAATATCCCCTTGGGGACCTCACAACACTAGACACAGTGCTTGCTGCAGGCTGATTGGCAGGGTCAGTATTGCTGTGCCCATTTTATTGGTGGTAAGACTAAGGCTCGGCCATTTGTTCATTGTCACACACATGGTAAGTAAAAGCAGGCTGGGTGCGGTGGCTCATGCCTATAATCCCAGCACTTTGGGAGGCTGAGGCGGGTGGATCACCTGAGGTCAGGAGTTCAAGACTAGCCCGGCCAACATGCTGAAACCTCGTCTATACTAAAAATACAAAAATTAGCCAGGCATGATGGTGCATGCCAGTGATCCCAGCTACTTGGGAGGCTGAACCAGGAGAATCACTCGAACTCAGGAGGCGGAGGTTGCAGTGAGCTGAGATTGTGCCATTCCACTCCAAACTGGGTGACAGAGCAAGACTCCATCTCAAAAATAAATAAATAAATAAATAAAGTAAGAAAAATAGTAAGTAAAAGTGCCAGCCCCTGAAGCCAGGACTCCTGATTGTAGATCCTGATACGCTCTCTATGAAATGTTGTGGGTTCAGATTGACCTTCCCTTTAGAACAGAAGTTCAGGCTCTCCAAGTTGACACCTAGAAAACAGGCCATCCTGGCAGCCGTTCCGGAGAATGACAGATAAATGGATTGAAAGTCAAAGTGTCCAGTGTAGAGAGTCAGGATGCTGAAACCAAGCAGAAGGCATATCGGGTGGAATTCTGAAGGGACTGTAAACAAGGGACTGTTTAGAGAACTGGGTTAGAAGAGCCAACAAGAGCAATTGAGACACCCAGGGGAGCAAGAATGGGCGCTGTTCCCACGCTAGGCAGGACAGATCAGGAGGAAAGCCTGTGCCTGGAGCCTGCGGAGCTGGAGTCGCGGGGGAGGGATTGTCTGGACCAAAGTCAAGTTCCTCAGAGCCTGCCTCTCCACTCGGCCTTGACCTTGGACCCATCCAGTCTTTGGTCTGCTGAGTCCCGTTTTAGTAAAGAATCCTGCTAAGTCAGTTCAGGGACGATGCCCCAACCCTTGATATCTGATCACATCCCCCATCCTCCCCACCCTTGCTGTTTAAGTTCTTGGTCTGTCTGTAGCAAGAATCCTGTGAAGTCGGTTTAGCAGGACTCCCCTCGCCCCAATGTCTTCCCTTAGTGACTTCTCATCCACTCACCCCTCACTCTGCTCACCAGCTACCAATCTCCGCTGTCTTTGCTACATTTGTTTTTGAGCTCAGTCTCTCTCCCCCATTGCAATAGTTTTGAATAAAGCATCAGAATAATTTGTCTGTTAGAAGATCGCCCAGCAGGAGCAGTGGTCATGGAAGGATGTGGCCACGGGCTGACCTCAGCCCGAAGCAGGGAGTGTGCTGGGGAGAAATGCCCCAACCTCTCTCCTGCCGGCCTCCAGTCTCCTTCCGGTGCCTCCCAGTGGCTGAACCCAACCAGAAGTCATAGGAGGAGCAGCCCAGGTGATGCCATCCTTCAAAGTCAGACAAGGTCAGAGAAAGTGGAAAATGGGGAGTGAACAGGGAATACTAGCCCACACCGCTTGCCAAAGAGTGGTGTAAGCTGCTTAATAAATAGAGTCAGGTTTCTTTCTTTTTTTTTTTTTTTTCCCAGGCTGGAGTGCAGCGGCGCGATCTCGGCTCACTGCAACCTCCGCCTCCCGGGTTCAAGCAATTCTCCTGTCTCAGCCTCCTGAGTAGCTGGGATTACAGGCGCCCGCCACCATGCCTGACTAATTTTTTGTATTTTTAGTAGAGACAGAGTTTCACCATTTTGACCAGGCTGGTCTCGAACTCCTGACAGGTGATCTGCCTGCCTCGGCCTCCCAGAGTGCTAGGATTACAGGCGTGAACCGCCGTGCCCGGCCTCTTTTTTTTTTCTTAAAATGTGAAGAATTCTCTGAGACTGACCCAAGAGACATGGCAGGGGCAGGAGGAGGACATGCCAGCCAGGGCAGTACCACTATTGGTGCCAGTACTCTCAGCCGGTCAGCGGCAGTGGGCAGGGTCAGGGAACTAATTCACAAATCTAGGAATGTTCTTAATGGTGACACCTAGACAAGAGAAGAGACTGAAGGTCAAGAAGGCACACGAGGGGATGGCAGAGATGACCCTACAGTTCCCAACCTGATTCAAGGCAGTCCCAGTAGGCATGGGACTGTGATCGTCAATCTGTTAGATGAGACACAGTGTCCTGGCGAAACACACATCCTTCGCATCTTCCTCCTGTCGCCGCACAGCTAGCGGCTCTGAGCAGGCCTCGATATTTTGTGCAAGGGCAAAATGGCAGGGACCACCAGCCAGGGCCACCGAACTCTTGTTTTCTGCCCCAGGACTTCCCAGACCCCATGGCGTGCAACTGTGAAGAGCTCTCCAGGGACTTATACATGCACAACCAGAGGATGACAGGGCTGGGCCCTTGACCAATGGGAGTGTGAAAGCCGTTAATCAAATGTGTCCCCCTTTCTTCGGGAGGCCAAGGCGGGCGGATCACTTGAGGTCAGCAGTTCTAGACCAGCCTAGCCAACATGGTGAAATCCTGTCACTACTAAAAATACAAAAATTAGCCAGGCATGGTGGCGGGTGCCTGTAGTCCCAGCTACTCGGGAGGCTGAGGCTGGAGAATCGCTCGAACCTGGGAGGCGCAGGTTGCAGTGAGCAGAGATCGTGCCACTGCCCTCCAGCCTGGGTGACAGAGTGAGACTGCATCTCAAAAACAAAACAAAGCAAACGAATAAAAAACACGAATATGTCCCCCTTTCCTCTCCTGGTTGGACAGTTCTGAGATGCATTTCACTCCCCAGGAGCTCCCACAGGATTGACCACTCGGTCACCCGAACACTGGATGGCATGACAGTGCATCCCAGACTGGATTCCCCAGTACCCTGTTCCACACCCACATCCCGCATTCCAAGTTACACGTGTTATGTAACTTGGAAAAGAAAAATACAAAGCATGCCAGTTTCCTTCCGGGAATCAACAGCATGGAAATGGCGTGGACTGGCCTCAAGTACACAGATCCATAACTCAGGGCTCTCAGCAGACAAATATGTCTTAATCCCTGAAATACTGCCACTTCTGAGTTTGGGGGATTAAAATATCATTAGATCCTCCATTTGTCAGGACGCACTTGTCACAATTGAGAGAAACAGAAGCTACGTCAGCTTAAGCCAACAGTTTTGGGGAGCAGGGGGAAGATGGGGGATTTACTGGCACAGGTAAACACCCCATAGAAAGGAGAGGTACAGAGAGACCTGGGGACTTGAGCAACATCATCTTCACCCTCTCTCTCCCTCTGTCTTGTTCATCTCTCAGTCCTGTTTCTCTGTGTTGGTCACATTTTTCTTTTCTTTTTTTTTTTTTTTCTTGAAACCGAGTCTCACTCTGTTGCCCAGGCTAGAGTGCAGTGGCACAATCTTGGCTCACTGTAACCCCCGCCTCCCAGGTTCAAGCGATTCTCCTGCCTCAGCCTCCCGTGTAGGTGGGATTACAGGCATGCACCACCACGCCCGGCTAATTTTTGTATTTTTAGTATAGATGGGGTTTCACCATATTGGCCAAGCTGGTCTTGAACTCCTAACCTCAGGTGATCCACCTGCCTCAGCCTCCCAAAGTCCTGGAATTACAGGCATGAGCCACTGCGCCCGGCCTCATATTCACTTTTTTTTTTTTTTTTTTTTTTTTGAGACGGAGACTCGCTCTGTCGCCCAGGCTGGAGTGCAGCAGCGCGATCTCGGCTCACTGCCAGCTCCGTCTCCCGGGTTCACGCCATTCTCCTGCCTCAGCCTCCCGAGTAGCTGGGACTACAGGCGCCGGCAACCACGCCTGGCTAATTTTTTTGTATTTTTAATAGAGACGGGGTTTCACCGTGTTAGCCAGGATGGTCTCCATCTCCTGACCTCGTAATCTGCCCGCCTCAGCCTCCCAAAGTGCTGGGATTACAGGCGTGAGCCACCGTGCCCGGCCACATTCACTTCTACTACAGATGACCTACAGTTCTCTTCCATGCAGAGAACTTTGAGCTTACCTCACTCCCAGTCAGTGACAGATGGAAAGAAGAGGTCTGTCTCCCAACAACTATATACAAATCCTAGGGAAGGATTCTGATTGGCCCTGCTGGGACTACATGTCCATTCTTTGGGCCAATCACTGTAGCCAAGGAATAGGCGCCTATGATTGGCTGGACCTGGCCATGTGCCCATGGGGGTGTGTTATGAGGGGTTCTCAGATGGACAGCTTCAACAGAGATTAGCAGCTGCAACAGAAACTTCTGGAAAGGCATTGAGGAGAAAGAGCTCCCTAAAGGGAGGTGCAGCTGTTGATCCATACCCCTTAGGCTTTAATCTTTGGCTGCCAGTATCTGCGACTCTGGGCCTGAGGGCTTTTCCCCAAAATCACGGAAGATCGCTCTCCCAATTATCCAGCAGGTTGCAAGTGGGGGCTAATTAATACCTGTGAGCAGCTGTCAGCCAATACTGCCAGGATGGATGTGTGAGTACCCCGACGCCCCCCTGGGTGGGATGGCTCTTCTCTATGGTATGAGGCCCCTGTTACCCTCATCAGTGACACGCTTTATCATGCCTTTAGGATCCATTCTCTCCCCTGTCTCACTTCCCCTCCCAATCAGTGCTTCCGGCACTTTCCAAATTAACTACTCAAACTTGAGGCCCAACTTCAGGGGCGGCTTTAGGGGGAGCCTAGACTAAGGAAAACTGGATTGGTGGGAGCAGGGGTCACCGCTCTGCGGGAAGGAAGACAGAACCAGTCACTGTCAGCCCCAGCCCCGCCTACTCATTCAGTCACTCATTTGTGGCATCCTAAGTCAGCTTTCTCTTCCTTTCCTTTTCTTTTCTTCTCTTCTTTCCTCTCCTCTCCTCTCCTCTCTTCTCTTCTTTTCTTTTCCCTTTCTTTTCCCCTCCTCTCTTCTCCTCTCCTCTCCTCTTTTCTTTTTTTCTGAGACAGATTCTCACTCTGTGGCCCAAGCTATAGTGCAGTGATGCAGCCACTGCTCACTGCAGCCTTGACCTCAAGTGATCCTCCCACCTCAGCCTCCTGAGTAGCTGGGACTGCAGGCACATGCCACCTCGCCTGGCTAATTTTTATATTTTTTGTAGAGATGGGGTTTCACCATGTTGCCCAGGCTGGTCTCCAACTCCTAGGCCAAAGCGATCCATCTGCCAGGGCTTCCCAAAGCGCTGGGCTTGCAGGCATGAGCCACCGTGTCCTGCCAGGCCAGGTTTCTAAGAAGCGGGACCTGAGATATGGATTCCTGTGCAGTGGTTTATTGAGGAGGGGCTCTCAGGAGACATGTATAGGGAGAAGAGGGAAATAGGGCATGACAAGGCAGGGAGAAAGCCTGGCACAGACGCGTCGCTGCAGGATCCTGGCCTCAGCCTGATCCCCAGGGAGCTGTGGAGCATGGCTAGGGCCACACGCTTGACCTCTCTACCTTGAGGCAAGGGAGCCAGACCTTTATACCCTGCTGATGGCCAGTCACGGCTGCACGCTGCCCTCGGCAACCAGGGAGCGAGGCTGGAAGCTTTCAGGCACTTTCAGTATTCTCCTACCCAAGGGGCTGGAAAGTCCCAGCAGGCAGGAGATGGGTGCAGGGGTCCAGAACTAGGGATGTGGGTGAGGCCTGGACAGCATCCTCTGCTTGTGGCTTGCAAGTGATAAGAAAAAGGAGCCTCTCAGCTGCTGAGATTTTTAAGCAGACAACAAATGTATATTGAATGTGACAAAGAGTTAGAATATGTGAGTTTCATCTTTACAAAGTTTACAATCTACTTGTGGAGTTTAAAATACAGCTACTGGCTGGTTGTAGTGGCTCATATCTGTAATCCCAGCACTTTGGGAGGCTGAGGCAGGAGGATCACTTGAGCCCAGGAGTTTGAGACCAACCTGGGCAACATGGCGAGACCTCTTCTCTGCAAGAAATTAAAAAATTAGGGGACGTTGGGCGGAGGGAGAGAGCAGAAAAGATAACTATTGGGTACTGGGCTTAATACCTGGGTGATGAAATATGTATAACAAACCCCTGTGACATGTGTTTGCCTGTGTAACAAACCTTCACATGTACCCCCAAACCTAAAATAACAATTTAAAAAATAAAATTAAAGTTAAAATTAAAAATTAGCCAGGTGTGGTGGTGTGCACTTGTAGTCCCAGCTACTCGGGAGGCTGAGGTGGGAGGATCACTTAAGCCAGGGAGGTCGAGACTGTAGTGAGCTCTGATCATACCATTGCACTCCAGCCTGGGGGACAGAGAGCAACTCTGTCTCAAAAAAAAATAAAAATAAAAATTGATATGGTTTAGCTGTGTCCCCACCCAAATCCCATCTTGAATCATAGCTCGCATAATTCTCACACGTTGTGGGAGGGACCTGGTGGGAGATAATTGAATCATGGGGGCAGTTTCCCCCATACTGTTCTCATGGTAGTGAATAAATCTCACAAGATCTGATGGTTTTTATAAGGGGAAACCCCTTTCGCTTGACTCTCATTCTCTCTTTACCTGCCACCATGTAAGATGTGCCTTTGCTCCTCCTTGCCTTCCACTGTGATCGTGAGGCCTCCCCAGCCACAGGGAAGTGTGAGTCTATTAAACCTCATTTTCTTTATTAATTACCCAATCTCAGATATGTCTTTATCAGCAGCATGATAACAGACTAATACAAAAATACAATAAAATATAGCTACTTTAATCACCCCATCCAGACACCCAACTCAGTGCTGAGTGGTTTCTGCTCTCATGGAATCCAAGGTCTGCTGCTTCCGCCCCATTTCCCACCATTCCCTGCAAGCATATTGTGGTCCAGACAGTCTGGGCTCTTCATGGGCTCAGAATGTTGCTTCGTTCTTCCAGGCCTTTGCACATGCTCTTCCCTTCACCTGGATCCCTTCTCTCCCTCATCTGCAGGGTGATCCCCCACTTACACTTTCAAATACCATTCCAACAACTCTCCTCAATGTTTATACATCATGAGTAAATTCACCTTATCCCAGGGATTCCAGGAAAGTGTAGGGTTTCTTTTTAAAGTTAGTAGAATTTACCATCCCCAGAGCAAAACAGAAAAGTCTCCAGGAGGCAGAGATGTGTGTGTGACTGACAGCAGCAGCAAGCCTGTATCAGTCACTTGTTTATGGCACCTCAGTCACCGTGCTGAGATCTATGTCATAACTTGCTAAATCCTCCCTGCAACACTTGAGGTAGGCCCTATTGTAACCCTTACCTCACAGAGGAGGAAAGGGAGGCACAGAGAGGCTTTGTAACTTGCCCAAGCTCACACAGCTGGCAAGCGGCAGAAGCAAGGGTCGATCTCAGACCATCTTTACACCAGCATGCTGTACTGAATGAATGACTGAATTAATGCAACCAGCAACACCAAAATGATGCAAGATCTAGAGAGAAGAGAGCCCTACTGAGCCAGTTCCTGCAGCGTGAGAGAAGGTCCTGGATGGCCAGTTAAAGGGTCTGGCTACAGATGGCAGAGATGGCAGTCGAGGATGGGCACCTGCTGTGTGAAGCAGGCTCCCAGGGCCCTGCAGTCCTCCTTCGCTTGGGTTCCCATGGCCAAAGGCCAGCCTCTGCCTTCCTATATCTCACGATACTGCAATTGCATGTTCATGCGCCTGCCTCTCCCACTTCAGACGCAGGGCCAGGGTTCCACTCAGCCCTTTCAGCCAGGACTGTTTGCCTCGCCTAGAAACAACCCATTTTTCTTTCTTTCTTTCTTTTGAGATGGAGTTTCGCTCTTGTCACCCAGGCTGGAGTGCAATGGCGCAATCTCAGCTCACTGTAACCGCCACCTCCAGGGCTCAAGCGATTCTCCTGCCTCAGCCTCCCAAGTAGTTGGGATTATAGGCACCCACCACCATGCCCAGCTAATTTTTGTATTTTTAATAGAGACGGGGTTTCACCGTGTTGGCCAGACTGGTCTCCAACTCCTGACCTCAGGCGATCTGCCTGCCGCGGCCTCCCAAAGTGTGGGATTACAGGTGTGAGACATCACGCTAGGCCCCATTTTTCTTTTGCCCAGGCTGGAGTGCAGTGGTACGATCTCGGCTCACTGCAACCCCTGCCTCCCGAGTAGCTGGGATTACAGGCATGCACCACCACGCCCAGCTAATTTTATTTTATTTTTATTTTTGTATTTTTAGTAGAGACAGGGTTTCACCGTGTTGGTCAGGCTGGTCTCGAACTCCTGGCCCCGTGATCTGCCCACCTTGGCCTCCCAAAGTGTTGGGATTACAGGCATGAGCCACTGTGCCTGGCCCCCATTTTTCTTAAATAAAGGAGAGAACAGGATTCAAGACTTTAGGAGCCCTGGTGAGAACACAGCCAGATCCACTCCAGAGGCAGCCGAGCAAGAAGCCACTTCCTGTCACCAGGTCAGTGTCAGAGCAGCTGCTCAGCTGACGAGGAACTGACCGTGCACTTGCTATTTCCCTAAGGAGAGGTAGGCCTGGCCTGGACTTCCAGCTTGAACTCTGCAGACAGGACCTAAGGGGTCCCAGCCTCCAGAGTTGTGTGGGACAGGCAGCTTGTCAGGGAAGGTGATGCAGGAGGTGACGTTGAAGAGGGTGACTGTGAGTTCTGAGAGGATGTGTCTGTTATTGCTGCCTGCTGCTCTGCTCCTAGAATCCCATGGGGACCTCTGAGCTTGGGGTCTGCTGTGATCAACTAACAATGGCTTCCATGGGCATGGGATGGAGAGTGAAGGCATGCATGTTAACTGTCCCCCATCCTGAGTAGCAGAGCCATGGGAGAAGGGAGCTGGGTAAATTACTAGCAATCAGCAGCGTATTAAGCACTTAGAATGTACTAGGCACCATGTTAAATGCTTTTCCTGCTCTATCTCATTTAATCCTTAAACTAACCCTAGGAGAGGAATGCTATTATTATTCCTCCTTTAGAAGGTCAGCACCATGAGGAACATAATTTTCTAATCTGCACTATTAATGCTGTGTTGTCAGCACCTAAAATAGTACCTAGCACATGGCAGACACTCAATAAGTATTTGCTGGCAAATAGATTAACTCTCATTTTGCAGATGAGGAAACTGAGGCCCAGAGTTGTACGTAACTTACTATCTCAGAGCAAAACAGAAAAGTTTCCAGGATACAGAGATGTGTGTGTGTGACTGGCAGTGGCAGCAAGTAACCAGCAAGTTGCAAGCAGCTGCGTGTGTGCCCTTCCTGCGGCAACAATGCTGGGAGGGCTTTGATCTGAGTTGCTTTGTTTTATATATGAGAGATTTGACGGGTCCAAAGGAAACGAGGCTCACACAGGGTTACCTGCTGAGCCTGGGGTCCAGCCAGGTTTGCAACCTTGAAATCCTAAGTCCCTGAGCCACTTCATTTCTATAGTTGTCAGAGAGACATGCAATCAGGTCCAGCGTGCCTTGGAGGAACAGGTTGTGGGCAATGCCAGCCTGGCTGGGGACCTCAGTGACCATTCTGTTTGAGAGTAATTCTGACCCAACAGACCCCACGACAAGAGTCAGCTCAGGCAAAACTGTGATGCACAGGAAGCCTCCTACCTGTTTCCCTCCCTCCTTCTCCATCACTCTGTCTGGGGGGCTGGTGTCTTCCTTTCATTCCAATCAAACATGATCTCTAAAAAGTGCCTGAACCTGATGAACGCTATGGTATAAATGACTACGAAAAGGTATTCATTTTTGAATCATTTCTATTTTAACAGGAATCAAAGGCTCAAGACAAAGAATACCTCTCTAAATGGCAGAAAAAGTGTCCATTTCCAAATGATTTCTGTTTTAGCAGGAATCAAAGCCTCGAGAGAAAGAACACCTCTCTAAATAGCAGAGTGTCTACCACCATCAGCAAAAGCTACAGTGTACAGGGCTTTACGTACCAGGCACTGTTCAAAGTAGTCAGCCTGTATTCATTCACGTAATTCTCACGACGGCTCCATGAGAGAGGAATAAGCGCTTCATTTAGAGATGGAGAAACTGAGGCACAACGGAGCTAAGTTGCTGGCCCAGTTCACACAGCTGGGAGTAGCCAGGTCAGGACTCCAATCCAGGCAAAGCAGAGAGAAAAATACTGGTGAGGAGGAGGGAGGAGGAAGTGGGACGTTCCAGCTGAGGAGAGGTCTTTTTTCCTTAATCTGATGTTAGGGGCCACCCAAGCACTGGGGCCAGACGCCCACCATGGCTCTGCGCATTTGCTGGTTTGGTGATCTGAGGACATCTGTTGCTTCTTGTCCTCTGGTTTAACAGTTACAAGTGTACAGGAGCATGTGGGCCAAGCATCCCGCGTGCGGACGTGATCTGGCTTGGCCTGCAGGCCTGCTCTTTCATGCCAGGCTGCAATTTTTTGAGATTACTCAACCTTCGGAAGGGAAGCTGGGCCAAGGACAGACCTTTGGTGAGAAGCAGGGGGAGTTTAGAGAATCAGCCCTCCTCCTCCTCCTCCTCCCAGCCTCCTCCCCCAGGAGACTCGGACTTGGAAACACCCAGCAGGGAAAATTGCTGCAGCAGCAGGTAGCAGTTATTATGGGACCTGGACCGCCCCTTCCAGGCCCAGCTGTTCTCTGGGAAAGCCTGGCGGCAGCTCTCACACCCTCTTCCAAATGGTCTTCAGAGGGAGACGGAGATGCTCCTCGCCCCGCCTGTTGATCTTCACCACTGCAACCTCCTGTGTCCCAGGCATGGTCAGCTTGCAGCCCTGGGGGCGGCTTCTGGTGTTCTGGTGAACTGGTTAACTGGGCACTGGCATAGATAGCCTGGGTTTCTCATCCTGGTTCACGTGCTTACCAGCTGTGTGATATCGGGTGAGTCATCTAATCATTCAGAACCTCAGTTTCCTCATCTGTAAAGTGGGGAGAACAATAGCATTGACCATAGGTTACTGTGAGGATTAGACAGGGGAGGGAGCAGAGCAGTTAGCACAGGGCCTGTGCATGAATTATGATCAAACTAGGCCTAACTTGCCCAGGCCCCGCCCCATGTTTTTGCTATTCTGGGCTTCCAGATGGTGTGCCTCTTTCACTGGGTACTCTTCTGTGACATTTGTTTCTGCACAGAGGTATTGAGGATGGAGATAACCTAAGCCTGGAGTGGTCGTCTTTGGTGACAGTGGCAATTGTTCCACCCAGGAAAGAAAGGAAGAAAGAAAGAAAGAAAGAAAGAAAGAAAGAAAGAAAGAAAGAAAGAAAGAAAGAAAGAAAGAAAGAGAGAGAGAGAGAGAGAAAGAAAGAAAGAAAGAAACGAAGGAAGGAAGGAAAAGAAAGAGGAAAGAAGGAAGGAAGGAAGAAGGGAAGGAAGGAAAGAAGGAAGGAAGGAAAGAAGGAAGGAGAGAGAAAGGAAGAAAAAAGGAAAAAAGGCACCATGTTGGGGAGAGAGTGTGCAAAAGAAAGGAACAAGCTTTTCTCCTGCTTTTTTGGAACAAAAGGTGGCCCACATTTTCATCCTGCACTGGGCCATGCAAAACATATAGCTGGCTGGCTCCATCGGATGGTGCCTGAATCTCAGA
Organism: Homo sapiens; assembly: GCF_000001405.40. Classification (NCBI taxonomy): domain Eukaryota; kingdom Metazoa; phylum Chordata; class Mammalia; order Primates; family Hominidae; genus Homo; species Homo sapiens. The sequence continues at coordinate 84,644,472 of NC_000016.10, forward strand.
AGTGACAGTGTTGAGCTGCTGTTGGGGGCACCAATTAGGACAGGCTTTCAGGGGAGAGGCATGGTTTAGGGTCTTACAAATATGCAGACCTTTGGAGCCAGCAATTCCCCTTCACTGTCAGAGATGTGCATATGGATGTGTGAGCAAGGATGTTCACCACGGCATGATTCATAATAGAGACACCAGCTGGATGCCCAACAATGGGGGGAGGTCAAGGGCACAATCCATACTGAAGGATCAGGCACAGCCATTAAACATCATGTCATCAACGAGGACTTACTGACATGTGAAAAACTCATGACATTTGCAAAATGGGGAAAAAGTCAGCTACCAAGGAGTGTGCACCATAGGATCTCATTTGCATAGGCGTGCAGGGAATATATGCAGGAGAAAAATATTGAGCTGGTTTATCCTTAAATGCCAATAGCTGTTCTCCTCAGGTGGGTTATGTTTTCCTCTTCTGGGCCTGTTTTCCAACTGTCTGCACTGAGCACACATCACTGTCATCAGTGCACTGAGGTACTGTTGGGCAGTGGCCAAGGCTAGGGCTGCAGACACTGGAGGCAGACTCCCTGGGTTCAAAGCCCAGCTCTGCTCCTTACGAGTTCTGGGACCTTGAGCAAGGGATTTAACTTCTCCAGGACTCAGCTTCCCCATCTGCAAACAGGGAAAGTAATGATACCTTCCTCAAAGGATCAAGGTATTAACTCACCATGATAGGGTCATGGCTGATTGACTTGTTTGGCTGTCTTCCTAAAACCCCTGAAATTTTCTTCTTTATATCCCTGGCACCTACCACAGTGCCAGGCTTACAGCAGGTGTTCCTGAAAAGTCTGCTGAATGAACGAAGGAGGGAGTGCATGAATTCATGTAAGGATGGAGATCCACATCCCAGGGTACAGAGATAGTATCAAATGAGTTAATACATGCAGAGGGCTTACAGCACTGCCTAGTGCTTAGAAAACTGGAATTATCATTATGGCAAAGAAATTGTGTAAGAGGAAAATGTTGAGAGAACAATATGAACCAATTTTTTTGAATGATGTAGAAATGAGTGTTTGTTTTATTTTGTTTTGTTTTTGAGACAAGGTCTTGCTCTGTTACCCAGGCTGGAGTACAGTGGCACAACCACAGCTCACTGCAACCTCGACCTCGTGGGCTCAAGCAATCCTCCCACCTTAGCCTCCCAAGTAGCTGGGACTACAAATGCATGCAGCCATGACTGGCTGATGTTTAATTTTTTTTTGTACAGACGAGAGTCTTGCTATGTTGCCCAGGATGGTCTCGAACTCCTGAGCTCAAGTGATCCTTTTTCCTCCCAAAGTGCTGGAATTACCGGCATGAGCCACTACACATGGCTGTTTGGTTTTTTGTTTTGAACTTTTCTGTATTGAGAGTAGCTGAGTAAAGCATGCATTACTTTTATAATTTGGGAGGACACAAAACGTTACTGAAAGAAAAAGACTGAGAGAGTGGTTCACAAAGTGCTGTTGGGGAACGCAGGGTGAAGCCAAGTTAGCCGAGTCCACACCGTTTTCATGTCAAGGTCATGTGTGGATGAGCTTGTCTTAGGCCCTTACTCCGGCCCCCATACACCAGGTTGCACGTCTTCTCATTCATGATGAACACAACACCCGGAAGGCCGATGTTCATGCTGAGTTATAGGCTCTACAGCGAAATCTCTTGTTAGATAAATAGATAGATAGATAGATAGATAGCATAGATACCCATATATAGAGGTGCATGTATCCATTTATCTATATAAGAGTTATAGGCTCTTAAAATATCTACAGCTAAATCTCTTGTTAGACAGATAAATAGATATGATAGATACCCATATATAGAGGGGCATGTATCTATTTATCTACCTATATCTATTTATCAAGAGAATCTTTAACTCTAGCTGTAAAAAAGAATATGTCCAACTCTTGGTGCTCCGTGTATTGCCCCAACACAGTACTCACCACGCTAGGACCATTGCTGATTGACTTGTTTTCCTGTCTTCCTAAGAGCCCTGAAAGTTTCTTCTTTGTATCCCTGGCACCTACTACAGTGCCGGCCACACAGCAGGTGTTCCTGAAAAGTCTGTTGGATGAATGAGAGGCAGTGCATGAATTCATGTCAGAACAGAGATCCATCCACATGTCGGTATGGAGACAGAATAACAGGAGGATTAGCTTTGTCTGGGGTAGGGACAGGTCCAGGAAGGGTCAAAGACAGGCAAGTAAGGCTTGGCAGGGTGAATGTGTACAGTCCCCAAAGAAAAGGGGAGAGAGAGAGAGAGAGATGGGGGACAGCAATCCAGTCAGTGAGAACATCATTTAAAGATCCTTGGCTCACACCTGTAATCCCAGCACTTTGGGAGCCTGAGGCAGGCAGATCACCCGAGGTCAGCAGTTTGAGACCATCCTGGCCAATATGGTGAACCCCATCTCTACTAAAAATACAAAAATTAGCCAGGCGTGGTGGTGGGCGCCTGTAATCCCAGCTACTCAGGAGGCTGAGGCAGGAGAATCGCTTGAATCCAGGAAGTGGAGATTTCAGTGAGTTGAGATTGAGCCGTTGCACTCTAGCCGGGGTGACAGAAAGACTCTGTCTCAAAAAAATAAATAACCATCCCGGCTAACACGGTGAAACCCCGTCTCTACTAAAAATACAAAAAATTAGCCGGGCGAGGTGGTGGACGCCTGTAGTCCCAGCTACTTGGGAGGCTGAGGCAGGAGAATGGCGTGAACCCGGGAGGCGGAGCTTGCAGTGAGCCGAGATCCCGCCACTGCACTCCAGCCTGGGCGACAGAGCGAGACTCCGTCTCAAAAAAAAAAAGAAAAAAAATAAATAAATAAATAAATAAAATAAATAAATAAATAATTAAAAAATAAAGATCCTGTAAGTGGGCTGGGTGTGCTGGCTCACACATGTCATCCCAGCACTTTGGGATACCGAGGCACGAGGATCGCTTGAGCCCAGGGGTTCAAGACCAGCTTGGACAACAAACTGAAACCCTGTCTCTATAAAAATCAAAGAAAAAAAAATAGCCAGGTGTGGCAGCCGGCACCTGTGGTCTCAGCTGCATGAAAGACTGAGGCAGGAGGATCACTTGAGCCTGGGAGGTGGAGGCTGTAGTGAGCACTACACAAAAGAAATCGCTGATCCTTCAGCAGCCATTTCCCACTCCAGCAACTCCCCGCCCCTGGCAACCACTCATCTACTTTCTGTCTCTATGGATTGGCTTGTTCCGGACATTTCACATACACGGAATCATACAGTGTGTGGTCTTTTGTGTCTGGCTTCTTTCACTAAGTATTACATCTCCAAGGTTCATCCCGCTGTAGCATGAGCGAAGTGTGACAATTGATAGATGGATCGATGAAGGTTACATTCATTCATTCCATACACATTTACTGAGCACCTACTGTGTGCCAGTCTTGGCGACGACCCAGTCAGGAATAGAACTAACAGTAAACCCTGCCCTGGAGGGCTTCTGGTAGGGAGGAGAGACAATAAACCGAATAAACTAGTACATTATTTGGAATATTAGACGCTGATAAGAGCTCAAGTGAAGCATGGGGTTGGAAGTTGGGTGCAGAGAGAGGGGCTGTGACTTCGAGCAGAGCGGTCAGCAAAGGCCTCGCCGCAGGGTGGCCGCAGGGACGCTCCCGCTCAGCCCGGAAGGAGGCGAGAGGCGCGGTGCCCGTCCCGGCGACTCTGGGCCAGCAAAGAGCTCCCAGCGCACGCGTCGGTGCCTCGAGGCCCGGGACCCTGCGTGTCTGGTCCCCGCCGTGGCCCTGCGTCCGTGACGGTGGGTGGCACCAGGGAGCATTTCGCGCGGCGGGGCTGGGGCCTGCCTTTGAAGGGACGGAGTCGGGCGTCGTGGTGGGGTGGACACCGGGGATCCCCGGGGCGCGGACGAGGGGGGCGTCCACCCTGCGAGCTCACCCCACGGCCCCCGCGTCCCGCCCTCAGCCGCAGGCCCCGCCCCGCGCCGCCCGGCCCCGCCTCCCCGCGGCCGCCGCCATTGGCCGCGCGCGCCGCCTCCGCCCTCGGCCTCGCACTTCCTGGCGGAGCCATGGCTGCGCAGCGGGCTGGCCGGGGGTCTCCTGAACCCGGGCCCCGCCGCCCCGACCGCCCGGCCCCGCCGCCGGGGCTGTCCCCGCCGCGTCCGTAGCGCGTCCTGCCAGGTGGGCCTCCGCGCGCGCCCACCCTCCAGCCCGGGACCGCCAGGAAGCCGCGCCCGGCCGGGGCGGGGAGCTGGCGGAGATCGGGAGGGTCCCCGGCCACCGCGAGCCGCGACCCCCCTGCGCCCCTTGGTGCCGGGGCGGGCGGGTGGGCGAGTGGGGGCGCCGCGGCCGGGGGAGGGGCCGCCGCCCCCGCAGGTGACACAGGTGCGGCCTGTGCGGACCGCCCCGCGCGTGGCAGGTGAGTGGCCCCCGCCCCGGGCCGTCCCGACTCCGCCTCCTCGCCGCCGGCTGGAGCCTGCTGGGCGGCCGTTGCGCTGAGTTCCGCCTGGGCTGCGGGGTCCGAGCGAACGACAGCGGCGTCCCCGGAGACCCCGCCGGCGAGCCGGTGTCAGCAGCGTCGCTTTCTCCAACGCTGAGGTCGGGAGGGAGCTTGGGGAGGAGGCGCTCTGGGAAACCCCCGGCCGGACGGGGCCTGCGGTCCCATGTTTACTGGAAGACCTTTTCCAGTGACCTGGGATTGTCACTGTGCTTGGGGGTGGCCTTGACCCTTCACCTGCTTCCAAAAAGCGTCGGAGGCCGCTGACGTCCAACACGGGTGGAAATCAGACCCCACCCCCACGCACTTGCAGGAGACAGCAGGGAGCCTCCGGCCCCGCGAACTCTCTCTAGGTATCTTGGCCTAGAAAATAAAGCGTTGAGCGTTAGAAGGCCTGGTTGATTCTGGGCAGGCTGCCTGGGGCGGTGGAGAGAGAGGGCACCTGCTGCTTGCTGTTCTGTGACCTTGGGCAACCCCCCCTGGGGCACCCGAGCGCCAGGTCTCACTGTGGGAACGACGGTGTCACCTCTCAGCGTGAAGGTGGAATGAAGTCGAGTCCGCGGTGGGCACCGCACCAACGCTGGGTTTCTTCTCTTCCCTCTCTGGGCTCTCCAGCATCCTAGGGGAGGGCCGGGGTGGGAACAGCTTGTCATTGTCACAAAGTTTCTAGTTTGTCGAGAGGAATCCAGTTGCCCCTTCTCTCCCTAGGGGAGTTGCACGGGACGGACTGTGCCCGAATTCATTCCTTCCATGGGAACACTGGAGTGCCCTCCCTGTGTCCCCAGTTATCTAAGAACAGTGCTGACTTCTTGTCACATTGTTCTTTATTAGTGAAGACTATTTGTTCAATAGGTAACAAACTCTTCTCATGAACTCAAATAGCGGGGGAAAAAAATCCTCTTTAAAACCTTCGTCTCAGTATGTGACTTGTGCTAATATTAGTTGGCAAAGTCCCTTCTCTGTGTTCCCTTCCATCTTTGAAGCACCTGCCCCTCCCCCTGCCTCCCCCGCCCCCCACACACCAAAGCTTAACTCTGTCTGCAGTGATCCCCCACCCAAGAGCCAGGCAGTGTAGCCTAAGAGTTAAGAGCATGGGCGCTTCCCTGAGCTGGAATCCCAATTCTGCCAGTTCCCAGCTGTGTGACGCCGGGCAGCTTATTTCACCTCACTGCTCTCAGCATCCTCCAGTCACAGTGCTGGCCTCATGGGGTTGCAGTGGGGACTAAGTGAAGATGCAGAGAAGCACTTGGGGACAGTGTGTGTCTAGAATGTACTGTGTACATGGTAGTCATCACTGTACCACATCCTCATCTGCATCATGATATTTTTAAAGTGTGATACTCTCGAACCCGGGCCTCATTCAGCAGCGTGTCATGGTGATGGATCCAGGTTTTGAAGCTGGACAGACCGAGGCGTGATTCTCGGCCGTTTACTAGCTTTGTGACCATGAGATCAATATCCTCATCTGTGAAATGAAATAAGTGATATCAGCCTGGCCAAGTATAATCTTTGTGGGGGTTAAATGAGATGGCACACTTAAGTCACTTAGCTTGGTTCGAGGGCTGTAGTCTGGGCTCCGAAATGATAACTTATCATTATAACCTTGATGTAGCCAAAAGGTAATTATTTGTAGGAAGTGAACCAAATGACATGATATCAGATTTTAGATGATAAAGGAATGGGAGTTAAATGTTCTGTCCAATTCTAACAACCCGATGATTTCTCAACTCGGTGTAAAAGAGTTCTTTGTAGTGCACGGTCCTCCCTCCCTCCTTCTTCCGTGTGACTGTTTTCACTGTCATCCTTGGTATCTGCTAGCAGGGCCTGAAATTAATGAATGACCTAGAGTTATGACTGCATGCTCAGAAATCCTGTTCTTCTCCTAGGGCTGAAATCTCTTTAATGATGGAGGGAAGCAGGCAGACGCGAGTGTCTCGGCCATACAAGATCAGCGAATCATCAAAGGTCTGTGAATGTTCACTCACCACCTATGCAAATTGCCTAAGAAGTGTGATCCTTTTTCTGATTCACTCATTTCTAATCACAGACTGATTTTTTTGTCATTGGTGTTGTCAGTCTCCTTAATGACAAGTAAAGGTGGAAACGGGCAAGGAGCAGAAATTGTCATAAAATCAGACAGTGGGAAGTATGAGGGATGGTAGAGACGCTATGGCCAGATGTCTTCATTTTTCCATGTGACATTCCGGAGCTTTCTTTTTGTGACAACTTGACTCATTCGTTAACCCAAGGAGGTGGATGGGACAGGAAGAAAACTGGGATTCCCATGCCTGCTTGGGGGCTCAAAAACTCCAAGGACAGGTCCATTGAGAACCCAGCCTTCTACCTTAGGGTGAGGGCAACACACCGTGTACCCGGACCCCAAGGGCCTGGAGTCGTCTTCCCTGGTCATGATTCCCTGCGACCTAAGAGCAAGTGAGGGCAAGTTCCCCAGAGCCAGGCTACTGGGGGAGTTCTAATTAGAAATATGTAGCCTGTTCCCACCAGCCACATTAAAATCCAAGAGCCAGACCCGGCTGCTATACTTTCCACAAACTCCTGTCCCCACAGCTGCTGTTGGTAAAGAGTGGGGGAGCCATTGGTATGAGGTTCCTGGTAACCTGTTTCCCCGTTATAAATATTCGTAATGCCCTCTGTTCTTTAGAGGTATCCCTTTTGGAGATTAAATCTTATGGTTACCTCAGATCATGGATTCTCAATGAGTATGATATTGCCCTGAAGTGGGAGAAAATTGGTTCTCGGGAGGGTGGAAGGAATTTTACTCCTTTTATGCATAAGACACAATTATACATACAGTACATGAGCAGACATACAGTGCATCTGTGATGTTAAGATTTTGCTGGGGAGGCTATTAGGGAAAAAAATCTTAAAAGCCTTCTTGTGGGGCAATAATGAAAAAAGATACAGAAACACTTCTTTAGATGAAGGGAGCTGGCAGCAGCCTATAGAGTTGAGAAAAAGGGGGAAAGAGATTCTACAGATTCTAAAAGAAAAACTGGCTGTCATTTTCAAGAGAGGTTGGCTCTCTTGAGATATGACCTCCTGTTCTCACGTGAGTTCCCCAAGAAGGTTCCTGCCAAGCCCAGCTTTATCGATTGTGAAAACCCAGAGAGGTCTCGCCGCTCGCTCACAAGGGCTTTGTTTGGGAGCTTAGCTTGGGAGACACTGCTGCTTTCTAAGTTTGACAGCACTGGAAGTCTTTGTCCATTAATGCCAGGACCCTGAGTTTGTTTCTGTCTGAACTGAATCTCTTAGGACTAGGCTTCTGTATCACTGGATGATGTTTCTAACTTTTTTTTTTTTTCGAGACAGGGTCTTGCTCTGTCACTTAGGTTGGAGTACAGTGGTGCGATCATAGCTCACTGCAGCCTCTACCTCCTGGGCTCAAGTGAGCCTCCCACCTCAGCCTCCTGAGGAGCTGGGAATACAGGTGCATGCCACCATGCCCAGCTAATTTTTGTATTTTTAGTAGAGACGGGGTTTCACCATGTTGGCCAGGATGGTCTTGATCTCTTGACCTCGTGACCCGCCAGCCTTGGCCTCCCAAAGTGCTGGGATTACAGGCGCGAGCCACCATGACTGGCCTGTTTCTAACTTTTTATTTTTAAAAAGTGTACCCATTAATTTCTAGACATTAAACACACCTATGTTGCCAGCACCCAGATGGGTAAAAAACAGAATACTACCAAACCCTCCCAGTTGTTACACTCAAGATAGTCGCTGTCCCAACCCCACCGCTGTGGTTTGATCTGCTTTTGAACTTTGTCTAAACGGGATCCGAGGTCGGGTACTCTTGTGTGTGGTTTCTTTTGTGCAACATTGTGCCTCTGAGCCTCACCCGTGTTGCTGCATGTAGTTGGTAGTGGTAGGTTTTGCTTTCTCAGCATGTTGGTGTCTTCCCACTGTGTGGCCACAGTGTCTGTTCACCTGTCTGCCCTAAGATGTGTTGCTCAGCCAGGCACAGTGGCTCACGCCTGTAATCCCAGCACCCTGGGAGGCCGAGGCGGGAGGATCTCGTAAGCTCGGAGTTTGAGACCAGCTTGGACAACACGGCTAAACCTCATCTCTACAAAAGATACAAAAATTAGCCGAGCCTGGTGGCATACACCTGTAGTCCCAGCTCCTCAGGAGGCCGAGGTGGGAGGCTCACTTGAGCCCAGGAGGTAGAGGTTGCAGTGAGCTATGATCGCACCACTGTACTCCAACCTAAGTGACAGAGCGAGACCCTGTCTCAAAAAAAAAAAGTGTTGTTCCTTTTTGATGCTAAATTCTTTTTCCACGTCTAATACCTGGTACCTGCCGCCTCCTCCCAGGTGTAAGCCCCCGACAACCTGAGTTTCTCCCTCTACTTGGCCTTGCATCTGATTAAGGCACTGAAATAGGAAATAAAGAAATGAACAAGACTCATATCATCAGAGAATGCTGTGGATTGGAGCTTCTAAGTTACCTGAAATGCGGAAACTCTGTTACCAATGTCCCTTTATAATTGGGAAATAGGCCAGGCGCAGTGGCTCACGCCTGGAATCCTAGAACTTTGGGAGGCTGAGGTGGATGGATCACTTGAAGTCAGGAGTTCGAGGCCAACATGGTGAAACCCCGTCTCTACTGATATATGTATATATGCCGGGAGTGGTGGCACCTGAGGTCAGGAGTTTAAGACCAGCCTGGCCAAAATGGCAAAACCCTGTCTCTACTAAAAAGACAAAATTAGCTGGGCATGGTGGTACATGCCGGTAGTCCCAGCTACTCAGGAGGCTGAGGCAGGAGAATCGCCTGAACCTGGGAGGCGGAGGTTGCAGTGAGCCGAGATCGAGCCACTGCACTCCAGCCTGGGCAACAGAGGGAGGCTCTGTATCCAAAAAAAAAAAAAAAAAAAGGGAACTCGTGTGCCTGTGTTTTTGGAAAGTTGTCTATGCAGCTGTGCTAAAACACCAGAAGCAGATTGCAGCTGATTGTACCCGGGTACAGCATCACTCCAGCCCACTTAGAGCAGAAACCCAGTTTTGGAAACAACACTGCTCTTGCCCCCTGCCCCAGCTCACTGGAGCTGGTGTCTCCCCTCGGCAGCCGTTCACTGGGGCTTTCCCCAGTCCTGCCCCCTGGGCTCTTTCCCTTTTGACACTGCAGTCTGGGGTTGTGTGTATCTCCGTCTAAGCATGGTAGGGCCAGCACCCTCACCAGCGTGGAGACAGCCAGGGTCCCCGGGTGGCAGATAGCCGCCTCATGCCCTCATATGCGTCTCTCAGGCCGCTAAGCCTGTACTATGACTTGATCACCGCCACTGTAGTACTTTTTAATTTCCTTCCTTCAGCTCACACCCAAGAGGGGCCTCCAGTCAATGTCTGTAGAAGCACTGACCATTCCTGCATAATTAGAAGCTGAGGCCTAGCACGGTGGCTTATACCTGTAATCCCAGCACATTGGGAGGCTGAGGCAGGAGGATCGTTTGAACTCAGGAGCTGAAGACCAGCCTGGGCAATGTAGTGAGACCCCATTTCTACAAAAAATAAAAGTAAAAAATAGCTGGATATGGTGGCACACACCTGTAGTCCCAGCTGCCAAGGAAGCTGAAGTGGAGGGATTGCTTGAGACTAGTTTTGTTTTGTTTTGTTTTGTTTTGTTTTGTTTTGTTTTGTTTTGTTTTGTTTTGTTTTTGAGATGGCGTTTTGTTCGTGTTGCCCAGGCTGGAGTGCAGTGGCTCACTGCAACCTCCGCCTCCGGAGTGCAAGTGATTCTCCTGCGTCAGCCTCCTGAGTAGCTAGGATGACAGGCGCCCGCCACCACAACCAGCTAATTTTGTATTTTTACTAGAGACGGGGTTTCACCATGTTGGTCAGGCTGGTCTCGAACTCCTGACCTCAGGTGACCTGCCCACCTCGGCCTCCCAAAGTACTGGGATTCCAGGCATGAGCCACCACGCCCGGCTGAGCCTAGGAGTTTCAGGCCGCAGTGATCTCTGATCTACTGTTGCATGCCAGCCTGGGAAACAGAGCAAGACCCTGTTTCTAAAAATGAGAAAAAATTTAAAAGCCCGGTGTAGGCCAGCCTGGCTCTCTTTGTGGGTAACCAGGATAAATAGAGATCTCCACGTGTGTGACCTGTGAACTGAAAAGCCAGCCTGGAATGGAAGAGCGGGAGAGCCCGTCCTCTGAACTCAGAAGGAAATGCCAAGTCGGATCTGTCTGGCATCCTCCACAGGCTGTGAGAATGTGGCCTGCTCCTGTAGCATGGACAGAGAAGTTGCTGTTGGAATTGACTGGATGTGGAAATACCACAGGGAAATAAAGTGTCTCAATGACAAACGCATGTATGGCAACAAAAAGAAGATTTGAAAGGGAAGAAAAAAATAAAACCCACTGCTGTAGGACACATGTTAAGAAGCAACTTTTAAGAATTCAGAGCCTGGGCAGTTTAGGGAGACGTTGTCCCTGCAAATTATAAAAATCAGACAGGCGTGGTAGCGTGTGCCTGTAGTCCCAGTTACTCAGGAGGCTAAGGCGGAAGAATCACTTGAGCCCAGGAGGTCAAGGGCGACATAGTGAGACCTCGTCTCTACAAAAAAATTTTAAAATTAGCCAGGCATGGTGGCACACACCCGTAGTCCCAGCTACTCAGGAGGCTGAGGTGGGAGAATCACTTGAGCCCAGGAGGTCAAGGGTGCAGTGAGCCGAGATTGTGCCACTGCACTCCAGCCTGGGCAACAGAGTGAGACCCTGTCTCAAAAAAAAAAAAAAAAAAGTCGAACCACATAGCTGCTAATACCTAATAGCCCTCGGTCAGTTTTCTTCCTCCAACCACATTTCCCCTCTTCAGGCTAGTGCCCAGCCAGTTCTTCACCTCAGTCACCCTGGAATAGACCAGCTATCTATGTGATAGTTTTCAGTTACCTGTTTCTCCCTATGTTGAATTCATTTATTTATTTATTTAGAGACAGGGTTTCTTTTTGTCGTCCAGGCTGGAGTGCAGTGGCACAATCATGGCTCACTGCAGCCTCAAGCTCCTGGGCTTGAGCGATCCTCCTGCCTCAGCCTCCTGAGCAGCTGGGACTACAGGCGAATGCCACCACGCCCACCTAATTTTTAAATATTTTGTTAAGACAGGAATCTCGCTATGTTGCCCAGGTTGGTCTCGAACTTCCTGGCCTCAAGTGATTCTCCCGTCTCAGTCTCACAAAGCATTGAGATTACAGGCATGAGCCACCATGCCTGGCTTGAATTGTTGTGTTGTTTGGTTTTGGGTTTTTTTGGTTTGTTTTTTGTTTTTTCTTGTTTGTTTTGTTTTGTTTGTTTGTTTTTTGTTTTTTGAGACGGAGTTCTTGCTCTGTCTCCCAGGCTGGAGTGTAGTGGTGTGCTCTTGGCTCACTGCAACCTCCATCTCCTGGGTTCAAGCAATTCTCCTGCCTCAGCCTCCTGAGTAGCTAGGATTACAGGCACACGCCACCATGCCTGGCTAAATTTTGTATTTTTAGTAGAGACAGGGTTTCACCATGTTGGCCAGGCTGCTCTCAAACTCCAGTAGCCGGGCTGTCGTCCCAGCTACTCAGGAGGCTGAGGCAGGAGAATCACTTGAACCCGGGAGGCAGAGGTTGCAGTGAGCTGAGGTTGTGCCACTGCACTCCAGCCTGGGCGACAGAGCAAGGCTCTGTGTCAAAAAAAAAAAAAGAAAGAAAGAAAGAAAGAAGTTATATTAATAAGAGAAGGAAAAAAAAAACCACGATACACAGGCATACTCAGAAACACCTGTACTTCCTGCAGTGCCCTCTGATGCAGCATTTTATTTCCTGTTTTCTTCAGTTTCATTTTGTTGAAAATGCTGGTCAGGACCCACTGGGTTGGACCAGGGCCGAGCAGGCTGCTGCGCCGTTTCTAATGTGTCTTCTCTGTCCAGGTATACCGCTGGGCCGACCACTCAAGCACGGTGCTGCAGCGGCTGAACGAGCAGCGTCTCCGCGGGCTCTTCTGCGACGTCGTCCTGGTGGCCGATGAGCAGCGTGTGCCAGCCCATCGCAACCTGCTGGCCGTGTGCAGCGACTACTTCAACTCCATGTTCACCATCGGCATGCGGGAAGCTTTCCAGAAGGAGGTGGAGCTGATCGGCGCCTCCTACATTGGGCTCAAGGCCGTGGTGGACTTCCTGTACGGCGGGGAGCTGGTGCTGGATGGCGGCAACATTGACTACGTCCTGGAGACGGCTCACCTGCTGCAGATCTGGACGGTGGTAGACTTCTGCTGTGAGTACCTGGAGCAGGAGGTGAGCGAGGACAACTACCTGTACCTGCAGGAGCTGGCCTCCATCTACAGCCTCAAGCGGCTTGATGCCTTCATCGATGGCTTCATCCTGAACCACTTCGGCACGCTGTCCTTTACGCCCGACTTCCTGCAGAACGTCTCCATGCAGAAGCTGTGTGTCTACCTGAGCAGCAGCGAGGTGCAGCGGGAGTGTGAGCACGACCTCCTGCAGGCCGCCCTGCAGTGGCTGACGCAGCAGCCCGAGCGCGAGGCCCACGCCCGCCAGGTGCTGGAGAACATCCACTTCCCGCTCATCCCCAAGAACGACCTGCTGCACCGCGTCAAGCCGGCCGTGTGCTCGCTGCTGCCCAAGGAGGCCAACTGCGAGGGCTTCATCGAGGAGGCCGTGCGCTACCACAACAACCTGGCGGCCCAGCCCGTCATGCAGACCAAGCGCACGGCGCTGCGCACCAACCAGGAGCGCCTGCTGTTTGTGGGCGGCGAGGTCTCCGAGCGGTGTCTGGAGCTCAGTGACGACACCTGCTACCTGGACGCCAAGAGCGAGCAGTGGGTCAAAGAGACGCCGCTGCCCGCCCGGCGGAGCCACCACTGTGTCGCGGTGCTGGGGGGCTTCATCTTCATCGCCGGCGGCAGCTTCTCACGGGACAACGGAGGGGATGCGGCCTCCAATCTTCTTTATAGGTATGACCCCCGCTGTAAACAGTGGATCAAGGTGAGATTAAAGCCAGATTATTTCTTTTCTCTTGAGGACTCTCTCGGTTTCCTTAACCTAGCCTTGACTTTCCTTACCTCTCTGGGGCCTTGACAACTATCCTGCTTCTGAATGAGGTGTGATGATAAAGTGACGAGCAGAATACCCCGGGGCCTACATCCTGGACAGGGAGAGGGAGAGCCGACCCACCCCTTCGAGGGGTCCGTCATCGTTCAGAGCAGCACTGCCTGGCGGGGCTTTCTGTGCAGATGGAAGGGTCTGTCTGTACTTCCCGATACGGTAGCCACAGCCGCATGTGGCGACTGAGCACTTGAAATGTGGCCAGTGCGACTGAAGAAGTCAATTTTCAATTTTATTTCACTTTAACCGATTGACGTGTAAGTGTATGTGGCCGCACGAGGCGTGGCTACCCTATTGGACAGTAGCATGGGTCTAGATGTTTGATCCATGGTTCAACATCCCCAGGTCCTGGAGTCTCTGTGGGGCTCCTCTGGAAGCATTTTGGGAGATAGTTTAAGGAGACCACTAGTGCTCACGCCTGGCCCTTGGGCATGTATTGTGTCCTGATTCTGGGAAGAGCGTGGGCCTTGATGTCAGACCTGAGGTCTCATCCCAGCCTGGCTAAGTCATAGCTAGGAAATTTCAGATTCTTGTCCTCTCCACATTTTGGATTCCCCTTCTGGGAATACGTGGGGGACAGGGAGTGCAGTAGCTCATGTTGACTGGCAAGCCCCTGGCGTAGGGAAGGTGTCTCCTTTCTGCTGGGAGCGCTCTCCAGCCACTCGGTCCCCGGGACAGTCCATCTCAGCCTCTATACTCACACCTCAGCGTCGCGCCCAGCTCAGTGCTGTTCTCAGCTCAAAACCCAGTCAGAATGGACTCCAGCTGACCTTTTGATTTTACTCTCAGAAATCTGAGACTGCCCTCCAAGGTCGAAGTGTCACCACTGGAAAGGGTCCCTGGCTTTGGAGCCTCCTCCCGAAGCCTGGCAGCAGTGGCAGCAGTGTGTTTGCCTTGGATTCGTTTAAAAAAAGAAAAAAAAAAGTTGGCTCTTCTACTTTTTGTGTGTGTGTGTGTGAGACAGAGTTGTTCTGTCACCCAAGCTGGAGTGCAGTGGCACGATCTCGGCTAATTGCAACCTCTGCCTCCCAGGTTCAAACAATTCTGGCGCCTCAACCTACTGAGTAGCTGGAATTACAGGCGCCTGCCACCACGCCCGGCTAATTTTTGTATTTTCAGTAGAGACGGGGTTTCACCATGTTGGCCAGGCTGGTCTCGAACTCCGTGACCTCAGGTAATCCACCCACCTTGGCTTCCCAAAGTGCCAGGATTACAGGCGTGAGCCACCGCGCCCAGCCTCTTCTGTTTAATTTCCTGTCGAATGCCACGTCCTGCTCTGTTAACACGGAGTGGCAGAGCAGCACTAACTTTACAAATCTGATGTGGGGAGAGGAAAGATGAATTTTTATTTCATAAAGCCACTAGATCAGCAATTCTGACCCCTGTGACCACAGAGTTCCCATCCACGCGGCTAACGACATGACCAGAGAAGTTCGGGGGTTCAGAGCATCTCCATCCCCCTTTTGGGGACTCAGAGCGTCTCCATCCCACTTTTGGGGATTCAGAGCATCTTGGTGAAACCTCGGGGGCTCAGAGCTCCCACCTGAAGAAGCCCTCTTTATTCAGGTGCAGTTCCCTTTCCCAAACATTCTCCGGGGTTGTGCATTCCGCAGACACATTTGGGAACCGCAGCGCCAGATGTTGATGCTGTCCCGGGTTCGGGGAAGGGAAGGTACAGGTATCTCAACTCCACAGGTGGCCTCCATGAACCAGCGCCGTGTGGATTTCTACCTTGCCTCCATCGAAGACATGCTGGTGGCCATCGGCGGCCGGAATGAGAACGGAGCGCTCTCTTCAGTAGAGACGTACAGTCCCAAGACTGACTCCTGGTCCTATGTGGCCGGCTTGCCAAGGTGATCTGGGGCTTGGTGGAAGGTTCTCCAAATGGGATGTTTTTAAGGGACATAGTTCAGTCCACGTGCCTCACTTTCTGGGCATGTTGGCCTCCAATTCCAGGAATGAAATCTTCCGGCTTGTCAGGAAGAGTGGGTACACCATGAGGGGCGGAGGGCGTGACGGTGCACAGTCCGGGCTCCGGTTTCAGACTTAGGGCAAGGGTCAGCTCTGCCGCCATGACGGACATCCCTCCATGGCTGAGTGTGTGCAGTTGCTGAGCTTCAGAGGGTGAGGCCTGACCTGAGGATCTCCCTGAGCTTGGGCAGGAGGAGTTCAAAGAGATGGGGGTATATGTGCTAGATCTAAGCCTCAGGCATGGGTCTTCACCCCGCTCGGCCTTTAGTTCCTCATCTGTAGAGGTAGACGATAATGATACCCACCCCACAGCACTGTTGTGCAGAGCAGATGCAGTGCTGCTTGTGAAACCTGCATCCACATGCAGGGAGTGCCCCAGGGTGGCCGCCTCACCCTCCTCAGTCTCCCCTGCGTTCCGATGTGCATGTATCGAGCATTTATTATCTCCATGGGATTAGCAGAAGGTGCACACCATTTTTTCCACCAGTTCCCTGTTGCCGCACCCAGCAGTGCACTTTCTGAACCAGTCTTTGCTGTGGAATACATCCAGGTGTCCGTAAGAGTTAGAAGTGTGTGGGGTAAGCGCTCGTATTTTTGTTTTTCTGAGAGAGAGTCTCTCTCTGTCACCCAGGCTGGAGTGCAGTGGCGCGATCTCGGCTCACTGCAATCTCTGCCTCCTGAACTCAAGCAGTTCTCCTGCCTCAGCCTTCTGAGTAGCTGGGACTGCAGGCGCCTGCCACCACACCCAGCTAAGTTTTGTATTTTTGGTAGAGACAGGATTTCATCATGTTAGCCAGGCTGGTCTTGAACTCCTAGCCTCAAGAGATCCACCCACCTCACCCTCACAAAGTGCTGGGATTACAGGCATGAGCCACTGCACCTGGCCATATTGATCCTTTCTTATTCACTAAAGGCCCTGGTTTACATCAGGGTTCCCACTTCCTGGCACAGTTGTGTGGGTTTTGAGGAACACAAAGCAACATGAATCCACCATTACAGCATCACGCAGAATCATTTCACTGCCCTAAAGCCCACTGTGTGCGTGCTGTCCATCCCTCCCTCCCCTCTCCCCACAGTCCTGGCAGCCACTGATTTTGCTGTCTCTATGGTTTTAGGCAAAACTTTTCCCGAGTGCCAGCACAGTTAGAATTGGACTGTATGTCGTATTTCCTCTTTGATGTGTGATTCATCGGGTGCATGTGTGCCTGCTAGCTCATTGTTCTAGTCGTTTCCAGCCATTGTGAAAAGGGTGATGGTCCTGTGATTATTCCCATTTCCCAGATGGGGCAAGGGAGACTCAGAGAGAGTGAAGCTGGGTTCTGGCCCAGGCGGCCTGACTGCAAAGCTGTCCACTTCCCCGCCCTGCCCTGCCATTTCTTTGCTAATGACGGCTACTGTCTATAGAGTGTTCATGGGGTGCCCACTCCCTATATTCTTAAATCCTCATGGCCCTCTAAGACGGCAGGCTGTTCCCCGGCTCGGAGGGGGTAAGCCTGGCACAGCCCTGAGCTCTCCCTCTGTCTCTGCCCGTCGACCCTGCAGGTTCACGTACGGCCACGCGGGCACCATCTACAAAGACTTCGTGTACATCTCGGGGGGCCACGACTACCAAATTGGCCCCTACCGCAAGAACCTGCTATGCTACGACCACCGGACAGACGTGTGGGAGGAGCGGCGGCCCATGACCACGGCGCGCGGCTGGCACAGCATGTGCAGCCTGGGTGACAGCATCTACTCCATCGGGGGCAGCGATGACAACATCGAGTCCATGGAGCGCTTCGACGTGCTGGGCGTGGAGGCCTACAGCCCGCAGTGCAACCAGTGGACCCGCGTGGCGCCGCTGCTGCACGCCAACAGCGAGTCGGGCGTGGCAGTGTGGGAGGGCCGCATCTACATCCTGGGCGGCTACAGCTGGGAGAACACTGCCTTCTCCAAGACCGTGCAGGTGTACGACCGCGAGGCCGACAAGTGGAGCAGGGGCGTCGACCTGCCCAAGGCCATCGCTGGCGGGTCCGCCTGTGTCTGCGCCCTGGAGCCACGGCCAGAGGACAAGAAGAAGAAAGGCAAAGGCAAGAGGCACCAGGACCGGGGCCAGTGACCCTAGCTGCGCCTCTTGGGACCATCCTCACCGTCACCTCCCAGGGCTCTGTAGACCAGCAGCAACTTCTTAGTATTCCGGAAACATTATGTACAACTTAGCAGCTTTTTTTACTTTTATGATTCTTGGTATTTCTATGATATCACAGTAACCAATTAAATACTATCTGTAACTTTACATATCTTGCTTGAATAACTAACCCTGGGCCCAGGCAGTGAGCAACCCCTTGTATCTTCACAGGTCTTTGCCCCGTGTTATGATTCCTCATGGGTCCTTGCTGACTGTCCCCCTGAGAGTAGCTGGCACGTGGGTAACACAGAAATTTCTGTAGTGAAGCTTGGGCCTCAAAGGGTTCTCTTAGGCCACCTAGTCCAAGCCTCCCCAAACCTGGCTGAACTTTTAAGAATACAGATGCGTGAGCCCCGCTCAGAATTATGGAATCCAAAACCACCAGGAACGGGGAGGAGGTGGTGCCCAGAAGCTGTATTTTAACTAGTTCTTGGAATTCTGGGTATTAGTCACATCTGGGAATCACTGGCAAGGTCCAGTGTGTTTGTTTTATAAATGAGTGCACAGAGACCACCCATGAGGGTGAGTGAGTGAGTGACCAGGGGCCACGCAGCTCGCTAGACTGTCAGATGAGACATGATGACTTCCCGCTGGGGAGCTGTTCTCCGTATCAGGTGAACGCTGTTTCTGAATAATTCCGTCTTTCCTCATTGGAAACCTTCTTGAATTCTAAAACGTTACAGGTAACCAAAAACGAAAAAAGGTATGAAGCTCTTTATACATATTTTTTTGTAATTTGTGCATTTTTTTCCTTTTTTTTTTTTCTGAACCCACTGTCTTTTATATTACTGATGTACTGAGCTCCCAAATCTGTTTATTTCTCAGGAAAGAAAAAGTGAGTGCTATGGAATTTGCCATCGTTCTCTGTGACTCTATCTTGAGGCGCTGTTGAAAGTTCCTGCACAGAGGAGCACATGTGGATCCCTGAGAAGGCAGTGGAGGGCTCCCTAACTCCCACGCCAGGTCCTGCCCCAGTTTTCTGCTTCTAAGTAGTTTCGTGCTGCTGGGCAAATTCTCGAACAAGTCCGTGTGTTCCCTCATCCACCCCGCTTAGCCACAGGATTAGATGGAATACCCTCCAGGCTCCTCCCGGGTGATAGGGCCATTCAGCCTCTGAGCTGTTCGTACCCGGATGGCATCCCCTTCAGGATGTGGAGCTGGCCTGCACTGACTCCTGCAAACAGTTCCTAAAGCAGGTGTCAGGGTCGCTTGCCCTTTAAGAGGGCTCTTAGCTGCCCGAGTGGATGAGAAACGTGCAGAACTATGGGAGGATAGGAGTGTGATGGGTTTTAAGCATGAGCCAAGGAAGGCATGAATGAGCTGTACCTCACCCAGCATCCGATGGCAGAGATCAGTAAACTTCAAGATGTGCTTCATCTTCAATCCTAGTCTAACACCAGTCTTCCTGCAGACAGTTCCGAGAGCAGGTCTCGATGTCACTTGCCCTTTAAGAGGGCTCTCAGCTGCTCGAGTGGATGAGGATCAATGTGTTAAGATTGATATTAGACTAGGAAAAAAATCTTAGTTAACTTTAATTTCCATTTCTTCTGCTTCTTTGCTGCCCCTCCTTTCCCTTCCCTTCAGGGTTTACTGTGGTTCTCACTGGTCTGTTTATGTAGCCATCCAGAAGAGATGAGAGCATTTTGGGGACTGAAAGCTTCAATAGCCAACTTACTGCCCTCTGTGGTTAGTGAGGAGGGCAGTCTGCATGTTCAGCTAGCTAGTTATTTGCATGTGAAGTCCCTGGAGGCTTACAAACTGTTGAGAGGTTCTGCGAGGCATACAAACAAACAGACCAAAAGGCTGGAAACTCTGCTTGGAGCTCTGCAGCATTCCGGTGTATGAAAGGTTCCGAGAAGTCTCAACCCAGCATTTCCAAACTTCTTTGAGCCTAAAAGTCGTTTGTCTCATACCTAGTCCCAGACCCCCACAAAACATGTTTTGCAGAACTTCTGCCAACTTTGGGATAGCTTACCCCCTTCCTATTCGGGAAAGGTTTTATTGCTTGTAGACCCCTCAGAAGGCAGGGTAGGGTGTACGTGGGCTGTTCTCCCCATCTCAGCCTGGGTCATGAACAAACGGGCAGTTGTTTGGCCTGAATCTCGGGGCAAGTTGGGGAGAGCACATAGAAAGACTCTGTGAGTGATTTGGGGAGTGGGATAGCTTTGACCTTGGAGAGAGGAGAGCCATTGGTTTTCAGCCTAAGCCAGCTCTTTTATGTTTTGCTTCTGGGACTTGTCCCTGGAAATGTGTGAGCTTCTGGCCTCTATTCTGATTTTCTTGTGCCTCATGAGTTACATACGACGTCCTGCGCTTCATATTTTGTGGTGTCTCTCCTGATACTATGAAGGTGGTTTGTAATTGACATGGCTTTGACCCTAATATTACTAAGGTTGGGACCACCCTTTTAAAGGGAGGATAAACAAGTTTCATCTTGTGGGTCAACTTCTAATATTTGATGGTGGCTACACTGTGACAAGAAAGGTTTTTGAGCTTGTTGGGGTCAGTGGATGGGCACAAGGGCACCCAGTGGTGGTGCCCGGGCCAGGTTTTTGTTACTTGTCTTTTTAAGTTGAAAATTCACCCTACTGTGCATGAAAATGGAACTGAAAATGGAAGAGACCATGCCTGGGCAACATGGCAAAACCCCATCTCTACAAAAAAATTACAAAAGATTAGCCAGGGATGGTGGGGCATGCAGTAGTCCCAGCTGCTTAGGAGGCTGAGGTGGGAGAATCACCTGAGCCTGGGAGGTTGAGGCTGCAGTGAGCTATGACCACACCACTGCACTCTAACCTGGGTGACGGAGTGAGACCCTGTCTCAAAAGAATAAAATGTTTTTTAACTCAGATGGGCAGAGTTTGGGCTGTGCTTATGCAGTGGCCATTTGAACCGCACAGTCACGAATGTGGGGTTTTAAACTAGAGTGATGAAGGCACAGGTGCTTGCAGGCTGCCATTTTGAGAGGGAAACAGCCACACATGTCATCATGTTAAACTTTCAGTGTTTCAAGCTATTCTGCTTGAATTTTGAAGACACCTGGATCTTTTTTTTTTTTTAACATTTCAAAATAAGCATGGCAGGCTTCTATTGAGGTTTGGACTTCTCTCATTTCTAAAGAATTAGAGTTGTAACTTCATATTAGTTGTAAGTTTGGGGTTTGGTCCTCACCCAAGTTGGAAAGCTGTTTGCTTAAGACATAGATGTATTATAATAATAGAAGGGAGGGAGTAGAAAGCTGATGAACCCTTGTTACTTATAGCAAACTTCCTGCTGTTTTAAATGCACAGAGATTATTTTATCAACTGTGGTTAGCACGCAATTGGTATTTTTATTGTTCTGCCATTTTATTGAGGCTATCAAGTGGGACTTCAGACCTGGCTCTGAGCAGGACCACACGTGTGTATTTATATTGAGTGCCCTCACTCATGATAAGGTGACTTCATGGAGACCCAGAAACTCACCCTAAGGGGTGTTCACCTTTGAGGTGGGCATCCAGATGCTGAGGGGAAGTGGGGTCCATCCTCTGAGGTCCAGGGGCCTACTTTGTGAGCTCAGTTGTGTTCACCTGTGGTTCAGTGTACCTCGGCCCCTAAGCCAAGTGATCGTTCAGTGACTTGCAGCAATGTGGGAAGTGAGGGGACCCCTGCCACACCCCCCACCACCCCCTGTAGAGTCACTGACCTTCATCCTTCACCCTGGTCCTCCATGGTGCAGCAGCATCTCATGGGCCTTGTGGCTGTCAGAGCCCGTGGTTGGAACCCCGTCCACTGGTCCCAAACCTGGAGGGGCAGCTGCAGATGAGGTTTAGACCTCCTGGTGTCTCCGTGGATTCTGAGTGCCCAGGAGGGGAGGGGAGGGGGTGGCATCCTGGCCTCTAGGATAAATGCCTGGAGTATAGGGCAGCGCCACGGGCACTTGGAGACCCTGTCCTGCGCATCTGCCAAGCCTGGCAGTTTTTAGAGTTTTTTGAAATGTTTTGATACTTTTTGATACAATTTGCTAATAACTGTTTTGTAGAATGCCTGCCGGGGTTTTCCACCTCATCCCTTTCCTCCGGCCCCTTGATTTGTGCTGGACAACAAATGGCAGCACCAGGACCTCGCCTCATGTGGCTTTGTCTTGGATCTTGCCCTTCTCCATCGCTGATGTGATACAGCTCTAGAATTTCGTGAAGTTGCATGCAAAGTTGCATGCAGCCCGTGGGTATGACTGTCTCAGGCCCCCAGCTCATTTGCCAAGAGGAAACCTTAACCCCCCTGAGAGGGTCTGCGTTTCTTCTAGAGCTCCTACCTCAGTGGTGTGCACAGAGTTGGAGACACCTGAGGGCTGGTCCACGTCTCACCTTTGCCATACGGGTCATTTCTTGATCAAATATATGACTGGGGTCCTGGTTTACTCCCGCCCACCCTTTCTTTTAAAGTATTCTTAACATGAAATCCACAAAAGCGGAAACAATGAACCATTCTTGCACTTTACAGAATCATTGTCCTTAGCTTTAGAGGTTGTTAATTTCTTGTTTTTAACATGAACAGAATGTGTGGTTCTGAAGGTGTGTGGGGGTCTCAAGAAATTGTCCTTTGGGGCCGGGCGCAGTGGCTCACGCCTGTACTCCCAGCACTCTGGGAGGCCAAGGGGGACGGATCACCTGAGGTCAAGAGTTTGAGACCACCCTGACCAACATGGTGAAACCCCGTCTCTACTAAAATACAAAAATTAGGCAGTCGTGGTCGCCTGTAATCTCAGCTCTTCCGGAGGCTGAGGCAGGAGAATCGCTTGAACCCAGGAGGCAGAGGTTGCAGTGAGCCGAGGTTGCGCCACTGCACTCCAGCCTGGGTGACCGAGTAAGACTGTCTCAAAAAAAAAAAAAAAAAAGAAAAGAAATTGTCCTTTGGTTGCCTTAGTTACCAGAGTTGAATGAATGTACACATTTCGGTAGTGGGGGGGCAGAGCGGATAACCCCTTCCTTGTCTGTTTCCTTTGAGAAAGGACACTCCACCTTTTCAAAGGTACTTAAAGCCATCTTTACAGATTGCTTGTAATGTAAGGAAAGAGTCATGTCCTTTGGATTGATTGAGGTTAAATCATCAACCACTAGCCCCCTTTCAAAATCAGCGAGATATTTGATGATTAAGTGATTCATTGGGTATGTTCTGGCTACTGATGTTACTGAAATCTGCAATCGTGTATGTTTTTTAATTTGTTGCTTTTGTATTTGTAATTTTATGACATTTCGAAGTTTCTGTGTCTTAACTCTTTTTAATTAATTTTCTGCACGTTGCTTTTTTCTCTTTGTTTTTAATTCCATACAGAGTATTCAATTCTTGAAACACATTAAAATAATTTGCTTGCTAGGGTATGGTTTATTTTATAATTACATTCCTAGTCTTGTGTGGTTATTGTAATGATGTCTGG
This sequence comes from Homo sapiens, assembly GCF_000001405.40. NCBI lineage: Eukaryota > Metazoa > Chordata > Mammalia > Primates > Hominidae > Homo > Homo sapiens. The sequence goes on from NC_000016.10 coordinate 84,667,618, forward strand.
TCCTAATTTCTCTGCCCGTATGAAAAAGAACCCCTTGCCTGTTGATCCTAAATATAATTTGGAAATTAACCAGACTTCCTTTTGGTGTTGTGGGGAGGCTGGGACATTTCAATTCTGCTTTCATTGTGTTTCTAATTACTGTATTTTGCCAGGAATTTCATTCAGTTCCTTGATTGCAGGGCTAAGTCCCCGTGACCTGAAATGAAACTATTTGCTTAAATGTGTGTCAACTGGGGTAATTTGATTAGAAAAGAAACACAGAAACCAAGGGAAACAGCTTATGACAAGCAGTGTGCTATCTTTATCAGAAAAAATGCAATCACAATACTCTAAGAACCAGCTCTGTTTTCCTTCGGGCGCTCCCCTGCCTTGCTGGGGTTTTGCAAGGCCACCAGCAGAGAAGCCCAGGCACGGTTGTGCACCCTTTCCTTGTCCCTTCGGCAGGTCAGCATCGGGAGGGTTGGGGAGGGGTGTCTGCGCAGCCATCATACCTGATAAGGTGGTTAGAATTTGCCTCTGAGCCAGTGAGCCCCAAACGGGACCCGCTGCCCGGTGCCGACTTCCTCACCTGGGTTCTTTCGCATCCGCTTCAGAAGCATCTCAGGTTAGGTTGATAGTCTCCCGATTTTCCAGGTGAAGAATCCAAAGCTCAGGTTAATTACCTTACCCCAACTGTATTGTCTTCCCCGCCCAGCCAGTCAGTCGTTGCCTTGGTTTGAGTTCTCTTCAACGCAGAACCTTAGACAAGGACTTGGACACAGGTAGGGCAGAGAGGTGGTCCCCGGGAAGCCAGAATGCCATGAAGAAGGAGAGAAGGCCCACGAGAAGGTGCTTTATTGCCGAGTAACCCCAAGCCACGGCTTCCAACAATATCATGGCGGACCACTCTGCAGGTTGACTGGGCTTGGCTCAGAGGCTCTCCCCTGAGGCTCCTGCACGGTCACATGGTCATGGACAGGTAGTGGCTCTTGAAGGCGTGAGTGAGAACACACAGCTCCTCCAGCATCTCCCTCTCCCTTTCTTCTCTCTCCCTCTCTCCCTGCCTTCTCATTTCCCCTTCTCTTCCCCGCCCCCCCAGTCTCTTTCTCTCTCTCTCCTTGTTCACTTTGGTCTGGCTCTCTCTGGTCTCTTCACACGGCCTCACCTAGATTTCTTACATGGCAGCCAAAGGCTCCCAGAGCAAACGTCCCAGGTGTGATGAGCAGAGGCCACGTGGCTTCTGCCAGAACCTCCTGGGAAGTCAGGGAGTCAGTTTGCTGCATTTCACCTCTTGAGGCCATCAGAAAACTCCCCCAGGTTGCTGGCCCTGCGAGAGGTGTCAGCCGTGTCCCGTCCCTGACCCTGGAACCCTATCTGCAAACCATGGGAGGAGCTGGGTGTGATGGCTCACACCTGTAATTCCAGCACTTTTAGAGACCTAGGCAGGAGGATTGCTTGGGCCCAGGAGTCTGAGACCAGCCGGGGCAACATAGGGAGACCTCTGACTCTACAAAAAAAAAAATTTTTTTTTTTTTTTTTTGAGACAGAGTCTTGCTCTGTCACCCAGGCTGGAATACAGTGGCAGGATCTCGGCTCACTACAACCTCCACCTCCTGGGTTCAAGCGATTCTCCTGTCTCAGCCTCCCGAGTAGCTGAGATTACAGGCATGCGCCACCACACCCAGCTAATTTTTGTATTTTTTTAGTAGAGATGGGTTTTCACCATGTTGGCCAGGCTGGTCTTGAACTCCTGACCTCAGGTGATCTGCTCATCTCGGCTCCCAAAGTGTTGGGATTACGGGCGTGAGCCACCGTGCCTGGCTTTTTTTTTTTTTTTAACAGGGTCTTGCTCTGTTGCCCAGGCTGGAGTACAGTGGCGTGATCTTGGCTCACTGCAGCCTCCTAGGTTCAAGTGACTCTCCTGCCTCAGCCTCCCGAGTAGCTGGGACTACAGGCGTGTGCCACCATGCCCAGCTAATTATTATTATTTTTTTTAATAGAGATGGGGTTTCACCATGTTGGCCAGACTGGTCTCGAACTCCTGACTTCAGGCCATCTGCCCACCTCGGCCTCCCAAAGTGCTGGGATTACAGGTGTGAGCCACCGTGCCCAGCCAAAATTTTTTTAAAAAAAATTATTCAAGCATAGTAGCTCACACCTGTAATCCCAACACTTTGGGAGGCCAAGGCAAGAAGATCACTTGAAGCCAGGATTTCAAGACCAGCTTGGGTAACACAGTGAGACCTGATTTCCACAAAAAAAATGGAAAATCAGCCAGGCATGGTGGTGCATCGTTGTAGTTCTAGCTGCTTGGGAGGCTGAGGCAGGAGGATTGCTTGAGCCTGTGAGGTTCAGGCTGCAGTGAGCTATGATCACACCACTGCACTCCAGGCTGGGCTACAGAGCAAGACCCTGTTCTTTAAAAGAAAAAAAAAAAAGCCCTCAGTGGAAGGAAGGTATGTTCCTAAGGCCACTGCCTCAGACGGCAGGGGTTTGATGTTGCTGGGCCCGCATGCTGTCGGTTGGAGAGGAGAGCATTTATGGGGCCTGCGCTGCTCAGTGAGGGCTGCTCCCAGAGGCCTTGGCGCACTTCAGCTCCTGGCTGCCGTGCACACACAGAGCCAACCAACAGCCAAGCAGGGCCTGAGTGGCCATGGGACGGAAGTGCAGTGTGTGATGGAGGGGACACCGTCAGCACGTGGCCACCCCGAGCCTGCACTGGGTGCCCAGCGCCGCTGTGGCTAGAATCAGCAGAGGGCCAAGGGCCTGCACTAGGACACCAGGGGTAGCTGCTCAGCAGGGGCAGATGTTAACCCAGGTCTGCCAGCTAAGACCACATTTTTTTTTGTTTGAGACAGAATCTCACTCTGTAGCCCATGCTGGAGTGCAGTGGCACAATGTCAGCTCGTTGCAACCTCCGCCTCCTGGGTTCCAGCGATTCTCCTGCCTCAGCCTCCCGAGTAGCTGGGATTATAGGTATGCACCACCACGCCCAGCTAATTTTTGTATTTTTAGTAGAGACAGGGCTTCCCCATATTGGCCAGGCTGGTCTTAAACTCCTGACCTCAAGTGATCCGCCTGCCTCGGCCTCCCGAAATGCTGGGATTACAGGCGTGAGCCACCGCGCCTGGCCATATTTTTTAACAACTCTAAAACAACCACCACCAGAGTCTCTGTATAGGGTTCAGAATTGTGTCCCCAAAGGCTCCACTACAATGCAAATGTGTGAGTGGAGAGGTTAACCAGGGAAGCCCTGGACTTCCACAAAACCATCGGCAGAGATTTCTGTTACCTCACCCAAAGGGAACAGAGAGGCAGTGGATACCGGACAGGGCGTCTTCGTGGGGTCAGGGGAGGGCGGAGGGAGGACCCGCACAGACCCCATCGTTGCTACCTGTTGGCTGAGGCCTGGGCCACTCTCTCAAGGACCTGCCCACAGCCTTAAATCAAGACCGATTAGAACTCACTTTCCCGCTGGAGCACGATAGTTCTGAATGAACTCTGCGTTCACTCTCAACACACGTACTCATCAAGCCTCCACTCTGTGCCAGACAGGCGCTGTACTAGATGCTGGGGATCGGGTGGTGGACAAAGAAGCAGGCTGCCTGCCCCCAGGGGCAGAAACAGACCAACAAGATACATAGGTCAGGTGGGGATAAGTGATATGAATGTACTAAAACCCGCTGTGTTGTATACTTTTTTTTTTTTTTTTTTTTGAGACAGAGTCTCCCTCTGTCGCCCAGTCTGGAGTGCAGTAGCACGATCTCTGCTCACTGCAACCTCCACCTCTCAGGTTCAAGTGATTCTCATGCCTCAGCCTCCCGAGTAGCTGGGATTACAGGCACCGGACACCACACCTGGCTAATTTTTGTATTTTTAGTAGAGACGGGGTTTCACCATGTTGGCCAGGATGGTCTCGAACTCCTGATCTCAAGTGATCCACCCCCTTGGCCTCCCAAAGTGCTGGACAGGCGTGAGCCATAGTGCCTGGCCTACATTGTATACTTTCAATGTATACAAGTCAGTGGATTTTAGTACATTAGTTTGTGAATCTCAAACTACAACTTTTTTTAAAAAGCTCTGCAGGGGAAGGATGTGCAGCAAGTTAGAGGAGCAAAGTGCTGAAAATGTGAGAAATGGGAGCTGGCGCATCACAGAAGGCTGTGAGCTCGGGAAGGAGGTGATCTGATTCGTTTTCAAAGGAGAGCTTCGGCAGCTGCTGGGTGTGTGTTTGTGTGTGTCCAAGTCTATGAATTTTAACAAATAACCAATTATTCACAAAAATCAAAGCCCATTAATGGATGCATGGATAAACACAATCTGGTCTGTCCCTGCAACGGACTATTATCCAGTCCGTAATACAGAATTAAATTCTGATCCACGCTACAACATGGATGAACCTTGGAAACGTGATGCTGAGTGAAAGAAGCCAGACACAAAAGGCCACATGTTGTATGATTCCATTTCTGTGAAATGTCCAGAATTCGTCAGAATAGGCAAATTCATAGAGACAAAGTAGATTCGTGGATGCTTAGGGCTGGGGTGGGGACGAGGAAGGATGGGGAGCAACAGCTCAAGGGCACGGTATTTATCTTTGTGGTGATGAAAATGTTCTAAAACTGGGTGATGGTCGCACGCATCTGTGACTGTACAAAAAATGGAATCGTACACTTTGAATGGGTGAAATGTATGGTATGTGAATGATATCTCAAGTTGTTTAAAATATTAGAGCAATATTTCCCTCCATTCTCGGAGTTCTGTGTATTGGTCTCCTAGACAGTACAGGTTGAGAGGCAGAATTCAACCTCCCTGCTTAGATTCTAAAACGGGTTAAAACGGTGAGACTAGAGGCAACATTCATCTCAAGTCTGCGTGAGAGCAGAGCTCAGGGCATCCTCCAGGGGGCGCGCTAGAGCAGCAGTCCTGAAAATGCGGTCCCTAGACCAGCAGCGGCCGTGACAGTGGGAACTTAGCAATGCAAACTGCCAGGTCCACCCCCAGACCAGCTGAATCAGCCACTCCTGGGCTGGGGGCCTGCCAATGCGTGTGTTTACAATGTTTACAAGCCCTCCCAGTGATTCTTTTTTTTTTTTTTTTTTTTGAGACGGAGTCTTGCCCTGTTGCCCAGGCTGGAGTGCGGTGGCGTGATTTCTGCTCCCTGCAACCTCCACCTCCACCTCCCAGGTTCAAGCGATTCTCCTGCTTCAGCCTTCCAAGTAGCTGGGATTACAGGCGTGCGCCACCGCGCCCAGCCAATTTTTGTATTTTTAGTAGAGACGTGGAGGGGAGGGGTGGGTGAGGTGGGATTCACCAAGTTGGCCAGGCTGGTCTTGAACTCCTGACCTCAAGTGATCCACCCACCTTGGCCTCCCAGAGTGCTGGGATTACAGGCGCGAGCCACCGTGCCTGGCCCTCTCCTGGTGATTCTGATGCCTGCTCAAGTCGGAGAACCACTGTTCTCCAAAGGTATCTGTCTCCATTCTCCACCCACAGACCTACCTAAGCTATGAGTCCCTGCCCATAGCCAACAGCTGTGCCTGGCTTGCTCCGGCCGAAACCTGAACCAAGGGGCAGCTTTCAGATTAAGCACAGCCGGGTCTGAATCTTCTGCCTTGGGAAGTCTGGGAAAGGCCTTGGAGTCAGCCTCTGCAGGGGCATGCACCTGTTGCCTCCCTGAGAAAGTCACCTCCTCTGTGCCCTTCCTGTTGATGGCAGCAGGAAGGCTGTGGCATGGCCCAACCCTTTAACTGGTGTCCAGCATCCGCTGGCTGTGTGCTCAGAGCATGCTCAGAGCCTCATGCTCTGTTCGGATGGGATCCTTTTACCAGGTATGCTGCAATAGTGTGATTCATCCCCCCAGGGGCCCCAGCCCCACTCTTGCAGGCATCTAAAGGTGCTAAAAATACATAACTCCTAAGTGCGGTTCTGTATTTCTGACTGTACCAGTGTTGTGGGCCTTTTTATGCTCCAAGCTGAAATTCAAGAGGCCTGGATTCCAATATAAGGCCCATGATTAATGGGCCTCCAGCAAGGCCTCACTCAGCATCTCCTGTATTTAGATGGGGCCTAAAGCATGTCTCTGTGATGTGGACCAAGCACGGGGCTATAAGTCAGGGAGTGTGAGTTGCAGCCTTGGCTCTGTCACGTGCACCTGGGCCAGGGCTTCATCTTGTTCAATTTCAGTTCCTCACACTATGGGATAAGATGGTTGGAGATTAGCGCTCCTCTGGGTGTGATCTGCAGAGCCCTGGTCTGCCTAAAGGACCTGCCTGAGGTCCTTTAAGCAGCTGCCTAAAGGAGTTTGTGGTCAGGAAACATTTGGGGAGCTCTGGAGATACATTCCCCCTCTGGGAGACTCAACATTAGAGAACACGTTCATATTTCTTTTATTTTCTTTTTTCTTTCTTTTTCAGATGGAGTCCTGCTCTGTCACCCAGGTTAGAGTGCACTGCAACCTCCACCTCCTGGGTTCAAGTGATTCTCCTGCCTCAACCTCCCGAGTAGCTGGGACTATAGGCGCCTGCCACCATGCCAGGCTAATTTTTGTATTTTTAGTAGAGACGAGATTTCACCATGTTGGCCAGGCTGGTCTCAAACTCCCGACCTCAAGTGATCGGCCCTCCTCGGCCTCCCAAAGTGCTGGGATTACAGGTGTGAGCCACGGAGCCCAGCCCAAGGCCTGGCTTTTGATTTTGCAGATCTAAAATCTTGATTTGGTTCATGCATCTGTAGTGGTTAAGTTTGCTTGTAACTTGGCTGGGCCGTGGCACACGGCTGTGTGTTTGAACATTATTGTAGATGTTTCTGTGAAAGTGTTTTTGGATGGGATTAACATTTAAACTGATGGATTTTGAGATTGCCCTCCAGTATGTGGGTGGGCCTTTTCCAATCGGTTGTAGGCCGTAAGAGAATAAACTCTGAGTTTCCTGAGCAAGAGGGAGCAGCAGACAGCCTTCAGACATCAGCTGCAACATCAGCTCTTCCCTGGGTCTCCAGCCTGCCAGCTGACTTAAAGTCATTCTCTCTGTCTCTCCCTCTCACTGTGTGTGTGCATGTGTGTGTGCGCGCATCTGGCCATGGTGGCCTGTGCCTATAGTCCTAGCTACTCCGGAGGCTGAGGTGGAAGGATCGCTTGAGCCCAGGAGTTGAAGGCTATAGTGAGCTGTGATTGAGCCACTGCACTCCAGCTTGTACGACGGAGCCTTGCTCCATCTCTCAACTATCTATCTATCTGTATATAAACACGCACACAATTGATCCTTGAATAATATGCGTATGAACTGCGTGGTCCACTTTTACACGAATTTTCTTTTGTTTCTGTCGCCCCTGAGACAGCAAAACCAACCCCTCCTCTTCCTTCTTCTCCTCAGTCTATGCAACATGAAGGCAACCAAGATGAAGACCTTCGTGATGATCCATTTCTACTTAATGAATAATAAATATATTTTCTCTTTCTTTTTTTTTAAGAGATAGAGTCAGGCTGGAGTGCAGTGGTGTAATCACAGCTCACTGTAGCTGCAAACTCCTAGGCTCAAGTGATCCTCCCACCTCAGCCACCCGAGTACCTGGGACTACAGGCACACACCATCACACCTGGCTAATTTTAAAACATTTTTGTAGAGATGGGGTCTCACTATGTTGCCCAGACTGGTCTCAGACTCCTGGACTCAAGCGATCCTCCCACCCTGGCCTTCCAAAGCGTTGGGATTACAGGCATGAGCCACCGTGCCTTATGATTTTCTTAATAATGTTTCTTTTCTCTGGGTCACTTTATTGTAAGAATACAGTATATAATACATGTCACATATAAAACGTGTTAATCGACTGTTTATGTTATTGGTTAGACTTCTGGTCAACAGTAGGCTATTAGTAGTTAAGTTTTGGGGGAGCCAAAAGTCATACTAAAATTTTTGACTGTGCAGGGGGTCAGTGCCCCAACCCCTGCATCGTTCAAGAGTTGTCCACGTGCACACGCATGCGCGCACACACACACACACACAAACACAGGCATGCACACACATGCACACACATGCAAACACACAGGCATGCACGCACACACACGCATGCACACACGCACACATGCACACACATTTTATTGGTCTGTTTCTCTGGAGAAATCTGACTAGTACAACTTCCACAGAACAGACTCAGGGAACACACAACAGGAACTGGACCGAACCCTAGAAGACAGCAGTGAGGGCAGCTCCTCCCAAGAGGCAGGGCTTTGCCTCACATACCTGCTCACCCACTTTACATGGAGAGAGAAGTGAGTTGAGATTAGAACATATATATACATGTACATATACATATGTACATGCATATGCATACACACAAAATACACACATATACATATAATACACATGCACATATATGTATGCATACATACATATATACATACACGTGCACATATGCATATACATACACATGCATGCACATGCACATATATAAATGCATGCACACATACACATATCCATATCCATACACATATCCATACACATACACATATGCAGGCACATATACATAAAGCCATGCACACATACACATATGCATACAGTTACACGTAAATATGTACATAGATCCATGGGCAGGGCCAATGGCTTTTCTGCTTGGTCAGAAACCTGGAAGAAAAACAGTGTCTAGGACAGGGAGGACTGGAGAAGAGACATGTGGATGGGCTCACTCACATGGGCCCGGAGTGTGAAGATCTTTGAATCCGTGTTAATGTTCACTGGAGAACATTCACCATGCAAGAAGCACTCAGCGACTAAGTAAGCAGGATGATTTTGCCCATAGATGTCAGCCAGCCTCTGAAATTACCACCCCACTGCTGGTACAGTGGGCACATGAACAGAATAGCCGAGGTAGCAGGGATGGGGGCTGTGCCCGGGCTCAGCAGCACACGCACCACGGCTCACCTAACTGCTCCCACCCCCAACACAGAGCAATGCTGAGCTGCCCATATGGCACCATTCCTCGAGACCCACCTGCCACTCGGTGGCCAGTTGGTTCCACTGGGCCCCTTCTACCCTGTAAGGCTCAGCAGATCATGTTGCCCCGAACTGACACTGTTCCAGGTATAGTTTGCCCTTGCCCACAGGGTCTCTGCAGAACCTCTAGCTGATGGCTTTCACAGCGTTTAATTCACTGACGTGGGATCCTGCGTAACAACACCTTGGGACAAGAGACCCACTTTACAGAAGAGAAGGTATGGCCGGGTGCTGCTGGCTCACACCTACAATCCCAGCACTTGGGAGGCTGAGGCAGGAGGATCCCTTGAGCCCAGTCTGGGCTGAGTTCAAGACCAGCCTGGGCAACATGGTGAAACCCTGTCTATACAGGAAAAAAAAAAAAAAAAAAAAAGCAGCAGCAGAAGAGGAGGAGGAGATAAGAAGGTGATCATATAACCTTGGGATTCCCGGTCCCATCACTCTACCGCCTAGAAGCTGCCAGTGTGATAAGGTGATAGAAAGATCTTTTGAAAGCACAGTAAACGTGGCAGCCTAGAGACATTCCAACTTGTACAACAGATCAAAGCCCCGTCTCTAAACTATCTGTCTATATATAAACACACACACAACTGAACCTTAAACAGTGTGGTTGTGAACTGTGTGGTCTACTTTTACACGAATTTTCTTTTGTTTCTGAGACTTTGGGGCACCACCTCCTGAAATGTAACATACCCCCTAAATCAACGACCAACATAGCATGCGGTGTTCCTAAAATGGAGAAAGCATTAGTCTAGGAACAAAGGGATGGCCGGAGGTGCGGCCCTGCTGAGTGTGTTCTCGATGACCACGTAGGAGGTGTGCCTCCCACTCCTGCCACCTTCGCTCTGGAGGTCTAAAGATGCAGTTTCTCCGAAGAGTTCATGTTTCCACCAAGAGATGCAGAGAGGTCCCATTCAACTTGAAGCTCTGCTTCCTCCTGGTCACTTCTGGCTCCTCATGGAAGCAGTCTGCAGGCTGGGATGCAGCAGCAGGAGGCAGCAGGGCTGCTATTACACACAGAACGGGGGGGGCTCTCTCAGACCTCCTCTGCTTAGCTTCCGTAGAGATTGCAACAGCAGCAGCCACAGCCTGCAAAAGGCATGATGGCCAGGGGTTCAGACCCTCCAAGGATGAGAATCTGAGTCACCCCCCAGTTCCAGGTTACCCTGCTGGGACCAACAGAGGGCCTGGGTCAGGGTGAGGGGACCCTAGTAGAGGATGGAGAAGAATATCAGCTGTGGCCCCCAGACAGCTGGGTTGGTTCCATGAACTTTCTTTCCTCTAGTAAATTTCCCAGCCGGGATCCTGGAGGGACTGTGTATTTGTTTCCCGGGGCTGCCATAACAAAGCATGACAGACTGGGAGGCTTAAACAACGGAAACCTATTTTCTCACATTTCTGGAGCCTGGATGTGTGAGATCAAGGTCGGCGTGGTTGGTTTCTCTCCTTGGCTTGCAGATGGCCGTCTTCTCCCCGTGTCCTCACGTGGTCTTCCCTCTGTGTGTGTCTGTGTCCTAATCGCCTCTTCTTGTAAGGACACCGGTTGTATTGGATTAGGGCTCATGTGACCTCATTCTCATTTAATCACCTCCTTAAAGACCCTATGTTCAAATGCAGGCACATTTCTGAGGTCCTGGGAGTTAGAACTTCATTTGAAATGTGCAGGGAACAAAAAATTCAGCTCATAACAAGCTGTTTCCATGTAGGTTGAACTTAGTGTATTAAACAAGTGATCTAACAGTGCAAGGGGTGGACAGTACAGAACCCAGGGGCATCGTCCCTGCCCCCACCCTTCAAGACTGCAGTGCATGGCCAGGCACGGTGGCTTATGCCTGTAATCCTGGCACTTTGGGAGGCTGAAGTGCGCAGATCATTTGAGGTCAGGAGTTCGAGACCAGCCTGGCCAACATGGTGAAACCCCGTCTCTACTAAAAATACAAAAATTAGCCGGGCATGGCGGCTCATGCCTGTAGTCCGAGCAACTCGGGAGGCTGAGGCACAAGCATCGCTTGAACCCAGGAGGCAGAGGTTGCAGTGAACCGAGATTGTGCCACTGCACTCCGGCCTGGGCAACAGAGCGAGACTGGCTCCAGGAAAAAAAAAAAAAAAAAAAAAAAGACTGCAGTGCTCATTCTCCCAGCTGCCGGGAACATTGCCCCTGACAGTTTGTGGCTGAGTCTCTCACTGGGCATTTCCCCTGGCCAAAGGAACTGCCTTACCCAGGGATGCCCTCCTCCCAGGGAAAGCTCCCATGCCATGTCTGGCCAACACGGGAGTTCAGAGCTCAGCCTCTTTTCTCCAATATGTGACACCTCTGAGGGCCATCCCAGGTTCAGGGCTGTCCATAAAACCTCAGTTTACCTTCTCCCTCTGCTCAATCCTGTTCCCCGCAGCCCTGGCAGGTGTTGATTCTCAGAGCACATTCCCCAACCAATTCCCTGCATGCAATCTCATAGTCTGTTTTTGGGAGATACAATTGCTATGGGTCTAAAAGTTTGTGTCCTCCCCCAAATTCCTAGGTTGAAATCCTAACCCCCGAGGTGATGGTGTAAAGAGGTGGAGCCTTTGCCAGGTGATTAGGGCATGAGACTGGAGCCCTCATCATGGGATTAGTGCCCTTATAAGAAAGGCCTGAGGGCCGGGCACAGTGGCTCAAGCCTGTAATCCCAGCACTTTGGGAGGCCGAGGTGGGAGGATGGCTTGAGCCCAGGAGTTTGAGACCAACTTGGGCAATATAGCAAGACCCCATTTCTAAAAAAAAAAAAAAAAACTATATATATATATATAGTTTTTTTTTTAATTAGTTGGGTGTGGCTGGGTGCGGTAGCTCACGCCTGTAATCCCAGCACTTTGGGAGGCCGAGGCAGGCAGATCACCTGAGGTCAGGAGTTTGAGACCAGCCTGGCCAACATGGTGAAACCCCATCTCTACTAAAAATACAAAAATTAGCCAGGTATGGTGGCAGGTGCCTATAATCCCAGCTACTCAGGAGCCTGAGGCAGGAGGATCACTTGAACCCGGGAGGCAGAGGTTGCAGTGAGCTGAGATTTCGCCACTGCACTCCAGCCTAGGCAACAAGAGGGAAATTCTGACTCAAAAAAAAAAAAAATTAGTTGGGTGTGGTGGCACATGCCCGCAGTCCCAGTAGTCCCAGCTACTCGGGAGCCAGAGACTGGAGGATTGCTTGAGCCTGGGAGGCCAGGGCTGCAGTGAGCCGTGTGTGCGCCCCTGCACTCCAGCCTGGGCAACAGAGCAAGACTTTCTCACTTTCTCTCTCTTTCTCTCTCTCTCTCTCTGTATATATATGCCTGAGAGAGACCCCTTAACCTCCAACCATGTGAGCACATAGAAAGATGGAGCCATCTATGAACCAGAAAGCCCTCACCTGAATTTCCTGGAGCCTTGATCTTGGACTTCCAGCCTCCAGAGCTGTGAGTAATAAATTTCTGTTGTTTATAAGCTACTCAGCTTATGGCGTTTTGTTGCAGACACCAGTCTAGGGCAAATCCTTGTGCACTGAAGTCACTAGGGTCAAATTCTCACTATTGGCTGTGCACAAAAGCCAGCACATACGCATAAACCGAGACTCATGTGCAGGGCTTTATCCCAACTTTAGCCGTCACCAGGCAGGAAAAGGAAAGTCCCAGGCTGTTATTAGGGAAAGGCAAATGAAACCACAATAAGAGACCACGTCACAGGGACTAGGAGGGCTAGAACCAAAGATAGATAATAGCAAGTGTTGGTGAGGATGTGGAGAAATTGGAACCCGTCTGCTCTGTTCATCGGAATGTAATGGGAACAGTGGTGCGGCCGCTGGGGGAGACAGTCTGGCAGCTCCTCAAAAAGGCCAACAATGCGTTACCCTACCACCCAGTTATTCCATTCCTAGGGATATGCTCAAGGGAAATGAAAATGCATGTCCACAAAAAAACTGTACACAAATGTTCATAACAGCATTATTCACAGTAGACAAAAGTGGGAGAAAACAAAATGTCCATCAATTTGATGAATAGACAACAAAAATGTGGTCTCTCCATACAATAAAATATTATTGCATCATGAGAAGGAAGGAAGTTCTGATACACGCTACAAACCAGGAACCTTGGAAGTATCATACTAAGCGAAAGAAGCCAGACACAAAAGAACACATATTGTGTGACTCCAGTTGTATGAAATGTCCAGAACAGGTAAATCCATAGAGACAGAAAGTAGATTTGTGGCTGCCAGGGGCTGGGAGATGGAAGAAAGGGGAGTGACTGTTAATGGGTGCAGAGTTTTATGGGGAGATGATGACAATGTTTTGGAATTAGATAGTACTGATGGTTGAACAATTCTGTGAATATACTAAAAGCTACTGAATATATACTCTAAAAGGCTGAGCATGCAGTCTTTATGGTATGCGAATTATATCTCAATAAATTTGGAAGCTCAGAGAATGTGCAGGACATTGTTTTGCTGACAGAGCATCATTTTCTCTGACATCTCGAGGCAGGATTCACACTTTTACTGGTGGAATTTCATTTACTCTGTGGACCCAAGCCCAGGCAATCAAAGCATTAAATCTTCCTAGCAGGAAGAATGGTCTAGACCTGGACATAACTCAGGTCAGTCCAAATGAGCCTTTGTTTTGGGTCATCTGTTTGTATAGTTGGTGAAAGAAATGCTGTTTCCGCTGGGGATGCCACAAAAAGGATGTTGTTAGACTGCTTCTAGCACTATCTAATCACCATGAGAGAAGAGTTGGCCTAAGAATGGAGCTAACCCAAAAGAAAGCAAGGATGTAAGAAGGAGAAAGTAACACGGAGTCCCATTGACATCATTTGAACCCTGGATCCAGCCATGCCTGAAACCCTAGACTTTTAGGTCCAACAGATGATAACATTTCTTTTTCCTTACCCTAGAGATGCACTTCTGTCATTTGCAAGCAAAAGTCCAATCTAGACTATTTCATTTAAATGTTTTTGAAGCATATTGTCAGACTCCCAGAACAGTTAAACCAACTCATACTTCCACCAGAGCATGCATGTCCCCACAGTTGAAGCAGACATTGAGTCCTGTAGCTCTATTATAGGTTCCAAACAGACTTCCACAAAGGGTCCTCCATCTCAGAATCCTCAATTTGTTTTGTTTTGTTTTGAGATAGGGTCACCTCTGTCACCCAGGCTGGAGTGCAGTGGCACGATCATAGCTCACTACAACCTCAAGCTCCTAGGCTCAAGTGATCCTCCTACCTCAGGCTCCTGAGTAGCTGAGCCCACAGGCATGAATTGCCACACCTGGCTATTTTTGTACTTTTTGTAGAGGTGGAGTCTCACCATGTTGCCCATGGCTGGTCTCAATCCTCAATTTTAGAACTGGACAAGAGTGCAAGGAATCATGTATATGATGGTTAATTTCACTTGTCAACTTGACTGAATCAAGGTGCCGAAATGTCTGGACACAGCTTACTCTGGTGTGTCTGTGAGGGCATTTCTGGACAAGAGGAACACCTGAGTCAGTGGACTCTGGAAAGCAGACTGTCCTCCTAATGTGGGTGGACCTCATCCAATCAGTGGGAGGCCTAAATAGAACAAAAGGGAGAATTCTCTCTCCCCACCTGTCTTTGAGGTGGGACATTGGTCTTCTCTCGCACTTGGACTGTAACTTACATCATCTGCTCTCCTGGTTTTCGAGCCTTTAGACTGGAACAGGAACTACACCACCTGCTTTCCTGGCTCTCCAGCTTGCAGAGGGCAGATCCTGGAACTTCTCAGCCTCTGTAATCATGTGAGCCAATTCCTTACAGTCAATCTCTCTCTCTCTCTCTTTTTTTTTTTTTTTTTGAGACAGAGTCTTGCTCTGTCGCCCAGACTGGCGTACAGTGGTACCGTCACATGGGCTCACTACGGCCTCATCCTTGTGAGCTCAAGTGATCCTCCCACCTCGGCCTTCCGAGTAGCTGGGACTATAGGCGTGCACCACCACACCTGGCTAATTTTTAAACATTTTTTTTTGTAAAGATGGAGGACTCACTGTGTTGCCTAGGCTGGTCTCAAACTCCTGGGCTCAAGCAATCCTCCTTTCCTTGGTCTCCCAATGTGCTGGGATTATAGGCATGACCCCCGCCTTTCTATACATTTATCTCCTAATGGTTCTGTTTCTCTGGAGAACCCTGACTAATATAATGTGATAACTTGAACACAGAGAAGACCTTGTGCATAAAGATGTTCATTAATATTTATAAGAGCAAACAATTTGAAATAATTTATATGCATGAAACTTGTACAGAACAGAATATGGTACAATTGCTTAAAATAATGTTTATGAGGGTTTTTTCATTTTAATCAAATGGAAAAATTATTGCACTTGTGCCATAGAAAGGCCAGAATACAAAAATCAGATATCCTGTAATAATAATAATAACACTTTCATTTTCCTGAGCAGGAACGAAGTGCCAGACACTGCCTTGGGTATATTATGTGCATCATTGAACTAAATGACATTCTCAGCATTACATTCAAAATATCAAGAAGAAAGATTTGGAAATTATACCAAAAAGCCAACAGTGTTTGTCTTTTAAAATAAATCGGTTTTTTTCCCTTCTTTCCACCTTGTTTTACCCTCTTTACCACACTGAGTGTGTATTGCTTCTATATTTGGAAAGAATTAAAACAAACTGAATTTTTTAAAGTAAGATGGAGCCTCAGTCCCATGCCTCAACCCTTCCTCCAATTTGTACAAGATCATGGTACTCATGGTGGCAGCCGATGACAGGTGGTAGCATGCCCCTCCCCTTCTCCCAGGAGGCTGTCATCCCTAGAATCTTCCCATGAAGTTAAATTTAAAATTATTGTATAACTAATGTATCAGTAGTGCTACCAGCAGCAACATGATCTTATATGCAAATCGGTTTTATTTAATCACAGCACAAGCCCAGCATAGTAATTACCTATCAAGTGGTAATTACGCTTTTATTATTTTTTTAAACTTTCATTAAAAGAAAGCATTTTAAATTGGAAAGAAACAATCCATGTCACAAGCCAGTTAGTCAAAAAATGTTTGTCTGTTTGGAGGTCCCAGAATGAACATCGTAATATCCACCCCTGATTAAACACTTACCATGTAGCAGGCATCTCGAAAAGCACTTCGCATTTCATATCTCAATATGTATTCCTCGCTACTGTGCTGGGAGGTGCGTCTTGTTATCACAAAATTACTGATAAAGAAACAGAGACTCAGAGAAATTTCAATAGCTTGTCAAGCTTAATAGAATTTAAGGCGAGGAGCATTTAACACAGAAGCCAGGGGAGGTCGGCAGCAGTGACTCATGCCTGCAATCACAGCACCTTGGGAGGCTGAGGCAGGAGGATCGCTTGAGCCCAGGAGTTCAACACCAGCCTGGGCAACATAATGACACCTTATCTCCAATAAATAAATAAATAAATAAAATATTAGCTGGTTGTGGTGGCATATGCCTGTAGTCTCAGCTATGGGGAGGAGGCTGAGGTGGGAGGATTGCTTGACCCCAGGAGGTCAAGGCTGCAGTGAGCTACGATCACACCACTGCACTCCAGCCAGGGGGACACATGAGACCCTGTCTCAAAATTATAGATAGATAGATAGATAGATAGATAGATAGATAGATAGATAGATAGATAATCAATCTGACTTTGTGATGAAGCGATGCAATATAGGATGTATAAAAGGGAAGAATGATCTGATAGTCATCCGTGGGGTGCCTCAGAGGCTCTTTGACTTGCGTATTTAAAGTTCCTAAAGGAAGCCAGGGGATTTTACCCACTGTGCTGCTTTGCCTGGAGGGGTGTGGACTTCACCTCCCTGCTATGCTTTCCACAAAGGCATGCAGATGCAAATGAAGGAGGAGAGAAAGGCATGCCCGCAGTGCCCGCAGAAGAGCAGTCCTTCCCCTGGCTGGGGGTCATTTGCGTGTCTCTCTGTCTCCTATCAGGCTGAGAGCAGTGAGAGATGAGGTTCTCCGTGGAGTTAGGCACTCCTCCTAGACTGCCCCTTTCTACCCAATCCAACAAATCAGAAATATACCACTGGGATAACATTTCCTGTCTCTCACCATTCATATCATTTGGCAGATTCCGTGACCTTAATATCTTTCCATGCCTTCTACTGTTACTGATCTCCACTGCAGCATCCTGTTCTGGATGGCTTCATTGGGAAGTCTATGTATTTTCTCTAGCTTCAGGCATAGCTGTATCCAGGAGTTCACAAAGTATCTCCAGCCTGGATTCAGGATTTCAGGTACAGGCTCTTAACTAGCTACGAACCTTCCCATCTTTTTGTGCTTCTCTAACCTCACCATCTTCCCACCCTTAGTTCCGTCTGGTTTACATCCCAACGGATGTAAACAGAGAGGTCTTTCTAAAATGAAAATCTGATCACCATTCCTGTGCCAAAGCCATCAGTGGAAAGATGACAGTTGAACTTCCTGCCTTGGCATGATCTGCCATCAGCCTAGCTCCTCAATCTCACTATCCTCCATTTCCCCCATGTGCCATATAAAGAAAATTTATACCAAACTTGGGATACTGAATGCCCTTTAGATGTCATACCAAATTATTGCATTGTCTTCAAGTCAGCCCAACAGTCATCTGACTCTCAAAGGCAGAGCTTCTCCAACTTGAGTGCACGTCAGGATCCCTGGAGGACGTGCTAAACCCGGAGTACTGGCCTGCTCCTGGTGTATCCGATTCAGTGGGCCTGAAGTCAGCCCCAGTATTTACCTTTCTCATAGCCCTTGGGGGCTAACGCTGCCGGTCCAGGGACCACACTTTAAGAACCACAGCTCTGAGATCTTCTGGGGCAAGGGTTAGAAAGCTTCCTGAAAAGGGTCAGATGGTCAAGATTTTAGACTTCGTGGGCAAGACGGTTTCTGTTGCAGTGACTCAACTCTGCTATGGTAGTGAAAAAGCAGCTATGGGCAATATATAAACAGATGGGTATGCCTGTGTTCTAACCTTATTTATAATAACAGGTAGAGGGCCAGATTTGGCCCACAGGCCATAGTACTTTGCTGCTCTAGAGAAATGTAATTTTTTTTGAGACAGAGTCTTGCTCTGTTGCCTAGTCTGGAGTACAGTGGCGCGATCTCGGCTCACTGCAGCCTCTGCCTCCTGGGTTCAAACGACTTTCCTGCCTCAGCCTCCCTAGTAGCTGAGATTACAGGGACCCACTACCACGCCCGGCTAATTTTTGTACTCTTAGTAGAGGTGGGGTTTTGCCATATTGGCCAGGCTGGTCTCAAACTCCTAACCTCAGGTGATCTGCCCACTTTGGCCTCCCAAAGTGCTGGGATCACAGGCATGAGGCATCATGCCCAGCCAAGAAATGTAATTTTTTAAACTTACTATTTACTTTTAGGACCTAGACTCTGCAAAGTTAGATGTTAGCTCATAGAATATTTTTTGTTCCATACAGATGGAAAGTATTTCCATCTGAAAGAAAAGATAATTTCCAATGTTGTCATTTTATTGCCTTGTAGGGCGTTAACCTTCTTGTGTTATACTTCACAATTTTATTCCAGCATTCTTTCTTTCATTAACTGTACAGACCACCTCTGACTTACAACAGTTTGACTTAACAAATTTTTGAATTTACGATAGATTTATTGGGGCATTAAATTCATTTTTGACTTAAGATATTTTCAACTTACCATTGGCTTTTTGGAACATAACCCTATTGTAAGTCAAGGAGCATGTGTGTATACTTCAGTCTCTTGTATCTTCCTTTGGAGCAACTTGACTGCCCTGGTGGGGCTCTCATTAATGAGGTAAGTGAATCTCTGTCATGCGTTCACTACATATTGGCATGAAATTTTTTTTTTTTGAGTCAGGGTCTCACTCTGTTGCCCAGGCTGGAGTGCGATGGTGTGATCATGGCTCACTGTAGCCTCAACCTTCCAGGCTCAAGGGATCCTCCTACCTCAGCCGCCCCAGTAGCTGGGACCACAGGTGCATACCACCATACCCAGCTAACTTTTAAATTTTTTGTAGAGAAAAGGTTTTGCTATGTTGCTCAGTCTGGTCTTGAACTCCTGGGCTCAAGCAATTCTCCTACCTCGGCTTCTCAAAATGCTGGGATTACAAGCGTGAGCCACAGTGACCTGGCAACAACCACCATTTATTATCTGTCACAATATTGTGGGTTGGCTAGGCTCAACTGGGCAGTTCTTTTCTCTGGAGACAGCTGGGGTTGCCATCATCTGGGGTCGTGACCAGGCTAAGCACCTTAGTTCTCCTCTACATGGCCTCTCCATGCAGCTGAGGGCTGGGTTCCACGAGGGAACATCCTGAGCACACAAGACAAAGGCCCAGCCCTGGAGTTGACACAGCATCACCTCCACTGCACGCTATTGGTCAAAGCAAGTCACAGGGCTGGCTCAGCTTCTAGGGGACAGAAAATAGACTCCACCTCTCAATGCCAAGAGTGTCAGAGAACAGGCAGCCACTTCTAATCTCTCAGAGACAGATCAGGGCTGTTAAACTCAGGAAGAAATCTTCAAGGTGACCTTGAGTGGATTGGGATCATAATCCCAAAAGACACAATCCAGAATGCCATAATCCCAAATGTTGAAATCCCAGAAGATCAAAATCTTGAAAATATCATTCTGAAAAAAATCATAAAACATTAGGCCAGGCGCGGTGGCTCCTGACTGTAATCCCAGCACTTTGGGAGGCCGAGGTTGGCAGATCACCTGAGGTCAGGAGTTCGAGACCAGCCTGACCAATATGATGAAACCCCGTCGCTACTAAAAATACAAAAAATTAGGCCGGGCATGGTCGCAGGTGCCTGTAATTTCAGCTACTAGGGAGGCTGAGGTGGGAGAATAACTTGAACCCGGGAGGCAGAGGTTGCAGTGTGGCGAGATTGCACCACTGCACTTCAGCCTGGGTGACAGAGAGAGACTCTGTCTACAAAAAAAAAAAAAAAAAAAAAAAAAAAAAAAAAAATTGTAGGATATCACACTTACTAGGATGTTGCTAGAATCCAGGAAAGATTCAAGGTGTCTGTCACTAGCTGGGTAATCTCTTCAATCTGGAAAACCTAGTTTGTCATGGGGTGGGGAAAGGGAATCTCTACTCAGGAGAAAACATAAAGATGGTTTTTGAGGGTATGAAGCCCATTCGCCTCCTTGTCCAGAGACTTTAGCTACCATTCAGATGTTCTCTGGGGCCTCAGCTCATGATTAATTCATCAAGTATTGGTTGAGCTCTCGTCACATGTCAGGGATCATGCCTTGTGTTGAGGCTTACAATGGAAAGCAAGAACTACAAGAGCAAGATCATGATCGTTAGAGCAGAACCAGGAAACCCTGTGGCTTTGACTCACCAGCATGCAACGGGACCAAAAAAAAAAAAAAAATTCATCTCCTGTCCAATTTCATCAGCATTAAGTGGCCTCCTTTCTGAAGAGGGACAGCTGTTGGGAAACCCTTGCGGGGTAAGATGTAAAATGCTCACCATCCACCAAGTCATTGCTTATTTACTTACTTAATATAATAAAATCGGGGAAAGATCTGTTAAGAAATAAACACTTCACGGCAGTGCTGTCAATGATGGTGAGATGCTGGAAACAAGCTACCTGTCTAACAGTATGTGCTGAGAGCAAGCGTGTATATATGTGCATTGATATGGTTTAGCTGTGTCCCCACCCAAATCTCATCTTGAATTGTAGCTCCCATAATCCGCATGTGTCGTGGGAGGGATGCAGTGGGAGGTGATTGAATCATGGGGGTAGGTTTTTCCTGTGCTGTTCTCATCACAGTGAATAAGTTTCCTGAGATCTGATGGTTTTATAAGGGGCAGTTCCCCTGCACATGCTCTCTTGCCTGCCACCATGTAAGATGTGCCTTTGCTTCTCCTTCACCTTCCGCCATGCTTATGAGGCCTCCCCAGCCATGTGGAACTGTGAGTCCATTAAACCTGTTTTTTTTTTCTTCCTTCCTTCCTTTCTTTTTTTTGAGATGGCATCTCACTCTGTTGCCAAGGCTGGAGTGCAGTGGCACGATCTTGGCTTACTGCAACCTCTGCCTCCCGGGTTCAAGCGATTCTCCTGCCTCAGTCTCCCGAGTAGCTGGGATTACAGGTGTGTGCCACCATGATGCCTGGCTAATTTTTGTGTTTTTAGTAGAGACAGAGTTTCGCCATTTTGGCCAGGCTGGTCTCGAACTCCTGACCTCAGGTGATCCTCCCACCTCAGCCTCCCAAAGTGCTGGGATTAGAGGCATGAGCCATCACACCCAGTCTAAACTTCTTTTTCTTAATAAAGTACCCAGTCTTAGGTATTTCTTCATAGCAGTACGAAAATGGACTAAAACATGCATACAGAATCTGAATACGTCCACATTTATATACATACTGTGTACATTCTTAGTTGACCGGCGGAGATTCTAGTAACATCCTACTAAGTGCAATATCCTACTGTTTCGCCCTTATCCCTCCCAGGCTACTCTTCACACGGCAGCCAGAGAGATCTTGTTCAAACCTACGTCTGCTCCTGTCCCTCCTCATTCCTTAGTTTACAGGCTAATCCATGTTCCCCCCATGTGCCTTCCCTCCCTCCTAGGGCAGGTTGCTGAGCTGAGTTTGATGTTGGTGTTTAAGGATAAACAGGTTTCAGATAACACGTCTGCACAGAGGGAGCCATAATTCAGGGCTCAGACGGACCACCTGAAGTCTGATTCAGCTCTGGAGGAAAAATTGTCTGTGCTGGTTTTATGGCGTGACGTAGAGACAGAGCCAAACAGGAAAGAAGGCACGTGACAATGGAGACAGATGGAAGCAGTGACTCGACAACACAGGAATTTTGTTCAACTTACCCTCACATCTTTGGCATCTAATATTTCCATACAGTAGGAGCTCACCACACTTTTTAATTTTTATTTATTTATTTTTATGAGATGGCCTCTCGCCCCGTTACCCAGACTGGAGTGTAGTGGTGTGATCTCAGCTCACTGCAACCTCCACCTCCTGGGTTCAAGTGATTCTCATGCCTCAGACTCCTGAGTAGCTGGGATTACAGGCATGCACCACCATACCCAGCTAATTTTTTGTATTTTTAGTAGAGACAGGGTTTCACCATGTTGGTCAGGCTGGTCTTGAACTCCTGATCTCAAGTGATCTGCCCACTTCAGCCTCCCAAAGTGCTGGGATTACAGGCATGAGTCCCCACTCCTGGCCCGTTCACCACGCTTTTGTCAAATAAATAAATACAGGAGAAAATGAATGAGTGATGCATATAAAGGGTTTAATCTGAGTGCTTGACACACGGTGCTCAGTAAATGGTTCACAATATTATGTGACCAGACCACTGCCCAATTCTCCAGCGCCATCTCTGCCAAGACTCCCTCACTCTCCCAGGAAACTCAGCTGCGAATCCACCCTGGCACCTTGGAAGTGCTGGGTGAACTATCCCGGTTTTTCCTGGATCACCCTTCTCTCCATTCCTCCTGGATCACCCTTCTCTCCATTCCTCTATGCCACACCCTTTGAAGGGACCCTTGGTATCAGCTTCCTGGGGTAGCTTTGCTGATGCTTCTCCATGTACCTCAGTTTACCCTACCATAGCTGATGCACACCGTCTCATTTAATCCTGACAGTGACCTGTGTGAAAGGCATCATTACCCCCATATTACAAATGAAGTAAAAGGTTTCCAGGAGCAGCCTTGCCCACAGCTTCCTGCCGCTAAGCGGGAGAGCTGGGAACTGAGCTTGGACCCTCGGACTCCACAGTCTATTTTGTAGATTCCCATCACATTCATGTTAACAACAAGCTTTAAAAAATCAAACAATCAGTGTTTGTGCTAGAATGCTGGGGTCACAGATTATTTTTTTCTTCAAAATTGTATAATTCTGTTAAAATAATCAATCTTGCCTTTAGAGTAGAAAAATATACTTTTTTTGTAGGCTAAAGAAGATTGAAAGAATGCTTTTGTTCTCTGGGTGGTCTGGCAAAGAAGAAAAAACCTACATCACAGGAAAATTGATGAAACAGAAGAAATTCTTGGATGAGTGGGAAAAGGAAGGGTTTGTAAGGGTGACTGGAGCAAGAAAAATGAAGGAGCATTAAATAATAATGTCACCCACTTCAACTCATTGATAATATGAACACATTGCAGCCAATGTATCATTTCACATGACTGAAGTTGCCACCACCTTCATCATCTCCGTTGATCTCAGTGTCTACTCAACGAAGCATGCAGGACAAACAGGGCTTTCTTCCTTATGTAGGAACCAAGTTACAGAAAATTAGTGATTTCTCCAAGGTCTTAAGAGTGACTTGGGGGGCTGAATTAAGACTGGTACCCAGGCCAGGCATAGTGACTCATGCCTGTAATCCCAGCACTTTGGGAGGCCTAGGTAGGTGGATCACTTGAGCCCAGGAGTTCAAGACCAGCGGGGCAACATAGGGAGACCCTGTCTCCACAAAAAGTAAACAAAATTAACTGGGTGTGGTTCTGTGTACCTGTAGTCTCAGTTGCTCTGGAGGTTGAGGCACGAGAATTGCTTGAGCCCAGGAGGCGGAGATTGCAGTGAGCTGAGATGGCGCCACTGCACTCCAGCCTGGGTGACAGAGTGAGACCCTATCTAAAAAAACAAAAAGGAAGAATGGATCAATAATGTGTCTTTTATTTTTTTCTTATTGCCTTTCTTTAGCAGTTTTTTCTCCTGGCCAAAGTCTTTGAAGATGATGGTGCCTAAATTTGGCCCACTGTCTGGGGAGGGGCAGAGACACGGGAAATGAGTATAATGTTTAAGTGAGGAACTGCATTATATAGATCCTCACTTAAGAAGAGACGTCAGCTATGTGAGTTCTGCCACCAAAAATAAAAGAGTAAAAGAATTAGAAGAAAAAAAAAGTGGGTGTTCTAGTCCATTCAACATGCTATCAACGAGCAAAGAGATCCGAGTGAGGCTCAGATGAGAGGCAGAGCTCTGTGCTCCCTCCACGGGTCCTCCCTCCCTCCTAGGGCAGATTGCTGAGCTGACTTTGATGTTGGTGTTTAATGATAAACAGATTTCAGATAACACGGCCCGCAGAGCAAGCTGTAATTCAGGGCTCCAATGGACCACCTGAAATTTGATCCAGCTTTGGAGGAAAAATTGTCTGTGTTGGTTTTATTACATGACAGAGACAGAGCCAAACAGAAAAGAAGGCAGGTGATGACTGAGGCAGAGACTGGAGCCATGATGCTACCAGCTGAGGATCACCAAGGGTGGCCGGCTGCACCAGAAGCTGGGAGACGGGCCTGCAGCAGCGTCCTCCTTGGAGCCTCCGGAGGGAGCATGGCCGTGCCAACACCTGGGTTTTGGACTCTGACCTCCAGAGCTGTGAGAATACATTTGTGTTGCTTTAAGCCTTCCAGTTTGTGGTTGTTACAGCAGCCACAGGAAACAGCGACTAGGTTGGTTGTTTTCTGGGACATACGGGACTTCTCTTACGTGCAGTTGTGTCCCAAGGACTCCTGATGACCTTGCTGAAACTTTTAGAAAACTGCCCTACAGGCCGGGCGCGGTGGCTCACGCCTGTAATCCCAGCACTTTGGGAGGCCAAGGCGGGTGGATCATGAGGTCAGGAGATCGAGACCATCCTGGCTAACACGGCGAAACCCCGTCTCTACTAAAAATGCAAAAAATTAGCCAGGCATGGTGGCGGGCACCTGTAGTCCCAGCTACTTGGGAGGCTGAGCCAGGAGAATGGCGCGAACCTGGGAGGCGGAGCTTGCAGTGAGCAGAGAGTGCCACTGCACTCCAGCCTGGGCGACAGAGAGAGACTCCGCCTCAAAAAAAAAAAAAAAGAAAAAGAAAAAAAAGAAGAAAACTGCCCTACAGTGAAACCCTCTTCCTCCCAGCCCTCTGCCTTCCTGCTCTCCTCTGCAGGGGCCAGCCCCACACTCTGCCGGCCAATCTCCCATCTCTGCCCACCCTTCCTCTTTCCCTCCTGGGCCTTTTCCTTCTCCACCTCTTGGTCCCTGTTTCTCAGAGGACCGGGACTAACAAAGACATCCATATATCAGGTTCAACAGCTACCAAGATTTTGCAACGTTTGCTTCGTCACTTCCTTTTTCCTTCCTGTTTTGTCCTCAGATACTTTAAAGCAAATCCCATACCTCACGTCATTTCATTCCCTACATATTTCAGAGCCCACTTCTTAAAACCAGGAGTATTTTCTTATATAAACCACAATGTCATGACCATACCTAACACATGTATTGGTAAATAGTTTCTTGGTATTTTCCAGGCCTCACCTACATTCTCTAAATTATCTCAAAAATGTCTTTTCATAGTACTTGATTTGACTCAGTTTTGAACTCTGCATTTGGCCAATCTTTTTTATCCCAATCTGCCCCACTTATAAGTGACATGATGTTAGGCAAGTCACTTGACTTTTTTCCATTTCCCCCACCTTAAAACGGGGAAACCAATAGGATCTGCCTTACTGGGTTTTCCAAGAATTAAATGAGGTCATTCCTTCCTTCATTCATTCAACAAATGTTTTGTAAGCAGCTGCCCAAAATGCCTGGAACTGTTCTAGGTCCTGCAAAAATATCAGAACACAAGACCAAGTACCTGGCTTCATGGAGCTTATATTTTTTATTATTATTATTATTATTTTGAGACAGTTGCTCTGTTACCCATACTGGAGTGGAGTGGTATGATCTCGGCTCACTGCAACCTCCACCCCCCAGGTTCAAGCAATCCTCCTGCCTCAGCCTCCTGAGTAGCTGGGATTACAGGTACCTGCCACCATGTCCAGTGGATTTTTGTATTTTTTAGTAGAGACGGACGGTGTTTTGCCATGTTAGCCAGGCTAGTCTTGAACTCCTGGGCTTAAGTGATCCACCTGCCTTAGCCTCCCAAAGTACTGGGATTACAGGCATGAGCCACTGCGCCAGGCCTGATTCTAGTGGAAGAAAAAGACAATAAACACACAAAATTAATATGCCATAGAATGTCAGCTAGTTTCCCCAAATGTCAGCTACAAGTTTCCCCAAATTCTAATTTTTGTTTGAAAGAAAGTTTGTGAGTGCTGTGGGAAATTAACCTGGATAGCAGGAGGGCACAGGGTGGGGCACCCATTATGGGCAAAGGAGTGAGGAGGGTCCTTTAGGAAGAGACGACCATTAACAGAAACCTGAGTGAATGAAGGGTTGAGCCTCCCTGGGGAAAGTTCCAGGCAGACAGAGGGCACATTTAAAGTGGGCACTTGCTGGCACGGGAGAGCTGGAGTTCTCAAACTTCTTGGTCGCTGATCTCTTCACATTCTTAAAAATTATTGTTGGCTGACCTCCTGTTGGCAAAGCTAAAGAATTAAATGAGAAAAAAAAAAAAAAAAAAAGAGCCAGTGCGGTGGCTCACGCCTGTAATTCCAGCACTTTGGGAGGCCGAGGTGGGAGGATCACGAGGTCAGGAGTTCGAGACCAGCCTGACCAACATGGTGAAACCCTATCTCTACTAAAAATACAAAAACTAGCCGGGCGTGGTGGCTCACGCACCTGTAATCCCAGCTATTCAGGAGGCCGAGGCAGGAGAATCGCTTGAACACAGGAGACAGAGGTTGTATCTGTTGTGGTTTACCATATTAGAAGTAAAAACTAAAACATTACAAAATAATAACAATTTATTTAAAATATAATACTTTCATTAAATGTTAACATAAATAACATCATTTTAGTGAAAAACAACTATACTCCAAAACAAAACATTTTGGTGAGAGGAGTGGCATTATTTTGTATTTTTACAAATTTTTAAAAAGTCTGGGCCAGGAGCAGTGGCTCACACCTGTAATCCCAGCACTGTGGGAGACTGAGGAGAAAGGATTGCTTGAGCTCAGGAGTTTGAGACCAGCCTCGGATTACAAGCATTAGCCATTGTGTCTGGCCCCACTGTCCTATCTTGTACTTTGAATGGATCTTTTACTCATGTGCAATTTTATAACATCAGTCATTTGGAAAACATTGATTCGCTGAGTTATGCAGATCTTCCAAATGTTGACGCATTCTATTCTATTTTTTTTTTTTAATTACAGACATAAAGATGGCAACAATAGACACTAGCGACTACTAGAGGGGGAAGGGAGGGAGGGGGGCAAGCGTTGAACAACTAACAGTGGGTACTATGCTCAGTACCTGGGGGGCGAGATCATTCCTACCCCAAATCTCAGCATCATGCAGTATACCCAGGTAACAAACCTGCACATGTACCTCCTGAATCTAAAAGTTGAAAAAAAGTTACATTTATTACTATCACCACCAATCTTATCAGAAAAGTCTTTAAGAATTGGGTAGCTGTCCATCTCACAATGGTGGATACAAGTGTCTCCAAATTCTAATTTTTGTTTGAAAGAAAGCTTGAATTTTATAATTGGCAATAAATGCTGTCAAATGCACTGAGCCCTTCCTGTGCAAACCTCACTTTCCCTTCTAAGAACTCTGGGAGTAATAATGACAATTTTCACCATTTATTAAGCCCTTGCTGTATGCCGGACATTTTGCTAAGCAATTTGCCTCTGTTATCTTATTCTCCTTTTCACGATATCCCTGGGAGGTATTATTTCTCCCATTTTGCAGATGAGGAAACTGAGGTCCAGAGACACTAGTTACTTGCTTAAGGCCACACAGTTAGTGGCACTCCTATATACTTTCAGAGTTCCAGAAAAGAACTCTTGGGAAACACCTACTCATCAAGATCTAGCTCAAATGTTACCTCCTTGGGGAAGCCTTATGCCCAAACTGGACAATGAGAAAACTCACTTACCATTTGTTGAATGGTAGTTTAAAAGCACCAGGCACCGGGCATGGTGGCTCATGCCTGTAATCTCAGCATTTTGGGATGCCGAGGCGGGTGGATCACCTGAGGTCAGGAGTTTGAGACCAGCCTGGCCAACAGAGTGAAACGCTGTCTCTACTAAAAATACAAAAATTAGCTGGGCATGGTGGTGCATGCCTGCAATCTCGGCTACTTGGGAGGCTGAGGCAGAAGAATCGTTTGAACCCTGGAGGCGGAGGTTGCAGCGAGCTGAGATCATGCCACTGTACTCCAGCCTGGGCGACAAAGTGAAATTCCGTCTCAAAAAAATAAAAAAATAAAAGCACCAGGCAGCACACTCCATGTGCTAGCTCCATTACTTCATCTCCTCCTAGCAACAGGCTTATAGAACAGGTAGTGTTGCTTCCCCTGTCATAGTTTCCTATTGTTGCTGGAACAAAATTTACCGGCTTAAATCAACACAAGTTTTTTGTTTTAAAGTTCTGTAGCTCAGAAGACTCACGGGGCTAAATCAAGCTGTAAGCAAGGCTATGTTCCTTCTGGCAGCACTAGCAGAAAATGTTTGCCCTTTTCCAGCTCCTAGAGGCCACCCACATTCCTTGGCTCGTGGCACCAGCAGCGCAGCATCTTCAAATCTCTCCCTCTCTCTTTCTGCTTCTATTTTCACATCTCCTTGTGACCTGACTCTCTTGCCCCTCCTTCTTTCCCTCATAAGGACCCTTGTGATTACTTGGGACCCACCAGTCATGTCATAATTAGGTTATTTCCCAGGATAATCCATCTCAAAGCCTTTAACATTACCACATTTGCAATGTTCCTTTTACCATGTAAAGTAATATATCCACAGGTTCTGAGGTTGGGGCATGGACATCTTTGAGGGGAGGGGCATTATTCTGCCCATCACACCACCTTCTACAAAAGATTCACAGAAAATGTAGGTAACTTGCCCAGGTTCACACAGCTAGTGAGTGGGGGATTCCAGATTTGAACTTGGGCCTGTCTTGACTCCAGGCCTAGGCCACTGTCCCCAGACTCATGGGAGATACCAGGTGTATTAGTCGGTTGTCATGCTGCTAATAAAGACATACATACCCAAGCTAGGTAATTTATAAAGCAAAGAGGTTTAATTGACTCACAGTTCCACATGGCAAGGGAGGCCTCACAATCATGGCGGAAGGCAAATGAGGAGCAAAGTCACGCTTAACATGGCGGCAGGCAAGAGAGCTTGTGCAGGGGAACTCTCATTTGTAAAACCATTAGAGGCTGGGCGTGGTGGCTCACGCCTGTATTCCCAGCACTTTGGGAGGCTGACGTGGGCAGATCACTTGAGGTCAGGAGTTCAAGACCAGCCTGGCCATCATGGTGAAACCCCATCTCTACTAAAAATACGAAAATTAGCCGGGCGTGGTGTCACATGCCTGTAGTCCCAGCTACTCCAGAAGCTGAGGCAGGAGAATCACTTGAACCCAGAAGGCGGAGGTTACGGTGAGCTGAGATCCTGCCACTGCACTCCAGCCTGGGCGACAGAGCAAGACTGTCTCAAAAACAAAAACAAAAACAAAAACAAAAAAACAACCAAACAAACCAAAAAAACCACACACACACACACACACACACACACACACACAAACATTAGATCTTGTGAGACTTACTCACTACCATGAGAACAGTATGGGGAAAACCACGCCAATGATTCAATTATCACCACGTGGCCCCACTCTTGACACGTGGGGATTATTACAATCCAAGATGAGATTTGGGTGGGGACACAGCCGAAGTATATCACCAGGCTCTGCTAAGCACTGAAGGCCATAGTGCTTGTTCATAGCTTCCTTTTAACATCTATTTCCTTGTACTGAAGGTATGTGTTCATATCTATGTGAATTATTTGAAAATGAAGACTGGGATCTTTTTTATTTATTTATTTATATATTTATTTATTTGTGAGACAAAGTCTCACTTTTGTCCCCCAGGCTGGAGTGAGATGGTGTGATCTCAGCTCACTGCAACCTCCGCCTCCCGGGTTCAAGCAATTTTCCTGCCTAGGCCCCCCAGGTAGCTGGGATTACAGGTGCCCGCCACCATGCCCAGCTAATTTTTGTATTTTTAGTAGAGACGGGGTTTCACCATGTTGGCCAGGCTAGTCTCGAACTTTTGACCTCAGGTGATCCACCCGCCTCAGCCTCCCAAAGTGCTGGGATTACAGGCGTGAGCCACCGTGCCTGGCCTGGGATCTTTTGTTTATTATCACTTTTATTTGTTGTTCAAGCAACTGTATGATAAAAATCAGACAAACAACTATATATATATATATATATATATATATATATATATATATATATATATGTTTTTTTTTTTTTTTTTTTTTGAGACAGAGTTTCACTCTTGTTGTCCAGGCTGGAGTGCAATGGTGCCATCTCGGCTCACTGCAACCTCTGCCTCCCGGGTTCAAGCGATTCTTCTGCCTCAGCCTCCTGAGTAGCTGGGATTACAGGCGCCTGCCACCACGCCCGACTAATTTTTGTATTTTTAGTAGAGACGGGGCTTCACCATGTTGATCAGGCTGGTCTTGAACTCCCGACCTCAGGTGATCCACCCACCTCAGCCTTCCAAAGTGCTGAGATTACAGGTGTGAGCCACCGCACCGAGCCAGAGAGACAACCATAAATCACTAGTGAGTTTTCACGTCCCCCAGTTTCTATCCAAGTGCAGATATCGCTTTTCCATGGTTAAAATTATAGCACAGACACTATATTGTATTGTTTTCCCCAATTTTTTGTTATAAAAATTTTCAAACATAGAGAAAAGCTGAAATATATAGCACTACTTAGAGCCAACAATAGTAAACATTTTGCCATATTTGCTGTCTCTCCCTGAATGTTTATGTGTGTACATGATTTTATCTTTTGTTGAACCATTAAACAATAGTTTACAGGCATTATGGCCTTCACTCCTCAACTCTTCAGAATGCATCTCCTCACAATAAGGACATTCTCTCAGTGAGCACAGTATAATTATTACACTATAAAATTACCAATAATTCACGAAGATCACCCATATCCAATCCATATTCAAATGTCTCCAATTGTCAACAAATAGTAAAACCAGCTTAAAAGACATATCAGGATCCAAGCAAGATGACACATTGTATTTGGTTATGTTTTCTAGCTCTTCTATTTTGGAACAACCCCTCCCTACCACTTATATTTTTCTTTTCTTTTCTTTCTTTCTTTCTTTCTTTTTTTTTTTTTGAGACAGAGACTCGCTCTGTCACCCAGGCTGGAGTGCAGTGGCACGATCTCGGCTCACCGCAACCTCCGTCTCCGGGGTTCAAGTGATCCTCCCACCTCAGCCTCCTGAGTAGCTGGGACGCCTGGTGTGCCACACTACATCCCACCAATTTTTGTATTTTTAGTAGAGTTGGGGTTTCATCATATTAGCCAGGCTGGTCTCCAACTCCTGACTTCAAGTGATCCGCCCGCCTCGGCCTCCCAATGTGTGGGATTCCGGGTGTGAGCCGCTGCGCCTGGCCCACTTATATTTTTCATGGCATCCCATTTATGAAGAGACCAGGCTCCCTATTTTATGTAACGTGGGAATGGATCTTCCTGTTCATCTCCTCTGCTCAGTGTACGGTCTAGCAAGAGCAGACTCTCTGTAGGTGTTTGTTGAATAAATGAAACCAATAGTAATGGTTATTAATAACAATCCCAGTAGCCAATTTTTATTGACTATTCTCTTGGCCAGTGTGCTCACGTTAATCTAATTTGAACCTCACAGAAATCTTACGCGTTATGACATATTTGTCTTATTCACAGGTGAGGAAACCAAGGCTTAGGGAAGGAAAGTCGCTTGTCTGAAATCACAGCTAGAAAAGGGGCCAAAACCCAAGGGTGGACCCACTGGCTGGAAAACAGTGCAGTTAGGCAGGGGCCCCTGTTTCTTAATAATGAATGAACCAACGACCCCCAAGGCTGGTTTGCCCGTGCACACGCACGCACGTGTGCAACACGTAGCACTTGCTGAGTGTTTGCTACTTGCCAGGCCTCATGTCAAGCACTTTACGCGTGCTTTTATGCCCTACGTTTTGTTTTTGTCTGTTTTGCTTTTTTCCCCTAATGCCTAGCCAAAGGCGTGGCCCAGGCGCCCAGGCAGGACTTGGGGAGTGAATGAAGAGTGAACAAATGAATGAATGCGCGGCAACGGGATCTTCATAAACCAGACCCTCCTCGGGGATCTAATGCGAACACTCCCGAGGCCCGGGCCCAGGTACGCTGAGGGCGGCTCGTGGGCCCCAGGCCGACCTCAGCCCGCGACTCCCGGGCTCCGGGGGCCCAGGTGGCCCCCAGTAGGTGAGGAGCCGGGCCCGCCGGCGCCTTGGCGTTGCCACCTCTACCTGCCTGCCCTCTCCCCTTCCGGATCCACAGCCAGGCCTCGGCGGGCTCCTGGTGTGCAGCCGCCCGGCCGCTTCCGCCCGAGGGTCGCGGGGCTCAGAGTCCGGCAGGCTCCAGGCGGGGCAGGGGATGTCCGCGGCCCGGCAGGCGCACGCCCACCTGTCGGCCGCGCAGGCGCAGCAGCGGGCCGGCCTCCCCGCGCCCCGCGGCGCGCGGCCAGTGCGCAGGCGCGGCGGCCGATGCGAGTGTGTATGTGCGGGCGAGAAGATGGCGGCGGCGGGGGAAGCAGCGTGAGCAGCCGGAGGATCGCGGAGTCCCAATGAAACGGGCAGCCATGGCCCTCCACAGCCCGCAGGTAGCCGCCGGTCTGCGCCTTCGGCCGGAAGGGGCCCGAGCCCCGGGCGGGCGGACGCCGCGGCGGGCGGGCGTCCGCGCCCTGCCCGGAGCGAGCGTGTGGGAGTGGGGGAGGGCGCTGGGACACGCTGCCCGGGCCTAGGCCGGAGCCACCCGCCGCCTCCGCGCCCGCCGCGCCTTCGTCCCCTGAGCCACCCGGACCCCCTAGTCCCGGGGAGGTCGAAGGGCGGGGGCTCCGGGCCCCGCTTGGGGAGGGCGTGGAGGGCGCCGAAGGGGTTAACCTCCCTGGGGCTGGACCGCGGGGCGAGCCCGGGGTGTGGAGTGGGGCCCTCCCCGCCGCGCCGGCCGGGGGAGGCGGCCCGGGGGCTCCGGGAGTCCCCTGGAGCGCAGGGGCCCCAGAGCAGCTCAGGTTGCTGCCTCTGCCTGGAGCGAGCCTCAGAGATTTGGGGGTGCCCTGTTGCCCCTTTGCCCCAAGAGCTTCCTTTCTCAGCTTGATTGATGATGCGGGGGTTGCCGATTTTCTGTTTTTTAGATAGAAGTAGCAGAGTAGCGGCCTTGGGCTGCTGTTGCAAAGAAAACTCGAAATAAGTCGCAAGGACCGTACTTTCACTTGCGTTTGAGTGACATCCCTTGCACGAATCCATCCCAGCCAGGCTGACAACTAACGCACCCTGCCTGAACAGTAGCTAAAGCTTGGGGGCCCTTTACAATAATCCCGTGGTGGAAAGAAAGAGCTCTTTTTGGGAGATGTGCGTGTAGAGTTAAGCTCTTATTCCCCTCTCCCACCCCTTCTCTCACATCTTCTCCCCCCTCCGCCATTATAATTATTCTGGACAAAAATCGGCATGATGTATTATTTGTCAGCCTTGCTTTAGACTGCTAATTTGTTGACATCTGGTCCCTATAAATTGTTGCACACTTTTAAACCATCTCATTGTGTATTTGTATTAAATATGGGGAAATGAAACAAAGTAGCCATTCGGGAAACTGATTGCGAGTAAAATCATAACCCTTCATGAGCAATTGGGTTTTGTTGCCCTTCTGCAGATGAAGTCAATCTGACTACACCTCTTTTGAAACATGATTTTCGGAACTATTGTAATGAATGCGTGTTGTGGAATCTAAAATGCGAAAACTTTTTAAAAAATTAGATCTTACGACAAGCTTCAATTTTGTTAAATTAGCTGTAGTTTAGTTTGCATCAGAATTTCCCCCTTTAACGTTTTGTTCCCTTATTCATTTACTTTTGTAAGTAGTGTAGGTCTTTGCGCCAAAAAAGGGATCAGTAGTTGAATAATTTTTACAAATGTATAGCCCAAAGATTTTAAGAGATTTGGTGTATTTAGCTTTGTTTAGACCTTTCTGTTAAAAAAAAAGATTTGATATTTGCTTTTTTCTCAACTTAAATCCTAATTAACTAGCTTATTAGAATTGGTATGAACAAGTAAAAGGCTCATTATGAATTAATGTGTAATATTCCTTGTGATTTTGACATGAAGAAAGCATCTTTAGGCATAGCTCACTTCCTTTATTTAATAAGCATCAATCACAATTCAAGGTTGATTGAAATGTTAATTAATGGGGATGGATAATATGTAAACTTAATTGTAATTTCGTTTGCATTCATTGTCCCAGTATTTACGTTTTATACAACAGTCTAAAGCGTTATACACATCTTTAGAAAATTGGAGTAGCAAAAGTTGGCGGAACGTAAATGTTAGCAACACTTTGGGTTTATTCTTTTAAAGTATGATTTAAATGCTTTTAAGTTTTAGCATGGAGAAAGTAGCAAAGGAAATAGTTTGATTTCTCATAATTTTCTTCTTCTTTTTTTTTTTTTTTTTGAGTTGGAATTTGGCTCTTGTTGCCCAGGCTGGAGTGCTGTGGTTATTAACCTATAAACTTTTTTATTTATTTTGAGATGGAGTTTCGCTCTTTTTTTTTTTTTTTTTTTTTTTTTTTTGAGACGGGAGTCTTGCTCTGTCGCCCAGGCTGGAGTGCAGTGGCATGATCTCGGCCCACTGCAACCTCTGCCTCCCGGGTTCAAGCGATTCTCCTGCCTCAGCCTCCCAAGTAGCTGGGATTACAGGCGCCCACCACCATGCCTGGCTAATTTTTTGTATTTTTATTAAAGACGGGTTTCACCATGTTGATCAGGCTGGTCTCAAACTCCTGAGCTCAGGTGATCCACCCGCCTCGGCCTCTCAAAGTGCTGGGATTATAGGCGTGAGCCACTACTGCGCCTGGCCGATTTCTCATAATTTTCATTTTAAAAGAATAGTAATGCAAACAAGTAATGGAATCATGTATGACAGGATTTAGTTACTGGTTCCTGCTCCAGTCATTCTGAGCGTTTTAATAAATTTGTTTTACTTGGTTGCCTACTGTCCTAAGAGTCTTGCAGCCTTAATGGCCATTCATTCATTCAGCAAATACTGATTGTTTATCAGATATTAAGCGTCATGGTATGTATATTACTTGTTTATGTTGGGAATAACAACTGCAAATTGAAGGTCTTATTTTAAAATTGACTTGTTAAAGTTAAATTTGTCACTGAGAATAATGGGAGGTGGAAAAAGTTACAGTTTAAAAATGTTTACAGGCCAGCGCGGTGGCTCGTGCCTGTAATCCCAGCACTTTGGGAGGCGCAGGTGGGTGGATCACTTGAGGTCAGGGGTTCGAGATCAGCCTGACCAATATAGTGAGACCCTGTCTCTACTAAAAATACAAAAATTAGCCGAGTGTGGTGAAGCTCGCCTGTAGTCCCAGGTACTTGGGAGGCTGAGGCAGGAGAATCGCTTGAACCCGGGAGGCGGAGGTTGCAGTGAGCCGAGATCATGCCACTGCACTCCAGCCTGGGCGACAGAGCAAGACTCCCGTCTCAAAAAAAAAAAAAAAAAAAAGAGCGAAACTCCATCTCAAAATAAATAAAAAAGTTTATAGGTTAATAACCTTATTTCCAAATATTAGAAAGTGTTGGTTGATCCCTGTTACCTGTATTGAAGTGTAATAGTGAAGAATTTGGAAACATTTTGAGACCGGTAACTCAGCATTTTAGCAAAGACAAATAAATGAACTTTAACAGTTGAAGTGTAGGTCCAAGTGAATATCCTTGTCACTGAGGGGACCGGTTAAATTATTTGGGGTAATTAATTTGAAGCTATTAGTTTTGCCTTACACCGAAAAAATATTTGTGATTATTGATGTCATTTATAGTGAAATCTCCACAATAATGCTTCCTACACCCAATTTGAATGTCATGCAGTTGGCTTCTGTCCTTGTCTCTGCATAGACTCACCCCAGTCTCTTTTTTAGCTTGTAATAGCAGATCCTCCACATTTTACATGATGGAAAGTCTTGGATTCCCCCTCTAGCATATGGCTGAATGTTACTGTATTGCTGAATATCTGTTTCTAGCCAACAGCTGGATTAGTGTTAATTCTTAAAAGAGATACATTTTTATTAGAATCTCAAGTAATGAGCAGCTGAAGTAAATACAATTGTTTGAAATGTTGACAGGGCATTTGGAGATAACAGTTTTCCTTTGCATAGTGACAGCAAGCTATTTAAACATGTCCTAAGAGTAGATGTTTTAAGTTTGTGAGCCAGTGGTCACCTTAGTGGTTTGTACAGATGGCCTGAGAAGTTTGTGAGCCAGTGGTCGCCTTAGTGGTTTGTACAGATGGCCTGAGCAGCCGCGCCGTACCAGGACCTCACCATCATGCTCTTGAGCCCATCTCATTGAGAGCACAGCGCACTGAAATTCCAGTGAATACTAAGCGGGCCTACCACATTCTAAATTCCTCACTAAAGCAAAAGTTAGGACATGTATTCCAGTGTTCTGTTACGTGGAACTGATAGGATTTAAGCAGTGATTCACATAGGAAAACTTAAAGGAGAAAAGGATTACGAAGCTTAATGATTGCTGTTTAATGCCAAGCCTAAGCGGCACGTTGCACTGTGCTGTGCTCAGAATATAACATTCAAGTAATTGAGAAAAGTGGTATCATCTCCAATTGAATTAGTTACATCAGGGTTTTTGTTTCGGTTTTTTGTTTGTTTGTTTGTTTTTAAAGATATAATTTCAGACATGTAGGTACTTCCTGTTAATGGTTCCTGGTATTCAGGTGGCACATTAAACGTGGTTGCTGAGGACACTTATTACTGGTACTATACCAAAATATGAAACGTAGTGGGAAGAGCTTGCTTTTGAATTTGTAATTAGGCTGTTACTTTTCTATTTACTGCCACACATGCAAGAATCACCATCGCACAAAACAGATAAATCTGTTTGCAATGGAATTTGCTGGCCTTGGGCCATTGGATTACTGTCATTTGTCACTTTAGT
This sequence comes from Homo sapiens, assembly GCF_000001405.40. Taxonomy (NCBI): domain Eukaryota; kingdom Metazoa; phylum Chordata; class Mammalia; order Primates; family Hominidae; genus Homo; species Homo sapiens. The sequence continues at coordinate 84,704,459 of NC_000016.10, forward strand.
GCCACTTCAGCAGTGTAGATGTTCATTTCCAGAGACTTGTATGTGCTTGGACTGCAGTTTTCCTGTTTATTGAAGTGTTCTCCCAAAAGGTCTTTCTTTGACCATTTCTGTCAATACAGGCTGGATGAAGAATTAGTGTAGGAAAATAAAGGTAGCCCTTGGGGTATGTGTATAGTATTTGTTTCAAGGATCAGAAAATGTAGAATTTATCATAAACCTCGATGTAGAATCTTCAGATCCTAGATTTTTTCTGAACTGGCTATTTTCTGGCTATTTGAAAGCTCCTGGGCCATGATCCCATTTTCATCAGATGACTTGAGAACCCAGAAGCTCTACCAGCACTGCCATTCTGTCCCGTCTTGAAACATCATGCCCTGGTTGCCCTCTCCTGGAATAGGGCAGGTAAGGTGTTGAGATAGAAATGTGGTTTGGGGCTGTTACAGCCTGAATTCCTCGACTTTCCCTTTTGGGCTCACATGAGAATTGTTAGGAGAATGTGCATGTGGAGTGCGGGCCCAGCACCTGCTACCGTCTGCGCTGTAATGGTGGCTGCTCCTAAGAGTCCTCAGTCTCCTCCCCGTTGGGCTTGTGTGTACAGCCTTATCGGTTGTCATTCTTCGGATCCATTCTCAGTTTATTTTTCTGGTATTAGCTGGAGGGACATCTCCTTAAGCCTGTACTCTATGGCTCAGGAGTCTCAAAACCAGTCCATTTTGAAGTGAGAGTATCCCTAATAAAAAGGTGAGTGTCCCCACTCCTGTGCCTTGTTTTTTTTGTTTGTTTTTTTTTTTGAGACGGAGTCTCGCTCTGTCGCCCAGGCTGGAGTGCATTGGCGGTATCTTGTCTCACTGCAACTTCTGCCTCCCGGGTTCAAGTGATTCTCCTGCCTCAGCCTCCTGAGTAGCTGGGACTACAGGCACCCGCCACCATGCCCAGCTAATTGTTTGTATTTTTAGTAGAGACTGGGTTTCACCATGTTAGCCAGGATGGTCTCCATCTCCTGACCTCACGATCCGCCCACCTCGGCCTCCCAAAGTGCTGGGATTATAGGCGTGAGCCACCACACCCAGCCACTCCTGTGCCTTTTGAACCTGATTTTTACATCTAGCTGACTCCTCCCTCCGTCCCTTTCCCTCTTTCTTTCTTCCTGATCTGATGGTGCTAGATTTTTGTTTTCCCATTTGTCTTTGTTTTATGAAGATGTGCTCCTTTCCATTTGTGTATGTTGAGTACAGACATAATCATGCCCTTGCTTGCTTTTTTTTTTTTTTTTTTTTTTTTGAGACAGTCTTGCTCTGTTGCCCAGGCTGGAATGCAGTGGTGCGATCTGGGTTCACTGCAGCCTCTACCTCCCAGATTCAAGCGATTCTCCTGCCTCAGTCTCTCAAGTAGCTGGGATTACAGGTGCCTGCTACCACGCCCAGCTAATTTTTTTGTATTTTTAGTAGAAACGGGGTTTCACCATGTTAGTCAGGCTGGTGTGGAACTCCTCACCTCAGGTGATCCACCTACCTTGGCCTCCCAAAGTGCTGGGATTACAGGCATGAGCCACTGCCCCCAGCATCCCTACTCATTCTTTGAAAAAAACAATTTGTTGTTGTTTTGTAGAGACAGGGATTTGCTGTGTTTCCCAGGCTGGTCTTGAACTCCTGGCCTCAAGGGATCCCTTCTGCTTCAGCTTCCTAAAGTACTGGGATTACAGGTGTGAGCCACCGCGCCTAGCCTCCCTATTCATTCTGCAAGTATCAGTCTTTTTACTTTTGATAGGACATGTTGAAGTTTTGGTTAAAAATAGAAGAGGATTTGAAAATGAAGTTCAATTCTAGAGGTTTTCGAGATTCCTGCCCAATATAAAAAACTTCTGATACATTAAAACAATTTTTTTATACTTCATTTTTTAGAGCAGTTTTAGGTTCACAGCAAAATTGAGAGAAAAGTACAAAGAGTTCCTATATACCCCTTCTCTTGGTATTTTAAGTAATAATTTCCCTTACGTGGCTGCAAAGACTATATATATATTTATATGTATTTATTTGTATATGTATTTATATTTATTTATATTTTTATATTTATATATATTTTTATATATATATATTTTTTGAGACGAAGTCTTCCTCTGTCACCCAGGCTGGAGTGCAGTGGCGCAATCTCGGCTCACTGCAAGCTCCGCCTCCCGGGTTCACGCCATTCTCCTGCCTCAGCCTCCGGAGTAGCTGGGAATACAGGTGTGCGCCACCACGCCCAGCTAATTTTTTGTATTTTTAGTAGAGACGGGGTTTCACGGTGTTAGCCAGGATGGTCTCCATCTCCTGACCTCGGGATCTGCCCACCTCGGCCTCCCAGAGTGCTGGGATTACAGGCGTGAGCCACCGCGCCGGGCCAAGACTATATATATATTTATTCAAGACCTGAAGTAGGCTTTCTGGGTAGATCTGATCATTGGAGAAGGAGAAACATATTTATTACGAGATACTAAGCATTGTAGTAGTCATCATTTGAAGCCTATAAACTCTATAAACTGCATAGTTTAGAAAGTGCCTTAGCTTGTTTGAGCCTTTACAGCAACTCTGTCCTGTATTATTATAACCATTTTACAGATGAGTAAGATAAGACCCAGAGAGGTTGTGGCTTGAGGTCAAATGGCTGCTGGCCATCAGGACCTTTTAAAAGCAGGTGTTTTGACTTCTAAATCCTTTGCTTTTTCTACTTTGCCAGACTGGTTTTCTGGAAGAGACTGATGAAGGCATAATCTTTCACACTGTGACTTCCCCTTAGTAGTTCCTCCATAAACATTTACAGAATGAATGAATGAAATGTGCATTTAGAAACTTTAATGTTACTAATTACAAAATTTGTTACTATAATATGTTACTATTCACTAAAGTTTGTGTGGGGTACATTTTAATAAAGTCGTTTATTTTATTTTCTAGTATAAAGACATGCTATTTTTAAGACACGAAAACAGCACAGACGTATTTAAAGTGAAAAGTAGAAGTCATTCCCTTCCTCTCTGATCCTTAATCGTCAGTTTGGTGTGTGTCTTCTATGCTTTTTTCCACTGGAGTATTTTGTTGTTGTTGTTCCGTTGTTTCATAATATGGTCTGTTGTATCTAGTCACTGAACTTTATTGAGCAAACCTTGTTTTCAAAATTATTGAAAACATCCACTGAAGTCAGTTTTCTTAGGTTTACCTAATTTTGCCAGGGAATGAAGCAGATATTCTGGAGATTGAAGTGACTTATCAGGATCCAGTGTGCAGGGGATTGTGGAAGTGCTGCCACAACTTATAACATGTTGTCCAAACAATTTTTTTTTTTCTTAAGAAATATTTTGGGCCAGGTGCAGTGAGTGACTCACGCCTGTAATCCCAGCACTTTGGGAGGCTGAGGCAGGCGAATCACTCAAGCTCAGGAGTTTGGGACCAGCCTGGGCAACGTAGCAAAACTCTTTCTCTACAAAAATACAAAAATTCACTGGGCATGGTGGTGCTCTCCTGTAGTCCCACCTACTTGGGAGGTTGAGGTGGGAGGATCGCTTGAACCTGGGAGGTGGACATTGTAGTGAGTCGAGATTGTGCCACTGCACTTCAGCTTGGGTGACAGAGCGAGACTCTTACGTCAAAAAAGAAAAGATAAGAAATATTTTGAAGACTTCCACCCCCTTAGTAGTAGTCATGCTGTCCGGTGTTCATAGTGTAAAAAGAGGTCTGGCTGGGCGTGGTGGCTCACGCGTGTAATCCCAGCACTTTGGGAGGTCGAGGTGGGTGGATCACCTGAGGTCAGGAGTTTGAGACCATCCTGGCCAACATGGTAAAACCTCATCTCTGCTAAAAATACAAAAATTAGCCGAGTGTGGTGGCGGGCACCTTTAATCCCAGCTGCTCCGAAGGCTGAGGCAGGAGAATAGCTTGAACCCGTGGGGGCAGAGGTTGCTGTGAGACAAGATCACGCCACTTCACTCCAGCCTGGACGAAAGAGTGAAACTCCATCTCAAAAAACAAAAAAGGAGGTCTGATTCACATTCAGATTCTTGTCCATCCATTGCCTTTGCACTAGATTTATGAGAGGACAAACTTTTTATTAGTTGGAGATTGGTAAGTCACCTGCCCTAGGGAATAATGAGAAACTGGGTAATTCACCTGAATTTTTCTCCATCTTCTTCAAAATCATGTTTTTGTCTTCTGTCACTTTGTTTCATCAGAGTACTGCAATGGCAAAAAACAAAACACTTCCCAACTCAGGTCCCACTCCTGAGAGATAACCACATTTAAGTACTTCTGACTTGTAATAGAATGCAAAATCGGGGCTTCCAAGTGTGGTTTACTATTTTGTTTAGAATTAATTTGTAGAATACTAGACACTTTTTTCAGAACCACATATGAAGGACTTTATATCTTTTGTGATTGTTCACAGATTTTGGTGGCCGGACGTTAGGAGTATAGAGCTGAAGAGAGAATTCCTGTGCTTTAGAGGTTCGCTGGGTAGTGAGGGAGAGAAGCAGGCTAATGGCTGGGTGCATCCAGTTTTAGGGTGGTAATTCCTGTAACACAAGTGTGAACAACATAGTCAAGAACATTCATTCATTCGTTTGTTCATTCATTCAGCAAATAGTTACCGAGTGGCTGCTGTGTACCAGGCACTGAGGAGGGAGTGATGAGCGAAAACAGGCATTGTTTCTCTCGCGGAGGAGTTTATGGGTCCATTGAGGAAGACAGCTTGCTAATCAGATAATCACAGTTACGTACACGTCACTCCAAACTGAGAGATGTTTCCCAAAGGAAGGGAACACAATCTGAAGTCAGAGAACCGTTCCCGTGGAAGTGACGTGTTTACAGCATGAGACAGTGGGGACAGCATGTGTGGTGGACCTTTGGCTGGAGGGAATTTGGAGCACTTTGGAGAACTCAGCAAGGAGTTGTGTGTCTTGGGCACAGAGCTGGAGGGGAGGGACAGACGCACCATCCAACCTTGCAGCCTTTGTTAGATGTTACTGTCTTTATTCTGAGAAAAGTGTGGAAGAGGGGGTGGTACAACATTTGACCATGGAACCTCATAATCACATTGCCTTTTGGGATCATACTCTGCCCAGTGAAGAATAGACTCACGGGGTCGCAGTGGCCATAAGGAGATCATTTAGGGCAGGGTCCTTGGACTTTTGACTCGGAGGGTGCCGTGGAGGTGGAGAGAAGTTGCGTGACTCAGGAGTTAGGTATAAGGTGTTTCAAAAAAGGAGGAGAGTGGGACTGAATGTTGGGCAAAGCTGGGAAGACGTCTCTTGTAGAACGGTGACATTTGAGCTGGAGTTTTTCAGGCAGAGAAGCACACGGACAAGGGCATGTGGAGGAGACTGTGCAGAGGAACTGTCTCAAAGCCTGCAGCCTGTTTGGGAAACAGATAAATTTGTGGCTGAAATGGTGTGTAGGGTGAAGTGGTTAGCCGGGAGTCTGGAGAGGAGAGAGAAAGAATTTGGTAATCCAAGCTCAGGACTGAGTGAAGTTGGTAGCAACTCTGTGTTAAGATAGCTGGTTGAGGCCGGGTGCGAGGCTCACGCCTGTAATCCCAGCACTTTGGGAGACCGAAGTAGACGGATCACTTGAGGTAAGGAGTTTGAGACCAGTCTGGCCAACATGCTGAAACCCCATCTCTACTAAAAATACAAAAATTAGCCGGGCGTGGTGGCGCATGTCTGTAATCCCAGCTACTTGAGAGGCTTAGGCAAGAGAATCGCTTGAACCCGGGAGGCAGAGGTTGCAGTGAGCCAGACTGTGCCACTGCACTCTAGCCTGGGCAACAGAGCAGACTCCATCTCGGAAAAAAAAAAAAAAAAAAGATTGCTGGGTTGAGTTGATTGTGCAGGGGTCTTACTTAGATGCTTCGAAAGTTGTCAGGGATTTGATTCTTTAGGCTCTCCTCCATAGCTGGGACTCTACTCTCTGCTCATTTTGGCATCTTAAGCCTCATAACTTTGAGGGGAAAGAAGTAGGGCATTTCTTTTGGGGACTTTTGAGACAGATTAATGTGAGGCAGGTAGCCCTTCAGTGTCCTCAGTGGTAATTGGATAGAGTAGTTAGGGAAGGTCATTTAGGGACATATTCCCTTTATTTTGAGGGGGAGGCACCTTTAAAAACAAGCATCTGTCCCTTGATTATATTCGTAGAAAATATTAAGGAAAACTTAGGTGACTTGTTACCTTATTTTAAATGTTTCCTGTAGTACTTTTGGTAGTAAACTTTAGAAATTTGGAATCATTGGATTTAACAGCGTTTTTAGGTTTGTGATCCTCGAGTGCCCTCTTCTAATACCAGAATCACCTGGCACCCTGGGTGCCACCAAGAGACACTGAGTAAGGATCCCTGTGAGCAGGTCCCCAGGCCGTCTGAGCCAGGCTCAGGTTGCAGGTCGTCCGCATGGGTTTGTGTACAGCTTTTTTTGTTTTAACTTGTTGAGCCCTTTCGCATGAATAGCAATAACGAAATCGTATTTTGGACAAAGTGTTACATCTCCAGTCTAGGTTAGGCGTGAACAACAACAAAAATATGAATTGTGCCCCTCCCTCTGAGTGTGATACTCACTTATTTTAGCGCCGAGTGGAATGGTGGAACAGTTGTGAGCAGATGAGAAACCTGACATTTTGCCACTTTGAAGAGCTGTCATGTCGTGTCTTCAGAACGAGATTTCAGTTTGGCTTGGCATTCATTAAGTCCATGATTATGCCTTTTAAGCAAGCATTTACCCAGTACTTGCTCTGTGCCAGGGCCCGTGTTGGGATTTATAAGTTGCAAAAAAACATGTTTTTAAAAATGTAAGTACACATGTGTTCCCCAGAACCTTAAGAGCTGCTCTGGCTGTTGCTCTGCACCCCACATCTTGAAATAGGACCTTTGTGGACAGCATGGGATCAGCACACTCCCCCACAGCTCAGTGTAACTGTGAGCATCTGATGTCCCAGAGAACTGGAACTTTATAATTCATCCTGAAGCCTGGTTGTCAACATCTCTGAGGATGTGTGCATAGCATTAAGCCAATTTACCATCGGGAATTCCTGCTCTCTTTTGCTGTTGTTGCTCATGGATTCGTCAGGTGAGGAAATTCTAGTCTCTAGTTTTTCCCAAACTGGTGCTGAAATAATTACGCTTGGTTCTCTGTTGCTTCTTACCTCTTTGCTCTTCTGTGCCACAACAATGTATTCTAAGTTAGGTGCCAGCAGCAGAAACTTTTCTTCCACCTATAACTAGAGTTTTAGGCGTGAGGAAGGGCTAGCTTTTTTTTTTTTTTTTTTTTTTGTCTGAGATGGAGTCTTGTTCTGTCACCCAGGCAGTGGCAAGATCTCAGCTCACTGCAACCTCTGCCTCCGGGGCTCAAGTGATTCTCTGGCCTCAGCCTCCTGAGTAGCTGGGATTACAGGTGCGTGCCACCATGGCTGGCTAATTTTTGTATTTTTAGCAGAGACGGGGTTTCACCATGTTGGCCAGGCTGGTCTTGAACTCTTGACCTGAAGTGATCCGCCTGCCTCAGCCTCCCAATGTACTGGGGTTACAGGCATGAGCCACCGCGCCCGGTGGCTTTTGCTTTTTAAGGTGGACAGAAACACCTTGCAGCTGTGCTTCGTTGCCCTTGCTGCTTTTGGGTGGAAACATAGACTTAAGTTAGCATATTCATCAGTTGATCTCTTTTCTGTGAGAAGGGAAAGAAATCGCAGTATTTTGTGTGTATGGCAGGCTTTGAGGGCCCTTATACTTTGATTCTGTAGATGCCCTGTCCTTCCTCAGGAGGCAGTCAGCTGTGTACAGAGGCCCTTGTGGTCCTGTCCTGAGAGTAGCGGAAGGAAGACATGGCTCTGCCTGGGGAGACTGTGCCTTATGCAGAGGCCAACACCACATGGATGAGCCGGAAGCAGCCGCTGGCCTGGCTGCTCTTTCGGGTCAGGAAGGCTTTCTTGAGTCTGGTATGGTCTGGCTGCCCCAGTGTCCCCACTGCCTAGCACAGTGGGCACTCAGGTGTTTGTCTGTTGGATCGGTTAATTGGCAGGGACCAGTTGAAGCAAACAGAGAACAGCTGGTTGTCATTCACTGTTTTCAGGACTGCTTATGGTTGTTTTTGGTGTTTCTATAATAGTTCTAGGCATGAAGTTCAGGACCACAGCATGCAAGACCCCGAGGGGCAGATTTGCCGTCTATAGAAATAGTAATGAGAGCTGATGAAGAAGAGGTGGCTGCTTCCCACAGTATCACCTTGATTGTCATTTCTGCATTTAGAATGCATGAGTGACCCCTAAGCTGCTCTTCAGGTTCTTCAGTGCTCTCTTTACCTCTGTTGTGTAGTTTCTTGAATCCAGGTGACTGACCCGCACGTCACATATAAGTTATTTGGTTTTATTCCTTGGTCTCTTTCTCAGCAAGTGTAGTCTGGAGATGATAGGACACTTAGCAATGCAGAGAGAATGCCTTCACCAGAGTTACCAGCAAGTGCTTGGCTGTGGGGGCTCCGTGTACTAAAGCTCTTCCAGGATTGTTAGTGGGCATGCCAGTGATCTATCTTCGCAGGCCTGCTTACAGCAAATGCAGCTGTCCCCCAAATGCAAGAACCATGGAGCAGCCAGCCTTTCCAGTACAGGGCCCAATTATGTGTCACCAGTGAACATGGAAAGAGCTTTTCGGTTGGTTTGCCACAGTTAGTTTATCTTTCCCCCACCTTTGTGACCTTAGATATCTCAGCCAATGCCACCATTCACCCACTAGTTATTTATTGAACTCAGCTATGTGCCAGGCATTGTTGGTACAGAAATGGAGGGGAACACATTGTCTGTCCCCGAGACCCTCTGTCTGTAGACAGGCTCGCCCCCTTTGTCCCTGTGGTTTGCTCCCCTACTTTCAGTGAGTCTCTGTGCCTGGGCCATCTTCTTACACCCACTTTACCCACCTTTAAAATTGCGCCCTCCTTCACACTTGTCACCCTGTCTGCTTGCTCCCTCTCCAGAGCACTTCACACCTAATACCCTACATACCCGCTATCCTGACGTGTGTGTCTGGTTCACTCTCTCGTCCTCCCCCAATGTAAGCTCCTTGAGGCCCCAATGTAAGCTCCGTGAGGGCAGGGGTTTTTGTTTGCTTTGTTCACTGCTGGGGCCCCTAGTCCTAGAATGTGGTGAGTGCTCAGTAAATATTTATTAACAAACACCTTCATGAAAGACATACCACAGTGGACATATTCAGAAGCCCACAGTCAGGTGTGGGAAAGAAGCTAGAGAATCAACTGTTAGGATCCAGAATTAGAGAGACCATCACAGGAGAGTCCCCGGGGACACCTTGGCTCATGTTTGTGAGGAAAATAGTTCACAAAGATGAGCCTTTGGAACTGAGTTCTATAGTTTGCAGAGTCAGCCAGGCCAGCAGGGTCCCAAGAGAAGGGCGCCCAAAGCAGAAAGACCTGGCGTGTGCCGTGTCGCTGAAGTGCATTTGGGACGTGGAGAGTTGTCGGGGCTGCAGCACTGGGGGTTGGCTGGGAAGGTGGATGGGTGCGTCTTGTAGGCTCTGCTAGAGCCTTTTAGCCTGAAAAGTTCTGGGAGACTAGAAAGGCTTTTCCTGGGCACCAGAATAGTAAGGTTCAGTTGAGAGACAGCTCTGTGGTGGCCACATGCAGTTTGGAGGGTGAGGGGTGAGCACAGAGGCGGAGGTAGATTGTTGCAGAGACCCAGTTGAGAAGCGTGGAGGGCTTGAACAGTGCCTAGAGGAGGGGCAGGCCTTAGGGTGGCGGGAGGTGGGTGGCTGGCGGGAGCCAGCTCGTTGTGGTTTGTTCATGGTATAGTAGTTTCTTCCTTAAAATGTGGAATGACACTTGTTTAGTAAAATGTTTTTCCCACTTCTTCCTCTTTTTTAGAGATGGGGTCTGGCTCTGGCATCCAGGCTGGAGTGAGTGGCACAATCGTAGCTCACTCCCTGCACCATCTAACTCCTAGGCTTAGGCCATCCTCCCTCTTTAGCCTCCCAAAATGCTGGGGCTACAGACGTGCGCCACCGTGCACGGCTTTGCATTTCTTATATTGTTGAATGTTTTTCCATTAAATATTTTCCTTTGCGATTGTTTTTTTTTTTAGATCTCAAGAGCCTTAACTTAATCTTCAGCATTGTTTTTTAAGGACTGCAGCGTATTCACAAGTTATAGTTTATGCATACTAAAAATGGTAATGTTTGGCAGGTTTTTTTGGTCCAATTTTTAGTTGTTACTTGTGAATTTATCTTATTTCCTAGAGCAAATTAAGCACATTATTGTAAACTGGAAGATGAACGTCCTTAATTCATTGATTATTTTTGGGGTGAAGGGAGAGAGATATTTTGCTAAGGGATATTAAGAAGATACTTAGTGGATATTTAAAACATGAATTTTTTTAAATTTTAAAAGTAATATCAAAAACAAGTTCTACATATGAAATGTTTGAAAAATATTTAAAAAGTTCTGATTATTATTATTATTATTATTATTTTTTTTTTTTGAGATGGAGTCTTGCTCTGTCGCCCAGGCTGGAGTGCAGTTCGCAGTCTCGGCTCACTGCAACCTCTGCCTCTTGTGCTAAAGCGATTCTCCTGCCTCAGCCTCCTGAGTAGCTGGGACTACAGGCATGCACCACCATGCCTAGCTACTTTTTATATTTTTTAGTAGAGATGGGGTTTCACCATATTGGCCGGTCTGGTCTCGACCTCCTGACCTCAAGTGATCTGCCCGCCTAGGCCTCCCAAAGTGCTTGGATTACAGGCGTGAGGCACCACTCCCGGCCCATTTATAAAATATCAATAAGCTGACTTATGTTTGGTGAAGGCCAACTATTTCAGCTATTGCTGTAGATATCCAGGAAGATAACCAAAGCATCCTTACCTTTGTGTATAATGGATAGCTAAGGCATAAGAAACAACTGGGCACGTTACAAGATGTGTAATTAAGTGCTGAATTATGTGGTGCATGTGGCAGGTTCTTTTGTAGTAATTCAGAGAATGAAGATGGGTAATGAGCTAGTCTTGAGAAGGAATAGGATCTCCGCCTCCCAAAGTGCTGGGATTACAGGCATGAGCCAGTGAGTCCACCTGGGTGACCTTACTACTTTATATGAATCCTCTGGTCACTGCTGCCCAACTATCCTTTTATCTCCCTTTTTGCTTACCCCATTTATGTGTTAGGGTGCCCTCCCTTTTTTTTTTAAAAAAACAAACAAGTAGAGCTCAGCTTTCTAACTGGCTTACACCATAAACTAGAGATTTAGTGGCTCATGTAACTAGAAATTCCAGAGGTAGATCAGGCTTCAAAGTTGGTTTAATTCAGCCGTTTAGTTACAGTTTTGAGGACGTGGCTTCTTTTCATTTTTTCACTTTTCATTTCTTCATCTTTTCATTCTGCCTGTCAGTATTATCCCAGGGCTAGTTTCCCCCACGATGGCGGAATGGCCACAGCAGTTTCAGGCTTCACATTTGGGCACAGCCTCCGTCACACCAGCCTGACCAAGAGAGTGAGTGTGCATCCCAGAATTTTAGGCAGTGTCCTGAGCTTCTTGCCCTTTGGGTCGTCCCTCAACCAGAGCACTGTGGCGAGGAGGGTGGTATGCCAAGCAGGGCTCCCATCTGGCCTGGGGGTGGGGGTGTGTTGACTTCTGAACTGGGTGACTACTATCCCACAGGGTAGGAAGGGGAGCTGGCCAGTTCGCTACTGTCCCACATGAGCGTAATGTCTCTCCCCCCTCTCCTTTTCCAGATATGCCAGTTCCTCCTGGACTCCTCAGACTGGAAGATTGTCCTTTCTCCTTGGCAAATCATCTGTACTATCTGATTGCATCTTACAGTCTTCTTTAAATATTATTGTTCCTTAACTGTTAATGTGTCTGTGCCTTGAGGTCAGCCTCAGGTTCCAATCCTGTTCCATTTTGTTTGTGGAATCTCAGGCAAGGTTGGTTTCTCTGAACTTTTAAAGTTTTTTCATCTTCATTCAGCAAATCTTTATTAGATTCTCAGTATTGTGCTTCAGTGGACGAAATACAGACTGACACAAGGAGATAACAGTTCATTCACAGAGACATAGGTAAATGAGAATTACTATGAAATATGAACAGTGCTTTGGCAGAAATAGGGTTTAGAAACACTTCCTGAGGAGGTGATGCCTGCGTTGAGCTTTGAAGGACAAGTAGGACTTCTTCAGAGCATGGGGGAAGAGGGAGCTGCCTGCACGAAGGCTGATCAGCAGAATAATGAATAAATGCAGAGTTACTGGGATCTTAGGTGCACGACCTTCGGCAAGGTTGGTAGGCAGAGACGCCCATTACACCAAGTTGAAGAGTGAAGATTCTACCTTTATATACACCTTACAATTACATGGGGAGTGACCGCATGTCCTGGTCTAAACTTATCCCAGCATAATTCATCATAATGATCCTTTCACTCTGAGATATGCCTCTAATTTGGATGATAAATGGTTACGCAACTTAAAATAGAAGTCCAGAGCCATAGGGACAGTCACTGTGATAGCAGTGTGCTTGCTTCATAGTAGAGCTTCGGGATTACATGAGATAGAGCATAGCAGTGCTTCTCAAACTTAAAAGTCCGTTGAGAATCAGCTGCGGGTCTTGTGAATGTGCACATTTAGATTCAGTACACCTGGGGTGGGCCCTGTGCGCTGTCTGAGCTCCTAGGTAATTCCTAGGCTGCTGGCCTGGTGACCTCACTTTGAGTAGCAGGTCGTATTGGGCTTCGGGAGCTTCAGAGGGTCTGTGAAGTTCTGAAATCATACGCAGAAATGTGTGTACATGCATTCTTTAGGGGGTGGGCCTAATTCCCTTACATCAGTTTCTCGGGAGGTCTGCTGCCACCCAAAAAAGATTAGGAATCCTCCCTTTTAGAAATTTTGTGCAGATTAAATGAAATATGTTGATTAAATGCCTTTAACATTGTCTAGAGCATAATGGACATTCAGTACACACTAGCTGTATGTCCTCCTTCCCTGACCCCAGTTCTTTGAAGGCAGGACACATTGCTTAAACATTTTAAACTGCTTTTTAATGTCCTTTTTATGTCATTGGTGCTCAATAAGTGTCGATTTAGCTTGGTGACAAGCTGTTTGGTGACTGTGAGCCATTCTGTCAGCATTTGCTAGTCTCTTAGGTGCCAAGCATTTTACTAGGTAGGTAGGAGGAGGCCACTACCTAGGTTATTGCAGATACCCAGGCATAGGTGGAGTCATCAGGGCCTGTGCTGGATAGTAACTGTAGAGTTGAAGAGGAGATGCATCACTTCTTAGTAATCTTCCTGAGTTATGTGTGTTCAGGAAAGTGCTTCTACTGCCTTTGATTCATTGAGGTCCTAGTCTCTGGTCCTCAGGTGTATGTGATTTCAGTACGGATTAATTTACTGTAATGCTTAATTTAATTCATTCAGTTGCTATTCTTGCCAAATGCAGTTTTTCTGAACATTTTGATATTTTGTTGAGATGGTCCCAGAAATTTGGGATTCGTGATCACGTTAGGGTATTTGTGATGGAAAGGGTATATAATTTATGGTATTTTCAAAGTTCCTTACCTAAGAGATTGGAAGAACAATGATGAGAGAGAGATTGGGAGATTACTTGTCTTATAGAGTTGTAGATGCTTCAGAGAACTTGACTACATTGCGAAGGGAAAATCTTGGATTGGAAGGTTATTTTTGAGAAAGTGGAGTGTTGGTAGTGAAAGTTAGATTTCAGTGAATTAAAAGCAAATGAGAGATGAGTTTAATTACAAAAGAAATGTCTTTTGTTCAGAAGACATTTCTGAAGAGTTGCTTGTGAGTTCATTTATTTTATTGAGACAGGATTGTACTCTGTGACCCAAGATAGAGTGCAGTGGTGCAATCATGGCTCACTGCAGCCTCAAAGTTATTGGCTCAAGGGATCCTCCCACCTCAGCCTCCTGAGGAGCTGGGACTGCAAGTGTGGGCCACTGTGTTTGGCAGGAGTTTAATTTTTCTGTCATATTACTTCTAATTTAGTTGCATTATAGTTTTTCTTCTGGCCGGGTGCGGTGGCTCACGCCTGTAATCCCAGCACTTTGGGAGGCCAAGGCGGGTGGATCACCTGTCAGGAGTTCAAGACCATCCTGGCCAACATGGTAAAACCCTGTCCCTACTGAAAATACAAAAATTAGCCCAGACATCGTGGCACATGCCTGTAATACCAGCTACTCGGAGGCTGAGGCAGGAGAATTGCTTGAACCCAGGAGTCGGAGGTTGCAGTGAACTGAGATTGCGCCACTGCACTCCAGGTTGGGCAACAGAGCAAGACTGTCTGACAAAAAAACAAAAAAAAAGTTTTTCTTCTTTTAGTTTTGTTGTTGTTGTTGTTTTTGAGAAGGAGTCTTTCTCTGTCACCCAGGCTGGAGTGCAGTGGTGCAGTCTCAGCTCACTGCAACCTCCACCTCCTGGGTTCAAGCGATTCTCCTGCCTTAGCCTCCCGAGTAGCTGAGATTACAGGCGCCCGCCACCGCACCCAGCTAATTTTCGTATTTTAGTAGAGACAGGGTTTCACTATGTAGGTCAAGCTGGTCTCGAACTCCTGACCTCAAATGATCCACCCGTCTCGGCCTCCCAAAGTGCTGGGATTACAGGCATGAGCCACCGCGCCCGGCCAGTTTAGTTGTTGTTGTTGTTGTTGTTTTTGCCTTTATTAACTTGTTAATGATCAGTAAACCCTTAAAAGCACTAAAAGAGTTCCCATTTTAAAGACATCTGGATGTTGTTCATCAACTTTATATAGTGAGTAATTATCTCAAATTATTTTATAATTTCTTTTTTAACTGGGAGGCATAACTGAATGGAGAAGTAGCTCCCCTCATCCTCCTGTTTTCTGCTTAGTTTCTCCCACCTCCTCAGTTGCCTGTAGTGATGGAGCTTTTACTTGGATCACGGGAATGCCCCTACACAGTGATTCTAAACTCCAACTGTAAGTCAGAATCACACAGGAAGTGTTTAAAATGCTAAATGAGGCCTGGACTCCACCCTAGACCACTGAAGCCAGAATTGTTGCAGGTGTGGCCTGAGGATGCTCTGATTCTAAGGTGTGGCCAGGTTCGAGGACTGTTGTCTTAGGCCTTTGTCCAATATGGTTTATGCTGCTCCCCTGCTAGGTGAGTACCACCGCGGATTGGTTACCTGCTTTTATGTGGAAAATAGAATATAGGAAGCCGATTGGGTGGAAAACATCTCTTCTAGTGTATGTAGGTCCCATAAGGGGGACTTTGAAGTCTGGAGTTAACAGTTTTCTAATAAAAGATTTCAGACCATATCCAGGAACTTAAATACATAATTAAAGAGTGGAATGCAAATTATTAGGATTTTTGCTGGTAAAGCAAGCTATACTTGCATAATTTAAATCTTTGGAGGGCATGTTTCGACAGATCATTAGGTGAAGGTTAAACTGAGACAGCAAACAGTGGATTCCTTCCTTAGCTAGTATACCACTTTTTGCATTCTTTTATTTTCAACAGATAGTAATTTTGCAGCTTTTTACTTCTTCAACCAAACCTTCTAAGTAACTTTGCTTTCCATTAACAACAAAGCCGCTCATTAAGGTGGAAGTTCTGTGCTTGATCTTAACACCGGAAGGAGAGGAGTCTATTTACCAGCTAATGTAAGTACTTCTTATTAGACAGTCCTAGATTTTCTAGGAGATTTGAAGAGTCTGCTGACAGTGGCCAGCAAATCAGAGGAAAATCATTTCTGTAGCTAGGTTCTTTTTTCATGGATGTCCTTTAAGAGGAAGCTCTGCCGTGGCGATGTGCGTTCCTTCCTGGCGGGTGGCCTCCAGTAGCTGGCCTTCTGTTGGTCCGGTTCCAGCGTATTTTATTAAGTGAAAAATCCTGTAGAACAGATGGCACTTACAAGTTTCTGCCCATGTAGCACTCTGTTTAATGAAATACTATAGTTTTGCTTCATTGTTTTTGGCAGTAATTGTCTTTGTGTGGAGTTTGAGTACATGGTCCGAGAAGCTCGGCAGTAATAAAGGTTGAGCCAGGCAAGAATAATCTGAAGTGACTGAGTAATGATGGGACAGAGGCTTCAGAGTGGTGCACAGTTAAATTGAAAACAGATGCAGAATAAAAAGATGATGCCCAATTTTTTTTTTTTTTTTTTTTTTTGAGATGGAGCCTCGCTGTGTTGCCCAGGCTGGAGTGCAGTGGTGCGATCTTGCCTTACTGCAAGCTCCACCTCCTGGGTTCACGCCATTCTCCTGCCTCAGCCTCCTGAGTAGTTAGGACTACAGGTGCCCGCCACCACACCCAGCTAATTTTTTGTATTTTTTAATAGAGACGGGGTTTCACCGTATTAGCGGGGATGGTCTCGATCTCCTGACCTCATGATCTGCCCACCTCGACGTCGCAAAGTGCTGGGATTACAGTCCTGGGCCACCGCGCCCGGCCAATGATGCACAATTTTTTTTTTTTTTTTTTGGGAAGGAGTCTCGCTCTTTTGCCCAGGCTGGAGTGCAGTGGCGCGATCTCAGCTCACGGCAACCTCCGCCTGCCGTATTCAAGCTATTTTCCTGCCTCAGCCTCTCGAGTAGCCGGGAGTACAGGTGCCCGCCACCATGCCTGACTAATTTTTGTATTTTTAGTAAAGACGGGGTTTCACCACTGGCCAGGCTGGTCTTGAACTCCTGACCTCAGGTGATCCACCTGCCTGGGCCTCCCAAAGTGCTGGGATTACAGGTGTGAGCCACCATGCCCGGCAATGATGCAGAATTTTTAAGATGATGTTGTGTAGCACTGGGAGGTCTTTGGACCAAGGAATGTGAAACTAAAAATCCCAGAGTGTGGATGCCTACAAATAGGGTGTACTGAAGAATTCTTCTTCCGTAGATGAGAGATTAACAAATAGAGCGTACTGAGGAATTATTCTTCTGTAAATGAAAGATTACAACTGTGGCCATTGGTCTTCAAGAGCTTTGATTATGGTACTGCTTCATCTGCTTTACATAGATTGTGCATAACAATTTTTAAAAAGTCAACCTTATTGAAGTATAATTTAATACAATAAATGTACCCATTTTAAGTTTGCAGTTCGAGGTTTTTTGTCTTTGTTTTTCAGACGAGGTCTTGCTCTGTCTCCCAGGCTGGAGTGCAGTGGTGTGATCATAGCTCACTGCAGCCTTGACCTCCTGGGTTCAAGCCATCCTCCTGCCTCAGCCCTCCCAAGTAACTGGGACTACAGGCATGTGCCACCAAGTCTGGCTTTGTTTTGTTTTGTTTTGTTTTAGAGATTGAGTCTTGCTCTGTTGCCAGGCTGGAGTGCAGTGGCGCGATCACAGCTCACTGCAACCTCCGCCTCCCGGGTTCAAGCAATTCTCCTGCCTCAGCCTCTCGAGTAGCTGGGACTACAGGCACACGCCGCCACACCTGGCTAATTTTTTGTGTTTTCATAGAGACAGGGTTTCACCGTGTTGCCTAGGCTGATCTTGAACTCCTCTCAAGTGATCCTCTCACCTTGGCCTCCCAAAGTGCTGGAATTACAGGCTGGGAGCCATCACGCCCAGCCCAGTTTGAGTTTTGACAGATGTATACACCAAAGTAGTAACTACTACCACACTCCATATATAGAACATTTCCATTGCTCAGAGAGTTTCTTCATGCCCCTTTGCCATGAATCCCCACCTTGTCCAGGCAGCTAGTGGTCTGCTTCTGTCACTATAGGCTAAGAAAGTTTGCCTTTTCTAGAATTACATTGGCCCAGAATTACACAAACTGTACTCTTTTGTTTGGTTACCTTCACCTGACCCAACTATTTAGATTTAGCCATGTTGAGTGTTGAGTTCCAGCCTTTTCAGTACTGGGTAGTATTCCTTTGTGGATGTCCCACAGTTTGCTTGTCTCTTTCCTCTTGATAGACATTTTTGTTGTTCCCACTGTTTGAATCTGCTGTTCACATTCATGTACAAGTGTCTGTGTGGACATAGGTTTTCATTTCTTGTGGGTAAAATGTGGTAAGCGTATATTCTATTCTGTAAGAAACTGCAAGGCTTTTTCAAAGCGGCCATGCCGTTTTCTATCTGCACCAGCAGTGTATGAGAATGCTTCTTCTCTGTCCTCACCAACATTTGATATTGTCAGTCTTCTTTTTTTGAGACAGAGTCTCACTCTGTCTCCCAGGCTGGAGTGCAGTGGTGTGATCTTGGCTCACTGAAACCTTCACCTCCCAGGTTTAAGCAGTTCTCCTGCTAGCCTCCCGAGTAGCTGGGATTACAGGCAGACTCCCCCACGCCCAGCTAATTTTTGTATTTTTAGTAGAGATGGAGTTTCACCATGTTGGCCAGTCTCGAACTCCCTAACCTCAAGTGATTTGTCCGCCTCGGCCTCCCAAAGTGCTGGGATTACAGGTGTGAGCCACTGCGTCCGGCTCAGTCGTCTTAATTTTATAGTACATCAATTTAAATGATAATTTTTTGTCCCTAGGAACATGAGTTCCTGTCATTGACAGCAAAGTGAAACTGAGTACAAATAGGTGGTTCTTAGTGAAATGTGCCCAGAAAGACAGTTTGAGCAGAAAGGAGGGACCAAGAAATACAGGATGCATGCCTGCTTCACACTGGAAACCGGTGGTCTTATTTGAGGGTCAAAGATGGGGGGTGGGGAATAAAGTCGATTTTAAAAGGATTGACCGGCTCCGATACCTTCTGATCACATCCAGGGTTTTTTTTTTTTTGGCCTTTTTTCCCCCTTATACACTTAAGATTTTGAAAAGTGGTTTCTCTTTAGCTTGGGAAATGGATCACATGGTAATTGTTAATGATTTTTCTTTAGGTCAAAATAGGTGTTCCTTTAAAGTGTTCTGTGAAGCTTAATTCACTTACGTTGAATAAGTCTTATATTTTAAAATATAAGTTTAAGTGTTATACTTTAAAAATAAGTGTTATTTCTTGATTGTATTTATTTGAAGATTATATTTGAGAATGAAAGATGTACTCCTAGCTGGAACATCTCTGGTGATAATAAAAACATGAGAATAAAAACCATTCAGAGTGATCAAGTTAAGACTGTCAGCCCACTGACGCCTGGGAAGTCACAATGATTGCTATGTAGTTTGGAGAAATTATTCCTTATCCTTAGATAAGCTTTTTATTTGTGTGGGTTTTTTCATCTTCCTCTTCCTGAATTCATTTGTTCAACAAAGCTATTTTGAGCACCTACTCTATGCCAAGTCTACTGCATTAACTTCTGGCTAAACAAAGATGGATCTAACTCGATTCTTGTACTTTAAAGAAATCAGCTTTATGGAGGTATAACGTATGTGCGGTGAATTTCACCCATTTAAAGTGTATATTTCCATGAATTTTAACAGATGTATTCATTTGTGTAATCACCTCCACAATCAAGACACCAGTTCTGTCATTCCCCAGAATGACATTGAGCCCCCTTGCAGCCTCTTCTTTTGTTCGTCCTTGGCCCCAGCAAAGATAGAACTGCTTCTGTTACAGTTTCTTTTTTATTGGTTTCATCTTCCATTTCTTTTTTTCTTAAG
Source organism: Homo sapiens (assembly GCF_000001405.40). NCBI lineage: Eukaryota > Metazoa > Chordata > Mammalia > Primates > Hominidae > Homo > Homo sapiens. Next base: position 84,723,976 of record NC_000016.10, read on the forward strand.
GTCAGCACCAAGGTGATTGTAATGAATATGAAAGTTGGTGGAATCTTGAACTTCTACTAGGGCTATCCCAGATAAAGTTGACTGAATTTACTCCCTAATTTATCTGCTGTGTTTCATACAATAGCAATTTTACACAGGAAGTTATTCAATAATGAGGGCTATCTATATTACCTTGCTATTTAGTACTAGTTAAGAGCAAAGCGAGTTAAAATTTAATGGCCATTTTGTAATACAGTTCTAATATAGACACAGGACTGGAAAGTTGGTAAAAGTGGGTTTCTGTTAAGTGAATCATGTTTTCTAATTTGGAGATTCAATCTGAATTCAATCTAAAATTTCTGAAGGAAATTTTAGCTCGGAATCTCCATGAAAGCACTTAATATACAGCCAACCTGTTAAAAACCATACTTTGAGAGGTAAAATGATTACTTTTTGATAGCACTTTAATAGTAGAAATAGAATATACAAACAGGGAAGTAGACACTCAATTGCAGTACTTTGACATTTGAGTTTCAAGGAGAGAGGCTGCCTGTGAGAGTGACTTTGTGATAGTTTGTCTACTTTGTTCGCTTCTCAGGACCTCTTTGCCCCAAGAAAGTAAAGCAAAATTTTGCTATAGCCCTATTAGTGAGGGAACAAAACTTCTCTTCCTCCTTCTTCCTTTGTCTGCTTCTGCCATTTGTAACACTTAGTTCAGCTTGCAGTTGGCTTGCACTGTAATAAAACTGTAAATGTCACCATGCCCTGACCCCTGTGTGTGTTGTGTTCAAAGTTTTACTCTCGTAGTCTCGCATAGTTGAGTGTGGATTGTTGATGCTCAGTGCATATTGTTAAATTGGCGAACTTCCTGGTGTGCATTCACTAGTTGATGATAGTGTCATCTCCAGATGTCCTCAGAACCACCCACACCACCTTCTGAAGTTGAAAGCACACAATGATTGTTCAGTAGATATCAGCTAGCACCCATAACTTACTGGGCTTTGATTCATAAAGCCTAGTAAAGAAATTAAAATTTTTATTTTGATATAAGTACTGACCTTTTTTAAAACTTTATTGAGATATAATTCACATGCTGTGGAGTTTGTGTATTTGAATAAATATGCATTTCAGTGGTTTTTAGTGTATTCACAAAGTTTTGCAGCTAACACCGTAGTCCATTTTAGAACATTTCATCATCCCCAAAAGAAAGCTCATGTTCATTAGCAGTCACCGCCTCCCGCTCCCCCATTCTCCTCTCCTCCCAGCCCTTGGCAACCATGATCTTTCTGTGTCTGGTAATTTGCCTATTCTTGGCATTTCATATGAATGGAAGAAACAATTTATGGCTCTTTGTGTGTGGCTTTAACTTAGTATAATGTTTTCAAAGTCATCCTGTTGTAGCATGCATTAGTCTGATGACATTTTCTTTTTCTTTTTCTCTTTCTTTTCTTTTTTCTTTTTTGAGACGGAGTTTTGCTCTTGTTACCCGGGCTGGAGTGCAAATGGCACGATTTCCGCTCACTGCAACCTCTGCCTGCTGGGTTCAAGCAATTCTCCTGCCTCAGCCTCCTGAGTAGCTGAGATTAGAGGCGCCTGCCACCATGCCCGGCTAATTTTTTTTTGTGTTTTTAGTAGAGACAGGGTTTCACCATGTTGGCAGTCTGTTCTCTGACTCCTGACCTCAGGTGATCCACCCGCCTCGGCCCCCCAGAGTGCTGGGATTACAGGTGTGAGCCACCGTGCCCGGCCTGTCTGACGACATTTTCAAACCCGTGTTTCTTAATCCTTTTTAGATCCAAGAGATCCTTTTGGAGATGGGAAGAATTTTAGAAGTTGTCTGGTCCAACATACCTTCATTTTGTAGATGAGATTAAGGCTTTAATCATGCCAAACAGTCTATTGCTCTTTTCATGTTTCCCCAAATTGAGCTTATTTGGATCAGGAGAAGAGGGAGAATACTTTATACTTCTCAGCTTCTTGTGTATTTGACTGTGACCTGGTTATACCATTTGCCACTGTGAGGCTTAGCTGTGCATCTGTGAATGGGAGATTGTTCTTAGAGATTGGTCATAGTTGTCCACCTGCCTCGGAAACTGCAGGTACAAATGCAGCAGCAAAGTATTTACATTCTTACTTCAGGGCTGATCTCCTATTTCTATCAGTCCTTTTGAAGGCAGAGAATGTTAATTTGGAACAACCTGCATATTTATTCAAATTTCCAGAGAGATGAAACTTTCAGAATGCTGTGCTGCAGCGCCCCCTAGTGCCGTGCTGTACTGATAGTCCCCAGCGTCTCCTGAAGCCGAAAGTGGCGTTTCCCGCAGTTCCGGCGGGAGAGCTGTAGCCAGCAGGTTGTGCAAGTGAACATTAGACATCTTTTCTCCTTCTCGCCTTCCTTGGGCTGAGATGGAGGAATGTGTCTTTATTGCTGAGGGCAAGGTCTTTGTTTTTCCTTTAGCAGGAACACTGGTTTTCCCACTTCGTCTAAACCTTTGCCCAGGGTTTCTCAACTCAGGCCCCCTGAGGGCCGTAGTGGCCTCCACACACCTCCAGAAGGTAAACTGAGCCAGCTTAGCCAACAGGCTATGCTTCAGGGAGGAAGGTGTCTTTTGTTCCCATCCCTGCTGTGGTGTGGGCTTGCCCCCCTTTTCTCGAAGTGTTTCTTGTATATTTTTTTCCACATCCTCTTGAGAAAGGATCAGAAAGTAAAGATGTGAACAGTGAGAGTTTTGAAAGCCCGGGATGGAGGCCGGATGGGATATGAGGGGAAGTGGTGGAGGGGAATAAATAGCTTCTCTAGTTCACAGTCTTACTTCCCCTAAAAAGGGGAAGAAATGCCTGAAGCCCTTGTACTTTGCTCCCCCGAATCGCAGGCATTTCTGTGCCGTCCCGCCCCTGGGCATTTCCTATGCAACCACAGGACGCGGGAAAGGAGCGTTTGTTACTGCTTTCTGATACCTCCTTTTGACCCCAGTGTTCTGACTCTGGCAGAGTTGCTGAAACCTTAGGGGGCTTCCCAGTCTTTCCTGATGGTATTTGGTGTAGCTGTGGGAAGGGCAGAGTTAGCCGCAGCAGTGTCACAGTTTCTGTGGTGTGGCATGGCTGACAGGGCCTCCAGGTACCTGCTTTTATTTTAATGACAGCCACCAATATGTCCTAAGCTCTGCACTTTCTTTGAAATTACAAGAAACGATGAACTTACTCGTGCTTTTTAGTCTCCCGTGTGAACTGAATTGTTCTGTATTTTATCTTGCTCTGTTATGGGCAAAACTAATTCATGTCATCAGTGGCATTTCCCTCTTCACTAGGTTGTAAATCCTGTGAAGTCAGACACAGCGTTATTTTCATCTTTATTTTACCCAAACACCTACAATTTTCCCCCCTCATGTGACAGCCTTTGAAATAAGTTAATCTTCCAGAGGAGAGAAAACACTAAACAGTCAAACATAAGGAGAGGGTAAAGGTTTTCCTCATAACCTCACAATTTTCAGTGTTAGCTTTAAAAAAACAAACAAACAAACAAACAAACAAACAAAAACTCTTTATTTGCAAATAGTTTGAAACTTGAAAAGTTGCGGAAAGAAAAATAGTACAAAGAATCCCCAGATGGTCCTTTACCCAGATCCACCTGTTGTTAAGATTAAATCCATTTGCTTAATCATTTGTGTGTGCTGGAATTCTCTGTCTGCAAATACACACTCATACGGATACACATACAGACACACAGACATGGGCTAACAAATGCAAATATACAGACATACAATATTTTTCCAAACCCTTTGAGATTTCAGGGAAGATTACATACACTGTAGCCACTTAATCCTAAATTCTTGAATGTGTATTTCCTAAGAATAGGCATATTCTCTTAAATAACCACAGTAATACGTTACCACTTTCACAAATTTACATTGATGCAGTACTTTTTTCTAACCTGTCCATATTCTAATTTTGGGAGTTGACCATATAATGTCCTTTCTAGAATTTTCCCTTCCAGCACAGGATCCAGTCTAGGGTCAGGAAATGTATTTAGTTATCATGTCTCTAGCTTTTTGTAGTCTGGAAGTTTCCCACAGCCTTTCAGGATATTGACTTTTTTGAACAGCAGTTTCTCCTCCCCTCTTTTGATAACATTCCTCATTTTACCAAACACCTAAAATAACATTTGATTGGAAGTTAGGAAGGCTTTTGGAGAAGGAGATGGTGAAACCAGAACATTTTAATAGCAGTTGGCTGTCCTGAATTTCTGTGATAAACTTTTTGGTGTCACAAACATGCCTTGCTTCAACATTTAGTCAGATATCATTTTAGTTAAATAATTGTCACTCACTGGTATTTGCTATAAATATATTGAATAAATTGAATAAATAATTGAAATATATTGAATAAATATTTGGCCTTTTTTACTTTTTTTTTTTCTCGCTGTTGCCCAGGCTGGAGTTCAGTGGTGCGATCTCGGCTCACTGCAACCTCTGCCTCCCCGGTTCAAGCGATTCCCCTGCCTCAGCCTCCCGGGTAGCTGGGACTACAAGCATGTGCCACCACGCCCGGCTAATTTTTGTATTTTTAATAGAGACGGGGTTTAGCCAGGATGGTCTCAATCTCCTGACCTCGTGATCCGCCTGCCTCGGCCTCCCAAAGTGCTGGGATTACAGGCGTGAGCCACCGTGTCCGGCCTCCTTTTGTAGTTTTATCAAAATTATAATTTATGTCCGTCCACTCACTGGTATTTGCTACTGAATAAGTATTTGGCCATTTTCCCTTTTTGTAGTTTTATCAGCATATGCAAAAATTACCTTTTTTCCTCCCAATAAAGTTGTCATATTCTGTTTTATAAGCAGCACCTCTTCTTTTTTCTTTTTTTTGAGACGGAGTCTTCCTCTGTCATTCAGGCTGGAGTGTAGTGGCACCATCTTGGCTCACTGCAGCCTCCGCCTTCCAGGTTCACGTAATTCTTCTGCATCAGCCTCCCAAGTAGCTGGGATTACAGGCACCCACCACCATGCCTGGCTAATTTTTGTATTTTTAGTGGAGGTGGATTTCACCATTTTGGCTGGGCTGGTCTTGAACTCCTGAAGTCAAGTGATCTGCTCGCCTCGGCTTCTGGAAGTGACGAGATTACAAGCGTGAGCCACCGTGTCTGGCCAAGCAACACTTTGTCTTTTGGAATAGTGTTGATAATAAATGCTTCTTCATTGTAGTGCTTTGAATGATGCATATGATTTTGTTAAATACAAAAATGATGTCTTAACCTTCACATTTGTATGGATTATTTTATCACATCATTCATAATCCATGTTTGAATGGTTACCATGCCAGCTTACTTTGCCAAGAAAGAAATATTTATCGTTTTTCAAAATGTGCATTGCAATTCTAAGAAATTCCGTTTTATTCTTAGGATTCCCCTAGCTTGTGATATCGATGACTTGTCTTTTACTGACATTTGATAGTTAACTCCCCAAATAGAGGATTCCTTTATATGTGGTTATTGGGTTGTATCAGAATTCCTGCTTGAGTATAAGTTATATTTGTATTGACACATAGGAAAAAGATACATGTAGTTTATCTGCCATGAGCATATGGGGAATACTCATTGTATGGGAGATGGAAATTCTAATCAAGTTCCCCGGGAGGCTGAGCGCCTTGCAGAGATGCTCTTAAACCCTTGGCACTGACTTCTTAGCCCGTTCCTTTATTTCAGTTATAAAATCGAAAGGACCGGTTTTAAATATTGCTGAAGTGTAACTGCTCACTTTTAAAAGCTCATGCATTTAAGGATTAAAATGTGATTCACGTGTATTTTGATGGAGTTGTTTTTTGAGCTATGTGAGCCAGTGTTAAGGAAATTAAGTTGGAGTTCAAAACAGCCGTGGCTAGTGATTTGTCAAGTGTTAAATGATAGTTCAGTGTTGCATAGCTGGTAATCAGCAGTTACTTATGGTGTATTTTTTTGCGTGACATGTTTTCATCAAGTCCTAAGCTGTTGTCAATGAGCTCTTGAAACTAACATGCTTATGAAATTATGTCTGTGCAAAATGGGTGTATTTGAAGAGTTGTAAGGTGATTTCTGTTGTGTTTACTTTTTATGATTAATGTTTTGAATAAAGTATGTAGTCCCCTCCCAAGAAAACCCTCCAAAAAACGTGCTAGGAAATCCCCTCCACTCCTGTCTGCGTCCACTCAGCGTCCACTCAGTGCTACTGTCCCAAAGGTGAAGGGCCACATTTTTTCTTGTTGATCTTTCCAGTGTCTCTTTATGCAGACACAAATATCTATATTATTAACAAACACAAATATGTTATTATATAGCAACACAGATACTCTATTTTCCTACCTTTTTTACACCGAGAGTGCTTTCTTCTTTTAATAGTATTTTGAAGATCTCTCGCTGTCTGTACCTAAAGTTCTTCCTCATTTTCCCCTAGTTAATTCTGTAATTTGATTGAAGGTACATATCTGTGGAGAAATTATTGACATGAAGTTATAATAAAAACACGCTTAAAATCTATAACATTTTCTCAGATACTTTAAAAATAATTAAGTAAAACTAATAAATTTGAAAATAATAGGAGAAAAAAAACTCAGTGAACCGTTTCTGAGCGTTCCAGCTCATGACTTGAGGGTGTTTGCCGCTGACTCATGCTGAAGCCACTTGGTGTCTGCGTTTGAAACAGGAAGTGTGTGTTAGTGGCTTGGAATCTTGTTTTCTCCTCCTCTCCTCCTCTGCTGCCAAGATTTTTATCAAATCATTTGGATTTGTAGTGTTCTTACTGGATTGACCAGCTCTAAAAACTTTAGGCTGTATATGAACTGAAATAAGAAAGTGTGCTTAGAAGTATGATTTAAATAAACATTTTTATTTTCCATTGTCTAGGAAGAAAACCTTCCTAAAGAAAATACCTGATAATCCTGCAGAACATTCTGATTTCTTATCCTTAGGTATCTTCCCCACATTCTGAAGTAAAAGGCCTTTCTTGTTAGTCATAAGATAAAATGGATAACTTTTAATATATAGCATTTCTACCTTTTTTTTTTTTTTTTTTTTTTGACACGGAATCTCTCTCTGTCAGCAGGCTGGAGTGCAGTGGCTCATTCTCGGCTTGCTGCAACCTCCACCTCCCGGGTTCAAGCGATTCTCCTGCATCAGCCTCCTGAGTAGCTGGGACTACAGGTGCATGCCACCATGCCCGGCTAATTTTTTGTATTTTTAGTAGAGACGGGGTTTCACCGTGTTAGCCAGGATGGTCTCGATCTTCTGACCTCATGATCCGCCCACCTCGGCCTCCCAGAGTGCTGGGATTACAGGTGTGAGCCACCGCTCCCGGCCTCTACTTTTTTTTTTTTTTTAACTGCTCGTTGCAGAGCAGGGCTACGCCATAGGCAATGTGCACAGAGTAGCCACGTTTCTACTATTGATATTAAACAAAACAGCATGATTTTAGTTTATTTATTCTTAATATTTGCATTAAACTTCACAGCTGCCGTGTGTTTCTTGTATTTTACTTCTTTATCATTCTTGTATTTCTCGAATTCATTTTCTGGAATTCTTAAGCAGTTTCCTTTCCTCCCCCCAAGAAAAAGGTGTATGTGACAGAAAGTGTTCTTTCTCTTTTGCACTTGAAAAGTAGTTTATAGAATTCTATGAAAAAATACTCTGGCATTCTAGGAACAAAATCCTTTTTTCTCGAAACTTTCAAAATGTTGCCCCATTGCCTTCCATAGCCTTGTTGATTTTGCTATTAAGACGTTCTGTTGAGTTTTTTAATTTAGTGATTTAAAATTAGTAATTAATTTCCGCGAACACTTTCATGATCTCTGATAGCTCTTTTTTTTTTGTGATAGTCTGTGCTAATTTTTTCTGCTTCCTTTTAGCCTATAGAATTTTCCCTTCCATTGCTTTGAGGGTTTCTTAGTGAAATTCATATCATCTTTTCCCAGTGTTGGTGATGAGAAGAAGGTGTAACCTTCTATATTCTTCACTGAAAAGTGACAGTATTTCAGAAGATCATTTCTGAACCATTTTGAGGCTCTGTTTATTTTCACTGTTACTGTCAATACATAATTTCTTTGTTGACTTTTGCAAGTATATGTAAATATTATATGAAAACTTTTTTGTTCTTAATGTATATTTATAGTTTTGGTAGATGTTGTCAAAGAGCTCTCCAGAAACGTTTTCCCTGTGCATTCTTACCAGGAGGGTATTACATTTAGTGGCCATTTATTCACATTTACAATAATAATGAGTATTATTCATTTATGTAATATTTAGTTACTGGTTATTTTTGAATCACTTGGCTTGTAAATTTCCCTGGAAGCTACTAGACTGTTTAGTTCCATTAGAACAGAGGAACCACACTCTGCTTACCATTTTTATACCCAGTACTGATCATACGTGGGCATTTGTAGGTTCTAAATAATTATTGATTAAATGAATGAATCATTGCTTCTCCGTTGTGGAAATTGCTAATTCTTCTCAATGACTTCTTCTTCTTCTTTTTTTTTTTTTTCTTTTTGAGATGGAGTCTGGCTCTGTCGCCCCGGCTGGGGTGCGGTGGCGCGATCTCAGCTCACTGCAACCTCGGCCTCCCTGGTTCAAGCAATTCTCCTGGCTCAGCCTCCCGAGCAGCCGGGACTACAGGTACACGCCACCACGCCTGGCTAATTTTTGTATTTTTAGTAAAGATGGGGGTTTCACCATGTTGGCCAGGCTGGTCTCGAATTCCTGACCTTAAGTGATTCGCCCATGTCAGCCTCCCAGAGTGCTGGGATTATAGGCGTGAGCTACTGCGCCAGGCCTCAATGACTTGTTTCTTGAAGCTCCATGGAGAATATGAACTGGTAGGCACTTGCCAGACTCACATCCGTGCAGTTTAACCACTTCGTTTTCCAGAAAATCACATTCTGAATTCCGTGAAATCAGGCTTGCAACAAGGGCTGTGTCTGTCTGATAATATGTGTATCTGTGTATCCTATGGAAATGCATTTTTAAACTAAGAAGTTATATAGATATTTTTAAAGATCATTAATCAGGATCATTAACATTTTCCTTTTTTGGATTTCCTTGTCTTCCCATTTGAACCACGTTTTCTGCTTTTCTTTAGTATGTTTGGCAGAGAAAGCGGAAATGGAGGTAGTGGCATGAGTCAGCAGAAAGGTAAATGGAACAACTGGCAGTATTTGTGAACCAATAAAAATCTCCTGCAAGCAGGACTCGACAAGTTTGGCATACAAAATTGATTTGTTTCAAAATAAGCTTTATCAGTTTCATAGTGTTCTTTGACAATTTGTAGGAAAGGTTCAGTAGTATTTCTTTTATATAAACAACCTAGAACTCTGAGTTGCAGATCCTCTGTTTAATTGAGAAAGGATCTTGGGGGTTATGGCCCAAATGTTGCATAGGATTGTTAAAATATGTAGCATTTTTTCTGAAAGTATATAATTTGTATATTTTATGTGATCAGTGACTCTCTTATTTTTTTTCAGTATATTTTTGGAGATTTTAGCCCTGATGAATTCAATCAATTCTTTGTGACTCCTCGATCTTCAGTTGAGGTAAGACAAAACTTTGTTTTAGTGAGTCCGTGGGTAGATACAATTAATAGTTATGTTTCTATTTTAATTTGTTTTTTTAAATAAAGAATTCCAATGTAGAGAAAAGTATGGAGACTAATATGAGAAATGCCTCAACCCACCAACTAGATTTGACTGACATTTGATTTGACATTTTGCTGTATTTACTTTATTAGGCTTTGAAAAGCAAATAAAACATTACAGATGCAACTGAAGCCTCCTTTGGACCTCTCTCCCATCTCTCCCCAGAAGTAACTACTCTGCTGAAATTGGGAAATATTGGTCCTGACTGGTTTTCACCTTTTATCATATACGTGTATATCACCATAGTCAATCGTAGTGTTTTATGTGCTTTAAAGTGTCACGTAAATGGTATACTATATTCAGTTTGTCGTTTATTTTAAGCTAACGTTGTATTCTTTATGCTAAGAAATTTGTCCTTGTTCTTTGATTTCCAGTGCTCAGTACCACTGATTGAACACACTGCAATTTACTTACATATTTTCCTGTCGAGGGCCATTTAGGTCTCTAGTTCAGCCGTTAAAAATATTGCACTCAATGTATTTTATCATGTCTCCTGGTGCCCCTCTGTGGGCTCCTCCGGGACACAGACCTGGGAATGGAATTACTGGGTTCTGTGGACCGAGCCTCTTTAGTTTCACTAGAGACTGCTCGTTTGCTATCTAGGATTTTAACAGTCTTCATTCCCATCAGCAGTGCATGGGAGTTTTCTTGCTCGTATTAAAAAAAAAATCTTGCTAACTCTTGGTGTTGGCATATTTAAAATTTTGTGAATCTGATGTGTGTAGTAAATGGACTCTCATTGTTTTAATTTACATCTCCCAGATTACAAACAGCTGGGTACTATTTCATTCTCTTCACGTCTGCTGGCAATACGGATGTCCTCTGCTGTGAATTACTTGGTTTATATCCCTTGTCCATATTTTTAAATCAAGTAGCTTGTCTTTTTCTTACTGATTTTAGGATTAATCTTTGGTTTTACAGGCATCTGTTCCTAGCATGAGGGCTTTAAGCTTCACATGTTAGGTGAACCCTTTTTGGGGTTGGGTTTTTTTGTTGTTGTTGTTGGATAAGAGGAGTACACTTTCAACTTTAATGTCAACTGAATTGATTTTTTTTTCCTTATAGTTTGTGGATTTTTAGTTTTAAAAATATCTTTAGGAAATTCTTCCCATCCTTTAGATAACGAAGATATTTGTCTGTTTTCTTCTAAAAGTTTTCAGATTTTGTTTTCACGCTTCAGTGTGTAATAAGCTGAAATTGAGGCACTGAATTTTGTATATGTGTGAGGTGGCATCGAACTCCCTGCCCCTGTGGCCCTGGCAGGTGCCTCCTCACCATTCATTGGGAACTCGGCCCTTAGCTGTCCTGTCAGCCCCGTTGGGCAGTGCATCTCCCCTGGTTCCGAGTGTGCTATTCTGTGGGCCTATTGCTTATCTCTGTATAAACACCACACGTTTTATTTTATTTTTTTATTTCTATTTTTTCTTTTCTTTTCTTTTTTTCGAGACAGGGTCTCACTCTGCCCAGGCTGGAGTGCAGAGTGCAATCACAATTCACTGCAACTTTGACCCCCCGCCCCGCCTCAGGGGGGTTCTCATGCTTCAGCCCCTGAATAGCTGGGATTACAGGTGTGTGCTGCCAGGCCCGGGTGGTGTGTGTGTGTGTGTGTGTGTGTGTGTGTGTGTGTGTGTGGTGTGTGTGTTTTTAAGTAAGGGGATTTTGTATTTTTTCCCACATCACACTGATGTAACCATACGTTTTAGTTGCTACAGGTTTTCTCAAGTGTGTACACATGTGGATGGGTGGGTACCTGTTTGCAAGTGAGTAGACAAAAACTTGAGTTTTCATGTGATAGGAAAGTGAAAAGTGCACCGTATTTCAAGTCTGAAGGCCTGGGGTCGCTTCAGTTCTGCCACTTCCACAGGCTCGGAGGGTTTGGGCACGTTCTTTCCTTTTGGGCCTCCCATTTCTTTTCTCTTTCTTTTGTTTTTTAAATTGAAAAAATGCAGAATGCTTATTCACGTCACAGAAATGTTGGGAAATCAGCTAATGTATGGTCCGATAACTAGTGAGTAACAGATGTTAGTAGAAATGGATGAAAAGGGTACAGATGGTAAGTTATGCCAAACCTTTTATTCACAGAAGACGTGACTGTGTCTCATGAAAATGAGCTCAAGCTTCAGAACTCGTAGTGTGTGTGGGCTTATTTGGGCTTTTCTGTTTTTCTTATTTTTTAACATACGGTGAAGTTTGGAGGGGTATAAAAAGAGTTTATCAAAATCACAGTAACCTGCAAAAGGGAAATGCAGGCTAATTAACATAATCGGATGGAGTTGTTTTCCCCAATCTTCAGGAATCTGAATTATAATAGCACATGATTACACAGGAACTCACTTTCATGGGGCGGCATGTGGTTGGGCCTGTGGGTGTGTGAGTGGCGAGGGCGTGTCACTTGGACCTGTGGGTGTGTGAGTGGCGAGGGCGTGTCACTTGGACCTGTGGGTGTGTGAGTGGCGAGGGCGTGTCACTTGGACCTGTGGGTGTGTGAGTGGCGAGGGGAGGGCGTGTCACTTCTACAGCACAGTTTGGCCTTTTATCTCTCAGGTAACATAATTGCCGCTCAAACATGCAGTGTTTCTACCATGTGGCTGTGGCATGAGTTACAATCTAGTCGAATTTTTCATATGCTTTTTCTCCGTTGTTAGGAGCTTGATAAAATATTGTTTTCTCTACTTGGGGCCATGAATTGAAAAACCAAAATTAAGAAATGTGGGATGTTAAGATGAAAGAGCATTCTGCCTTCCTGCAGAAGCGCCTCCTGCCAGCGGAGGGCTGCTTTGTCTTTTAGTTTGCTTGCTTGGCAGCTTGCCACTGGCAAGATAAGGTGGCTAGTAATTTAGTGGCATCAGGAGAAACGAATTCAGGTGAAAGGTAGCTGGCATCTTTTCTAGAGTTGTGCTCCAGTGATTTAAAAATTATTTTCTCCAGTGGAAAAAATGCAGTCACCTTATTTAATAAGCATGTTTAAACCTCAGTCGTAATCCTGTTATTTATGTTCAGAAAGAAAGAGAAAATGCTCACCATTCTTTAGTTTCCAGAATCTCAGCTTTGGAAGTAGCACACATCCCAACCATGACTGAGTCAATAAGCCCCCGATGACATAGTGTTGGCAGTGGGCAGTGTGTGTGGTGTGGGTGTGTGTGGGTACTCATGGAGAGTAGAGAGTAGAGACAGTTCTTAATTTGGTGTGTTTTCTTTTTTGAGAGGGAGTCTCGCTCTCTCGCCCAGGCTGGACTGCAGGGGCGTGATCTCGGCTCACTGCAAGCTCCGCCTCCCGGGTTCACACCATTCTCCTGCCTCAGCCTCCCGAGTAGCTGGGACTACAGGCGTCCGCCACCTCGCCCGGCTAATTTTTTGTGGTTTTAGTAGAGGCGGGGTTTCACCGGGTTAGCCAGGATGGTCTTGATCTCCTGACCTCGTGGTCTGCCCGCCTCGGCTTCCCAAAGTGCTGGGATTACAGGCGTGAGCCACCACGCCCGGCCTAATTTGGTATCTTAATGGGATTTTAAAGGAGGGCTTTGTGGTTCAGGAGAGTCTTTGAGACGGAAAGCAGAACACACAGGTAGCCCAGAGGGAGACTTCAGAACATGACCTTCCTATAGCCACGGGCCCAGGTATCCTTTTCACAAGGCCGCAGCACTGTTTTCACACTGTGCGTTTAGCATAACTATTAATAGATGACAGTTTTTTCCCTTGCTCACTTTGCATTTGTCTAGGGAATTTTATGTCTTTGCTTTGATTTTTGAACTTTGTATTCTTACAAATAGTTATATAGTTAATGAGTGAACTTCGAACCATCCTGGCACTTTTATTCTGTTGTGTATTTAGATACCCAGTTACCACAGACTAAGTGCATCTGATGTGTGAGGGAGGTTTGCTGAATGAAAGGTGCTGTGTGCCTGTGGAATAAAACACACACATTTCCACAGTGCCACAACCCATCTGGCATTCCTGCAGGTGCGCTCTTTTATCAGCTTAGCAAATCAAAGTAAGTGTGTTGAGCATGCTTACTGAAGGTGGCAGTGTCATCTGGGAGTTTGCTGGTGGTCGTCTCACCAGATCCCTGCTGTGCCTCTTACTGGCAGTGTCACCTGCTGGCACTGTCACCTGGCTTCCTCATCTGAAGCTGGCAGTGTCGCCTGGCTTCCTCATCTGTCAGAGGGCCACAGTAACAGGACCTCCTCCCCAGAGTTGTTGAGGAGCAGGATGTGTGCCTGGCACACCCTGAGTGCCCAGTCAGTGCCACCTGGTGTCACTGGTCCAGCCTTTCCAGCCTCTCCACCCTCAGTCAGCGCCACCTGGCATTACCGGCCCCGCCTCTCCACTTGGCTTGTCCTCAGCGTCATCTGTGTATTTTTCCCGATTGCTGGGGTTTTCTTCTGCATGTTGTGGGAGTGGCTGGGAGTTGAGTGAGTGTTCACACCCCGTGGTTGAATGTTGAGGAAGGGGACAGCCGGAAGATGGTGAGCAGGGTTCTAACAGCTCTCTGCCTTGTGAAGTGGATGGGTGAAGAGGTCCCTTCTCTGAATTGTGCGTCTTCCCAGCCTGCTGCAGTCTCTCGGGTCTGGAGGTTTCCTTCAGCATTCTCTCTTCCCCGAGCAGAACAGAATACTGGGAAGTGTGAAGAGAACATTGATATAATAGTGATGAAACTGTTTTGACTCAGAAAAAGATGATTTCTTGATGTTACAATAAATTTTGTGTAAAAATAGAGTGATTCAAAACACTTTTCATGCCTCAAAATAACACAGCTTTCTGTCACCAGGGGGCATCCTAGTGTCATTAACAGAAAAAGAGGGCATTCTATGTATCAGTTTCTAAACTGTCTTCTTTGACCACAGAGGGTTTTGAACGAGATGGAGGCTTCCTGAGACACACATGGCCGCTGTGTCCACTGCCCTTATAGACCCACCTCTCTGCTCCAGGTGCCTGCCAGCATCAATGCTGGTGTGTGGAATGGTCTTTGCCTTGCGGGTGCCAAGGCTAGTGTAGCCCATCTCAGCATACAGAATGCTTTCTTCTGGGTGTCAACGTGATGCGTACTAGGTTGCCCCCTGGTGGTGGAGATAAGTGCAGCTGTCAACTCCTGAAGGTGTTGGCTTCTTTTGAATTGCCCTGTGTTTTCCTGTTTGTCATAATTCTCTGGGAAGAGAACTTACTGCGTTACTAGCAGAGAGAAGCTTTTATTGCTGTGATTATTGAATTGGTGTGCTGAGATCTCATTGGAGAACTCAGCTGAGGAAGCCAATCAAGCAGCAGCTCTCATACAGTATTGGGCATGAGACTTACCTAGGAGCCTCTGAACTTTGCGGCCCTAGGGCCGTTCCTGCACTGGCCTTTGTACTGCAGTGAACAGACTTTGGGAAGTGCTGCACCAGAATGTCTTTTTGTTCTTTTGTTCTGCCCTCAGGTAGCAGTTTATCTCTCTGCTTACCTTACCCCTTTTCTTCCTAAACCTTTTTTTTTTTTTTGAGACAGAGTCTTGTGCTGTTGCCCAGGCTGGAGTGCAGTGGCACTATCTCGGCTCACTGCAAGCTCCGCCTCCCGGGTTCACGCCATTCTCCTGCCTCAGCCTCCTGAGTAGCTGGGACTACAGGCACCCACCACCATGCCCGGCTAATTTTTTGTATTTTTTAGTAGAGACAGGGTTTGTTTTTTTTTTGTTTTGTTTTGTTTTGGTTTTTGAGACAAAGTCTTGCTCTATTGCCCAGGCTGGAGTGCAGTGGCGCGATCTCGGCTCACTGCAACCTCCATCCCCCAGGTTCAAACGATTCTCCTGCCTTAGCCTCCCAAGTAGCTGGGATTACAGGTGCCTGCCACCACGCCCAGCTGATTTTTTGTATTTTTAGTAGAGATGGGGTTTCACCATGTTGGCCAGACTGGTCTAGAACTCCTGACCTCAAGTGATTCACCCACCTCAGCCTCCCTCATTGCTGGGATTACAGGCATGAGCCACCATGCCCTGCCCCTTCCTAAACTTTCTTACACCCAATGTGTCCATTGGAAGCATTTCCAACTCTTAAATAAATGTTATGGAATAGCTAGGAAGAAGAAAAATTTAAGTTATTTTTGAGATAACCTTTCAGCTTTTTACAAAGAAGTCAGACAGTTCCCATTCTGCTTTCTGTCTGCCAAACAAGGAATGTGACTTCTAGCTGTTAATGTAGTTAATTAAGGCACTGTGTTAAAAAGGGAGCTGCAGTCACCAGGCTTTTTGTTTATAGTGCGCTTTCCTCTGCTCTCCGACCATGGACCTGGTCCCAGCCTCTACTGGCTGTGTTGCAATGTAGTGATCGTGAATAAGAGGTGCAGTCAGGAAGAGTCATCTTCGCTAGTGCACAAACAAAAGTGTCTGTGGTCTGGATGGTCAGTCACTGACATCCTGTGGAAAGAAGGATGTATCATAAGCATTTCATTGTAGCTGATTTACATGTCCATTGGAGTTCATTTTTATTCCTTTTGGCTTCATTTTCGGATCTGTTTAATAGTGATAAATATTTGAAAGCATTTCTATTGTGTTTTTTTCGTTAAATGAAGATGATTTAGATTGCACTGACTCTTCATGTATGTTATTCTGCTAGAAGTAACGGCATGCAAAGTTGTATGGATTAAGAGTTTTAATGAATTGTTGCCTTAATTAAATGGTAAGCGTTGGTTTTAACATTTTGTTGAATTAAAATTTGTTTTCTGATTCCTTGTGCAGCTTCCTCCATACAGTGGAACAGTTCTGTGTGGCACACAGGCTGTGGATAAACTACCTGATGGTAAGCTAGTTCTCTCCTTATTTCCCTGAAGGGAATTTGGCCATACGTGCTGGGTGGGCAGGCTACCTGTAAACATTGTTTCCCATTTGAATAAACATTTCTTTGTAGCTTGAAGTTTTTGCTGTAAACTGTAATGTATTTAATTGCTGAATCACTTTGACTAGTGAATTGGTTTTAAAGCGTATCCTGTGCTTCGGAGTGCCAGCCATGTAAGATTTAGTTTAGGAAATGGTTGTTGAGTTCTTTTTTTCCTAACAGTTCTGAGTGCAACAGGTATGTTACTCTTCATCAGCACATGCTGGAGTTGAAGCGAACTTTGGGTCTTGTTGCTAAGCAGCCTGCTGGCTCCAGCGCCAGCTAGCTTCTGAGCCTGTGTTCTTTGTAAACTAAGGGGCAGCTGGCATCTGTTGTTCTTGCAGTTCACATTCATGTCCTGGTCTGTCGCTGACTCTTGGGAACTCAGGTCAACTCTTCACCTCCTGGTCTGTTACTTTTTTGGGTCTCCATCACAGGCACTAAGCTGATTGCCAGAGATGGTGCTTATGGAGATGCAATGATTTTGTATTGCTTAAGTACCCAGCGTTGGAATACCAACAAGGTTGTTTAATTATTGATTGCAGGCTGCCCTTGCACAATTCAAACTTGTCGAGATCATTTTTCAATCTGAATCACTTTAAAGGCCCTTACTGGCCTCCAGGAAACTGATGCCAAACTTTTTCTTTGAGAGTTAGAGGTTTGGATTCCCTGTTCAGTTAGCATGGTCAGACTTATGAAAGGGGTTTTAATTACAATTTAGGCTTCAATAGAAGCCTTGAAAAGACTAACCAAACGTTTTATCTCCAGTAACATCAGGGAGTGATTATATCTAAAATTTTAGATTTATAAGAAATGTGGGAGACCATAAGGGAAAGAGCAGATCTAACAATAGCTTAGGACAAGTAATAAAATGAATGAAGCTTGAGGGACCGGGAAGCCGGGCTGCTCAGCCTCCTGAGCCACCTTTTAATTGGCTGATGTCAACCTCTCAGACATCTGAGTCAGTGGGACTTCCTCTGTCACTGTGTGCTTTGCACGTGGTGAGCATGCTGCTCATGTTGAACCAGTGCTTACAAATGCCCCATGATGTTCCCATGCACATCACTTCTTTGAGTTCACCCTCCTCCCTGTGCAGTGGGCACCACCAGCTCCCCCAGCCTCTGGAGTTCTGCTTCCCCCTCCCTCCTTCCAGCCTGCCTGCCCTTTTCAGTGACTGCTTCTTGGCCCTTTTTCTCCATTCTTTACTCTGTTCCCTCTAAGTCCTGCCTTTTTTCTGCCAAAAACACGACTGGAATCTTGCCACCAGTTTGCACAGTTAGTGACAGGCCTGCTTTTCTCTGCAGCCTTTCTGGGTATCTTGTGTTTCCATGACATTAGTTTCTCTTCCAGTGCCTGTTCGACTGTACAGAGCCTGTGGGCACTGTCATGGACCTGCCTCTCTTTCCAGCCTGCTCAGCTGCTGATGGCAGGATCCATTTCTCTGTGTCTGTCACTGCGCCTGTAGTATCTGGAATGTTGTAAGCCCTCAGTACATTTGTTGGATGAATGGTTTAGGATGCTTTATTCTGCTCCCTCCCACTACCTCCAGCTGCAGCAAGCCCTTTGCAGAGGCACCTCATCGTGGCTTCCCTTTTAGATCTCGGCCTTTTCTATTTTTGTGTTTTTTAATTTTTTTATATTTTAATTTTTGTAGGTACATAATAGGTGTATATATGTATGGGGTACATGAGATATTTTCATACAGGCATACAACAAGTAATAATCACATCAAGGTGAATGGTTGTCCTTCACCTCAAGCACTGCCTGTTTTAGATGTTCCTAAAGCTTGAGATACCACTCCTTCACCCTGCCCTTAGCAATTCAGTGATCCATCAAGTTCCACTGACCTCTCTAGTTTCTGATAGAAGTTGATCACTGTTTCCTGCATCCAGAAGAATCCTTTTTCTAAAGCTATTCACAGCTTTCTCTCCCCTCCCTCCATGTTTTCATTCTCAGTTGTTTGTATTTGTCTCCCTAATAAATGTGAACTCTCTGAGCAGGGCCCTTGTGTCACTAATCTCTGTATATTTCCCTCCCTCGCCCCCTGCCTTGTAGTCCAGTCCTCTCTACTGCATGTACTGCAGTGAGCAGCCTTGGAGAAATGCTGTGTTAGGATTCGTGGTTTTAAGAGCCTCTGCCTGCATTACCTGAGTATTGAGTTTCCATCTTCCTAATGTATTGATTGGGTTGTTGAAGCCAAGCGTGCAGGCCGTCCTGCACTTCGTCTGCCTGGCACATTGGGCTCTGAGCTCTCTGCCATGCGGTGCAAGGCACATGGCGTCCATTGTGAGTGTTCCTCCATAAGAAGAGGAACTGTGCTGGCTAGGAATCTGCCTTCTAGTGAGATGATCAAACATGGTATTGAGTAAATGTTTGATACTAATTATAACATACTGAAATGGTTCTGTTCACGTTACATCACATTCTAGAATGTTTTATGTTCTGATAAGATTGAGAATTGAGATGTGTACAGCACATCTGTGTCTTAGAAATAATCAGTCTTGCATAAGCTGAATGACACAACACGTTCTAGTTTCTAATGTGATTTCACAGCCTTCAAAGGGCAGGCTCCACATGGAGCCTTCCGCCCCAGGCACACCCGTTTCAATCTGGGGAGCCTTGACGGCCCCAGAACATCAGGGAATAGGGGATGTATGGAACCAAAATGAACAGCCAGCCCCTACATATGATAATAAATTCATTTCCCCTTGATATTCTTTTCAAAGTAAGGAAACAAAAAATAAATAGTAGCCAAAGGAATTAGATGGTCGTGACTTCATGCATAAACTTGCTGTTAGGTGTAATCGTCATCAGTGTTCTTTTCCAGGAACTTTCTCTTGTTGGGGCAGGATTGTGCTGCCACCACCCTTCACCCCCCACAGTCGGGGGCTGTGATTCTAAAGCATACGAAGATTCAGGAGGCCTCGGGAGGCTGTGTAGCTCCAGCCTCCTGCACACTCACTTGCACGTAACTGGCCCCTCTCAGCGTCTGTATTTTTTCTTCTACAAAAAGATTTCTAGGGGTCCTTTCAAGGTAAAATATATTCAGTTCTCCGCAGTAGAACACCGTTCTTTGGGTATTAGTTTCTTTTCTTAAGATAGATGCCTTGAAAAAAAAATTGGCCCCTTAATGCTAGCCTGGAAGAAATCTTCATGCATTAAAGATGAAATATAAGGCATGTGTCCTTCCCTTAACTTCAAAATGTGTAACTTTTTATCAAATATAAGGTGACATTGATGCTTGATTTCTGTTGAAAGACACAATTGATTCTAAAACTTAACCTGATTTCAGAGGTGTAAACTATAAAAATACGTCTGTCTTAGCAGGAATGAATTATGTGGATTGTGGTTAACTGGGAAGGAAGTATTGAAGGCTTCCCAAGAGATATTTAAAAGTTCACAATTCTAACTTTTTCTTTTGGTATTTTTGGAAGGCTTTACCACCCATGGGGTTAATCCAGTGTGAATTTATTTAGAGGACGTTTGCATGTGTTCATGTCAGGGCCATTTTTCAGACTTAATTGAAGGTTACCAGCGGAGGAGACCAAGAGATAGAGAATTCAGAAGAGTGCTCTGAAGTGCGCTTTTATATATAGGATTCTTTGTTGTTGTTGTTGTTGTTGTTGAATCTTTTTTTGACATCTTTTTTTTTTGTTTTTAAATTTATACTTTCTAATTTCTCCTATCCAGTATGTATAGGATTCTTTGCGTAGTTCATGTTTTTGGAATTAATCAAATCACGTTAACTACAGAAGCTGATTTAACCATGTTTTAAGTCCCTAAGTTAGTTGTCATGATCTTTTAAAATTTAAGTTGTCCAAAATACATATTCCTTTATCTCAGGCATAAGGCAGCTATAAGAAAGTCAGATTCCACTGGGGGGTATTTTTAAAATTGGCAAAATATTACTTGCTTTTTATTACAAATTTATTTTAATTTCTACCTTCTGAAAGCCTTCCTTAGCTAGAAAGATAAGTACAGGCTTCTGCTTTTCATATCCCCAAATTAAATAATAATTTTATAGTTGTTTCATTTTCCGCAAATTGTTCAGCGTAAGTAAAGGACGTAATAGATTTGTTGATTAGGAAGAGAACTTAAGGTTTTTATTTTCAAAGAGAAAGTGAGTAATTACTGGTACTTAGAGTTTGTAGAACTGGGTTCTTAACTAATAGTTTTCTTTCTAAACAGGACAAGAATATCAGAGAATTGAGTTTGGTGTCGATGAAGTCATTGAACCCAGTGACACTTTGCCGAGAACCCCCAGCTACAGTATTTCAAGCACACTGAACCCTCAGGCCCCTGAATTTATTCTCGGTTGTACAGCTTCCAAAATAACCCCTGATGGTATCACTAAAGAAGCAAGCTATGGCTCCATCGACTGCCAGTACCCAGGCTCTGCCCTCGCTTTGGATGGAAGTTCTAATGTGGAGGCGGAAGTTTTGGAAAATGATGGTGTCTCAGGTGGTCTTGGACAAAGGGAGCGTAAAAAGAAGAAAAAGCGGCCACCTGGATATTACAGCTATTTGAAAGATGGTGGCGATGATAGTATCTCCACAGAAGCCCTGGTCAATGGCCATGCCAATTCAGCAGTCCCGAACAGTGTCAGTGCAGAGGATGCAGAATTTATGGGTGACATGCCCCCGTCAGTTACGCCCAGGACTTGTAACAGCCCCCAGAACTCCACAGACTCTGTCAGTGACATTGTGCCTGACAGTCCTTTCCCCGGAGCACTCGGCAGTGACACCAGGACTGCAGGGCAGCCAGAGGGGGGCCCCGGGGCTGATTTTGGTCAGTCCTGCTTCCCTGCAGAGGCTGGCAGAGACACCCTGTCAAGGACAGCTGGGGCTCAGCCCTGCGTTGGTACCGATACTACTGAAAACCTTGGAGTTGCTAATGGACAAATACTTGAATCCTCGGGTGAGGGCACAGCTACCAACGGGGTGGAGTTGCACACCACGGAAAGCATAGACTTGGACCCAACCAAACCCGAGAGTGCATCACCTCCTGCTGACGGCACGGGCTCTGCATCAGGCACCCTTCCTGTCAGCCAGCCCAAGTCCTGGGCCAGCCTCTTTCATGATTCTAAGCCCTCTTCCTCCTCGCCGGTGGCCTATGTGGAAACTAAGTATTCCCCTCCCGCCATATCTCCCCTGGTTTCTGAAAAGCAGGTTGAAGTCAAAGAAGGGCTTGTTCCGGTTTCAGAGGATCCTGTAGCCATAAAGATTGCAGGTATAGTTGAAAAGATACAAATCTAGAGTGAAGATGGGAGCAGACCTCATCAACTGGGCTTATAGACTGTGGTGTTACCCATAACAATGGCAGATTACCTGTGTGTTAATAGCAACGTCTGAAGGATGCCTATGTCTTAAATGTTCTCTAAAAGTAAGATAATATAGAAACAAATGGGAGGAGAGGGTTGTCGTAACTTTATGTTAAGTGAAAGATCCATGTCTGTTAGCAGTTCTTTTCTGTTGACAAGTTACATTTCCATTTCTTGCCTTTTGTTCAAGTAATTCTGCTCCACGGTATGAATGTATAATGGACTTTTTCTGTGATATACCTTTGGTATGATAATCCTGATTTGTACTCACTGTGTGCTCCTTTTTTATATTTCTTAAGATACAAGAAATCATTTTGTGAAATAACATGGTTTTTTTTTTTTGGATTGAGTAAATGGATTTTATTCAGAATTTTGATACACCAAGGTCAGCTCTTGAAGAGAAAAAAAATGTTAAGGGTTCAGCCCAAAGTTAATGTTTTATTTTAGAGTGCTAAGGCTCCAAAGTAGAAACAATTCACAATAAAAATAGAAAGCTGCATAATTCACAGATTGTTTTTAAAAAGTTACAGTAGGAAGTCAGAAATGCAGCAGGGTATGAAAGAGGTATGTGTCCTCACATAGCCACGTGTTGCTTAACTAAGATGGATATGTGTTCCGAGATGTGCGTGTTAACATCAGAGAGTACTACACAAATACAGGTGGTAGAGCCTTAGGCTGGTGGTGCAGCCTATTACTCCCGGGCTGCAAACCTGTCCAGCGTGTTACTACTGAATACTGTAGGCAGTTGTAACACAGTGCTAAGTATTTGTGTGCCTGAACACATTTAGACATAGAAAAAATATAGTACAGATATGGTATAAAGGATGAAAAGTGCTTCACCTGTATAGAGCACTCACCGTGAATGGAGCTTGCAAGACTGGAGTGGCTCTGGATGGGTCAGTGATGAGTGCTGAGTGAATGTGAAGGCCCAGGACAGTACTGAGCAAAGCCGAGTTTTATAAACAGTCAACACTTAGGCTGTACTACGTTGATTTACAAATTTTTCCTCAATAAGAAATTAACCTTAACCTACTGTAACTTTTTTACGTTTTATTTTACTTTTAAATTAAA
This sequence comes from Homo sapiens, assembly GCF_000001405.40. Classification (NCBI taxonomy): domain Eukaryota; kingdom Metazoa; phylum Chordata; class Mammalia; order Primates; family Hominidae; genus Homo; species Homo sapiens. Next base: position 84,746,836 of record NC_000016.10, read on the forward strand.
AATTCTAAACTTTTTGACTCTTTCATGAGAACATTTAGCTTAAAACACACACTACAGCTATACAAAAATATTTTCTTCCTTTTTATTCTTACTTTCCTATAAGCTTTTTCATATTAAAAATTGTTTTTAACTTTTTAAACTTAAAAAGTAAGACACAAACATTAGCCTGGGCCTGCACAGGGTCAGGAGCATCAAGACGCCACTAGGCGGCAGGACGTTTCAGTTCCACTAGAATCTTGTGGGACCATCATACGTGCGGCTCATTGTTGACCGAAATGTTACGCCGCGCGTGACTGTACGTACCTAAGAAGCAGAAGCTGTGTCATCAGGTTGGATTCCACCAAGCCTGGTGACCAGATCTTCAGATTGTCACCCTAGTAGCCAAGTTAAAATAAGCTGTTTGGTTTAGGCTTTCTGTAATACTTTCTGATGTGACCTTTTGGAACACCTGACACCCTTCATTACCAGGATGTAGCAGCAAGCTGCCAAATGCACACCCTTCGATGGATGGTCAGAATTGTGTAAAAAATAAAACACATTCTTTGGGTGGCAATAGGGTGATAGCAAGCAATGTATATATATTTTTAAGAGTATTTTATTCCTTATACAAAATACATTATCTCAGGTACTCTTGTTGTTCTGAAGTTCTCTTAAATGAGCAAATGATAGGCCAGACGTCGTTATTTTGGGCTTCATATATATTTTTTAAAGCCAGGTGATTTTTTTTTTTTTTTTTTTTTTTTTTGAGATGCAGTCTCACTCTGTTGCTCAGGCTGTAGTGCAGGAGGCACGATCTTGGCTCACTACAACCTCCGCCTCCTGGGTTCAAGTGATTCTCCTGCCTCGGCCTCCCAAGTAGCTGGGATTACAGGCACATGCCACAATGTCTGGCTATCTTTTTTTGTATTTTTAGTAGAAATGGGGTTTCACCATGCTGCCCAGGCTGGCCTCAAACTCCTGACCTCAAGTGATCTGCTCGCTTCAGCCTCCCAAAGTGTTGGGATTCCAGGTGTGGGCCACCGCACTCAGGCCAGGCGATTTCTTGAATACAGCTTTCAGAATGTATTTATTGCAAGGACTGATACTGTAGGTGGATGACAAGGTCAGGAGATCGAGACCATCCTGGCTAACACGGTGAAACCCCGTCTCTACTAAAAAAAACCTAAAAATCAGCCAGGCGTGGTGGCGGGCGCCTGTAGTCCCAGCTACTCAGGAGGCTGAGACAGGAGAATGGCGTGAACCTGGGAGGCGGAGCTTGCAGTGAGCCGAGATGGCGCCAGTGCACTCCAGCCTGGGCGACAGAGCCAGACTCCATCTCAAAAAAAAAAAAAAAAAAAAAAAAGATAGATTGTGTAAGCCTTTATATAGATTACTAAGTTAAAAGTTTATTTTTAACCTATAATGAGAAATGCATGGTGGGGTCCTGTTAAAAATGTGCATTCTAAGTTCGAAGTCATGAGAATTTTATTTTCTTTTCTTTATTTTTGAGAGGGGGTCTCACTCTGTCGCCCAGGCCGGAATGCAGTGGCGCAATCTCGGCTCACTGCAACCTTCTCCTCCTGGGTTCAGGCAATTCTCCTGCCTCAGCCTCCCTAGTAGCTGGGACTACAGGTGCCTGGCACCACGCCAGGCTAATTTTTGTATTTTTAGTAGAGACCGAGTTTCACCATGTTGGCCAGGCTGGTCTTGAGCTCCTGACCTCAAGTGATCCTCCTGCCTCAGCCTCTCAAAGTGCTGAGATTACAGGCGTGAGCCACCGCGCCCAGCTGAGAATATTATAGTTTCGTTTCTAAAATTGCTCCACAAAGGAAAACCTCCCATCTTAGGGAGATTTTCTCTATCTTTATTTAAAATAACCAAGAAAAGCTTCATTTAAAATGTTTTAGAACATTCTACTTAGTCATATGACTTTAAATATAGTTTGATAAATAGTTTGTTATGTTCTGTATATGTTAAAGTCTAATTGAAGTAGCTTTGTCAAACACTGAAAGTAAGGGCCTCTTAATGACTGGTAGTAGAGGAAAGCCTTGCCACACACAGTCCACGTAATTATTTTTGTGTGGACATATTGTAAACCCCTACCAAACAGATTATTTTTTTAATCCTATTTGGTTAGGTCAGTTATGAAGATGTTTTAATTTTCTGAGCAAAAGTGTAGTTTCTTTAAAAATATATAATTCTTTTCAGCCTGTTTGTTGAGGCTTCGATAGACAGAACGTAGTTGTTGACAGTTTCAGGAGTCTCGTGAGATAGTAGAGCAATAGAGTCACATTGAATAACCCTTGGGATCATATAGGGCTTAGGGAGAATGGCATTGTTTGAAATTTTTTTTGTTGTTTTATTCTCCTACTTAGGGATTTACTTTATAAAAGTGGTAAAACATACTCAGTTTGTTACAAGTCAGATCCACTACCACAAATTCCCTTTAGTGGGCACACTTTTAAGTGTAGGCCCACTTATTTTAAGCAGCGTTTAACTGAGTGAAAGTCTAGTTTCATTAAAAGATCTGTTGATGTGGGTTATAATAGAGTTTGACTTGCATTAGTATCTAACTGTTTCTACTGAGACAGTGGTATTTGTGTTATTAACTTTTGGGAAAGAGGGAGTAGGGAATGATTTAGACATTAAATGTATTCCTTTCTGCCAGGCATGATAGTGTGGAGATTGAGGCTTGAGGCTCGATAACTTGAGCCCGGGAGTTCGAGGCCAGCCTGGGCAACATACTGAGACCCCATCTTTAAAAAAAAAAAAAATTATACACACACAAAATGCTTGGAATAATTTGTGTATTTTTTATCTCAAGTTTGTTTCAAATACTCACATTTCTGGACTATTTCCCCTATTGTTAAGTCTGCTTAATAAATGCCAGCTAGTTTTTATGCCATCAGAAGTGAAATTAAGAAGGCAGATGGACTAAAAGAATCACGTATAAGGGATTTTGAAGTGAAATACATTAAACTCTTGATTACTCTTAAACTATCCACTTTAACGGGTTCTACTTGGACCTTCTTGGTGGCAAGGCCATCTCCTCGGTGTAGGTTATGTGTCAACATTTTGTTCCATTGGCTGTTTTTCAAGTGTGAACTGTTATTTGAAAGGAGAAGGACACGCCAGGGGAGAGCGTGTGAACTGAATACTCAGTGATTTCCTTTAGCCCCAAGGGAAGGATGTATCTAAACACAAAAGCCCTGTCTTGCCGAGGGTTGGAGAGGGATCTGTGTTTCAGTGACTGGTCTGAGAGGAGATGGTTGCCATTTATCAGTAGGAGTCAACAAAAGGAAACTTAATACAGCCCGGCACAGTGGCTCACGCCTGTAATCCCAGCACTTTCGGAGGTTGAGGTGGGTGGATCCCTTGAGGCCAGGAGTTCAAGACCAGCCTGGCCAACATAGGGAAATCCCATCTTTACTAAAAATAAAAAAATTAGATGGACGTGGTGGCTCATGGCTGTAATCCTAGCTACTGAGGAGGCTGTGTCAGGAGAATAGCTTGAACCGGGGAGGTGGAGGTTCAGTGAGCCCAGATCGTGCCACTGCACTCCAGCCTGGGCCACAGAGTGAGACTGTCTCAAAAAAAAAAAAAAAAACCCAAAACTTAATAGCTTGTGTTTGAAAGTAGTTGCAAAACGCGACACCCTTGTTAAGAGTGAGTATGGCAGACACGTGGGGAGTGCCTTTGCTGCTGCTTCCCTCATTAGCACAGATACTTTGGAGTTGACGAACATGTGACGTTTGAAATTGAACGTATGCTTTCATTGAACATTGTACTTTTCCTGGGTCTTTACTAAGGAACATTCCTCATATACTAGACGAAATTGTATCAGATGCTTTCACATCACAAATAGAGCCATTTTGTATTTGATGTTTTGCTTTCAAAATTATGCAACAGTATATTTTGTTTTAACAGAATATAAATAATGCTGGGTAAGAAGAGTGGCCAACTGCCCGATAAGTTAAAATTCCAGTGAGAGAGAACTAGGAAAACTGAGCTCTTGAACAGCTCTGAAAACATTGCGTTGAGGTATCTAGCAATGTCATTTATTATGAATTGTTAGTCAAAACCTGTTTATATGATTTTTCACAGTGGTTTTATACCTAAAAGGCATTGGATCAAGAAACAAAGTTATTACAATTTGGGTCTTCTCTAATGAATTACCCTGTCCGTGTTTATTTAAGTGTAAATGAACATACAGTTATGTGCTGCTTTAATGATGTTTCAGTCAACAACAGACCGCATGTACGACAGTGGTCCCATAAGATTATAATGGAGCTAAACAATTTCTAGTGACCAGTGAGTTGTGTTACAGTTGCCTACGGTATTCAGTACACAACATGCTGTACGGGTTTGTAGCTTAGGAGCAATAGGCTCTAGCATATGGCCCAGGTGTGTAGTTGGCTATACCATCTAGGCATGTGATCCCACAATGACAAAATTGCCTAATGCCACATTTCTCAGAACATATCCCCATCATTAAGCATGGCTGTGTATCCTAAAACTGATCTTTATTTTGGCAGTTTATAAATCATGCATATATTTCCCCCCGCTCCTTGGGGGAAATGGTTTCTCAGATATTTTGCACTTCCTCTTCAAACTCTGAAGTACACAGGCAGTGGTCATGCGGCGTGATCTAAGTTAAAAAGGCGTGGCACCTGTTTACCGGGATCCACCCTTGTGGACTGAGAGTTTAGTCCACATCTGATTCGATGTTTGTAGCCTCACATTTATTATACATCTTTCCACTTCAGAAACATAAGTTGATCTGTAGTCAATGGGTAGTGGTACATTTTGGTCACTTTGCTGTCCTCCACCTGGTTAGATAACCAAGATAGTGTGTGTTCTTCCAAATTGATGGTAATGAGGAAAAGAAAAGCACTTGGAGAATGTTCTGGACAGTTAGAATGATGACAGAAAAGCAGGTCAACAACACCAGAATGTCGATTACGGGCCAGTTATTGAGCCCTAAGAATCAGAGTTCTGTACCTTGCATTTTCAGGGATTTTCAATGTTAATATGACCCCTAAGTCCTAATTTTAGGAAAACAGAATTTGATGTGTAAAATATGTGTAAGAATAATCATAGCTTATGATGACATAAAAGTTTACGATGCTGGTATTGCCTTTGAGTTGATAAACAATTTCAGTGGGCTGATTTGTGGCAGCCCTTGTGAGCTACCATCTAGCATGTATGTCTTAAAATTTGAAAAAAGGCTATTAAGCAACTCCATTTTTCTGTATGTCAGCAGATTTCATAAGAGTGAAATTTCAGTTCAGCCTTTTCATGTGAGTTATTACAAAAGTGAACTACAGGTTTCAATTTTGTGTCTTTTATGAGTCATTCTGGCATTTTGTGCCTTTTCTCACACATTGTTCTAGGCAGCCCCACCAACTCCTGTGACAAAGATGGACTGGGGGAGGCCATCTTCCTAAAGTTGCTGTCTGAACAGTTAAGTAGTAAATTATACCAACCATGATGAATTGAAAAGAAGGCTTCTGGGGAAAGTTTGTTATTAGAGCCAACTTCTATTATATGCCCTTAAAGAAGGTAAAATAGATACACCAATGGCAATGACTTTGGAATGCAGGTCAAGTTTCAACCTAGAAGTTGCCTGCCCTCTATCCTTGGTGGCCCGCCTTCCTCATTTTTATTCTTTTAGCCTCCATAATTGGAATGCGTATTGGACTTTAGGCTAGGAATAACATTGTAAATGAAAATGTTGATGTTGAAAGAGGAATTTAAATAGAGCGAAGAGTGATATTAGAAATTTGGAAGTGGTATTAGTTCTGGCTTGTCCGTAAGACCTGACTTTTGCATGATAACAATAGGATTCATTCACTTGAACATAATTCGGTCTGGTCTTAGGAGGAATTAGAACTGCTTTTGCACCCCTGTTTTTTTCACTGCGAGGAAGAAGAGGAGCTCACGAACTTCATAAAGCGTTAGTGTCTCCTCCAGTTGATGGTTATCGAAATGAGTCAGGATGGAAGGCTTAGTGTACGTGTGAGATGTTACAAAAGTGGACCTTAAATGTTTCTTGAGTGTTTGGATCTTAAGAGAAAATCTTTGACAATAAGTATTTAATCTTCATTTCTTACAATCATTCCTCTTAAAATGGAGCTTTATTTTTTAAAAACGTATTTTTTTTTTCTTAAGAAACAGGGTCTTGCTCATTCATTCAGGCTGGAGTGCTGTGGCATGATCATAGCTCACTGCAGCCTTGATCTCTCAGGCGCAGGTGGTCTTCCTGCCCCAGCTTCCTGAGTAGTTGGGACTATAGGCAGGCACCACCATGTACAGCTAATTTTTTTATTTTTTATTTTTTATTTTTCATAGCAACAGAGTCTCACTGTGTGGCCCAGGCTGATCTTGGAACTCCTGGACTCAAGTGATCTTCCTGCCATAGCCTCCCAAAGTGTTGCCTGAAATAGAACTTTATTAATATATCTTTAATATGTCAAGATGTTTAAAACTTGTCAAGATTTTAAGGAAGTTGGGCTAACATTTCCTCTTGGGATGCTGAAAGTTGTTGGTTTTCTCAGACTCTCACATAAATTCATTTGCTTTTCCCTTCTCCTTCCACCTCTATTAGCTCTTTATTTTCTAGGGGGGATTCTGATGTCTGTATTGAGCTGGCCGTCATGCCGGGAGTGGTCTGCTTATGTATTTACATGCGTGCTCATCTTTGCTATAGCTGAGCGTGGTGCAGCTCCTTACCTGTTCCAGGTGCGGAGTGATCTGCCGCACAATGAATGAAGTGGCAGAGCCAGGGCGCGAACCCCCGTCTTCCTGGTTTGTGTGCCTGGGCCCTTGCCCTTTACTGTGCGTCTTCTCAGGAGCTGTCATTTAGACTTTCTGGACCAGGAGCTAAATGACCTTTAAAGTCTGTTGAGTCATTTCTAACAAATATGAGTGGAGTCATTTGCCGTAACCAACAACTTTAATCTCCAGATGTTTAATTGATCCTGTATTACTGTCTAATGAGAACTTACTGTATGCCATGCACTGTCTAGTTGGAGTAATGATTGGCCTTGCCTTCAGGGTAGTCTAAGGCATAAGATCAGAAAGGAACAGATGGCAGCTGTTTGTAGGGAGAAGTGATCATTGGCAGAGGGGTGTTGAGGGGAGAAAGCAAGGAGGGGAGGCCTCATGCAGCTAGTAGGGATGGCAGTAACAGGCTGAGGACACAAAAGGCCACCAAGTCCTGTTACCTTAGATGGTGCGGACTTTGTTGAGCAGTTGAAGTGTGAGAGTCTTGTCTTTAAGGAGCCTCCTGTCCAGAGAAGGAGGCACACAGCACTAATATCAGGTAGGCAGTGATGAGGTCAGCTACTGTGGAGACAGTGTGGAGAATCTTGAGTGCCTTCTGTCGGTCTTACTCTGAGATTAGGATTTAGGATCATTATAAGAGATTAATAACAGAATGATACGGTATTTTAGTTTATGAAAGACTTGCCACTAGATAAAATTTTTCTACAGTAACAGAATAATCATTAAGAAAAATCTAGGTTGTTCGTGTCTCTTCTGTATTTTCCAAGTCTGAAAAGGTTTATTCTGCGTTTAACGACGTCGTACCAGAATGGCCTTTCAAAGACTGTCAAAGGCTTGAAGGAAAGCTTGGTGGAGTACATTTCCTAGTACACGTCCCAAGGGCCCGTACGTATGTTCTGCTGTTGCAGAGGTTGTGCTCGTTCGCTTTTGTAGGTTCCTTGCAGTTATTGAACAAACCACTGGGTGGTGCTAGAAGACTTGATTTTAATACTGTGCAAGAAAAACTGAAACTGCTTTTTAACCTGCCTGCGCCTCAAAATAAGCAAACTGGAAGCTGGTATCGATTTAAGGGAATGGCTGATGTAGAAACTAAAGGTTTCTGTCTGACTAGTTCATGCTGTCTCACAAATAAATGCTGGGAAAAAAGTCGGTTTATAGTTGATTTATGTATCCTTTGATTGCATAGAGATTGAATGGTCAAGCCTCCAGGCCATGCAGATTATTCTGGGCCCCTAACTCAGTTAAGAACATGAAAGGAGGCCAGGCACAGTGGCTCACACCTGTAATCCCAGCACTTTGGGAATCCAAGGCAGGCGGATTGCTTGAGGCCAGGAGTTCGAGACCAGCCTGGCCAATGTGGCAAAACCCTGTCTCTAGACTTTGTCCCAGAAAAAAAAAAAAAGGAGCTGTGTTTTCAGACAGAGCTTAGTGCAGCCAGTTCTTGATGGCTGTGCAATGCTTTCCTTTTAAGAGTGGAGTTAGCCTCGTCATAAAGCGTGTTTTTGAGTCTGTTCGAACGGGTCAACAACGAAGGGAAGTTTCAGGCAGATCTTGTATGCCTGGCCCTGGTGGCTGCTTTCATTTCCTTCCAGTATCAGTGCTAAACAGGAATGAACATGTTCAAGCCCCGTCTCACCCACCTCTGGCATCTTCGCCCTAACTCTGCCCTAGAAGACCTTTCCTTCCGTATCGTCAAGAAAACTGAAGTTGCTGTTTCACTCCTTCTCCCACCCAGAAACTTCGCTGCATCTTCCTGGATCCCTAGCTCCTTGCACCCATGATCCTGTCTCCTTCCTCAGCCCGGCTTCTGGCTGAGCAGCCTGCACTTGCTGTCTTCACTCCTACACGCTGCCCCCACTCCTACACGCTGCCCCTGCGTGCTTCTCACTTCTCTACCCTTCCAGCCCTGCACTCTGGGGACCTGTGCGTATGTTTGTGTGATTATCAATCTGTTGAACCCAGGAGGTCGAGGCTGCAGTGAGGCATAATCACGCCACTGCACTCCAGCCTGGGTAATAGAGCAAGATCCTGTCTTTAAAATAATAATTATGATTGGGTATGGTGGCACACATCTGTAGTCCCAGCTACTCGGGAGGCTGAGGCACAAGAATTGCTTGAGACCCAGAGGCGGAGGTTGGAGTGAGCTAGGATGGTGCCACTGCATTCCAGCCTGGGCGGCAGAGTGAGACTGTCTCAAAAAAAAAAAAAAAAATCAGTCACTTGCTGGTCTTTTAATATACATATACGATTTACTGGTGTCATCTGGGTATCTTTTACTAACATCTCTAAAACTGAGCTCATTACCACACTAAACAAAAAATAACCTGCTCATCTGTTGTATTCCTCCTCTAGTTGGATAGCACTGCTGCCCCAGTCAGTGAGAACCTTCTAGTATATCTGTTCTTCCTCAGCTTCCATTTGGTGGCTTCAACCCCTGACCTTCCCAGAGTTTCTGCAGCCCTTGGATTGGGCTAAGCATCCTTCCCCACCCCCCGCCCCCCATCTCCCAACACCCCTTCAGCTTAGCCTGTACAGTGTGTGTTTGGAGCCAGGGACATCACAGTTCGTCCCTTCACTGGTCTGCGAGCTTGCCTAGGGCAGGACCACCTTGCATTCATCTCTGTGCCTTCCTTACCCGGTGCCTAGGCAGGGCTCAGCAGGGGTTTACTCGCCTTCAGCGAAAGGCAGCATGTTATTTAACAAAGGTTTCAGCCACACACCATGGCTCATGCCTGTAATCCAAGCACTTTGGGAGACCAAGGCAGGTGGATCACTTGAACTCAGGAGTTCAAGACCAGCCTGGCCAACATGGTGAAATCCTGTCTCTCCTAAAAATACAAAAATTAGCCGGGCGTGGTGGTGCACGTCTGTAATCCCAGCTACATGGGAGGCTGAGGCAGGAAAATCACTTGAACCCAGGACACAGAGGTTGCAGTGAGCCAAGATTGCACCACTGCACTCCAGCCTGGGTGACAGAGCAAGACTTGTCTCAAAAAAACAAAGGTTTCTATGTTAGAAAGATAGCAGGCTTTGAGTCTTAAGGTTAGGTTTAAAAAAAAAAGTCATTTGATATAAAAATACTATGGCAAAGCCTTGTTGGAATCATGCTGGAGTTTTCATTTGAGACACTATGCCTTTACGTCATTGATGGTTATTTGAAAATGCACCTTTTTAACACTGCAATGACATTAGTTGCTGTTCTGTGGCACACACTAGAAATGATAGACTGTTGTGATGATATGGTTTAAAGACAAATGTAAAAATCCACTGTCAATAGACTTTAAGCCTGTGGGGAAAAGTAAGTATCTGAAACCTTGGAATAAAAGGGATTTTTAAGTGAAGCCCCTTATATATTGAGGAAAGGGCTCAACCTCTTGAGTCAGGTGGACCCAGGTTCACAGGTCATTTCAGCTGTTATGTGACCTCAGTTTTCTCATCTGTAAAATGGGGTTGGTAACTATCTCTGACAGTAGGGTTATGATAATTATGAATAATATACACAAAGCTTCTAGCACAGTGTCCCTCACATGACAGGTGCTATCTCTGCTGGGTGTCATCACATGCAGGCTTGGGGTTCAGTTCGTAACTGATCCATTATTCATTTATTTCAAGGCCCAGTTCGGTATTCCATATTAAGAGAGAGAGGAGCTTTGCAAACTTAGTCTAATTAAACAGATTCCACAGAATCTGTAATATTTTACTTTCTACAGAAGAAGAGCTAGCAGAAATTATTCCCTACGCTTCTTCAGTTAGAAGGAAGAGGACATTTATTCATAGGAAGGAGGGAATGAGAGGGGTGGGGGTGTGTGTGTGTGTGTGTGTGTGTGTGTGTGTGTGTGTGTGTGTTTTGAATTTTGTAAATTAATTTTTTCATTTGATTAGTGCCGAAGTCTGGGATCTGCCAGTACAATGTAGTTTAGAAAAGAAAAGCTTATTTTTGAGCGATGCCTTAGATGGATGCTACTATCAAATGTATGTATGCCATTTTGGTTTTTCTTTCCTATATACAATTTGTTTATTTATTATACTTTATTTTTAAATGAATTTTTGATTTTTGTTGGTACATAGTAGGTGTATCTATTTGTGGGTTATATGATTAGTATACAATTTAAAAGTAAAGGAGACAGTGTGGATTGGCTGCAGATTATGGAGTTGAGGCCCTGGCTATGCTACCTGGCTCCTGTGTGATCACAGGTGAGTTAGTCAGTCTTTGGGAGCCTCATTTTCCTTATTGGTGAAAGGGTCAAAGTGGTGGTACTCCTAGATTACTAAGGATTAAGTCCAGCCAATTAACATTTGTCAATTGTAAAGAACGTGCTAAGTGTAGAAGGGTTTATAAATTGTAGCCATCACCATTAGAAGATTCATAGTGGGACAGGGGGAGACCTTGTCTTGTTTTCAAGCATTTCTGATGGTTAATTCTATAAAGATGGCATTCACAGCTGTTTTAATACACAGAAAGAGTGATGTCCACTCAGGGTGAACCTGAGGCTGAGCAGCGTGTTTGTAAATGGAATAAGGGAATTACAGTTTATAAAACAGTTGCTAAATTGGATTTCTAGTGGACGGTTTAATTTGTAGGAGACCGCTGTCTCTGAAAGGAGTATTTTTACTCACTGAACAGCCATTGAACACACACAGTGATGTGTAGGGTCAGCATTAGATGCTGGGGATGCAGAGAGGAATGAGACGTGGGTTCTGCAAGATATCTTTCTATCTAGTGTCTGAGGCGCCTTGCTGCTGATGAGACACACCTGGCTAATGGTGTTTAAGGAAGAAAGGCTGTATCTCTCAAATCTATTCTCTAATAATGATACTGTGTTAACATTTTTTTGTTTCTCATTAAAATAGGTAGTTCTTGTGTTCCCTAATTCTGTTCCCCCCAGGAAGATTAAATGTTGCTATTTGAGGGAAAAGATTAGTTTCAAAAATGTTCTAATTGAATAATGTACTTGATGTTGAACTGAATGAAGCCTTAACAGTATGCATTTTCTTTGGCTGTGTGTTTTACTGAAGGGATTTTAAATGCTGTCCCAGAGTAGAGCATGTGAAATGATTTGAATGTTCTTCACTAGATGTCATCAATTTCTGAAATATGCTTCTTCACTCTTTCAGAGTTGCTGGAGAATGTAACCCTAATCCATAAACCAGTGTCGTTGCAACCCCGTGGGCTGATCAATAAAGGGAACTGGTGCTACATTAATGCTGTATCCTTCCTGGACGCCGTCCGCAAGGCCAGCTTGTTGCAGCTGTCCCTCCTTTGGGTGCATGTGACTTAGCTCAGCTTCCGTGGGCCATCTAGCTCTCCATTTGAATCCCTAAGTCTGGTTTATTACTTGGTCTGCCTACCTTGCTTATAAACAGGATTATTCCTGACCCCAGTCCATCTCCCTCTAAAAGAGAGGATATGTTGGCACGTGAATGAGGGCTGCAGACAAGCTGGCTCTCATTAGAATAGTCACAAATAATAGGGCAGAGCAACCACTTACAACTGGAAATTTGGTTTTAACTGATTGAACTGTCTTGGTTAGGTCAAGTTCTTGAATACAAACGACTGACTGCTTCGTAGATCCTTATATGGACATCACAGGACACTTACCCTAGTAACTATTTGGTTTATTCCTTTTCGTGGTGACATATCTAAGTAGTTCAACGTCCTTAGCTTCCTTGTGTTTTTATAAACATTCTTGTGCTTCATGTGCCTTCAGGAAATGTGGTGTGTCTGTTCATTTCCTTTACGCTTCCTTACTGCCACTACATAGACACTGCAGGCATTGGTTGCTTGCCCGCCGATGTACCACCTGATGAAGTTCATTCCTCTGTATTCCAAAGTGCAAAGGCCTTGTACGTCAACACCCATGATAGACAGCTTGTAAGTAAGGTGGTGAAAGATGTGTTAAGTGGTGGGGTTTTTCCCGTCTGATAATTAGAATTGAAATAGTTTAGTAAAGCTCTTGATTTCCTGCAAATGAGTCCTATAATTCTGTCTTTTTTTAAAAATAGACTGTTGGCGATTTTATATGGAAGTTAACCAGAAATGGAATTGGAGCATTGATGATCTGTGTTCTTTAGATTCAGTAGAAAATATTTTAGCGTTTACCAGCATATATCACTTGAAATAGACCAAAAATGCATATAGAAGAGACTTGAGTTCACTAGCTGTTACAGCATTGGTTACCTAAAATCTACTATACTCGTATAGCTGATATTCTACTTAGCCATCAAAGCTCTTTAGTAAAAGTATATATTGTTTAAAACTGCACTATTTAACATTTTTTCCCCATGTTTAGTGTTCGGCTAATGAATGAGTTCACTAATATGCCAGTACCTCCAAAACCCCGACAAGGTTAGTAAAAATGAGTTTTGTTGATGCTATTACATATTGGGAGTTATGGAGACAGATGACTTAAATTTGGTAAATTCAGTCTTGTTGGGAAGATAGTGTCTTTACACCTATGCCATTCTCAACATTCAGCCAGGTGGGAGGTGGGGGAGTTTTGATGATGTTGCTTTTTTCATCATTTATGAGTTCATTGTAGTTAGGAAAACCTGTGTCCTCTTTCCATTGCAGCTCTTGGAGATAAAATCGTGAGGGATATTCGCCCTGGAGCTGCCTTTGAGCCCACATATATTTACAGACTCCTGACAGTTAACAAGTCAAGCCTGTCTGAAAAGGTTTGAGACTTCTCTGTTGTCACTAGTATCAAGTGTTGCCTTTTGTTCCAGTGTTTGTGTGGTAACTGTTGCTTATTGATATTTGCCCTCTGTCTCCAGCGCTATAAGTAGATGTAGGTTTATAAGAGTCCATTGCTTGGATGATATGGTGCACCAAGCACTGCTCTCAGTACTTTACATATATTAACTTAGTTGACTCTGAATAAAGTATGATTATGGTCTCCTTGTTACGGTTAAGAGAAGTGAAGCCACTGTCTGAGGTCAGGTAGCTAATGTACATGGCAGAACCCAGCTTTCAAGTCAGTTCTCTTAACCACTGCACTATATGCCACTGGGGTAGAATGGAGTGCACTGGGCCTGGAATGATGGCAGTATTCAGAAGAGCTTATGTCTTCATCATACTTACAGGCTTTAGTAGCTATTTGATGTACTTGATTCCTTTACCTAATTTTTTTTTAATCACATACTTTGTTACTAAAGGCATGAGACCAAGGGGCCAGGGAGCCCTTATAAAAGGCCCTGGGGCTGTTGAGAGTGACTTGGGCCGCCCTTAGCACCGTTAACTGGAGCATTTCTTTCCTCCCAGATTGAGTTTGTGATGAATCAGTACAAGCAGTTGAAATGATGCTTAGGGAAATGTATTCAGAGAGAAAAATAGTTGAGAAAATGCCATTTAAGTCAAGTTTACTTGAAGCTTCATTGCTTTGAAGAAGAGTGAATGTCGAGGGCATCGTTGCAGGATACCACCAGGGGTAGCATAGGGTCTTAAGCTTTTTAAATGCTTATAATGCAGCTTTTGGTATTGGCTTGGAATTTGCACTTCCCAAGTAATGGGAACATGGTGTTAGGGATGCAGAAATGGAATGAAGTGCGCCCTCTGCCCTCAGTGAGGGAATGAGTTAATGAATAGTCAACAAGAGAAGCACAAAGATACAGAGATGCCTTAGAACCCAGAGGGGCCCACCTAGCACAGGTGGAGGCAAAATAAAGTGGGTGCTCAGGAACCCCTCTTGGATCGTGCACAGAGATAATGCTATGAACAAAAGCATCTTCTAAAGGTTACATTAATAGGGGATGTGTTGGGCTCCCCAAGACCACCCTGAGGTTGGGTGATTCACTGGAAGAACTCAGAAAATGCAGAAGCTGGTATACCCGTGGCTATGGTTGCTGACAGCAAAAGCATGCGGAGCAGAGTCAGGAAGGGAAAGGACAGGTGAGGCAGGGCCTAAAGGAAACTTCCAGACTCCTCTCCCAGTGGGGCCACAAGGCTACGCGTAACTACTCCAGCACCAGACTGTGACCACACGTGAAATGCTGCCAACCAGGGAAGGTCATTACAGACTCCGTGTCCAGAGTTTTTACTGAGGGCTGGTCCCATAGGTACCATCTGCCTGGCTTGAACCAAAAGTCCAAACTCCCAAAACAAAAGCAAAGTGTTCAGCAGAAAGCACATTGCTTGCGCAAACGGTTTAGGCAGAATCCCGTATCAGTTATTGGACCGATGGGAACCTTTCTGAAATCCAAATTCCCAGACACCAGCCAAGGGGCAACCTTGCAAGCAGGCCTTTCCAAGGAGAGCCACCCAGGCCTGCTATGAAAAGTCTTCAGCACACTTTGGCTGTGCCAGTTTTTGCCCTTTTCTGCACACGTGCAGAGCATGCACTCACGTGAACAGCTGCTGTCCACGTCTACTATCTGGAGAGGGCAAGTAAACTTTGCAGTTTACCTAGATGCTTCAAACAGAACAATTTGCAGGGCCTTGGAATAGGCAGTTGTGCTGTGAAGAATGAAATATGAACTGATGATAAGTAACAGAATCAAACACTCGTGATGTGGGATTATTAAACTCTTGGGTGACTCGTCTGTGAATGATTTTGCTGATGTATGTGTAACACAGCTAACGCTCTAAATCAGTGGAGTTTTTCCACATGTAGTTTGAGTTCTTTCCCATGTAGTTGTCCATCATCAAAGACAGACAGAAGCAGACATAGGGCTGCTTAGCTCATTGCTCGAGTGGTGACCCTTGCAGTTGAACAGTGAACTGGCCCTAGACATCTAGTTCTTCGTCTTCTATTTTGTTTACCCAAGACAGAAACTTTTTTTTAAATAACTTTTTTGTGATAAAGGTAATGTGGCCAGGTGTGGTGGCTCATGCCTGTAATCCCAGCACTTTGGGAAGCCAAGGCAGGCAGGTCACCTGAGGTCAGGAGTTTGAGACCAGCCTGGCCGACATGGTGAAACCCCGTCTCTACTAAAAATACAAAGATTAGCCAGGCATGGTGGCACACACCTGGAGTCCCAGCTACTCGGGAGGCTGAGGCAGGAGAATCGCTTGAACCCGGGAGCTGGAGGTTGCACTGAGCTGAGATTGCACCACTGCACTCCAGCCTGGGTGACGGAATGAGACTTTGTCTCAAAAAAAAAAAAAAGTATATTTATTGAAGAAAATTTCAAAAATACAGAAAGTATAAATAATAAAAATCCCCATTAGTCCACCCATTTAGAGATATGTGTTTAGTCAGTTTCTCCTTTTCCTCCTACTCTTGGGATTTCAGCTATGCAAGGGAAACCCATGTCATCATGTCATTGTTTGGAAATACTTTACATCTTCCATTTCAGAGGAGGCATGGTTGGACTTTGCAAGTACTGCATGTCCTGCAGGCCTTTGACAGTGATCAGTTCACAGTAACGTGATTATATTTGACCTTTTCAGGGTCGACAAGAAGATGCTGAGGAATACTTAGGCTTCATTCTAAATGGACTTCATGAGGAAATGTTGAACCTAAAGAAGCTTCTCTCACCAAGTAATGAAAGTAGGTTATGGTCCACTTGCCGCAGAGTTGTGCAAGAGTTCGCTGTAAACAGGTGTTGCATACTCATATGTTATGTTGCTTCCCTGCCCCTCAGTCGTTTTCCTTTCAAATAGCATTTATTCCCTACGATAACTTACACCATCGAGAAGGTTATATTTAGGTAAATTACAGTTTATCCCGAACCTCTGCCATTTTCCTTTAACTTTTAATTAGGAAAATGATCAAGCCTATAAAAAAGCTGAAAGAATCGTTTGATGAATACCTTTATAATTGCCGAGTGTACAGTTTTAAACATATTTTCTGATGCTATACACACACTGTGTATATATATATATGTCTTATCTGTCCATCCATATATACATACATACGCATACATTTTCCCTGAATGATTCAAAGTTAAGTTGCAGCTAACAGTTTAGTTCATCTCAGGTGCTAAAGCATCTCCTGCGTAACCACAGTCCCTTATCTAACTGAGAAAAACAACTGTAATGACACGGTAATACCGACTTTGCAGAGCATCTTCAAATTTCGCCAGTTGTCCCAGGGATGTCATTTCTAGGAGTTTATGTAAACAAGGATCCAGTGGTGGTGCACCTGTTGCGATTGGTTGCCGTGGATCAAGTGGCATTGCAATGGGTTGCAGTGGATCCAGTGGCATTGCGCCTGTTGTGATTGGTTGCCGTGGATCCAGTGACGTTGCACCTGTTGCGATTGGTTGCCGTGGATCCAGTGACGTTGTGCCTGTTGGGATTGGTTGCCATGGATCCAGTGACGTTGCACCTGTTGCGATTGGTTGCCGTGGATCCAGTGACATTGTGCCTGTTGCGATTGGCCGTGGATCCAGTGACGTTGCTCCTGTTGCGATTGGTTGCCGTGGCTCCTAATGTAGACCACACCCTGATTTCATTTTTAAAACTGCAATCGACAGATCTGTGCCTTTTTTTTTTTTGCTGTTCTTGTCGTAAATAGTAGTGTAAGCAGATGCTCTCCTTTTCAGAACTTACGATTTCCAACGGCCCCAAAAACCACTCGGTCAATGAAGAAGAGCAGGAAGAACAAGGTGAAGGAAGCGAGGATGAATGGGAACAAGTGGGCCCCCGGAACAAGACTTCCGTCACCCGCCAGGCGGATTTTGTTCAGACTCCAATCACCGGCATTTTTGGTGGACACATCAGGTTTGTGCTTTTCTGGAATAACTTAATATTTGCCTTTTCTAGGGTTTTGCCATGTTGGTGAAGGGGGAAGGTGTGAGGCTTGTTTTGAGACTTCTTGGACGTAATGGTTTGCATCTTGCTCCCCTGCCTGCTCTTCTCTTGCACTTCCTGATGCTTCCCTTGTCAGCCCCCGTGGCTTATTCTCTCCCTGCTGGCGCATGTCTGCAGGGGACAGGGAGCTCCTCCCTTCTACTCTGTCAAGTTCAGCTGCTCACTGCTAGGGAGTAAGAGAAAAGCCAGCTAATTGGCCATACGCGGTGGTTCATGCCTGTAATCCCAGGACTTTGGGAGGCCAAGGCGGGTGGATCACCTGAGGTTAGAAGTTCGAGATCAACCTGATCAACATGGTGAAACCCCGTCTCTACTAAAAATACAAAAATCAACCAGGTGTGGTGACAGGCACCTGTAATCCCAGCTATTAGGGAGGCTGAGGCAGGAGAATCGCTTGAACCCAGGAGGCAGAGGTTGCAGTGGCCCAGATAGCGCCATTGCACTCCAGCATGGGTGACAGAGTGAGACTCTGTCTCAAGAAAAAAAAAAGAAAAAGATACAGGAGAATGTCATCATGACTTAGGGGTAGGCAAAGGTTTCATAAGATAGGTCATAAACAATAACCACGAGAGAGAGAGAAAAAAAAATATATATATATATATTAGACTTCATCTGCATTTAAAACTTGCAACATAAAACCACCTCCGGGAGGCAGAGGTTGCAGTGAGCCAAGATTACACCACTGCACTCCAGCCTGGGTGACAGAGCAAGACTGTCTTCAAAAAAAAAAACCAGCTAACCAAACCATGTGTTTTGGTAAGAGAAGACAGTGTATCTGGAGGAATTTTATTTATGTTAATAAATTGTGTATATTTAAAGTATACACAGATGTTATGAAATAGAGATAGTAAAATAGTTGCTACAGTGAAGCAGATAAACATATTCCCCATCACAGTTACCCTTGTGTGTGTGTGTGTGCACATGGCAAGAGCAGCTGCAGTTTTACTCATTTCACAAAAGTCCCAAATACAGTGCACTATGAGTAGCTCTTGTCCGATGTTCCACATCAGATCTCTAGACCTGTTCGCCTGTGTGGCTGCCCTTGGTGTCCTTCGACCGACATCTTCCATTCCCACTCGCCACCCCTAGGAACCACTCTTTTCCCTATCTCTGTAGTTTCGTCTTTTTTTTTTTTTTAATAAAGATTCCATGTATAAGTGAGACCATGCAATATTTTTCTTTCTGTGTCTGACTTCTTTAACTTAGTATAATGTTCCCCAGGTTCATTCCTGTTGTGGCAAATGGCAGGGTCTTTATTACAGCTGAATAGTGTTCCCTTGTCTATATATACACACCACAGTTTCTTTATCCATTGGCCCATCCACAGACAGTTGTTTCCCTGTCTTGGCTGTTGTGAACTGATTGGAAGCAGGTGAGGTAGAAAGTGAAGAGAGTGTGAAGGGAGGTCTTTTTTACACAGACAGACCCGTGACTGGGCTGGAGTCCCTGGGCACCTGGCTGTGTGCCAGTTCCCTTAAGCAGCTTTTTGCTCATTCACAAAGTCCTTCGGAAAGGTTTTTCTTTATTTACCTGAGAGCTTTTCAGTACCACTGTGATGTGGAATTCAGCAAAACTTGTACCATCTCCAAGAAGGTTTACCCATCGAAAGTACTGAAGAGGCCTCATTGGAGCCTAATTTCCTTTCTGAGGCCTTGCGGCATAACCCCCAGGCTGGTATTTCAGTGACACTCTTAGTCTGTTGTTGTCCCAAATGCTGCGTACCTGAAAGAAAGAGCACCCCTTTTGAGGCATCAAGACTTGATTCAGTCTCAGTTCTGAGACTGAATCAACAACTTTCAACAGGTGAATAATAAGAACCTCAGAAACCTGCGCTGACGCCCTCAGAAGCTGGTTTCCCGTCCTCTGTGGAAGTGGATTTAGAAGCCAGTTGAGCAGCCATGTGACCTTGAACAAGTCACTTCTGTGTTCTGCACTGTGAGCTCTATTCCACTGGCCCCTTTCTATTCTGGTGCTCTGTGGAGTGTCCACGGCAGCTGGGTGGTCAGTTGTCACCTGGGAAACACCCAGCCCTGACCACTGTCTGTGGTTCCTTGGGACACGTCGTGTTGGGAGGGAGACGCTGAGGTCCAGGTTGGCGCGCAGCAGCGAGGGAAGGCTGTGCCCTTTGCTCCTTCAGCCCAGCAGCCTGGTTTAGGATTGTGAGGACACCCCCTCGGGATGGGAGAGAAAGATGAATGGACAGCTCAAATGGAGGCATCGGGAACATGGTTTTTGTGCAGAGGCCGGGTATCAGAATTTCAAGGCCACAGAGGGTCAGCATACTCAAAGATCCCAAATTTGTCTAAGAGTAACCAGTGGAAAATACCAGCGTCCATTTGGAGGACTTGCTGGCTCAGATTGAACAGCTCTGTCACAGCTGCTAGCCACATCCTCTGAGGGGTCTCTGTGTTGAAATTGGTTGTTGATGTTTCTTTTTGAAAAACGGTAAAGCAAAGATAGGGAATTCTTACAACGTAGGAACTTCTTTTCAGCCATTGTTAAGCATGATTCTTTATTCACACCAATTGAAAGATTTACTTCTAAAACTCAGCCTCTTCAGATGTTTTTCAGTTTCCCCAGGAAGACTTCCCCGCCTTTCTTCCCCGGTGCCACCTTTGCTAAAACACAGGACCACTGAATCAAGAGGGCTTCTTGATTCTCCACCAGCTCTCATGAGCGGTTTCCCCACTACTGTATCCCTCTCCAGAACCAGGGGAACTGTTGTCACTGAAGTCTTCAAACTGTAAAGGAGCATGGAGATGCGTAATTAAACCCTGGACAGAAAAGCTTTTAGCGAGCTCTTCACCGCATCTGTTCTGGAAAGCCTGAGTACCTGTCCACACCCATTTTATTCCGTTGAGAAACTAGGTCACCGAGACTGCAGAAATAGAAGCCCTTGTTGAACCCCTGGAATGTTTCCTTGCTGAGGCTAAATGAGAGATGGGCCGAACACACAATTTTTACTCAGAAAAACTTAGAAAAAGGAAAAAAAAAATGAAATGAAAAACCAGCTAAGAAAACAAGGTCAAATTGGCGCCCTTCTTGGAAGGGTGGCAGCCTTTTTTCCTGGAATGTTAACTTGTTTTTTATTCTACACACCCTACTCCCCTTCTTCTTTTTGTAAGACATCTTTATAGGAGGAAAATGCCATTAAAAATCCTCTATTTACCTTGGGATTTCCTCTATTTTATTAGAACAGGCTATGATACTTGGAGAAAATGGAAAGCAGCAGCGTTTTGAGGCCATGGCAGGGTGGCTGCCTTTATGAACCGGTGCAGTAAATAACAGTGTGGAGAGGAAGTGAAAGAATTTGGAAAATGAAATATGTTTTCTTCCAGAGCACTGGCGTTGGGAACATTTATCAACTGGTAGATTTAGTTGTTAGAAATACTAAGGAGGTGCTATTCAGCAGAATTATTATTATTTTTTTTAATTTATTTTTTTATTGATAATTCTTGGGTGTTTCTCACAGAGGGGGATTTGGCAGGGTCATGGGACAATAGTGGAGGGAAGGTCAGCAGACAAACAAGTGAACAAAGGTCTCTGGTTTTCCTAGGCAGAGGACCCTGCGGCCTTCCGCAGTGTTTGTGTCCCTGATTACTTGAGATCAGGGATTGGTGATGACTCTTAACGAGCATGCTGCCTTCAAGCATCTGTTTAACAAAGCACATCTTCAGCAGAATTATTTTTAAATTCAGTATATTTTTGGCTTTTCTCTGTGGTCTTTTGAAAGTGATATTGAATAATCTTATTTTCAGTGTTTATTCCCTTGGTTAATCTTAAGGGAAAGTGGCAAGGAGTGGTCTCTTAATTTTTTTGTTTTTGCTTTCAATTCTTAGGTCTGTGGTTTACCAGCAGAGTTCAAAAGAATCTGCCACTTTGCAGCCATTTTTCACGTTGCAGTTGGATATCCAGTCAGACAAGATACGCACAGTCCAGGATGCACTGGAGAGCTTGGTGGCAAGAGAATCTGTCCAAGGTTATACCACAAAAACCAAACAAGAGGTATGTTCACACTTGATTTTGAACCTTTCTACTAAGGTGCTCTGGTTTGGTGGAAAGAACACAAAATTAGGAATGAGGGGAAATGGGTTTGAGTTATGCCTCTTAAATCAGTTGCTTAACCATTTTGTACTGAAAGTTTTTATGGTTTTACAATGAAATGGTTGAAACGTGATCCCAAGGGCCTCTTTTAGCTCTAAATCATATTACACAAGGTAATGATCTCCTTTTGGATTGTTTATCTTGAGCTACATTTAATTTTCTGGCAATCTAATGATGATATCACAACATCAATACTACCTCTGACAGAGGCCAAATAGCTTATTTATGTTCATGATACCGTAGGGTACAACTGTCATTAGATTAGTTAGGATGTCAGAGAGATTCCAGACACATCTGTTTTGCATTTGATTGTAGATCTTCCAGGTCATTGTAAATATAATATAGTCATTGTAAATATAATATAGTCATTGTTCTGATGCTTGTTACTCTTTGATTTGATCTGGAAAAGGTAAGATTCTTGAGTCTTTCAGTCTTCATGAATTTAAGAGTATCACATTATAGCTTGGTGGAGTCCTTGTCAACTCAGTTGGGCGAGACGGATAGCATTCTGCCCTGTGAGAGCTTATTAGTTCCTGGCTGTCCAGATGTGCCAGCTTATAGCTATTTTGTACTCTGCAGCAGAGAGTGTCTTCTCTGTTATATATCTTAGGTTGTGGCAGTGAATTCATAAAAATGCACTGGGGAGATGAATGCAGGCTGATAATTATGGACGGTCCATAGCATTCCTGCAAAGCGATATTTGAATAATGGGCAGTGGATGGCAGCTACAAGGTAAAATAAGGTGCCCCAACGTAGAAGACCTGTCATCACATTGCATGACTGGGATGGATCTATCCTTGGCTTATCTTGTGTGCTCTGAGTCAGAAAGAGCAAAGTAGGACATAGGGACCCTTAGCACCTTCGGGGTGTCCTGCTGTGGACTGGTTCACCCAGGCTCTGGGGGGATCAGTAGAAGTTATGCCTAATCTTCTACCGTATTTGCAGACTTGCATCTCATGGGTGATTTTGTTTAAAAAATAGAAGCAGTAGGAGCCAGAGGCAGAAACTTGGTAGTTGACTTCAGTGAATGAGCTAAGAAGAGTCTGGCGGTGGACCTCGTGGAAGAGAGAGAGGGAAAAAGTGGTATTTGTGTTGGGGAGGTTGGTTGGGTGGTTCAGTTGTGCATTGTGGGTGACTGTCGGCTTGGCTCACTTCTGTGGCAGCTGCAACTCCAGAGATAGCTCCCTGGCCCTGGCTGCTGGTGCACTCTGCTTATGCTGTTTCTTGAGCCAGCTATGGGAGTCTTTGGCCACCCATGCTGTTGGGGAGGTGGTCAGCCTTTCCATGGGCTGCCTAGGGAAGACCCTTTTGTGATGTGTCTGTTTTTCTCTTTTGCTTCTGCTGCAATTACAGTTTGACTTTGCTGGGGTGGGCTGGTAGGGGTGGCGGTGTGGGGGCAGGGGTTGAGGCGCAGGTAGTTGTTAGCCTGTTGTTAGACGGTAGTGAAGAAAGAATGGTTTATCCTAAATAGCAGGTTTGGATGAAGGCTTCCAGAAAGAAGGCGGGCCAGGTGTGGTGGCTCACGCCCTTAGTCCCAGCACTTTGGGAGGCTGAGGCAGGAGGATTGCCTGAGCCCAACAGTTGGAGGCTGCAGTGAGCTATGATCACGCCACTGCACTCCAGCCTGTGCGATAGTGAAACCGTGTCTCTAAAACATAAGAAGAAATAAAAATAAAGGAAAGCTGGCATTTTGGTGGACTCCGGAAGATAAAAAGGATGCTGCCAGCCGTTCTGGGTGCGTGGTTGTGGTGGTGTGTTACCAGATGAGGCCAGGACCACTTTCAACAGCAGATGTTTCAGGAAGATTTGGGACAGCTTGTATGGAAGTATCTATAAGGAGCAAATTACATATTTTCTTGAATGTGTTTTTTTTTAAGTTTTTAAAATGCCACCTTTAACTTTATTATGTTTTAGATCAGAAGTATTTTTCTGTGGGAACATGTGAAGGTTTTGGGGAAAATAGGATTATATGAAATATTTGCTATATAGAAAATGTCTGCCTTTGTTGAGTGATTAGAAATTAAGCCTCAGTTGGCTGGGCGAGGTGGCTCACACCTGTAATCCCAGCACTTTGGGAGGCCAAGGCGGGTGGATCACGAGGTCAGGAGATCGAGACCATCCTGGCTAACACGGTGAAACCCCGTCTCTACTAAAAATACAAAAAGTTAGCCGGGCATGGTGGCAGGCGCCTGTAATCCCAGCTACTCAGGAGGCTGAGGCAGGAGAATGGCGTGAACCTGGGAGGCGGAGCTTGCAGTGAGCCGAGATAGCGCCACTGCAGTCCGGCCTGGGCGACAGAGCGAGACTCCGTCCCCAAAAAAAAAAAAAAAAAATCTCCAGTGGCTGATGCCTGTAATCCCAGCATTTTCGGAGGCTGAGGCAGGCGGATCACAAAGTCAAGAGATCGAGACCATCCTGGCCAACATGTTGAAACCCCATCTCTACTAAAAATACAAAAATTAACTGGGCATGGTGGTGTGCACATGTAGTCCCAGCCTCTCAGGAGGCTGAATCACTTGAACCCTGGAGGTGGAGGTTGCAGTGAGCTGAGATCGCACCACTGCACTCCAGCCTCGATGACAGAGCGAGACTGTCTCAAAAAAAAAAAAAAAAGTGTTATCCAAATGAATATGGGAAGCATCAAAGACTTTGTAAGTACAGAGAATGATAAAGGGATTGTTATTTGTAAAGATGCATCTTAGTGACAAAAAACCTGGCTTTATTTAAAAGCAGCATTCATCAGACCTGTGAAAGTACTTCAGGAACAGATTACATTGATAAAACTCATGATTAGAATAAATAGCTTTAAAGGTTATTTAAAACATCTAATTGGCCTGGAATCCCAGCACGGTGGGAGACTGAGGCGAGCAGGTTGCTTAAGTCTAGGAGTTCAAGACCAGCTGGGCTCATGGCTGTAGTCCCAGCTACTTGGGAGGCTGAGGTGGGAGAATCACCTGAGCCCAGGAAGTCAAGGCTGCAGTGAGTCCTCATCATGCCACTGCACTCCAGCATGGGCAACCAGAGTGAGATCCTGTCTTAAAAAAACAAACAAACAAAAAAACCCACCTAATCCTACTGGTATCAGTTTTATCAATACTATCAGAGTTATTTTAAAATGGGTCAATACTAGGCCTAGCGTGGTGGCTCACGCCTGTAATCTCAGCACTTTGGGAGGCTGAGGCAGGTGGATCACCTGAGGTCAGGAGTTCAAGACCAGCCTGGCCAACATGGTGAAACCCCTTCTTTACTAAAAATACAAAATTAGCCAGATGTGGTGGTGGGAGCCTGTAATCCCAGCTACTCAGGAGGCTGAGGCAGGAGAATCGTTTGAACCCGGGAGACGGATGTTGCAGTGAGCGCAGATCGTACCACTGTACTCCAGCCTGGGCGACAGAGTGAGAACTCCCTCCCCCCAAAAAAGGCGGGGGAGTCAGTACATAAATAAGGTGGTACTAAGTTAGCTTTTTAATTTTTATGCTAATTTGTCAGTAATGCCACAGAGTAAAGTTCTTAACTTTGAGTTTACGACTGGACTTCAGGGACCCAAGAGGCTCTCTGCAGTTGTGCTTATGGGAACGTATGCATTTTTCTTCTTCTTTTTTCTTTTTTTCTGAGACAAGATCTCGCTGTGTTGCCCAGGCTGGGGTACAGTGGCGCGAACTTAGCTCACTGCAACGTCTACCTCCTGGGTTCAAGGGATTCTCTTGCCTCTGCCACCCAGGTAGCTGGGGTTACAGGCGCCCACCACCACGCCTGGCTAATTTTGTATTTTTAGTAGAGACGGGATTTCACCATGTTGGCCAGGCTGGTCTCAAACTCTTGACCTCAGGTGATCCGCCTGTCTCAGCCTCCCAAAGTGCTGGGATTAATGGGCATGAGCCACTGCATCTGGGTATGTGCATTTTCTTAAGAGGAGCATTGGTAGATCTCAGAGCTTCTGTGGGGCAGGAAAAGCCATGAAGTCCTGCCACAGGACTCTTGGGCCTCACCTCTCAGAGGACGTCTTTGAGCGGAAGGTGGATGTGGTGTTAGCTGTTGCAAGTAAGACAGGGACGGTGTGTCCTGGTGTGCTTTGTGTCTTAGGTTGAGATAAGTCGAAGAGTGACTCTGGAAAAACTCCCTCCTGTCCTCGTGCTGCACCTGAAACGATTCGTTTATGAGAAGACTGGTGGGTGCCAGAAGCTTATCAAAAATATTGAATATCCTGTGGACTTGGAAATTAGTAAAGGTAATGCATACATAAGGTCGGGAGTGTTCGTGGTGACACACTCCTGCACATCAGAAGCTCAACCCTGTAGCATTTCTTTATGATGTCAAGAGTGAGGACATTCTCTTGCTGGACGTGGACTTGTTTTAAGTTTCTTGACTTGTAATAGACCTTAATACTAAAATTCTCATGAAAATGGCCTGTTGAAAATAGAGGCAAAAATAACTAAACTCTATAATCTTACTAGATTAGAAAAATAGCAGCTTTTGTCTATCAAAAAGAACATCACTTTTCTGTGAATATTTCAGGGATGAATGGTGCAGTTTGCCTTCCACCGAGTATTAACAGCTGTGTTGACTAGCCCAGTTAAGTGGTTTTTAGTGAAGTAAGAATGATTTCTCATAGGCAGTGAGAGTCCCTTCTAACCTCTAGTTGTGGTGGCGCACAAATAAGACGTGGCACTTACCAGCCTCAAGTCTCTGTCAGGTCACGGGCTCGGCACTTTTTGAAAGCAATTTTAAAGAGCCCCAGGTTAAAGGCATCTTGCTAAAAGCACAGCTTCAAGAAGACTTTTCTTGAAAGCTTTAGAATTTGTGAAAACGTATAGTACAACACTGAGGCTTGATTGGGACTGTGATTAGCTAGAGAGGATTCTCAGAATATCGAGGTGTTTGGGAAGCAGAAAAGAGGACACTGGGCCTCACTCCTGGGTCCTGCAGAGGAACAAACCTGAACCGAGAGTCCTCTTCTCTCCGTCCCCTGGCACAGCAACCCCACCTCATACCTCCTTCCATATAGATGACCCAGGAACTGTGGGCATGGCTGGCTTCTAGCCGGCTCCCTGTCTACCCTAGGGGCGCCCTATACCTTCCCGTGAAGACTCAGACACTGTCTCTCCCAGGCCTGCACACAAGAGCTGTGCTTTCTGCTGACGGGCTTGGCTGCTGTGCCGGGTTTAGTGTCCGTTGCTCCTCTCACACTTCTAGCTGCCTTATCACTCATCAGCCGATTGCTTTTTAATCCCATTTGAGGACCAGCAAGAGGAAGAAAGATGCCAGTGAGAATCATGTAACAGATCCTCCTCCCCATTTTATTCTATCCATCGGGAAACCTGGAATGCCGGCTAAGTCAAAGAAGGCATCCTCGGCCTCTGCTCCTGCATCTTCACTCGCCTCCAGATCAGCTGTCTGAGCTGACTTGGATGTTTTGCTACAGTGATTTTATTTTTATATCTTTTCTTGCTTGCTGTATTTTTATATCCGCTGCCACCTCCAATACATTATCAAAATATGACATAAATGGGGGCTGGGCGCAGTGGCTCACACCTGTAATCCCAGCACTTTGGGAGGCCGAGGCAGGCAGATCACCTGAGGTCAGGAGTTCGAGACCAGCCTGACCAACGTGGTGAAACCCCAACTCTTCTAAAAACACAAAAATTAGCCTAGCATGGTGGTGGGTGCCTGTAATCCTAGCTACTTGGGAGGCTGAGGCAGGAGAATCGCTTGAACCTGGGAAGCAGAGGTTGCTGAGATCATGCCACTGCACTCCAGCCTGGGCAACAGAGCAAGACTCCATCTCAAAAAAATAAATAAATAACATAAATGGGGGACAAGAGGACCTCACTTGGGTCATGGGTCAGAAGTACAGATGGCTGCCTCGAACAGCATGCCTCCGACGGACTCTTGTGTCGGTGTAAGTGGTACTTCTGCGCACAGTAAGAGCAGGGAGTTCCCGCCTCGTAGCAGCTGGTAGACTGGTTCCTATTTGGAGAAATCATGTTACTGTTCTGTAACTGAAGTTTTGTTTTGTTTTTTTTTTGTTTGTTTGTTTTTTTCTTGCTCTGTCACCCAGGCTGGAGTGCAGTGGCGCGATCTCGGCTCGCTGCAACCTCTGCCTCCCGGGTTCAAGTGATTCTCCTGCCTCAGCCTCCCGAGTAGCTGAGACTACAGCCGCGTGCCACCACGCCCGGGTAATTTTTTGTATTTTTAATAGAGACGTGGTTTCACTGTATTAGCCAGGATGGTCTCGATCTCCTGACCTCGTGATCGCCCGTCTCAGCCTCCCAAAGTGCTGGGATTACAGGCGTGAGCCACCGTGCCTGGCCTGTAATTGAAGTTTTATGATCTGACGCATATGTAAAATTTTAATTCTTGCCTTGGATTTTTCACAACTGTTTTTGTTTTTAAGTCAGCAGCTTTTTTCTTTTCCATTTTGTAGAGCACCTGTTTTTAAGGGGCCTCCCACAGGAGCATCACAGCCTCGGCCGTTGCTCCTGTTTCTTTAGTGAGCTGGCTGCACATTTTGTGTCCTATTACGTCACATGGCTCATTTCCTTCATGAGTCAATTTTTGTGCAACTGAAGGGATAGAGTGTTGTTTTGTTCCTGGTCTGACAGGCAGTTTACTTGCTGGGGAGAATGTTGTTAGCCATTTTCTGCTGCTGTTACCCTGAACCTTTCTAAAAGTGCTTCAAGCCATTGATATTTTGTTTTCCAGAACTGCTTTCTCCAGGGGTTAAAAATAAGAATTTTAAATGCCACCGAACCTATCGGCTCTTTGCAGGTGAGTAAATTTGTACGACATTACTTCTTCATTAAAACACTGATGAAGGGGTTTACAGCTGGGCACAGGTTTGCTGCAACTTAGCATAGCGACCAGATGCTGTACTCAGGTATCCCTGTGGCCTTGTGAGTCGGGGAGTCACGTGAGAGTTTTACCTGAAACTCTGCGTAGATGACGGATTATCATCTTGGCCCTGAGGACAGATAACAGAAGACCTTGCTCAAAGCGAACATTTCTGTCTTTGAGTCAGAGGAGGGAGTTTCAGGCTCCCAGGCTGGCTGTTTGAGAATGTGACCTCTCCCGGCTGTGCTTGTGGCACCTGTGGGTGACAGTGCTGTGGAGTTTCCACGACACCTGGTCACCCAGCCAGGTTGGGTGAGCGCGCCCCCAGCCGGTGATCCCTGCGTCCTCCCCCACAGGTATTGTTAGGGCTGCTTGAGAGGGTGGGCCCGATTACACAAGCTCCTCGGCTGCCAGGCCCTCAGTCAGTCATGAGAAATCTCCCAACAGGGTGAATGGCACCCCCTGTTCCCTCATGGGTGGACCTTGAGACCTCTTCTGTCTCCTGGCTTAGGCTCCCTGCAGTATCATTTTTTCTGCCACATCATCTTCCCTTTCCTTTCTGCCTTCCCTTTTATCCTTCTTTCTCTTTTATAGCGTCATCTTTTATGCCTCTGAGTCTTTACCTCTTTGGATTGTTGCTGTTTGCCGCACTTTTGTTTGCTTCCCAGGCTGTTTTTACTACATGTTTCTAGCTTCTGTGTCTTCCCTCCTCTGGTGTGGCCTTTGGTGAACCTGTTTGTATCGTAACATAACACTGCCATTTATTGACCTTCACACATGTATTGAACCTCTTCCCAAGATATTCTTTCATTTCCTTACATGTGTCCTAGGAGATGGGAGGTGGGATCCCTGTTTTATAAAAGAATAAACCAGAACTCAAGGAAGAAAACTCACCACTCTGGCCTGCAGTGGCAGAGCAGGGCTTCAAGCTCCTGTCCACCTCAGCTCACGCCCGATGTTTTAGGAAGTTTGGCGAGTGGGTGAGGGCCCAGGGATGGGGGCCCAGGGGTGAGGGCCTAGCGGTGGGGGCCCAGGGGTGAGGGCCCAGTGGGTGAGGCCCAGAGCCACACTGCAAGGTGCCAGGCTTCCCTCTCTTCCTCTCACTATTCATTGTTCCTTTTGACTCTCTTCTTTTCTCCCCCCGATCACAATTCCTCCTCAACTTGCTGGGCCTCAGATGGGACGGCCATGGGCACCACGCGCTTGTGGGTGTCTCCAGCCCTGTCTGGAATGGAAGGTCTGAGTCCTCAGACTCTGCAGCCAGCCATTATCCTGCCTGGCTCCTTGGAGTGTGGCACCCAGGTCCCAGTGGGTGGCCAGCAGTTTCTCCGCCTTCTCCCTGCACCTCTTCCCCTGGAGGCTCTTGCGGGGGACATCACTGGGCAGGGGCAGGGGCTAGGGATTGCTCCTCTCCTGGTCAGGGCCCCAGTGTGAGCACACACACCCCTCCCCGACTCTGCAACCTGCCTCGCCCCGGGACCTGGGCCTGGGTTGCTCTCCCCTGCCCTCCTGAATCCTCATCCCCTAACCCATTATTTTTTTGAGATAGAGTTTTGCTCTGTCGCCCAGGCTGGAGTGCAGTGGCACAGTCTCCATTCACTGCAACCTCTGCCTCCCAGGTTCAAGTGATTCTTGTGCCTCAGCCCCCCGAGTAGCTGGGATTACAGCTGTGCACCACCACATCCAGCTAATTTTTGTATTTTGAATAGAGACGAGGTTTCGCCCTTTTGGCCAGGCTGGAAGCCTATTCTGATCTTGGAAATGAGGTCACCGGACTGGTTAGAATTACCTGTAGAGTGAGCAAAGGAACACTTTTTAAGAACTGCTGTGATTGTGGGGCCTGGGAGAAGCAATCTCGCGCACAAGCTTTTCAGGCGGTTCTCAGCGCTCCTGTCAGGGGGGCTTGCAGGTGTGAGTGACACACGGCTCAGCCCAGGGTAGTTAACTGGGCTGCTGCTTATGAAACTAGAATGGTGACATGCAGTCCCCCTTGACATTTTAGAATGGAGATGTCTTGTGGGAAAGACAAGTTAGTAAAACCCCCAGGCCCTGCAGATTCTACTGATGGTCGCTTTGAAGCAAAACTCTTAGCCCAGTCAGTTAGGTCTGTGAGGTGAAGATCTAGGACAGAAGTCTCAAAGTGAACTTGGGATCCAGGGGACATGCTGCTGTCATGGGTGCTTCCTGCCCTTTCACAAGATGGCTGTGACTTGTGCAGCACAGGATGAAGCTATGCCCTTGGATTGGCTGTGTCCCTGGCTCTCCGAAGTACGGGCCCCACAGTCTTGCTGTCCCTATGCTGTTCAGTCTCCTCCGGGGTCCCTGCACAGAGGATTTCTTTGTGCAGAGCCCAGGAGTCTGACTGGTGGCCTCAGTCATAAGCACTGTCCTCTAGCCAGCCAAGGTCCCTGGCCCAGAGAGGACTGAGGCCTCCTGCTGTCATTTAGCCCCTCCACGTGACAACTGCGACTAGAACCTGGTGATGTTTGGTCTTGTTTTAGTGCTGAAATTCCCTACCAGCCAAGTCTTGCATCTCTCCTGGTTCCTTTTCTTTTGTGCCACTGATGGTGGGCGCAGCTTAGCAGGCTGCCCTGTCATTCCCCGCGGAATGCTGCCGGACAGCCGCCTTCCCGAGGCTGGTGTCTGCTGCTGGCCAGGCAGACCTGTGCCCCTCTGCTCCATAGAAGTGGAGGATGTGTTCTGTGGCTGTCTTAATGTTTTCATGACATCTTCTACAGATTTTTTGTTTTAGGCCTTTGACTAAGGCTTCTTGGTTATAGGATTTTTTTTTTAAGTAAATAACTGTGTGTGTGTGTGTGTGTGTGTGTGTTTTGTTCTGTTAAAACATAGAAAAATGGGTAATTTTTTTTAAAGGCAAATGCGTAACTACCAGCACCATCTCCGCAGTGCCCCACCACAGCTCCACGCTCAAGCAACCGTGGTTAGCAGTCCCAGGGTCCCTCCTGCCATGTGGGCCGGCACCGGGAGATTGTGTCCCGTGTCTTTAGGATAGATGGGCCACAGAAGGCCTAAGGACCTTGTTTTCTCATTTAATATACCATAAGCGTATTCCCGCATCACCATTCTTAATCTATTCCACGAAAAAATAAATTGTGTTATTTTAATATAATTTACTCATCAGTCATTTCTTCTAGTGGCTATTGAGGTTTTCCGTTTTTTCACTGTTATAAATGACATCATAATCTCTGTCCAAGATTCAGATAATCTCTTCAGGACAGTCTAGAAGTAGAGTCAGCCACATCCAAGGGCATGAGCCAGGTCTGTAGGCCTGTACAGCTGATGGCTGTGTAGGAGTGTCTGTGTGAGGCGTGGGACATTTTAAATATGTGGTTAATATGCGTACATGCACACATGTACCTATCTGACTTACCCTTACCTTGCAGTTATAGAAAAGTTTTTATTATGGATTGCTTGCGTGTTTGAGTTGAAATAGCATTGGTTTGTGTGATGACATCTCTCTGTCCCACCTGCTTTGGAGAGGGGTTTTACACATAGGATGCATCCCTGGAGGGAAGTCGGCGGAGACCTGTAATGATTCGTGTGCAGTGCTGTTCTCACTCTGCTGCCTGCTGGGCTCTCTTCCAGTGGTCTACCATCACGGCAACAGTGCGACGGGCGGCCATTACACTACAGACGTCTTCCAGATCGGTCTGAATGGCTGGCTGCGCATCGATGACCAGACAGTCAAGGTGATCAACCAGTACCAGGTGGTGAAACCAACTGCTGAACGCACAGCCTACCTCCTGTATTACCGCCGAGTGGACCTGCTGTAAACCCTGTGTGCGCTGTGTGTGCGCCCAGTGCCCGCTTCGTAGGACACCACCTCACACTCACTTCCCGCCTCTCTTTAGTGGCTCTTTAGAGAGAAACTCTTTCTCCCTTTGCAAAAATGGGCTAGAATGAAAAGGAGATGCCTTGGGGTTCGTGCACAACACAGCTTCTGTTGACTCTAACTTCCAAATCAAAATCATTTGGTTGAAACAGACTGTTGCTTGATTTTAGAAAATACACAAAAACCCATATTTCTGAAATAATGCTGATTCCTGAGATAAGAAAGTGGATTTGATCCCCAGTCTCATTGCTTAGTAGAATAAATCCTGCACCAGCAACAACACTTGTAAATTTGTGAAAATGAATTTTATCTTTCCTTAAAAAAGAAATTTTTTAATCCATCACACTTTTCTTCCCTACCCTTTAGTTTTTGATAAATGATAAAAATGAGCCAGTTATCAAAGAAGAACTAGTTCTTACTTCAAAAGAAAAATAAACATAAAAAATAAGTTGCTGGTTCCTAACAGGAAAAATTTTAATAATTGTACTGAGAGAAACTGCTTACGTACACATTGCAGATCAAATATTTGGAGTTAAAATGTTAGTCTACATAGATGGGTGATTGTAACTTTATTGCCATTAAAAGATTTCAAATTGCATTCATGCTTCTGTGTACACATAATGAAAAATGGGCAAATAATGAAGATCTCTCCTTCAGTCTGCTCTGTTTAATTCTGCTGTCTGCTCTTCTCTAATGCTGCGTCCCTAATTGTACACAGTTTAGTGATATCTAGGAGTATAAAGTTGTCGCCCATCAATAAAAATCACAAAGTTGGTTTAAAGGTGTGTGCGTGTTTCTTTGAATGCGAATGCCTTTTCGGGTAACTGAAATTCATGGGGGCATGAGTTTGCCTGCAGAATTAAAATCTGCCCTTCGATCAGCTCGACGTGTTTGTGGAAGCTGAACCACCACTCAGGTTATGCTTGTTTAGTATTTTCAAATGGATTAGTGATTTGGGTACACGAAGTTTTTGACTCTTCGATTGGCAGAAAGGAGGAGGTTTTCTCCCCTTCCCCTCCTCATCCCTTGTTTCTATAGCCCACCGTTTTCAGTATCACCAAAATAGTTGCTGTAGGTCAAGGCTAAATGCTCTTCAGTTGAGTGCCACTGGGGCGGCTGAGCGGTGCCTCCAGACGCCACCCTCAGTAGTGGGAAGGAAGCCTTCTGAGACGGAAGACATGGAGAGAGGGATGTCACGTGCAAGGGTGCCCGTGCCCCGGCTTCTGGCCCTGTGTGGATGATTGTGGTGTCCTGAGATCTACAGAGAAGGGGTTTTAACGTGGTCTGAGCCTTTCTCTCAAGTTCTTGCTCTTACCATCTGGTATTTCTGATTGTAGCCTGGTGCCATCTGGGGTTCAGAGCTTCCTAAACTTTCTGTACAAGTGTTGTCCGTCTAACCTACTTACCCTTTGTAATTCTATTGTGATTTGCTTGGCTGAATTATAACTCATATTGAGAGGTGAAGCCAGCTGGACTTCCTGGGTCAAGTGGGGACTTGGAGAACTTTTCTGTCCTCTAAGAGGATGGTAAAATGCACCAATCAGCACTTTGTAGCTAGGATTGTAAAACGCACCAACCAGCACTCTGTAGCTAGCAAGAGGTTTGTAAAATGCACCAATCGGTTCTTAAAACGCACCAATCAGCAGGAGTCTAAAAGCAGCCAATCACAGGGAGGACTGAAAAAAGAGCACTCTGATAGGACAAAAACAGAACATGGGAGGGGACAAATAAGGGAATAAAAGCTGGCCGCCCCAGCCAGCAGTGGCAACCCGTTTGGGTCCCCTTCCACACTGGAAGCTTTGTTCTTTTGCTCTTCACAATAAATCTTGCTGCTGCTCATAGAAAGATGCAAGCTAGTGCTAGCGAGACAGCCTGCAAAACCCCTGTGTTGTTTTGGGCTGTTAACCATAGTCTGAGTGGCTTAGACAACAAACATTTATTTCTCACAGTTCTAGAGGCTAGAAGTCCAAGAGCAGATGCCAGCAGACCTGTCTGGGGAAGGCCTGCTTCTTGGCCTGGAGACAGCCGCTTGCTCACTATGTCTTCACAGGGCAGAGTGAACCCTGGTCTGTTTCTCTTACAAGGACACTCATCCCACTGTGGGCCTCCACCTTTGTGATTTCATCTATACCTAAAAGGCCCCACTTCCTAGTATTCCGCCGGGGGTTCAGGCTTCAAAGATGAATACTGGGGGCGACACAAACGGAGCCCATAACCTCATGCCGCCTGACTCCTGAGGCTGTATTCGTGATGAACGTGTGGCTGCCCAAGTTTTGTTTTGCTCAGGCAGGATCAGCACACACCCAGCCACAGACAGGGAAGCCCAGAGCAGGGCAGAATATGGTCCCTCAAGTGAATAATTGGCCCAGGGATACAGAATTAGGTGATTCTAGCAAATCCAGACATTTTCTAGGGTGCCAGTGAATTTTGGGTCTGTCCCTGTTAGCTGTTCTTGAGATTTTGCACTCAACTTGCGATGGTTAATACGGAGTGTCAACTTGATTGGATTGAAGGATGCAAAGTATTGTTTCTGGGTGTGTCTGTGAGGGTGTTGCCAAAGGAGATTAACATTTGTGTCAGTGGGCTGGGAAAGGCAGACCCACCCTCAATCTGGGTGGGCACCATCTAATCAGCTGCCAGCGTGGCCGGAATAAAAGCAGGCAGGAGAATGTGGAAAGACTAGACTAGTCTTGTGGCCTCCATCTTTCTCCTGTGCTGGATGCTTCCTGCCCTTGAACATCGGACTCCAAGTTCTTCCGTTTTGGGACTTGGATTAGCTTCCTTGCTCCTCAGCCTGCAGACGGCCTACTGTGGGACCCCTTCTTGTAAGTCAATACTCCTTAATAAACTCCCCTTTATATATACATCTACCTATAGGTTCTGTCCCTCTAGAGAACCCTAACGCACAACGTTTCCATTTTATGTTGCAACGTTTAATGTTTTTGTAAGTTTCATAGTACGGTCTCCTAACTTTAGGTTATTTACTTCGGGAACTTTGCTCATTAACCTTGGTGCTGAGGCTACAGACTTAGTGATTTTCCTTCATTATCATTTAACATGCCTTTGTAGGTGGCATTTAAAGCAGTGAATGGTTACATTTTTAGTATGTTATAGGGAGATTTTCCTCGCATTTGTCAGTTGTTGACAACAAGACTTGGAAGTTCTCTTACAGGGAAGATGTCATGAAGTTTACCTGGTTGGTATGTTATTTGTCCACTAGCCAAGGAAGCGCAAGCCACTGTGTGTTTGAGGCAGGATGGAGAATGGAGGTCATTCTGGCCTCCACTGGTGTAACTATGGTTCAGCCACCCAAGTGGCTCACAGTGGCATTCTGCTTTCATTTCTCTCTCTCTCTCTTTTTTTTTTTTTTTTTTTTGAGATGGAGTTTTGCCCTCGTTGCCCAGGCTGGAGTGCAGCGGTGCGATCTCAGGTCACCGCAACCTCCACCACCCAGGTTCAAGCGATTGTTCTGCATGTGCCACCACACCCGGCTAATTTTGTATTTTTAGTAGAGACGAGGTTTCACCATGTTGGTCAAGCTTGTCTCGAACTCCTGACCTCAGGTGATCCAGCTGCCTCGGCCTCCCAACATGCTGGGATTACAGGCGTGAGGCACCGTGCCCAGCCCCTGCTTTCATTGCTTGATGTCATTGGTCATACCATCCTAGTCTAATGTGTGGGCAACGTGAGCAGGAACTTTGCAGTCAGCAAAGGCATCATCTTAGAATGTCTTTTATTTGGTGACGTTTCTGATTATTGCTGTCATAGACTGCTTATACTTGACCAGGCCAACTGGTTACAAAGTGACAAGCATAGTCCAAGTCAGTGGCTTTTGAACTATGGGAAATAACCCAATAAACCAGTGAGCTAGTATTGTACAGCCAACTCACGTTCATGAGTCAATGAGAATGAGCAAGTTGTAGCAGTGTGGACACAGCAGTCTCTTGGCTTCATTTCTCTTGGGAAGTGCTGAGTGCATCAAAAGAACTAAAAACAGCAAGAGACAGAAGACTCACAGTTTTTCTGGTACTTCTCTGGCTCAAGAAGGAAAAATATCTTGACTGAGCCTAGTGAAGACAGTATCTCTATACCAATTTCCTGAGGGTCAGTGGACTTAAAAGAGATTAGACCAAAATGTTAGTGTTTTTAAAATCCGTGTCTAGCAAGGCCAAGTGGTAATAGCCAACTCTACACGAAGTGTTTTGTGTTTCCTTTATTGTTTTTTGTTTGTTCGTTTGTTTGTTTGTTTTCTGAGACAGTCTTGCTCTTGTTGTCCAGGCTGGAATGCAATGGCATAATCTCAACTCATTGCAACCTTCACCTCCTGGGTTCAAGTGACTCTCCTACCTCAGCCTCTCGAGTAGCTGGGATTATAGGCACCTGCCACCACACCAGATAATTTTTGTATTTTTGGTAGAGACGGGGTTTCGCCATGTTGGCCAGACTGGTCTTGAACTCCTGACCTCGTGATCCATACACCTCGGCCTCCCAAAGTGCTGGGATTACAGGCATGAGCCAACACGCCCGGCATGTTTTTCCTTTAAAATCAGTCACAGCAAAAGTCACCGAGCAGACACTGTTCTGCCTTCTTCAGACATTTTCTCTGGCTTCCTAGGAATTGGGGTTTTTTTTGTTGTTTTTGTTTGTTTGTTTGTTTGTTTGTTTTAGTGTTATTCATCTTTTAGACTGGCCGTTCCCATCTTATTTGCACCTTTTGGGGAAAAGTTAACTTGCTCGAAAATGAAATGCACCCGATGGCATCTGCTGGCTTTACCTCATGGTGATGTTCCTTTATGAACTAGTGACCAAATGCTTCATTCTCTTTTCTGATTGTTTCCCTCCCTTTGCTCATCCCCCACCTCAGTAAGACATGTTACATCATTTTAATGAGCAAGTGTACATTTTTTTCCAGTGGGACTCAAATTGTACGTTTGCTTCTTGGTCGTACATGCATTTTGTTTCACGGATTTAGTTGTGTCTCCTGTTGTTCTGTGGTCAGGATACGGGATCATTTGCTAGGCACTGATTTGCTGAACACAGTAGTATTTCGTTGAGTGGCCCTTCCTTGGAAACAACTGGCAAGTAAGCAAACCTGGAAATCACTGTTCTGTGCTGTATTTTCAGTAAAGGGAATTTACACAGCGCTTGCTGCTGTGGGATTTGCAAACTATTTTATTTTGACTCTAGGATTTCACACAGTGATATGCTTAAGATATTTTTTATAATTTTTTTTTTTTTTTTTTTTTTTTGACAGAGTCCCACTCTGTAGCCCAGGCTGGAGTGCGGTGGTGTGGTCTTGGCTCACTGCAACCTCCGCCTACCGGGTTCAAGCGATTCTCCCTCCTCAGCCTCCCTAGTAGCCGGGATTAGAGGTGCACGCCACCACACCCAGCTAATTTTTGTATTGTTAGTAGAGATAGGGTTTCACCATGTTGGCCAGGATGGTCTTGAACACCTGGCCTCAAGGGATCCACCCACCTCGAATTCCCAAAGTGCTGGGATCACAGGTGTGAGCCACCGCGGACGACCTATAAAAACTTTTATCCCTTTCATTTTCTCATAGACTCCCGTTTAAGTTCTTGCTCTGTTTTGGGGGAAAGTGTTTATTGTTTGATTTTCTAATAACGAAAACATTAGAGTAGCTTCATTTATGCTGCCTGTTTCAAGCCAATACACTGCTCAGTTGTGTTTGTGTATTTGAAAAGTCCCCTGATAGGAACTTTCTGAGGGGTGCCTGTGTTGTTGGCACATTTGAGAACTAGACAAAATCTAACTCTGTGTCTTTTTTCTTTCTTTTTCCCCTATTATTTGGTTTTGTTTTTTTAACAACCCCTCTGGAGTGTGTTTTGGTTCATGGGATCAGGCCACGTGCCCTGGTTTTCGAGGTATAGCCTTGGCTTTCTTGGGTCGGGTCTAATAACCCTGACCTTGGACTTCCCACGTGTCCTTCAAAGAAAGCAATTATTTTTGCCTATTTTCTGAGTATGATGGTATTCTCCATTTGATTTAACAAAAAAATTCTTCCTCTGCTTTAAAAGACTGAAAGCCTCCCTGTAAGGTGCTGATTGCCTTCCAGATCTGAGGACCCCGTCTCTGCCTCATTCCTCCTGTTTCCATCAGAAGACACAGGTCTGGGACTCAGCGCAGCTGACCTGTCTGTCCCTCTCTGCACAGGTAACCACTTATTTATTGCTGCTTAAAGTAGAGCTTCTGATACCCATGGGGCTGGCAAGAGACCCTGACATTCTTGTCTTATTTTATCACATACAGTTTACTCCTGGGCTCTGCAGAGAGAAGTCAGTGCCTCAATTTTCCATTGAAATATGCACCCTTGGCATCCTGGCAGGTGAGCGGCGCCCCCTTAGGGCTAATACAGTGACATAAAATGTGTCATATTTTTGGCTGTGTGGTGGCTCATGCCTGTGATCCCCACACTTTGGGTGGCTGAGGCAGGCTGACTGCCTGAACTCGGGAGTTGGAGACCAGCCTGGCCAACATGGTGAAACCCCATCTCTACTAAAAATACAAAAATTAGCCAGGCATGGTGGCATGCACCTGTAGTCCCAGCTACTTGGGAGACTGAGGCAGGAAAATCCCTTGAACCCGGGAGGCAGAGGTTGCAGTGATCT
This sequence comes from Homo sapiens, assembly GCF_000001405.40. Taxonomy (NCBI): domain Eukaryota; kingdom Metazoa; phylum Chordata; class Mammalia; order Primates; family Hominidae; genus Homo; species Homo sapiens. The sequence goes on from NC_000016.10 coordinate 84,785,771, forward strand.
GAGATTGCGCCACTGCACTCCAGCCTGGGCGACCGAGTGACACTTGGTCTCAAAAAAAAATTAATTGTCATATTTTTGAAAAAGTATATTAGCTTTGCAATGAGTAAAGTTCACTCTCTAGGAAGATGTCCCTGTTTCCTGTGGCTACAAATGCTCCCTGCCACACTGGGAGGCCGCACCTCACTGCGCCGGAGTGCAGTCTTCAGTGGGGTCCTCTGCTGTGACCGAAAGAAGGGTGCAGCCGGGCCTGCTTCCAAGGCTAGGGTCTGAGACCTGGAGTGTGTCCATGGATATCAGATGTTGAGCTACAGGGGACCGGCAGCCCACAGCAGCACCCTCGGTGGCTACCTTAGGGTGTTCCTGTGGGCCTCCCCCCACCAGCACCTCCCTCCAGCTTTCCTGCCTCCATCCCCCCTCCAGGACACTTCCTCCTCTGGCTAAAGGTTTGGCACCTTTCATTTGAGAGAGATTAACAGCAAACACACAGGGCTTTCTGCAGGCCAGGGCTGCTGCTGAGCTTTTGCCAGGCATTTGGTCCTCTGCCAAGCCCATGCATAGTTTCTGTCTACATTGTGCAGTTGGGGACTTGGCACCTGCCCAGCACCTATGCTTGGGGCCCCTCCTCTGTGCTGCAGGCGGGTGTTCACACCCTTTCATACCCGCTGTCATCTCCCTGCAGCCCACCCTGCTTGACGAGGTCATCACTGGTGCTTAGGAGTAAACTGGAATGGCAGACAGAGCCCAGTGGATATTGCAGAGGAACAGAAGGAAAAAGATGTGCATGACGCCTCAGTGCTTGCAGCATTAAAGCAAAAAAAAAAAAAAGAGCAAAGTAGCACAGTGATTAAATAGTCGGGTGCCTGCATTCCATCCTCACCTGCTGTGAACCAGCCACATGACCTTGGACAGGTGGCCTGGTGCCTCCTCTGGGTAGTGGCTGGGAGTGGCACTGTCACCTAGGCCCTGTCACCTAGGCCCAGGGGCAGGAGTAAGCAAGGTAGCAGGTGTGATCCATTAGCACAGCTGATGCTCAGTCACGGTGGCCCTGGCACTCCTCAGAGGGCCCCTGCCATGCCTGGGGGAGGAGGGGCTGCAGTCCGTGCCCAGTGAATGTACCACCTGCCTGACATCGCAGCGTCCACTCTGGCAGATGCGACACCACGCCTAGTGAGGTCTGAACAGGGACCCTCAGCAGTGCGCCCACAGGTGCACATGAGTGATGACCATAGCTGCCCGCTGGTTGTGCCCTCCTGGGCAGGAAGCACACCAGGGAGCCCTGGCAGAGCAGGCCCTTAGGGAGCACCCAGGAGGGCCTGGGGCTGGGGCCTCGATTCTGGGCAGCCAGCCTTCGGGACCTTGGTCACGCGCCTACCTGGACCTCTGCCCCTGCCTGCCCTATCCCTCATTAGAATCCCAGCCCTCCTGGCTGTTCTGGGTACTCTGATCAAGCCAGACAGTGCTAGTTCAGCACTGAGAGAGTGTGTCCTGTCTGGTCAGGGACCACCAGGGTAGACAGACATTCACTCCTAAGTTCCCACCGAAAAACAGCACGAGGGTATATTGGGCAACCAGGTGAAGACTGTTCCAGAGCCAGTTATCCCAGAGGAGCTAGGAAGCCTTTCCCTCTGCTGTCTTCCTTTTACTCAGACACGTCCTCCAGAGCTGGCTGCATGTGCATTCCCTCTGCTTTCCTGGAAGTCCCCTCCTTTCCATCTACAATGGGACTTTTAAAAATACTCACAGTCACTAGTGCACAAGAAGAACCATTCAAAGCCGGCATCCAACCTCAGATTTGCAGCAACCTAAGATTTGTTTGCAAAGGAATAGAACGATAAAGCTTCAACCCACCCACGTTTATAACTGAGAAGAAAACACACACTTCATTTGGTAAATACAGCAAACAACTGAAAGTATGCTTTGACTCTGTATTGAGGCCAGTTAGGGGATGGAAAGGGTGAGGCTAAGCAGGTAAAGGAAATGGAAGAGAAGGTCAGGAGAAGGAAAATGTGAGCTAGGCAGGCGGCTCATGCCTGTAATCCCAACACTCTGGGAGCCCAAGGCAGGAGGATCATTTGAGTCCAGGAGTTTGACCCCAGCCTGGGTGAAATAATGAGACTTTGTCTCTACTAAAAAAAAAAAAAAAAAAAAAGTTAAAAACAGTAATAAAAGGAAAATGTAGAGGGGAGAAGCAACTGAGAAGAGAGGGGAGAGTGAGAAGGAATGAGCAGGGAGGTGGAGGGCGTGGGGGTGGCTTTGTTTTGGCCTCATCTTTCCAGGGAGACAGCCCTGTGGCGATGGCCAGGCCACGATGCTAGGCTGCTCTTGGTCATTACCAGCCCCTGAAATCAGCGTCCTCAACCCTAGCCCTGTCATCTCTGCTGGGAGTGGGTCTCTATTTCTTTTCTGCAATTTACATTTAAAGCAGAGTTTACCCTGGAATTCTGAAGGTTTCGGTGTTGAGGTATGGTTTGCATTTTAGAAATTCATTTTGGAAATGTGAAGATGTCTTCTATGCGGCTTGAAAGCCCGTCTGACGTTCACAAGCTGTATGGCTCAGGTCTTCAGTGCCTGAAGGTTATACAGCAAACCCACCTTGACTTTGACTTCGGAGTCTTTTCCTCCTGAAGCCAAATCTGTTTCAGCATTCTGGTCTCGTTAATTCTCATGGTGACAGTATATTAATATGAGCCAAAGAGAAAATAAAATTCACTGAAAGAAAATAAGGCTGAGCCTCATTACGCCTGTAATCCCAGCACTTTGGGAGGCCGAGGCGGGTGGATCATCTGAGGTCAGGAGTTCAAGACCAGCCTGGCCAACATGGTGAAACCCCCGTCTCTACGAAAAATACAAAAATTAGCCAGGAGTGGTGGCACACGCCTGTAATCCCAGCTACTCTGGTGGCTGAGGCAGGAAAATCTCTTGAACCTGGGAGGCTGAGGTTGCAGTGAGCTGAGATTGCGCCACTGCACTCCAGCCTGGGCGACAGAGTGAGACTCCATCTCAAAAAAAAAAAAAAAGAGAGAAAATGAGAATAAATAAGCAGCCATTCCACCTCTTGGGTCAAAGCTTCCAAATTTGCTTTTTCTCCAAGGAGTGGCAGCCACAGCAAAACATCTTCTGCAGCGTCTGGCCAGGGCGTTACTCCAGCCCAGTTTTGCCCTGGACTAGATTGAGTCAGGTCGTGCATGGAACGCAAGCACAAACCACGGTCAGCTCCTCGAGACTGACCCACTGGCCCACTGAGCAGAGGAGCCCCTGGGTCTCTGGACGCTGCCCAGTTGTTGACATCCTGAGGCAGGTTTGCGGCTGATGGAGCAACAGGGACGGGCTGGGCCCGGCACCTTTTTCACGGAAATGATGAGCTCTGGACAGCAGTGATGCCAGGGCCCATAAAGCCTCAGGCGCCCGTCATTGCTGCTGCCTGCGTGTGCTCGCTCACCGCGACGGCGGCGGGCTGGAGGAAGCTGTGCAAGAGCCAAGTGTCTACCATGAGTCTGCATGTTCATATGGTTCAGATTTGCCTTGGAATCCCCGCGAGCCAAACTCTTTCATTTCACTTAGTAAAAGGGATGCATTGACTCAGATGTTCTGTCCTATTTAAATGAGAGGGGCGCGGGAGGTGATGGAACACAAAACCATGAGCCATGGCTTTGCTGGGGAATGCTGTGGATCTGGTGTGTGATAGAGAGAGAGTGTGTGTGCGTGTGTGTGTGTGTATGGCAAAGTGCACAAATCGCACGTGTACACCTCAGTGGCTTTTTACACATTTAGACGTGTGTAAGTGTATAGAGCATTTCCACACCCCAGAGGCCCCGAGCTCACTCCCTCCCGCTCTCCCCATCCCTGACGCTAACCTGATGCCTGTTGTCGTACATCAGCTTCTCAACCTCGGCACTATTGATTGCCATTTGGGGCCAATAATTCTAGGGGGTGGTGGCTGTGGTGGGCACTGTAGGATGTTTCCTGTGTCCCTGGCCCTGACCTACTAGATACTAGATGCACCCACCCTCTCCATCGTGACAACCAAACGTCTCCAGACATTGCTAAATACACCCTGGGGACACAGTCACCCTGGCTGAGAACCAGAGCGTGGGTCACTGTGACTTCCGCGCTTCCTCTCCATGGCATCGCACGGTGCCATGTGTCCTGCCCTCCGTGTTCTTCTCTCTACGCTGCTTCTCTGAAATCCCTCCAGCGGTGGCGGGTGCCAGGAGTTAGTTTTGCTTTCTCACTTTGGAGTAATGTTGCATTTTATGGATGTGCCACGATGTGCTTGTCTGTTCCACTGCGGATGGCATCTCTTGTTGCAGTTGGGGCTGTTAAGAGTGTTCTCAGTGTGCCTTGTGGAGGGCTTGTGTCCTTTCTCTTGGGTGCATCCTCCTGAGTAGGACTGCAGGGTCCCAGGCAGGCGCCTATTAGCAGGAGTGGCCACCATTGCACAGTGCTCCCAATTCCATTCCCACAGGCCACCTGAGAGTCAGGGAGCTTCTGTCACAATTTTAAGTGCTGCAGGATTAATGCAAACTTTCTGATGTGCTTCAAGTTGCTTTGTGTTGAAATGGACTAGAGGGGATTTAAGCTCACAGACATATATCCAGAGCATGCCCACTTTGATAATGCTATCTTCACTAATAAATTATTCTCAAAACAGCAGGTACTTGCAGTTCTGAACTAGATAAAGCCCTTTCCTTTCCATCTACTCACTGAGTCATCAGGTGCCTGGCTGACAGCTGACGCTAAGTCTTCACAATTAACCAAGTCTCTGGGCGCCCCTCAGGCTTTAACATGAGGACACATGGCAGATTAATCACGAAGCCCCACCTCTCATTTCAGCTGCCATGAATGGCAATTCCCAAAATGCAGGGGGAGAAAAAGACTGGAAGGAAATGTCGTGGTCTAAAATATCACCAAAAGTTGTCTTTGTTTTATTTATTTATTTATTTATTTATTTTGTTTGAGACAGAGTCTCACTCTCCCAGGCTGGAGTGCAATGGCCCAATATCAGCTCACTGCAACCTCCGCCTCTCAGGTTCAAATGATTCTGCTGCCTCAGCCTCCGGAGTAGCTGGGATTGCAGGTGTCCGCCACCACGCCTGGCTAATTTTTGTAATTTTAGTAGAGACAGGGTTTCACCATGTTGGCCAGGCTGGTCTCAAACTCGTGACCTCAAGTGATCTGCCTGCTTCGGCCTCCCAAAGTGCTGGGATTACAAGTGTGAGCTTGGCCTCCAAGGGTTGTCTTTGTGGGATTGTTTGCCCTCCATCTGTTTGTCTGTGTATTCCCAGTTTTCTGCAATGGACAGTTTTTACGTTTCAAACGGGAAACTCTTTTCTCCTTCCGTGTCTCCATGCAAGCCCAGAGACGCCAGCATCATGTCTGTCTCCCATCCTCCACTTCTCTGACGACCAAAGGTCCTGGGTTCTCTGAGGCCTGCGCCTGGGCCTTGTTACAACCCAGCAGGCTTATCTTGATTCCAGTAATTGAGAGGCACATTTGCCAAGTTTATATACCCTCTTGAAACTCAAGTACTGGTTTGTGGATTAATGCGAGATTCAGTTGCATGCATTTGAAATGCAAGCGTCTAATTCCGCGTGTAAAATACGGGGCCACAGACCTCTTGGGCATTGCACACCATTCCATTCAGATGAGCGCAGCAAAAGCAAACTGTAACCCCTAGGATTAAATTCTCCTTTAAATACTCACGGGTTTTTAGCTTCGGGGGAAAATATGTCTGGGAAAAATATCTTGGGGTTTCATCAAACACTTGGAAAATAATCTGAAAACATTTTTCCAAACCCTCCATGCCTCCAGCCTGAATCCTAATTGATAGTTAATAACTACATCGACAGAAGCCTTCTCACTCTATCACGATTACTGGAAGGCTAAAGAGACATCTGTCTGGAGTACTGGGAGTGAAGCAAGGATCTCAGGATCACCAAGGATCTTGTCTGGCCAAGGTCTTTACCACACAAACAAGCTTTTTTTCACCCCCGGAAATACTTGCCCCGAGTCCACTGTCAACCATTACCAGAATCAGATCTCGGACCAATCGCAAGTGTATTTATGTATTCATTCATCAAACACTTATTGAGCCCCAACTCTGTGCCAGGCATTGCCTGTACTTGCAGGGAGATCAAAAATGAAAGGAGGTGAGCATTTTGACAGCTCTTGTCTTAGAGAGTTTGCAGCCAGTGGGAGAAAGCAAGACATCGGTAACTGGGAAAAGGCAGGGGTGCTCCGAGTCACAGAACAGAGCCCGTGGCTGGCAGAGCCCGGAGGAGGGTCTGGCTGGGCAGTAGATGTTGAATTCTATTTTTTTCAAAATCATTTTTTTCTATTCCAGATCCTTTGCTTTTCCACATCAATTTTTACTATCTACAAAAAGTCATGCTGGAATTTTGACTTGAATTGTGTTAAACCTCCACATCAATTTGGGGATAATTTACAGCATAGTTACATTTGAGCCCTCCAATCCATAAACACAGTATATCTCTGTTTTTAGGCCTTTGATTTCTTTTGTGAGCATTTTGATAAAGCATACAGATCATCCTCAAGTTTCGTCAGATTTATACCTGAGTATTTCATTTTTGGAGAGCTGTTGTAAATGGGTTTAACATTTTTATCATTTATGTATTTTTCATTGCTAGTATATAGAAATATGATTTTTTTTTGTCTGTTGGCCTTATGTCCTGAGATCTTGTTAAACTCATTATTTCAATAAGCTTTTTTGTTTGTTCATTTGGACAGCGTCTTGCTTGAGCCTCGGAGTTTGAGGCCACAGTGAGTGGTGCCATTGCACTCCAGCCTGGGCAAGAGAGTGAGACTCTGTCTCTAAAAAAACAAGTAAAACATAAAATACATTTATAAAAATAAAAAAAATCGATCAATGTAATCCATCATATTAACAATCTGTCACCCAGGCTGGAGTGCAATGGTGCAATCACAGCTGGCTGCAGCCTCGACTTTCCGGGTTCAAGCAGTCCTCCCACCTCAGCCTCCTGAGTAGGTGAGACCACAGGCATGCACCACCATGCTCAGCTAATTTTTTTTTTGGCAGAGATGGGGGTCTCACCATGTTGCCCAGGCTGGTCTCGAACTCCTGAGCTCAAGTAATCCACCACCTTGGCATCCCGAAGTGCTGGGATTACAGGTGTGAGCCCCCACACTCGGTCCAGCCTAAGCTTTTTAAATAGTTTCCTTAAGATTTTCTACATAGAGAATTATGTTATATGCAAATATGGACAGTTTTATTCTTTCCTTTCAGGTCCATGTGCCTTGGATTTCTTTTTTCTTGTTGTAGTTCATTGGCTGGGCCTCCAGAAAAGATGTTGACTGGGAATGGCAAGAGTTTATAAATTGTCTTTTCATGACCTCAAGGGAAGCATTCTCTTTGCCCATGAAGTCAGTCCGTTGCTAGCTGTGGAGTTTTTATGGATACCCTTTATAAGATTATGGAAGCCGGGCACGGTGATTCAGGCCTGTAATCCCAGCACTTTGGGAGGCCAAGGCAGGTGGATCACCTGAGGTCAGGAGTTCAAGACCAGCCTGGCCAATATGGTGAGACCCTGTGTCTGCTAAATTACAAAAAATTAGCCGGGTGTGGTGGCGGGCGCCTGTAATCCCAGCTACTCAGGAGGCTGAGGCAGGAGAATTGCTTGAACCTGGGAGGCAGAGGTTGCAGTGAGCTGAGATCATGTCATTGCACTCCAGCCTGGGCAACAAGAGTGAAACTCTGTCTCAAAAAAAAAAGATTAAGGAAGTGGCCTTCTGCTCTTGTTCTACCCTGGTTTTCTGAGAGTTTTTTTTTTTTTTTTTTATCATGAATGGATGTTGAACTTTGTCAGACTTTTTTCTGCGTCAGTTGGTATGATCATGTGGTTTTTCTTATTTAGTCTGTTAATATGATGGATTAATTGATAGTTTTTTTATTGTTATAAATTTATTTTTAAATTTTTCTTTAGAGACAGAGTCTCACTCTGTCGCTCAGACTGGAGTGCAGTGGCACCACTCACTGCAGCCTCGAGCACCTGGGCTCAAGGAATCCTCCAGCCTCAGCCCCCCAAGTACCTGGGACTACAGGTACATGCCAAGCTCACTTTTAAAATTTTTTTGTAGAGATGGGGTCTTGCTGTGTTGCCCAGGCTGGTCTCAAACTCCTGGCCACAAGTGATCCTCCCACATCAGCTTCCCAAAATGCTGGGATTACAGGTGTGAGCTACTGCACGCAAGTTTGATTGATTTTTAAAAAATGTTCCACCAGCCTTGCCTTCCCCAAATAAACCCCACTTGGTCATGGGGTTGTATGACCTATGACCAAAATATTAGCAAATATATATATTATTGAATACAACTTGCTAGTAGATTGGTGAAGATTTTCATGTCTATGTTCCTGATGGACATTGGTCTGCATGCATTTCTTTTCTTGGACTGTCTTTGTGTGGTTTTGGTATCAGGGTAATGCTGTCCTCATAAGATGAATGGGGAAGTATCCTCTTCTCTTTTATTATCTGGGAGACATTGTGTAGATTTGGTTGTTTCTTCTTTAGCTGTTTGGTGGAATTTGCCAGGGAAAGCATCTGGGCCTGAAGATGCTCTTTGGGAAGGTTTCCAGCTGCGTTGAGGTTTAGGCTGGGAGGGAAGAGCCTGGGAGCTCCGAAGGCTGGGAGGTACCCGAGTTCTGCTGCCTTCCCCAATCTGTCTGCTGCGTGTACTCTCCAGAGGCCCTCGATGGCAGCTCCCGCACTCTCTTCAGGGTTTTGGTTGCATTCAGTGGCAGATGCAGGGTGAGCAGGACAGGACAGGCTTATCTATTCTGTGGAGCCAAACCTCCATAGTTTTTATTTTCATAACACCAACCTGTGTGGGAGCCAGTGGCTGAGAGCATTGCAGGGCTCAGCACATCCTGACATCACAGGGACCCGGGAAGGCAGCCGACCTCCATGCAGGAACTTCCTCCTCTACAGCGTCACACAGGAGTCCCCTCCAAGGCCTCAGCTCTCCGAGGCACATGCGTGCTCCTCACCTTCCATTTCCATTTCGCGTGTTTTGCTGGCGTCAGTGCTGCTCTCCGTTGGAAATGCGGGAGCCGCCCCTAGCCATGTTACACGTGGAGAAGCTGCGGTGCCGGGAGGAAGAAGGCGGCGTTAAGTGGGCAGAGCTGAGAGTCACTCCTGGACTCCTGCGCTTGGGGCACCACGCACTGATCTGAGTGGAACCCCAGCCAGCCCGAACAATGCTGGGAGGGCACTGGGGCTCTCGGTCAGCAGGGCCCCACTCATCCAGGGAGTCAAAGTGCTTGGGTGAAGCGCGCACAGCCAAGAATCTATATTCTAAATATTAATATTTAATATTAATAATAACAATAACAAGAGCTCCTATGGATTAAACGCTTGCACACTGACCATTAAGCACTTAGCATTTATGAAGCACTTCCTACGACCTCTCCTTCATCTCGCTGCGGCCCTGCGAGGCCGATAGTGTTTATTATTCTCATTTACAGAGGAGGAAGGTGAGTCCTGGAGGAGGGAACAGACTCCCGGGGACACACGGCAAGGATTCCAGCCTGGGCCCATTTTGGTAGCGCTCCCTCACGGTGACAGATCCAGCCAGTGCGCCAGCAGACGCCCTTCACGGAAACCTCACGTAAAGGCTGAGTTAGTGCTGTCTCAGACGACTGCAGCGGCGTGGTGGGAAACGTCAGTAAAGAACGGTTTCCTTGAAAAGTCTGCACATTTATAGTGTGTTGTTTTGATTAGGAATTCTGGGAAGGCAGAGACGTCCTTCTGCGTGGACAGCTGCCATCCCTCCCGCTCTGCAACGCTGGCTCCTCCTGAAGATGGAGCAGGATTGCGTCACTCATGGGAACTTTCTAACCTTCTCTTCAGCTGACCTCCTCTGTGCTTTGGGAAGCCAGACTGACTCAGAGAGTTCCGTGTCCCCACCCCTTCCTTGGTGCTGGAAAGGAGGTGGAAACTCCTCAACTTCCTGTCATTAGGATTCATCTCGGAAATCTGCCACACAGGGCTACCCCGGGACCCTATCCAGGCAGGGGGGTGCGTCAGAAGCACTTCACCCCTGCAGGTGCAGGCACACTTACTCTCTTATTGGAGACACTGCCTTGCCTTGTCACCCAGGCTGGAGTGCAGTGGCACTATCAGGGCTCATTGCAGCCTCCATCTCCCAGGCTCAAGTGATCCTCCCACTACAGCCTCCCGAGTAGCTGGGATTACAGGCGTGCACCACCACACCCAGCTGATTTTTGTCTTTTTGGTAGAGATGGGGTTTCACCATGTTGGCCAGGCTGGTCTCGAACTCCTGACCTCAAGTGATCCACCCGCCTTGGCCTACCCAAAGTGCTGGGATTCCAGGTGTGAGCCACCACACCTGGCCAATTCCTGTACCCATTAAAAACTCAAGAAATCTTTGCCTAACCCAAGCTCACAAATGTTCTTCTGTGTTTTCTACTAGAAGTTTTATAGTGTTAGCCTTTACATTTAGGTATCTGATTTGACTGAGTTAACTTTTGTGTGGGAGGAGGTAGAGATCGAAGGTAATTTTTTGCATATGAATGATATCCGGTTCTTCCACGTGTTGAAAATACTCTCCTGTCCCCATTGAATTTGCCTCTGCGCCTTGCGAAAAAATTGACCATGTGGGTCTATTTCTAGACTCTGTATTCTTTTTGTTTTGTTTTGTTTTTGAGACAGTCTTGCTCCGTCACCGAGGCTGGAGTGCAATGGTATGATCTCAGTTCACTGCAACATCCGCTTCCTGAGTTCAAGAAATTCTCCTGCCTCAACCTCCCAAATAGCTGGGATTACAGGCACTCGCCACCACGCCCAGCTAATTTTTTTTTTTTTTTTTTTTTTTTTTTGTATTTTTAGTACAGACGAGACTTTGCCATGTTGGCCAGCCTGGTCTTGAACTCCTGACCTCAGGTGATCCACTCACCCCAGCCTCCCAAAGTGCTGGGATTACAGTCATGAGTCACTGTGCCCAGCCTCCTTTTTCTTTTTTTTTTTTGAGATGGAGCCTCGCTCTGTCGCCCCAACTGGAGTGCAGCTGTGTGATCTCGGCTCACTGCAACCTCCACCTCCCGGGTTCGAGCTATTCTTCTGCCTCAGCCTCTGGAGTAGCTGGTACTACAGGTTTTGCTACCACGCCCAGATAATTTTTGTATTTTTAGTAGAGACAGGGTTTCACCATGTTGGCCAGGCTGGTCTCAAACTCCTGACCTCAGGTGATCCACCTGCCTTGGCCTCCCAAAGTGGTGGGATTACAGGCTTGAGCCACCGCGCCCGGCCTAACAGCTTTACAGTATGTAAAGAAAAAACTGATAGAACTGAAAGGAGAAATACACAAATCCAAATGACAGTTGGATATTTCAACACTCCTTTCTCACTAATTGATGAAATAAGAAGACGGAAAACCAGTAAGATTATAGAAAGCTTAAACAAACTTACCAACTAACTGACCTAATTAACCTTTATACAATAGTCCACCCAGTATTCTAGAATATACATTCTTTTCAAATGCATAAGATAATCACTTGGACCATAATCTGAACCAAAAACTGTATCTCAACAAATTTTAAGAGATCAAAATATTATAAAATATTTTCTTGGCCAGGTGCGGTGGCTCATGCCTTAATCCCAGCACTTTGGGAGGCCAAGGCTGGTGGATCACCTGAGGTCAGGAGTTTGAGATCAGCCTGGCCAACATGGTGAAACCCTATCTCTACTAAAAATACAAAAATTATCTGGGCGTGGTGGCACAAACCTGTAGTACCAGCTACTAGGGAGGCTGAGGCAGGAGAATTGATCATGCCTGGAATCCCAGTATGTTGGGGGGCCGGGGAGGGAGGATCACCTGAGGGTGGGTGTTCGAGACCAGCCTAGCCAACATGGTAAAATCCCATCTCTACTAAAAATACAAAAATTAGCAGGGCATGGTGGCAGGCACCTGTAGTCCCACATACGTGGCAGGCCGAGGCAGAAGAATCTCTTGAACCCAGGAGGCAGAGGTTGCAATGAGCTGAGATCATGCCACTGCACTCCAGCCTGGGCAACAGAGCGAGACTCTGTCTCAAAAACAAAACAAAACAAAATAATTAGATTATAACCCTAGGAGGATTCAGGAACTCTCTTAGCTAGCTTTGTAACTGTTCTGTAAAACCTAAAATTATTCCAAGTTTAAAAGTTTACCAAAATCAGTCAACATAATTCATGATATAAACAGACTAAAGAAGAGCCATGTAATCATTTCAATAGATTCAGCTTTTGACAAAATTCAGCATCCATTCATGAGATAAGCTCGCCACAAACTAGAGAGGGAAGGAAACTGCTTCAACCTAACAAAGGACATTTATAAAAAAAAAATCCACAGCTAACATCATAATTGATGGTGAGAGACTGCACGCTCCCACCCATGTCTGGAGCAAGGTAAGGACGTCCACTCCACCACTACTACTCAATGCTGTAATGGAGCCTCCAGCTAGTGTAATAGGCAAGAAAAAGAAATAAAAGGCATTCAGATGGGAAAGAGAGAAGTAGGACTCTCCTTATTTGCAGGCAACATGAAAACCTAGGTAGAAAATCTTGTGGAATCTACAAAAAAGCTCCCTGAACTAAGAAGTGAGTGTAGGCTGGGCATGGTGGCTCACATCTGTAATCCCGGCACTTTGGGAGGCCAAGGTGGGAGGATTGCTTGAGGCCAGGAATTCGAGACTACACTGGCCAACACAGCAAGACCCCGTCTCTATTTTTTTTAATTTAAAAATGTTTTAAAAAGTGAGTGTACTAAGCTTGCCAGATAAAAGATCAATACACAATAATCAATTGTGTTTGCATATGCCAAAAAAGAACAATTGTAAAATAGGATTTTAACAATACCATTTACAATAGTATAAAAATATGAAATCCTTGGGCTCAAATCTGACGAATCAGCGTAAGACCTGTACATTGAAAACTACAAACATACCTGAATGAAAGGAAAGACCCAAGTAAACGGATAAATACACTGTATTCAACAAGCCAGGATTTGAGGGTCTCCCCAGAGTGATCTATAGAGTCAATGCAATCCCAATCAAAATCCCAGCAGCTTTTTTTTTTTTTCTGGTAGAAATTAAGTGGATTCTAAAATACCTATGGAAATATGAAAAAATAAAACACAGTCGAAACAACTTTAAAGCATGACCGAAGTTAGAAGATTTACAGTCCCCTTCAAAATTGTTATAAAACTTAGCAACACCGCATGGTACTTGTATTGAGGTCGATAAATAGATCAATAATATAGAATGCTGGCCAGGCACGAGGCGGGCGGATCACAAGGTCAGGAGATCGAGACCATCCTAGCTAACAGGGTGAAACTCCGTCTCTACTAAAAATACAAAAAATTAGCCAGGCGTGGTGGCGGGCGCCTGTAGTCACAGCTGCTTGGGAGGCTGAGGCAGGAGAATGGTGCGAACCCGGGAGGTGGAGCTTGCAGTGAGCCAAGATTGCACCACTGCACTCCAGCCTGGGCGACAGAGCAAGACTCCGTATCAAAAAAAAAAAAAAGCTGTATTATTTGGCATGTATACATTTAGGAATTTTCTATATCCTTGATGAGTTGGCCTTTTTGTAATTATGACAAACCCATCTTTATCCCTGGAAATATTCCTTTGTCTAATATTAATATCACCACTCCAGCTTTCATTTGGTGAGTATAAGCATGTTGCATGGTATACATTTTTCCATCTCTTTACTTTTAACCTATTTATGTCTTTGTAGTTAAAGTTGGTTTCTTGTAGACAGCATACCGTTGGGCCTTGCTTTTTCATACAATCTGACAACCTTACATTATGTTGGAATGTTTAGAACATTTACATTTAACATAAATCAATATAGTTGGGTTAAAACCTGCTATCATGCTATTTGATTTTCAATTTGTCTTATCTCTTCTTTGTTACTTTCTCCCCATTTTCTTGTCTTCTTTTAGATTAGTTGCATTGCCTGTCTGATTCCAATTTATCTATATTATTTGCTTGCAGATATGTAAAAAGTTGAAGTTTCATTAGGGATATACATAAAATAGATGATTTTTCTAAAATAATGAGGCCAATCATGAGATGACTCATTAAGGAAAAGATCAATTGAAAAATGCATGTTTGGAAAAAAATTGCATGTTTGGACTTACCTTCAGTTATCATTAGGAAACAGAATAAAACCTAGACCAGAAGTTAAGTATTTTTTTTTTCCTAAGCTCACAATTATAGTTTCTATGATTTGAATCATCAGAAGAGCAAACTTGATAATCCTGGAAATTTAGGAGACATGAGGTCATGGAAGGTCGTGGAAGGTCCTGAAGGTGAGTATTCTGTCAGGAACGGTGTGTTCGCCTTCCTTATGCTCCTGCTAAGCCCTCTCTCTAAAGTTGTGTATTCTGCTCGAAAACTTCCCTTGCCAGAGGATACTTTTCATGAATAAATGCTCTCCAGTTCTTGTCATTGCTAAGTACAGTTCTTGGGTTACTTTGCATGTCTCTCCAATATCAATTTGATGGAGTGTCTTCGAGGAACTGGCAACGTGCCAAACACTATATGCAGGGATTTGCCTACATTCAATCATTTAATCCTCCCAACAACACTGTGAGACTGACAAGATTCTTAGCTCCCCTCCATGGCTGATGAAGTGGCATCTCAGTGAACTGAAGGAAGTTGCTGGAATTCCAACCTGTGCTGTCCAATTACCAGGCCTATGATCTTGGCCCCTAAGCTATCTTTGGGAGGGCCTGCCAGTGCTTGGATTTCCTGTTTCTGTCTCTTTCCCTGCTGGCTGAAGTTAACAATCAGTATTTCACAGGGCCCTCTGAAATTTCCTTCCCCTTCAAATATCAGCCTTATGCTGGTACTGGGGATACCCAGGGAGTGAGACGTGGTCTCCAGCTTATAGATGCTCGAAGTAAAAGAGGAGATGGAACAATTGTCACAGTTACCTATTGCCACGGTGATGCTGAGTAACAAACCACCTGTAACTCTGTGGCTTTATTCTTGCTCTCTGTCTGCAAATCATCTGGGAAAATGGGGTGGGGTGGGGTCACCTGATCTATGCTGGGCTCAAGCTACAGGATGGATCCAATTCTACTGGACACTTTGTTCTGTGACCCGTGGATTGCCTGGGGCATTTTCTCCTTGTGGCCATGGCGGAAGCCCATCAATCAAAGCAAGTCACATGGCTAAGCTCAAAGTCAAGAGGTGGAAAGTACTCTTTGCCCACCACGAGGCCATGGTAGACCCCAAGGCCATTGGGCTGTAGAACAGACAGCAGAGTGGAGAACCAGAACCGATAATTCAATTCACCTCATTTATTTTAACAGGTGAGCAAAGCAATTTGCATGACAGCAAGATGTTGCTAAGGAAGACAAAAGATAGAAGCAACTGCCTACCTTGCCAACCACATGCCTTCACAGAGGAGGTGATGTCGGTGCTGGGTCTTGAAAGGTGGGGTTTCCCAGGTGGAGAGAGAGCATGTGCAAAGGTCCAGTGGCACAAAAGGCCCCTGTGGGCTCAGAGAGAAGGAAAAAGCTTAGTGCTACTGATGTGTAGAGGGGTGCATGTGCTTGCAGGTGGGTGGGGAGGGTATGGGGCAGGGAGCTGGGTGCAGTAGAGAGAGATGAACCCAGAAAGTTGCCAGTAATGAAGATAACTAAGGTCATTAATGGGCAGGGAAGTGTCTGGTCAGGCTTGGGTTTTCAGGTAATGATTCTGGCTGCAAAGTGGAGACCAGAGAAGAGGAACAATTAAAATAATTAACATGTGTAGGTTTTTCTTTAAAAAAAAAAAAAAAGAAAGAAACAGCCAGGCATTTTACATGCCTAATTTGAACCTCACAGCAACCGAGTGAAATAGGCATTATTGGCTGGGCGCGGTGGTTCACGCCTGTAATCCCAGCACTTTGGGAGGCCGAGGTGGGCAGATCACTAGGTCAGGAGATCGAGACCATCCTGGCTAACATGGTAAAACCCCGTCTCTACTAAAAAAATACAAAAAATTAGCCGGGCGTGGTGACGGGCGCCTGTAGTCCCAGCTACTTGGGAGGCTGAGGCAGGAGAATAGCATGAACCCGGGAGGTGGAGCTTGCAGTGAGCCGAGATCGAGCCACTGCACTCCAGCCTGGGCGACAGAGCGAGACTCCCTCTCAAAAAAAAAAGAAATAGGCATTATTAATTTTAATTTTAGCATAAAAAGAAATATATTTGCATTCATTTAAAAATCTTTCCTCATTGGCCAGGCTTGACCAGCTGGGAGCTCACTGTGCTCACCCTCAGGGAATGCTAACTTTTTTCTTTTTTTTTGAGACAGAGTCTCATTCTGTCACCCAGGCTGGAGTGCAGTGGTGCGATCTCAGCTCACTGCAACCTCTGCCTTCGGGGCTCAAGCAATTCTTCTGCCTCAGCCTCCCCAGTAGCTGGGATTACAGGCATGCGCCACCACGCCTGGCTAATTTTTGTATTTTTAGTAGAGACGGAGTTTCACCATGTTGGCCAGGCTGGTCTCGAACTCCTGACCTCAGATGATCTGCCTGCCTCGGACTCCCAAAGTGCTGGGATTATAGGTGTGAGCCACCGCACCCAGCCAGAACTTTTAGTGTTGTTGTTTGCTCCTGAAGCACGGAGGTTGATGTTCTCAGCCCCATTCCCCAGATGAGGAAAGCTGAGCCCTGGAGAGCCTGAGGAACATGCCCAGCGTCTCAAGTGAGGAAATGGTGGGCTAGGATCCAAACCCAGGAGGTGGGCAGCTGGCCACTGGGCCACAGCGCCTCCCCATAGGGTGAGTCCAGAGCCCCCAACCAAAATGGCGGATGGGCTGCAGGAGAAAGGAGGGACTGATGTGGCTTCTACCTGCGTCAAGTGGACCAGGTGTGGGACGAGTTTCAGGGGAGCAGGAAGGGAAGAGAGGAGTCAAGAATCCTCGACTGGCTGGGCGTGGTGGCTCGTGCCTGTAATTCCAGCACTTTGGGAGGCCGAGGTGGGTGGTTCACGAGGTCAGGAGTTCGAGACCAGCCTGACCAACATGGTGAAACCCCATCTCTACTAAAAATACAAAAATGAGCCGGGCGTGGTGGCACTTGCCTGTAGTCCCAGCTACTCAGGAGGCTGGGGCAGGAGAATCGCTTGAATCTGGGAGGCGGAAGTTGCAGTGAGCTGAGATCACGCCACTGCACTCCAGCCTGGGTAACAGGGCGAGACCCTATCTCAAAAAAAAAAAAAAAAAAAAGGAGTCCTCGACCATGCCGTATGCTTCCAGTTACAGAATATTCTTGAACAGGCAAGCAAGTCTACAGCAAAGCAACAGAAAGCAGATCCATGGTTGCTGGGGGAGGTGGGACGCAGATGGGCGTGATGGGAACATTCTGTATCATGGTGGTAGTTGGGCGGGTATAGACATCTGTTCCTCATCCAGCTGTCCACTTAAATGGGTACACGTGCTTGTGTATAAACCCCACCCCCTGTAAGGTTGATGTTAAAAGTGCTTCTGAGGCCTCCTATTGGTGACATTGCCCAGGTCGGTGGACGTCAGGGGATCCTATTTCTTAGAACACAGGGATGTCTTTCCGTCATTTGAATTTCTGGCTAGCCGACCTTTTTCCTCCTCAGCTGGAGCCCCTACCTGCCTCGGGGGACTAGGAAAGCTTAGCAGAACCTCAGCAGGAAAGCAACTTGTTTAGCTTTTAGAGTTCTCAGTGAGACCAGAGCCCTGGGAAGGAATGAAGAGGGGAACGGGGTTGCCCACATCCTTTGCACCCCTTTTGCATCAAGAGTCAGGCCCGTGGTCCTTGGCAAACTCACGCAGGAACCGAAAACCAAATACCGCACGTTCTCACTGATAAGTGGGAGTTAAACGATGAGAAGACATGGACGCATAGAAGGGAACACCACCCACTGGGGCCTGTCGGAGGGTGGAGGGTGGGAGCGGGGAGGGGATCAGGAAGAAGAACTCATGGATACTGGGCTTAATACCTGAGTGACGAAATAGTCTGTACAACAAACCCTCGTGACACACGTTTACCTAAGTAACAAACCTGCACATCCTGCACATGTACCCTGGAAATTAAAAGTTTTTTTTAAAAAAACGATTGTTTTACAAAGTCAGTGAAAAAAGGGCCAGGCGCGGTGGCTCACGCCTGTAATCCCAGCACTTTGGGAGGCCGAAGCAGGCGGATCATGAGGTCAGTAGATCGAGACCATCCTGGCTAACACGGTGAAACCCTGTCTCTACTAAAAATACAAAAAAATTAGCCGGGCATGGTGGCGGGCGCCTGTAGTCCCAGCTACTCCGGAGGCTGAGGCAGGAGAATGGCGTGGACCCAGGAGGCGGAGCTTGCAGTGAGCCAAGATTGCACCACTGCACTCCAGCCTGGGTGACAGAGCGAGACTCCGTCTCAAAACAAAAACAAAAAGAAAAACAAAAACAAAAAAACAACAAAGTCAGTGAGAAATTTAAAAGAAAAAAAAAGGTCAGGCCTATTGAACTTCAAACTTATTATCAGCCAGAGGGGATGGAAAACCCAGTGCCTCATGGAAGGAACACCCCAAACATAAGAAGGTGGAAAATCCTCCCTCCCAGCTCCAGCAAGGTGAGCGGACAGGTGAAAAAGAGCTTCTGCCCCTGGTCGGGACCCTGGAGTCAAGGGAGGAGGCAGATTAAGGAGGAGGCTGAGAGCGAACGTGTTACGAGGCAGCTCCCTCCAGTGCAAGGTGGAGGACAGCCCTCGTGCACAGTGGAGCAGCCCCAGCCTGGGTGACTCCCCAAGCCCTGTAGGCCGATGTGGCCCGGTATGTCCAAGCTTGCTGGAGTGGGTTAACTGGTGGCCCCCAGAATGATATATCCAAGCCCTGATGCCCAGAACCCGTGAATGTGACCTTATTTGGAAAAAGAATCTGGCTGGGCACGGTGGTTCATGCCTGTAATCCCAGCACTTTGAGAGGCCGACACAGGTGAATCATCTGAGGTCAGGAGTTCGAGATCAGCCTGGCCAACATGGTGAAACCCCACCTCTACTAAAAATACAAAAGTTAGCCGGACTTGGTGGTGCACATTTGTAATCCCAGCTACTCGGGAGGCTGAGGCACGAGAATCGCTTGAACCCAGGAGGCGGAGGTTGCAGTGACCCGAGATCACACCACCGCACTCCAACCTGGGTGATGGAGCGAGACCACATCTAAAATAAATAAATAAATAAATAAATAGGCTGGCTGCGATGGCTCACGCCTGTAATCCCAGCCCTTTGGGAGGCCGAAGTGAGTGGACCACAAGGTCAAGAGATTGAGATCATCCTGGCCAACATGGTGAAACCCCGCCTCTACTAAAAATACAAAAATTAGCTGGGCGTGGTGGCGCACGCCCGTAGTCCCAGCTATTCGGGAGGCTGAGGCAGGAGAATCACTTGAACCTGGGAGGCGGAGGTTGCAGTGAGCCGAGATCAGGCCACCGCACTCCAGCCTGGGCAACAGAGTGAGACTCTGTCTCAAAAAAAAAAAAAAAAAAAGAAAGAAAAAGTATCTTTGCTGTAATCAATAGAAGGTCTTGAGATGAGGCCATCCTGGATGACCATGTGTGCCCTAAGTGCAACCATGAATGTCCGTATAAGAAGAGAAGAAGGCTACGCGAGGACAGAGGCAGCGATGGGAGTGATGCGGCCACAAGCCAAGGAACACCTGGGGCCCCTGGAAGCTGGAAGAGGCAGGAAGGATCTTCCCTCTCTCCACTCTGCAGACGCTTTGATTTCAGACCGCTGGCCTCCGGAACCGGGAGAGAACACATCTCTATTGCTAGCCACCCAGTTTGCAGCAGTTTATTAGGACATCCCCGGGAAATTAATCACGGCTCCTGTCATGTAAAAAGATCGGTGGGTGGGCTCCGTCTTTGCCTCTCTGCAAAACCGTGAAGTCCCTAAACTTCCTTCCCACTCATCTAGGGGGAGAGGAGAGGAAGGAGGGAAAGAGCGAGGGCCCTGAGTGGCTCTGAGTGCACATGGGTGGGCTAGTTGCTGCAGAGACCACTGCAAATTAACAGAGATGATATAGAGAGACTGAGGCTGAGCATGGTGGCTCACACCTGTAAGCAGCACTTTGGGAGGCAGAGGCAGGCGGATCACTTGAGGTCAGGAGTTTGAAACCAGCCTGGCCAACACGGTGAAACCCCATCTCTACTAAAAATACAAAAATTAGCCAGGCATGGTGGTACAAGCCTGTAATCCCAGTACTTCGGGAGTCTGAGGCAGGCAGATCGCTTGACATCAGGGGTTTGAAACCAGTCTGGCCAACATGATAAAACCCCGTCTCTACTAAAAATACAAAAATTAGCCGGGCATGGTGGCACATGCCTGTAATCCCAAATACTGGGGAGGCTGAGGCAGGAGAATCACTTGAGCCCCGAAGGCGGAGGTTGCAGTGAGCTGAGATTGCACCACTGCACTCCAGTCTGGGTGACAGAGTGAGGCTCCGACTCAGAAAAAAAAAAAAAGAAACCAAGAGATGTCCTGTTGTCAAGGTTAAGTACTACCCCACCCCTCAACTGCCCTGTTAGGGAAAATAAGGCAGTTGCATTTTCAGACACGCAAGTGGGACCCGCCGAGATTAAAAATGCAAGAAGCAGCGGTTCACAGGATGCCGAGGATGACTGGACTTCCTGTCCACCCCCTGGGCCTGGCCAGAGCTTCTGCAGGCACTTCAGGCTCCCCTGATGGTGGCGGTGATGCCGTGGGTGCTCGGGGACAGTGGGAATGCAGTGACACCACTCGGGCTAGAGAACCCCCCGGAGGCTCTTGCATTGGTCGTCCTGGGCCATGCACAGCCTGGAACTGGCCGCTATCCAATTTTGCATCTGGGAAGTGTTCATCGATTGCTAGAAAAATAATCAGGTCGAACGCAGGCCATTTCCGGTAAAGAGGCTCTAGGGAAGCACCTTCAGGCCAGATGACTCAGGACTGTGCGGAGTGTGTGTGGTCTGGGAGCCGGCTGCCTGCCGGGCCCGGGTGCTCTGCAGGGAAACAGTTGGCTGCCTGAGGGCTCATTCATGGCTGTTTCCCCTGGAAGGGCGGCGCAGGAGCCCGGTTCTGCAGCCCTGCCGACGCCGTGTCACAGACACAGCTCTTCATGGATGCATCTGGTTTCCCATGGCTGCGGTAACAAGTGACCACAAGGTTGGCGGCTGGAAACAGCTTAAGTATCCCATCTTACGGTTCTGGAGGTCAGAAGTCTGAGATCGGCATCACTGGGCTAAAGTCAAGGTGTGGGCGGGGCTGGTTGCTCCTGGAACCTCCAGGGGAGAATCGTCTCCTTGACTTTTCCAGCTTCTAGAGGCTGCCTGTACTCCTGGGCTCATGGCCCCTTCGTCCATCCTCAGAGTGCATCACTCCAACCTCGGCTTCCATCATCACAGCACCTTCTCTTCTGACGCTGACCCTCTGGCCTCCCTCTTACAAGGGAGGCTTGTGATTCCGTGGGGGCCACAGGAGAATTCAGGCCGCTCTTCCCATGTCACCACCCTTAGCAGAATCACGTCTGCAGAGGCCCCGTTACAATGAATGCTGGGTCCAATCGCGTTTCCCAAAAATCCATGTCCACCTGGGACCTCAGAATGGGACCTTATATGGAACTAGGGTCTCTGCAGATGTAATCACATTAAGATGATGTCACACTCAACTAGGATGGGCCCTAATCTAGTGCCTGATGTCTTCATAAGAAGAGGAAAGTTTGGACACAGATGCACCGGGAAGGTGGCCATGTGAAGAGGAAGTCGGAGATTGGAATGGCCACAGACGGGACATCAGGCATTGCCGGCCACCAGAAGCTGAGACATGTGCAGATGGATCCTCCCTAGGCCCTTCGGGAAGAGCATGGCCCCTTCGACACCTTGATCTTGGACTCCTGGCCTCCAGGACTGTGGGAAAATGCGTTTGCGTTGTTTGAAGCCCCCTGTTTCTGGTACTTAGTTACAGCCGCCCTAGGAGCAAATGCATCGTGTAAGGGCACATTTGCAAGCTCCAGGAGTCAGGAACAGGCCTAGACGGGGTGCCATTATTCAGCCCTCCACAGACCCTTAGCAGGGCGGAGAAATGGGCCAAGCCCCCTGTCAAGGAAGAGCTGGAGAGTGGAGAGGGCACCTGGAAGGGTGTCAGAGTGGCGTGGCTCTGCAGAACGGGGCCTGTCACAGGGCAGGTGCTCAAGCCCATGTGGATAAGGTGCGTAAGTTGAGACTGTCACATGTGAAGGTGGCCTCTGCTGCCAGGCGGGCCATGAGACTCTTTTTTTTTTTTTTTTTTTTTTTTTTTTTTACACAGAATCTTGCTCTGTTACCCAGGCTGGAGTGCAGTGGTGTGATCTCGGCTCACTGCAATCTCTGCCTCCTGGGCTCAAGTGATTTTCCCACCTCGCCTCAGCCTCCCAACTAGCTGGGAATACAGGCATGCACCACCATGCCCGGCTAATTTTTTGTTTTTTGTAGGGATGAGCGTCTTGCTATGTCGCTCAGGCTGGTCTTGAACTCCTGGCCTCAAGTGATCCTCTTGCCTTGGCCTCTCAAAGTGCTGGGATTATAGGCGTGCGCCACTGCACCCGGCCTGAGACCTTTTCTTTCTTTCTTTTCTTTTCCTTTTTTTTTTTTAATTGAGGCGGAGGTTCTCTCTTGTTGCCCAGGCTGGAGTGCAATTGTGCGATCTCGGGTCACTGCAACCTCCACCTCCCAGATTCTCCTGCCTCAGCCTCCGAAGTAGCTGGGATAACAATCATGCGCCACCACGCCCAGCTAAGGTTTTTTATTTTTAGTAGAGACAGGTTTTCACCATGTTGGCCAGGTGGGTCTTGAACTCCTGACCTCAAGTGATCTGCCCTCTTCGGCCTCCCAAAGTGCTGGGATTACAGGCGTGAACCACTGCACCCGGCCTGAGACCATTTTTTAAAAGTGTACATAGACCCCAACTGGGTGAGCTAATGGAACCACCTCAGTATTCCAGAGCAAGACACAGAAGGACGCTGAGGGAGGGACTGACCCTGGGACACTGGGATCCCAAATCCCTGGTCGTCTTGGTGCCTGCCTTCAACACACCTGCCTCTCCTCATGTGGGCTAACCTGGCATCTGAGTCTGTTTCAGACACTAATTTCTTCCCTGTTCCTAGAGCACTGGATGGCCACACCCTCCTGCAGAGACAAACCTTTCTACTGCTCCATCCCCGCCCCAGGCTCCAACCCTGCGCTCCACCCAGAGGGGATGCTGGGAGGGATAGCTCTTCCTCCATGGGCCAGCCCTTAGCTCTGCGGGGGCGGGTGCTCTGTGTCCTCACTTCCCTAAGTGGACACATCTCTGGGGTTTTCATCTGTCCCAATTCCTGTACCACCCCAAGTACCAAGTGCCAGCTCATGGTGGAGGTCAGCGTAGGGCGGAGGCTGGGTGCCAGGCCCCGTTATTGTCTATCCTGGCAATAAAAATCCAATTGTTGTTAATGTCAGTGATAATTAATCTTTAGTTAAACCTTAATATTTACTATGTGCGCAAGCATTTACCTATTTTATTTTAATTCGTTGTACTGGATTGGGTGTTGGCCACCCAAAATTCGCGTCCGCTTGGATCCTCAGAAGGTGGTTTTGGAAATAGGGTCCTTGCAGATTTATTTAGTTAAGGTGAAGTCACACTGGAATTGGGTAGGCCCTAATGATTTATGTGTCTATAAGAGAAGACACAGGCCAGGCACAGTGGCTCACGCCTGTAATCCCAGCACTTTGGGAGGCCGAGGTGGGCGGATCACCTGAGGTCAGGAGTTCGAGACCAGCCTGACTAACATGGAGAAACCCCGTCTCTACTAAAAATACAAAATTAGCTGGGTGTGGTGGTGCATGCCTGTAATCCCAGCTACTCGGGAAGCTGAGGCAGGAGAATTGCTTGAACCCGGGAGGCGGAGGTTGCTGTGAGCTGAGATTGTACCATTGCACTCCAGCCTGGGCAACAAGAGCAAGACTCCGTCTCAAAAAAAAAAAAAAAAAAAAAAAAAAAAAAAGAAGACACACAGACACACACGGGGAGAGAAATGCAGTGACCATGGGGGCAGAGACTGGAGTGGTGCAGCCAGAAGCCAGGGAACTCCAGGGACCTCCAGGGGTCTCCAGGGACCTCCAGGGACCTCCAGGGGTCTCCAGGGACCTCCAGGGACCTCCAGGGGTCTCCAGGGATCTCCAGGGACCTCCAGGGGTCTGCAGTCACCAACAAAGCTGGCAGAGGCAGGGAGGACCCTCCTCTAGAGCCTTCAGAGGGAGCACAGCCCTGCCAGCATCTTGACATCACTTCTGGCCTTCAGAACTAGGAGTGAATACATTTCTGCTGGTTTAATTCACCCAGTTGGGGATAATTCGTATGGCAGTCCTGAGAAAGGAATGCTGTCATTTACCTGCTTATCAAGCTTTGACCAGAAACTCTACTTATTTGAATTTTTTTTCTGGGGTGGGGGTGAGTGGGGCAACCCATGGCAGGGTGATAGCAGTCATAGCGTTTATAGAGACCACAGTGTTGACGACTTGGAGAGCAAAGATGGAGGGGAGATTACTAATGACGAGAACTTCCGATAGTGAGCCCACCTGGCACACAGTGTTAGGAAGGGGTGTTATTATCATTCCCACTTTACAGATGCAACGCTGAGGTGCAGAGACACCAAGGCACGTCTCCAGGGTCTCAAGCCAGGAGGTGTTGGAGCTGGGGTTCACGCCCAACAGGGGACCTGGGGACCCAGCGTGGGTACTGCTGAGTCCTCGCCAGGGGCTTGGCGGGATAAGTTTCCATTCTGTTCCGGCCTGGTGTGGAGGGATCTGGGCTCACACAGGATCCAGCACACACCCTGAAGCCGGGGACACCATCTGCAGGACCTGCAACATCCAGAGGCCTGCCTTCTTCCTGGCCTGACAGGTTTAGAATCTTCCAGAAACCGCACCCTGGAGGTGAAGCCCAGGGCGCCGTCTCCTCTGGAGAAGCCTCCTGACTGTCCTCCAGGGGAGAAAGTGGTCACAGCCGCAGCATTTGCCAAAGGAGCCGCCCAGGGGATATTTTTCTGAGGAATTCCCGCTCCAGGTCATCACCCTAGTTCTCTGACTCCTAAGCTTGGATGATGAAGAAATGAAAGGGGCAGGAACTCAGGGGATGGTGGGAACCCAGGTATGCTTTGGGTATGAGCTTGGGCTGTCCAGGGGTGGTGGTTACAAAGCGGCCTGGGCAAAAAGTCTCTTACGACATCGCGCAGTAGAGCCCCCAGCTTCTCGTAGAGATGCAATCATCCTTCCGTTCTGTGGTTTTCCCCCAAGGTTGAAGAGGTGCCAGATGGAGGATTCAAAGGAAAGAAAGCCAAGATGCAATAACAAAAAAGAAACTCCCTTGTTCTAACATTAGGTCTATTTTCACTTTTCTTTTCCACTCTGTTGCCCAGGCTAGAGTGCAGTGGATCATGGCTCAGTGCAGCCTCAACCTCCCAGCCTCAAGCAATCCTCCCACCTCAGCCTTCCAAGTAGCTGGGAAGACCGAAGGGAATGCTGTCATTTACCTGGAAACAGGTGCATGTCACCACGTCCAGCTAATTTCTTTTGTGTAGAGATGGGGTCTCGCTGTATTGCCCAGGCTGTTCTTGAACTCCTGGCCTCGAGTGATCTTCCTGCCTCAGCCTCCCAAAGTGCTGGGATTCCAGGTGTGAGCCACCATGCCTGGCCTATTTTCACTTTTAAACTAAAGGCGTATCAGGTTTAGCTACTGTGGGTAACAAACACCGTTCCCCTTCTCCCTCACCTAAATGGGGATATAAATGTATCTCTCCTTTATGTAGAAGAAGTCTGACCTAGGCAGTGGGACTGGTATAGAGACCTACAGTGTCAGGGATTCAAGACCCACCATTTGTGCCTTCTGTTCCGAAGGCACCTCATGGGCCAATGTGGCTGCTTTGCTCCAGCCATCATACCCTCATTCCAGGTAGGAAGGAGGAAGGAGAACATGAAGGACACACCTCCTCCTCCCTTTAGAGAGATGTCCTAGAAGTCATACACAACTGTCCCACTCACTTCTCTTTGGCTAAAACTTATTTCTATGGACAGGAGAAGCTGCAAGGCAGGCAGGGGAGTATCATCTTTAGTTGAGTGACAGTGCACACATTTAGAAGTCAGGAATCTTCCTATTATTAAGGAAGAAAGCAGATAAGATATTGGGAGGCAACTTGAGCCGTCTGTGCCACTGCTGGGGACTTTTGTGGTAGAAGGGACCTGGCCCTGAGATGGAGACTTGGGAAGCTGGCGTTAGAGTCCCAGGGCAGCCACCAACTGCCACCCTGGGTGTTGATGACTTGGCAGCCTCATCACTTTTTTAGATCTTTCCTTGGCTTCGGAGGAAGGATTTACGAGCATTCCAGGATACTTTTTTTATACTATTGAAACCATAAAAGCTTTTCCATCCTAAGCCTTGTGGCTAAAGCCTCCATGAATATTCCAGTACTTTCTAACCAAAGAATTCAAGAGGACACCTCCCTTCTGACCACCTCATTGCCTGAGCAGGTGTTCATCTCTAGCAGAAAGCTCACAGGTGGAACTCAGGACTTGAATAGATTCAGGGGGTGCTGGGAGAGAAAGGCCTGCACCTGACCTACAAGTAATGAATGACCACATGACAGAATTGTGAAAAGGTCGGGTTTTGGAGCCTGCTGGGTTCACTCCCTCGGTGACTCTTGCTGTGCCGTCCTTGGCACTTGTTTGATGCGTTGGAACCCCGGTTTTCTCCTTGACTAAATGGGGATCCTGCAGACCCCACCTCATCGTGTTGACATGAGGATGGGATGTAGGATTCCTGTAAAGCTTCCATAGGTGATGAACTTGCCATTCCCATTTCCCTCCCGTGTGTTACTCAGGCAGTGAGTGGCACACGGAGGGTGTAGGCTGTCCTGGTGTCCCTGAGACAGCCTCAGCAGGCCTGTGTATCTGCTGCTCCCTGAGCTGCACACTAAATGAAGCCTCTCTGGGTGAAGCCATTCTCTGGGCAGCCTGGGGCTCGCCAGGTGCCCACAGAGGAAGCATGCTGTTCAGGGGGATGGGATGTCATGCTCTTTGATGCCAGGAGCTCTTCCTCCAAGCCACCCTCACCACAGATCCCCCAGGATCTGTCCAAAATGGAAGCCTCGCCTTTCTGGGGCTCCTCATTCTCTGTTCCCCGTGGGTTGGAGTCTAAATTCCTTTGCAGGTTTCACTCTAGTGAAGGTTCGAGTCTAAAATGATTTGCAGGCATCCACCTCTCCAGCCTCGCCTCCATCCTGGGATTCTCACACCCGCGCTTTCCTGCCTCCAACCTGCACACACCATCCTCTGCCCGGAGAGCCCTGAGCCTGTCTCCTGTGTGTCCTTCTAGATCCATCTATCTTGCCCTTCTCTCTGCCGAGCCCCCCTTCCTTGGGGGAGCTGCTCCTCCCTCACGCAGATTATGTGACCCTGGCAGGGAGCATGTCACGCAGGCTAGCCAGTCACAAGGTCCCTATCCCCTGGCCACAGCCATGGGCTTGTTCCAATGGCCGGATGTCTCAAGTTGGATTCCCTCCCAAACAGATTCTGAGACAGGATGTGGGTGCAAGTAGTTTACTTGAGAGATGATCCCAGGAAATACCAGGGGAGAGTGGGGATGTGAGCTAGGAAAGGCAGCCCATCAAGGGTGGACTATGGAGTCAGCCGCCAGTGGGGGCCCCTGGAGCTCAATCCCACAGGGGACTCTGGGAGCCACTGTGGAGCACACCTCAGGGTCCCCCAGAGAGGTGAGAAAGCTGGGACGTGAGTGCCCCTGTGCCTGTGAAATCATTGGTTGAGGCTGCTGCTGAGTGGCATGACCCACGTTGATTCTAGCCTGCCACAAGTTCCCGTGCACAGCGAAAGTGCTCATGCCGAGGAACACATGTACTGGCGGTAGGAGGTGAGGGTGCGAGGACCAGGATGGGGCATGATGTCATCTGCCAGAGAGGTCATGTGACCCAAGCCAGCCAATCAGTGCCTTTCCCTGGGATTTTTGTTTCTCGATTTGCAGCAAAGTTGGGTGGTGCCAGTCCTGCTGGTCGCAGGGCTGGAGAGGTTGAGTTGATAGCTGCCAGAGACCATCGTCTCTTCCTCCCAGAGTAACAGGAGGGAATATGGCCATGGCTAGGTAGAACCAGGAGGAGAGGGGAGCTGAGGAGAGGGCAGGAGACAATGGCTGTTGTGATTGAGGTCCTGGGCTGAACCTGAAGCCCATCCCTCCCCCTGGATACTTCTGTGACTGCATTTAGCCCGAAAGACAGTGTCTGCCGGTCACCCAGGGTCCCTCCATCAAAATCTCTGTGTCACATCTGCCTTACTCATCTCTTTTCCCTCGTAATGCCCGGTCCAAAGAAAGTCCTCCATGAAGGTCATCAAAAAGAAGAAAAAAATGAACTCGCATTTCACAGCCCTCATCATTAATTTATTTTTAAAAATCTATTTACATTTTCTGCCTGTATTACTTCTTGTGGGGTAACACGAGTTGGATAAATTTGTTGTCGGCTGTTGGATGAATAATTTCCTTTAATTTGCCCTAAATTACCTAAACAGTAAGGGGGTGCCCATCATATTCTGGAATTTGGTGTTCACTTTTCCTACGTGACTCATAGTTTTTTATAGTTAACTAATACTGACCAGGTGTGGTGGCTCATGCCTGTAATCCCAGCACTTTGGGAGGCCAAGGTGAGAAGATTGCTAGAGCCCAGGAGGTCGAGGCTGCAGTGAGCCATGATTATGCCACTGTACTCCGCTTGGGTGACAGAGGGAAACCCTGTCTCAAATAGTAACAAATAATAATAATAATACCACAGCTCAGTCTTTGGCTTCCCAAGCTCTCCTTGTAAAAAGTCATCTCCTCTATTGCTGCATAGACTTCCCTGGTTCCTTCCTATTTCTCTCCCACATTTGTCAGTGAGTTACCGAGCAGGCAGCAGATGCTCAACATATATTCACTGGCTAAATGGATGAATGCACGACAGCCTGTGAGAACAGCAGTAACTCCTGAGTCCCTCTTTGCAAACTTTGGGGTTGTTAACTTAGTTTGGGTTCCCAGAAGCAAACCTTGAGCTGAGGCTTTGAGGGCAGGTAGTCTATTTGAGAGGTGCAAGAAACATAGGAAAGAGATGGGTAAATGATCCAGGGAAAGGAAGAGAGCTGATACAGTGTAGGTTATTAAGCCAGCTACCACATGGCCAATTGGAAAATCCCTCTGGAAAACTCCGGGAAACAGCTCTGAATCATCCCAGCCAAGGACGAGAAATCTGGGGTATTTATATCCCCATCCCCATTTGCTGTTATTAGCCATTGTCCCAGGGGATATTAAATCCTAGGCACTCATGGGCCACCATGCTCATGTGCTGTGTGGGTTCTGATAGCTCAGGGACAGCCCTCCAGCAAAGACACAGGTGTGGCTGTTGGAAGTCAGGTTGGCCTTCACAGAGATGGCTGGGATCTGTGAGGACAGTCGGCTTCAGTCCTAGATGTAGATTATTTACCCAAAGCTGTTGTCCCACTAAATTTGGGGCTTTTTTCTGGATGTGTCTACAGACACTGCACAGACTCTGCTGTGATCAACCCCACCAGCCCACAGCACTATTTCATCATGCTTGTGCAGCCCGATAACTTCCCTTGGTGTCACTCAGTTGAGCTGCAGGTGGACGTCTGCTCCCAACAGACAATTCGATTCTCCCTCTAGGAAGTAGAAGTGGGAGATGGTGAGGCACAGCCTGAGCTGGGCTCTGGGACAGAGGAGAGGTGACCCCCCAAGCTGACGGGATGGCCATGTCCACAGGGAATAGGCGAGGCCTGGCTGCAGAGGGAGACGGGAATCATGTCCAGAGAAGGAGGAAATAGACGGAAAGCACTGCCAGAGGGCCTGGTGCCTTTCCAGGATTCACTCTAGTTGTCTGAGAGTCTTACTTGCCTTGGGTTCCCAAATAACTCAGTATCCTCCCAAGCAGTTCCCTTCTCTGCTTCAGCTAACTTGAGTGGATTTCTGTTACTTGCAACTCCAATTGATTAAGACCTCGCCCCCAGAGCTCCCCACTGTAGGGTCTCCACTGCCCCCAGAGAGTGGCCTGCCGGTGTAAGATGTACAAGGTGTCACCCTTGCCCCCTCCTCTCCAACAAGGCAGACAAGTGGGTCCCATGGAGAGCCTTGGAAGATCATGATTGGCACCTGTTAATACAGAGGTGGCACCATTTTTCCAAGTCTTCTGGAAAAGAGTTAGAAAAATGGCACCACATCACACATCACAAAATGGCACCCCTATGTCTCCTCGCCTCAAATTGTTAGTGGGTTTTTGTTTGTTTGTTTGTTTTGTTTTTCCTGTGAGACAGGGTCTGGCTTTGTTGCCCAGGCTGGAGTACAGAGTGCAGTGGTGCAATCACAGCTCACTGCAGCCTTGACCTCCTGAGCTCAAGCCGTCCTCCCACCTCAGCCTGCCGAGTAGCTGGGACGACAGGCACGCGCCACCATGCCTGGCTGATTTTTCTATTTTTTGTAGAGACGGGGTTTTGCCATGTTGCCCAGGCTTGTTAGTGGTCTTTGATGCCAAATTGAGGGCTGGTGACATTCTGCAGCTGCTGAATGGGTGTGGCAGGAACAAATGAAAAGCTGGGACTCCCCGGCCTTTGCTCTTGATGTCCAGTTCATAGAGCCTCCAATAAAAATAAATGATGAATAAGAAATTGGTGTGAGGACAGGAGCCCTACAGCAATCACATCGAGAGGAAAGAACGACCTTGATCTTTACATCACGTAATTAAACATTTATGACCGCCGGCCCCAGCCACCGTTCTGCAGACATGCATGCGGTCCTTCTGTCGGCCCATCTTGGTCCCAAGAGAGAGTGGGCAGAGGGCTGGGCTCTCCAGGGTGGCCCCACCAGGCTTTCCTGTTCGTTTTTCCAGGTTGGGCTTCATTGTGACCAGAAGGATGACTTTTTTCCTTTGTCTCAAACTGTCCATGACTTAACTCCCTGCCTGGGTAGCAAATAGGAGCCTTTCCTGGGATGTCCAAGGGTATCAGTGACCAGTCCCTTCCCAGGGGGCACTTGGGACGGGACTGGCCATCTTGCCCCTTTCCTTGGTACAAGTTGGTGCTCTCCCATCTGGGACTTCCCAGGGGTCCCCCTTGCCCATGAAACACCATTTTTTTTTTTTCAAATTCAAATGTTATTTTTTGGAAATTAGATTCTGAGATTGCAACATGATGGAAAAGTTGATCACCACTAAACTCCTCTCTCTCTCTTTGCTTTACTGGCTCTAATAATAACGGTATTAACTAACACTTTCTGTGTGTCAGGCCACGTATTACTTCCCATCTATTAACCATTTGTGCCCACAGAGAGAGACAGAGATGCCATTATTACCACATTCATTTCACAGATGGGGCATGGAACGCAGCGACATTAAGTGACTTGCTCAAGGCCAACAACTTGGAAGTGGAGGAGCTGGGATTTGAACTGAGCCTGATGCCGGATGATGACACAAACCAGCAAGCTAAGGATTCAGTCTGCCCCGTGGGTGAGACTGCCCGGACAGCAATCGTGGCTTGCAGAGCAGTGGTCTCTGGTTGCAGCTCTGCCAATGGGGTCCTTGGAGCGTCTGGGCTGGGCTGGGTCTCCCCAAAGCCAACTTGGGCCGGTGAGGAGCCTACAGGGTTGCCATACAAAGGATCTGTAAGGAGATGAGGGTTGGATTAGCAAAGTGGCAAACATTTCACTATTGACAACTGCCAACCCCCGTTCCACCTGCTGGGCCTATGTAGAGGCTGATTCCGTGTAGCTTTCCTTCCTCTTTGCTGGAGTGGGGATGGAGTAGGGACCCAGTTCATTCCATTCCCCTGCACCCAAGGTTTCATGGTCACAGGCAATGGCAGCCACGTGGGTGAGAGTGTGAATTCAAATCCTGGCTCTTCTATTCAGAGGCTGTGTGGCCTCAGGGAAGTGACTTACACTCTCTGTGCTCAGTTCCATCATTGAAAAAATGAGGCTAATAACAGGACCAGCCTGGAGGGTTGTTGGGGGTGGCAGGATTTGGCAGTATAATGCTTTGGGGTCAGGTACTCAGAGGCATCTGTTTTGTTGTTGTTTGTTTGTTTGGTTGGTTGGTTTTGTTTTGAAATAGGGTCTTGCTCTGTCACCCAGGCTGGGATGCAGTGGCTCGATTTCAGCTCACTGCAACCTCCACCTCCCAGGCTCAGGCAATCCTCCCACCTCAGCCTCCTGAGTGGCTGGAACCACAGGCATATGCCACCATGCTGGCTACTTTTTGTAGCAACTGGATTTCATCATGTTGCAGGCTGGTCCTGAACTCAAGCCACCTGCCTGGGCCTCCCAAAGTGCTGGGATTACAGGCCTGAGCCATCGTGCCAGGCCTCCAAAGGCATCTGCTAACACAGATCTCTTCTCCCCTTGGATTTGTCTTTTGTCAATCCAAGGACTGTTGTTCTGGAACAGTCTTATTCACTACTGAGCCCTCCAGTGCTTGAAACAGAGCCCAGCACATAGTAGGTGCTTAATTATTGGATGACTGCATGCCAGTTGAGTGCCTCTGAAGAATGATGCTTCAAAGACTGAGAAAAGTAAAACAAAAAGAGGAAAAAAAGATAACAGAAAACATCTGCATTATTATTATCTTTTTGAGATGGAGTTTTGTTCTTGTCTCCTAGGCTAGAGTGCAATGGCGCCATCTCAGCTCACTGCAACCTCTGCCTCTCAGGTTCGAGCGATTCTCCTGCCTCAGCCTCCCAAGTAGCTGGGACTACAGGCATGCACCACCATGCCCGGCTAATTTTTGTATTTTTAGTAGAGACAGTGTCACCATGTTGGCCGGGATGGTTTCGAACTCCTGATCTCAGGTGATCCGCCCGCCTCAAACTCCCACAGTGCTGGGATTACAGGTGTGAGCCACCGCGCCCGGCCAGTCTGCATTATTCTGTATCTGCATTTGAGCCGCACCAAAATCTTAGGCAAGCCTTCCCTGTTTGAGTCCACGTCACGCAGGCAGCCTTCCATAGTCCTTGTTCCACCCATTCCCCATCCTTGTTTCTCCCACGTGCCCTAGCTCGTGGGGGCCCCAGACTCTGAGATCCCGGAGGTGTCTTGTTTGTGCCTGCTGTATAGCACAGGGCCCGGCACAGAGCGACTCGATGGGTATTTGGGGAATGAGTTAATGCTGGAGGAGCTAATTCCGGTGTCTTGGTGCGGAGATGAGCAGTGCGGACAGGCCCCCTCCTGCCCTTGGGCCCCAGCACCTTACCGCGCAGTGCCTGCATACCCGTCCACATTTTGTGACTGAGGCGGGAGCACGGGGCAGTCCCTTAGCTCTTAAGGAACGTGGATTTACCTGTTTCAAAGGTGATTTCGTCTGGCTCTAAATTGATTTCCGTATGTACCTGCACAGGTTAAAAATGCTAAATGCCTCCGGGCAAAAGAGATATGAACATGCTGCACTGCTCCTAGCTACGGGACTTGGGGCACGCTCTTCTCCAAGCCTCAGCTACTGGATCTGTGAAATGAGGTGATTTCCACCTCCCTGGATTCCTGGGAACGCGTCCTAGGGTCGTTGAAGGTAAAGTGCGGAGCCTGGATCCCCGCGCTAGCGGCCCCATCCGGAAACAAGTCTCCCTTTCTTCGTCTGCAAATTGGGAAGAGGGGGCCTAAGTTTTCTGAGCACGTGTAGAGGGTGGGAGTCACCTCAGTAACTGTGTACTCTGCACCGCGCCACAGTTCACAGCGCCCAGCCCTTGCGGATTTCATTTGCTAAAATCCTGGGAGGTCGCCTCCTTATTCCTATTTTCCAGTTGAGCTGCAGAGAGCTGGGGTTTGGTAAATTTGCAAGCCCCTTGTGGGAAGCGCTTGGCACCGCGCCAGGCGCATAGTAAGCGCTCAATGAAAACTATGCTTGTGTGGCCAGTGGCGAGGGAGCTGAGCGTCTCCTTGTCCCTAGCCGGCCCTGGAGGCCAGCGGCCCCGCCTTCCTCGCCCACCCGGCGCCCGCGCCTCAGCTGCCCCCCGCCTCCTTCAGCCCGCTGAGCCTGCGGGGCGGGGCCGGGGGCGGGGCCGGTGATGCTCGGTCCTACCAGCGCCGCCAGCGATCTGGGGGCGTGGCCTCCGGGCTCCGGGGAGCCTACAAGAGGCGGTACGCTGAGCCCCGGCACCCACTCGCATCCCAGGGCGTCTCCGGCTGCTCCTATTGAGCTGTCTGCTCGCTGTGCCCGCTGTGCCTGCTGTGCCCGCGCTGTCGCCGCTGCTACCGCGTCTGCTGGACGCGGGAGACGCCAGCGAGCTGGTGATTGGAGCCCTGCGGAGGTAAGTGTGATTTCCATGCTTCTCCCTTTTGCAAACTGTTACCCCCCCGAGAAGCTGGAATAACTAGGACAGATGCCACCTCGCAGGGCTGACTGTGTGCTGGCACCACACCGAGTGCTCTGCTTGCATAGCGGAACACAGCTTTGCGACATGCCCTTTTGCAGATGGAGAAACTGAGGCTCAGCGAGGACAACTCATTTGTCCAGGACCTCGCAGCCAGGACTCCAAGGACCCAGGATTCAACGCCGATCTGAGCGCAGAATCCTGCTCCTTAGAGGCTGTTTACTCTCTTGCCTTCCTCGTGCAGTTCACTAGCATTTGTTGCATTCCTGTGTTCGTAGTGGGTGTCAATAACTGGAAAGCTGATGGCATGGATATGGCAGGCATTAGAATGTGTCCTACTCATGTCTGGAGGACCAGGGTGATCTAGTGGCATGTGCATTCAGCTGCAGTTTAGAGGGCCACGCCCCTCTGTGATTTCATTTGCAAGGTAGCCTTCTTCCCACATTTCAGATGAAGATGCTGAGGGTCAGAGAGGTGAAGTAAGTTGTCCGGGCAGAGCCAGGGCTGGAACCCAGCTCTGTCTGTCTCCAGAGCTTCAAATGGATGTGTAGAGACTTGGGGCCATGTCAGGGTTCTGCAGTCTGGGGGAACACGTTTCTGGGTTTCTTTAGCCAGAGCGGGCACCTGCATAACTCCTGCGTGGGGAGAGTTACCCTGGAAGCGGAGGGCTCACTCTGGAGTGTGGGGGAGATCGGTCGTCCCACGTGGACAGAGCCAGGGCTAGTCCCTCATGTGCTGCAGACCCAGAGCCTCCCTTGCTAAGGCTGGGCTGGTGGACAAGCCAGGGAGGACTTCGCTGATGCCTGCTCATCGCAGTCCAACTTGAATTGGGCGTCTCTCAGCCAAAATGTGAGTTGCTGCCCTGGCTGAGAGAAGCATCCCGTGCAAATGCCTAGCTTGCCTTGCAACCGAGAGTGGGGTTGTGAGTTTCCCCTTTGGGCCTTTGGACCTCTTGCCCTGGTAGAATGGGGTGAGCCTGCTTTCCCCATCCAGGGTCTGATGTCTGACAGTGAGGAGAGCCTGCAGAACAGGACCGGGGCGTGGTCCTTTCCAGTAGACTGAGGCCATGAGTTGTGACTGTCGGCTGTCCCAGGGCTCCTTGGGTTGTATGCACCTGATTTTCTGCTTCTGCCCCTGATCTGGCTGTTCCCACTCAGGAGAAGGGGTGGGTGTGTGACTGTGTTGCCTGTGCGGCAGGCACGCGGTCTGTGCCACGCAGTTTACCTGTATTGTCATCGCTGCAACACCCCGGGGAGTAGGCCTCTTGATGCCCACTTCACAGCTGAGGAAACTGAGGCTCAGCAAGGTGAAGTGCTTGCCTAAGATCCCCCAGCTGGTATGGAATGCTGTCACCCCCAGGTGGGTCCTATCTGCACTCTTGACCCTGCTTTCTTTAAGACACTTCCCTGCCCACTGCCAACTCCACCCATGAACCTGACCTTCACACAGGTGATGTTTTGTCTTACAGGGGCTCCAGTTAAAACCACTGGACAATGTACCCAGGGAGGAGAAACCAAGAGGGTGATTTTGATTTTTTCAGAGTTTCTTAAGATGTGAGAGTAGGAATAGTAATAATGCCATTTGTAATAATACAAGCAGCTGACATTTACATGATGCTTAGTACAGACCAGACATGCCCAGGGTTTCCACGGATGAGCTCACTGCCTGCTCTATTAGCTGGGCACTTTTTACAAGGAGTTAGTTGAGGCTCAGAATTATTAAGGTGTGTGCCCAACATGACACAGCCAGGGCGGGGTAGAGCTGCCGTCCAGGCTGGGCCCTGCCCCAGATTCTGGGGGAAGGTGCCCATCTAATGACCAGCCACATGACTGTCCCAGCAGAGCTTGCTGCTAGTTGAGGCTTTCTGTGCCATGTGGGAGTTTTTTTAACGTTGGCAGGGATCTGGGTCCCTGGTCCCTGTTGGGGTGAGGCTGGGAGGGGATCAACTGACCCTGGGCTTGGGCTCAACATTGCTGACAGGTACTGAGAGCCCCGTCCCAGGACCCAAATCAGTGCTGGTTCTGAGTCCTGCCTCTGTCCTGGAGAGGAGAGTTGGTTTGACTGGGAAGGCCTGAGCTAGGGAAGAAGACTGCGAGGTCTCTTAAAACCTCTGCACTTCATCCCTCAAAAGACCACAAATTAAGTATGTGGCCCTTTGTAAGTTGCATTTGAAAGTTTTTGGAGGCAGGACCCTCTGACGTCTTTGGAGGTCAGAAAGTTTTTGGAGGCAGGGCACTGACCTCTTTGGCCTGTGGGAACTGGAACTTTTCTTTCCTCTGTCACCAGCGTCATTTGCTGTGTGTGGGAGGTGTCTGCATGTCTGCCTGCGCCAGACTCAGGAGGCTTTTTCTTTCTTTTTCTTTTTTCTTCTTTTGCAAACGCACTGGTTTTTGATCAGTCCCAGATGTGCAAACCCAGGATCACTCAAACGGGCTGACGGCTTGTCAGGAAAGGAAAATTCAATCTGGGCATATTTCACTTCGTCTTCAGTTCATTGAGTGGAACAGATGCTCAGACCTTCCAGGGACAGGGACCTAAAGCACGTTGTAAAGTCTTAAATAGAGCACGCTGAGTTCTGGGACAGGCAAGGGACAGGTAGATCTGGGTGGTGGTTAATAGGATGGGCCATGTTCTGTTTTTCTTTTTCCTGAAAAGATGTATTGTGGTAAAAATACACATAAACATAAAATTTACCATTTAACCCATTTTGAAGTGTACAATTCAGTGGCGTTTAGTACATTGGAAGTATTGTGCAGCCACCACCACTAATTCCAGAGCGTTTCATCATCTCGTAAGGAAACCCCAGGCCCATTAGGCATCATTCGCCATTCTCCTCCCTTCAGCCGCTCATCTCCTTTCTGTCTCTACGAACTTGCTTATTCTGGACATTTCATGTAAATGGAACCACACAATGTGTGGCCTTTTGTGTCTGGCTCCTCTCACTCAGCATCATGTTTTCAAGGTTCATCCATGTTGTAATGTGTATGAGACCTTCGTTCCTTTTTTATGGCTGAGTAATATTCCATTGCATTAATAGACCACGTTTTGTTTATTCATTCTTCCACTGAAGGAAATCTGGGCTGTTTCCACCTTTGGCTTTTACAGAGGCTTCTGCTGTGAACATTTGTGTACAAGGTTTTTTGAGGGCGGATGTTTTCATATCTCTTGAGTGTTTACCTGGGAGGGAATTGCTGGGTCATATGGTAACTTTATGTTTAACTTATTGAGGAGACTGTGGCCTCTTTTTTGAGTTCCTTCTTGAAGCATCAACTCAGGTCATGTCATTCCAGAATGTGTTGCTGGCCTTCTCCATGGGTGCAGGGAAGCCCTGGCATTTGGCATTTGTGGGCAGTGTTGGCGTGCCACCTGGGTCACAGCAGCAGCAGGCAGGGAATCCTGAGACATCGCCCTGGGGGAGCCCTGCCTTCTACCCCAGGCTGTACAATGACGAGTACTCTTGGACAAAGACCCCTCTTGCAAGGCTGCGAGGACATCATGGTCCAGCCCGAGGGAGATTTATCTTTGATTGTCTTGAGTGCTGCATCAGCTAAGACAAAAACCACAGAGTCAGAGGGAAAAAAAACGTCCTGATGAGGATTGTGCAATTTCCGGACCATCATTTTTTAAAAATTATAAATTATGAAATCCCACATTTTCAATCCCAATTTCTGGAACGTGTTTTATTTTGAGCACAGAATGGCAACATCCCAGGAAAAAAAGTCATGCTCCCATTTTGCTTGTAATCAAGTGAGCTGGAACTGACCCTACCCCAAATATTTTTTGAATAGGGAAAAGACTCAACTGGACCCCTCTAAGGACTGGGAGCTGGCATGGAGCTGGCATCTTCTGAGACTGACTTGAGAAGAGCCTGATAACGCCTAGAGGAAACAGGCAGGGTTTTGCGAGCAGGGGAAGATGATAGTGGGTGGGTGGGGAGCTGGCGAGGGTGCCCCAGGCAGAGGCACCGTGTGTGTGCAAAGGCCTGCAGGTGGAGAAGGGCCTGGGACTCTTGGAGAATGGCAGGAAGTTTGGTGTGCCTGTAGTCTACGAGCCAGGCTCAGGGCAGCAAAGGTCTGTCCTGCAGGTGTTGTGATGAGCTGTACCACTTAGTGGGCACCATCAAGATGAACAGAGAGTAACACGGTGGCACTGAGAACTTGAGAACAGCTCACTCTAGAATGAACTGTGTCCTCCAAAGTGTGCAGAGCCAATACCTAGGGGTCCCCAAGGTGACTGAGCACGGGCACAGATCCAGCAGCAAATCCCCCCAGTCCAAGAGCTGTTCTTTCCATTCTCTGTTCTTTCCATTCTCTGTTCTTCCGGTCCTTCTGCTTATGGCAAGGTGAAAGTCACAGGTGGAATTGTCCCTATCACCTCTCCCACACCCTGATCTCCTTTTACAACAAAGAGCAAGCATCCTCTACAACAAAGCCTTTGGTTGGTGTCAGTGCCTGGCTGGGAGGAAGTAACTGTTGTTTTTACTGTGTTTAATTTCACTCCTGCCGTCTGTTCACGGCACCAGTGATCAGGTTCTCTGCCAGTGGGAGTGATAGAAAGTTACCTTTTTAAAGTAAATTTCTTGGAACGCAAAAAACAAGCCAAGTTAAATAAAAATACAAAATATGGGGCCAGGCGCGGTGGCTCATGCCTGTCATCCCAGCACTTTGGGAGGCTGAGACGGTGGATCACCTGAGGTCAGGAGTTTGAGACCAGCCTGACCAACAAGGTGAAACCCCATCTCTACTAAAAATACAAAAATTAGCCGGGCGTGGTGGCAGGCACCTGTAGTCCCAGCTACTCGGGAGGCTGAGACAGAAGAATTGCTTGAACCCGGGAGGCGGAGGTTGCAGTGAGCCGAGATCACGCCACCACTGCACTCCAGCCTGGGTGACGGAGCGAGATGCCATTTCAAAACAAAAACAAAATATGTACTGGTACCAGTACACAGTAGGAAGGTGGGCAAAACTTGGGAAGGGGGATATTCAAAGGACAGGGTTTGGGAAATGCTGGATCAAGGTCGGGGAAGAAGGAGAACTGAGAGGCTGTTATAATTTAGAGAAGTGCTTCTCAGAGTGGGGGCCAGCAGCCAGGCGCCGTGGCTCATGCCTGTAACCTTAACACTTTGGGAGGTCTAGGCGGGAGGATTGCCTGAGCCCAGGAGTTCGAGTCCAGCTTGTGCAACATAGTGAGATGCTGTCTCTACAAAAAATTTAAAAATTAGCTGGTGTCCTCTCAGTGTGTCTTGTCCTCTCCATGTTTCTAAAATAAAGGAAGAAAGGCCCAGCGCAGTGGCGTACACCTATAGTCTCAGCACTTTGGGAGGCCAAGGTGGGCAGATCACTTGAGGTCAGGAGTTCGAGACCAGCCTGGCTAACATGGCAAAACCTTGTTTCTACTGGAAATACAAAAATTAGCTAGGCGTGGTGGTGCACGCCTGTAATCCCAGCTACTTGGGAGGCTGAGGGAGGAGAACCGCTTGAGCCTGGGAGGCAGAGGCTGCAGTGAGCCAAGATCACACACTGCACTCCAGCCTGGGTGACAGAGCGAGACTCCATCTCAAATAAATAAATAAATAAATAAAAATAAATACATAAATACATAAAATAAAAGAAGAAAAAAAATTAGCCAGCCGTGGTAGGGCACACCTGTAATTCCAGCTTCTTGGGAGGTAGAAGACTTGAGCCCAGGAGGCTGAGGCTGCAGTGAGCAGTGTTCACGCCACGGCACTCCAACCTGAACAACAGAGTGAGACCCTGTCTCAAAAAAAAAAAAGTGGGTTCCTGGCCTGGAAGCACCTGAGGACTCATAGAAATGCAGGTTTTCAGGCTTCCCTGGAGACCTGGATCAGAAGCTGTGGGGTGGGGCTGGCAGTCTGTTGTAACAAAGCATCCTGTTATCCTAGAAAGCTAAAGAAGGCTTGCCCTGGGGCCCTGGCACAAAGGTGGGGCATGGAGGGCTGGCTACTGGGGTCAGCGTGGAGCTGTGTGGACGGTTCTGGTTATAGGGCCTGGTGTGACCAGAAAGAAGTCACGAGTGACCTGGGAGCTGAAAGACCACCTCCCTCCAAAATCAGGAAGGCCCCTTAAGAACAAGTTGTTGGCATATTTGGAAGGCTTTCTTCCAGAAGAACACTCAGCCCTTTGGCACTTTGTGCTGAAGCTGTGACGCCCTGATGCTCCAGGGCCTGAGTCAGTGTCCTGAGGATGCTGGCACCCTCCTTCAGAGCACGTTTCATGCCCCTATGTGCCTGGGAAGAGCCAGCTACGCACATTTACTTATAACCCCTGAAGGGGTGAGCTGTTTCCTCAAGGGCATTGAAGACACCTCTATGATGTGTGTCCATCTTCCCTGCCATCTCTCCCTCCTGCCCCAGGCCTGCTGCCCACACAGCCAGTCCGTTCGCCCCGGGAGGGAAGACACGGTTTATTCCCCGGGACCTGCGAGGCTGGGGCTGCCCTGGGACTGAGAAGGTATTTTCAGCTGGGCCTTGGCATCGCAGGACAAAGTGCTCTCTCAGACTTGGGATGAACTGGGCCCTGTCTAGGAGAGTCGTGTGCGGGTCCAAGGGGGAGGCCCCACCGCCAGCTGGACTTTATCTGGGGCCTGACACATCGCAGTTCACTTTGAAGGCTGCTGAGCCGGGGCCCCAGGCCTGTTTCAGCTCTGAGACTCCTGAGGGAAAGGCCCCGGGATTTTCTCTTGCATAATGGTGTGCTCTCTCCTTGGACCACTCCTGCCCTCTTAATCCAGTCTTCAAACAGAGGTCAGAGCAACATCAAATTTTTTTTTTTTATAATTTCTTGTTGATGCTTAACATACCAGGGAAGAGGGCACAGCCGTCTCTGTACCGGCAGAGAGATTTTCACAAAGCGCCGTAGCCCCGGTCACAGCAGAGCCTGGCCGGCCCCCAGAAGCCCCCCAGGCCCCTCTCACTGCCCCCGCACCCCCCAAGGTAGTCATTTCCGGACTTCTAAGGGCACAGGCTGGGTTTGCCTGGTTTGGACTTGACTTAAATGAAACCATGCGTGTTGAATCCCCGGAGTCTGGCCCCTTCTGTTGGTTGAGCACCGTGTCTGCGGGGTTTGTCTGTGCTGTTGTGTGTTGCAAGGCTTTTGCGACACAAACCAGACCCTGTCACCGCCCGACTTCCCTCCCTCGAGGGCCCTCTTTGCATTTAGAGCAAAACCAAGAGTCCTCACCGTGGCCTTCAAGGCTGCTCACCACCTGGCCCTGGCTGCCTCCTGACCCCATTCCTCCCCAGCTTCATGGGCTTTTCGCCTGTCCTCGGTCACGGTCACGCCTCGACTGTGACCCCTTCTGAGCCTTTGTCCTTGCCCTTCCTGCTGCCTGCAGTGCCCTTTCTTTTTTTTTTTTTTTTTCTTTTTTCTGAGAAGGAGTCTCACTCTGTTGCTCAGGCTGGACTGCAGTGGTGCGATCTCAGCTCTTTGCAACCTTCACCTCCCGGATTCAAGCGATTCTCTTGCCTCAGCCTCCCAAGTAGCTGGGACTACAGGCATGTGCCACCACGCCCAGCTAATTCTTGTATTTTTAGTAGAGACAGGGTTTCACCATGTTGGCCAGGCTGGTCTCGAACTCCTGACCTCAGGTGATCTGCCCTTCTCAGCCTCCCAAAGTGCTGGGATTACAGGTGCGAGCCGCCGCACCGGGCCTACAGTGCCCTTTCTTTAAGAGCTCAGCAGGACCTTGCCGTCTACCCCAACCAGAGTGGTTCTGCCCCCCTCCTCTGTTCATCTTCGCCATCCGTGTGTCCGGGATGTCCTGCTCACACCTTCGGTATTTACCTGTCCGCTGCCCGTTTGTTTACTCTCTGTCTCCTCCCAGTCCCGAGGGCAGATTCGGTCTTTTTCACTTGCAGATCCCAAGGACTCCTGGGATTTTCACCTGCAGAGTGCTATGGAGGTTCCGCAGCCAGCTCTCGACTCATCTTCGCGGATGCCACCTGTCAGTGAATCACGCTTCTCAGGCAGGGAGACTGGCCCGGGCTGCCAGCCCTGGAGCCCAGCACAGAGATGACCTGGGGCCCTGAATTTACTCAGGAGGAGAAGGGAAAGAAACATCATTAAACACCATTAAGTTCCTGGGATTCTGTCACTG
Source organism: Homo sapiens (assembly GCF_000001405.40). Lineage (NCBI taxonomy): Eukaryota > Metazoa > Chordata > Mammalia > Primates > Hominidae > Homo > Homo sapiens. The sequence continues at coordinate 84,828,312 of NC_000016.10, forward strand.
GGCCCTTTATAAACATGATCCTGGGTAGTCATAGCACCCTTCCTCCCCTAGCCATGGAAGAAACTCAGGGCCTCATGCATGAGTGAGGAATTAGAGGCTTGAGGAAGTTGAGGCATGCCCAGCTCCATGCAGTGGCGGCAGAATTCGAACCCAGAGCTGCCCATTCTTCTCTATGCCTTTCCTCATTGCCTTCTGGGAGTCCGTAATTCCTTTCCCTTCGGAGAGGGAGGGCTCCTGCTGTTTATCTTTTAAAGCTTTGCTGGGAACATTGTTTCCAGGGAAACAACCACACGTCTTCAAGAAGGGAGAAAGGTGCCCCAGGAGTTATGTCCTGGGGTTTTAAAGAATGTATTAATTTATTACCTGGTCCCTTAAAAGTGACTTTTCTTATATATCACCTTGGCTTGCATCGAATGCACCTGCTTTTCAGTTCTTTTTTTTTCACATAGTGCATTAAATAAGAGTTTGTTGAATGACTATTTTCTTTTTGTCCAGAATTTTGTATATGCTTAGCATAGTATGTAAACAATGAAAAGCATTGTATAGATTTTTTGCTCAATTAAGCATCCAGACATATTGACTCAGAAATCCCATAAGAATATATCTTTTGTTAATTAGCTGGACGTGGTGGTGCGTGCCTGTAGTCCCAGCTACTCGGGAGGCTAAGGCAGAAGAATCGCTTAAACCCAGGAGGCAGAGGTTCCAGTGAGCTGAGATCTTACCACTGCACTCCATCCTGGGGACAGAACAAGACTCCGTCTCAAAAAGGAAAAAAAAAAAGAATATTATCTTTTGTTGAGGTGACAGGAGGAGAGAAGGTGCCTTGTGGGGCTGGTGTCGCCTTTAAGCTGAGTGGACTGTTGGCTGTCCTGGGGAGATGGGGAATTCAGCACAGTGCAGGCAGCAGCTAGGGAAGGAGCTGGAGCTGGACTGTGGCCTCCCTTGGGTCTGGCTTCAATCCTGCCAAGAAGGGTTTAAGGAAAACTGCCAGGCTGCAGTGAGTAGGGGAGAAAGGGCCCCCACTCACTGCGTGGTGCTTACCCAGGCGCTCTAACGGGATGTTCTGCTCAGTCAAGGGATCTGCCAGAGACACAAACGGGGGGAGTGGAGTACCCCTCCTTCCAGCCACTGCTTCATTCCTGGAATTTCTGGGTGGTTTGTGGGTATGACTCTGATCTGCCCTTGGCCTCTTGCTCAGATCTGAGTTCTCCTTTGATACTTGTGAGGAAGGGTAGAGCCTAGAGAACACCCCGACCCCCAGGCTTCTGGGGTCAGCTGCTCTCCTGTGGACCATGGGTCTCAGCTGAGTGGTGCAGGGCCACAGGTCAGAACTGCCCTGATGTTTAAGAGAGTCGCTGCGTGGACGACCCAGGACTGGTAAGTGACCAGGGCGTAGTGAATGAATCGACATTGTCCTCAGGCCTTATGTGTGACCACAGGCAAGTTGCTTATCTTTTTTAAGCCTCAGTTTCATCGTCTGTAAAATAGGGCTATTGTCACAGTGGCCTCATCAGTTTGTGGACCACATGAAATGTTCAGTGCAGGAGTAGAGGGCCCAGGCCACGCCTGCGGCAGCCCCTTCCTCATCCCACGTTGGCGTGGGTTTGGTGATGAACATTTGCTGGGGGCATAAAGTTGATTGAACAAGGCTCAGTGCTGGCCAATGGTGAACTGCAGCCAGCTTGGACTGGCTCATACCAGCTCTTGAGAGCTGATAGTTACATTTTCAGGGCCAGCGTAGTGGCTCACACCTGTAATCCCAACACTTTGGGAGGCTGAGGTGGGAGGATCACTTAAGCTCGGGAGTTCGAGGGTGGCCTGGGCAACATAGTGAAACCCCTTTTCTACTATAAATACAAAATTAGCTGTGCCTGGTGTTGCACACCTGTAGTCCCAGCAACTTGGGAGGCTGAGGTGGGAGGATCATTTGAGCCTGGGAGGTTGAGGCTGCAGTGAGACATGATTGCACCACTGCACTCTAGCCTGGGTAATAGTGAGACCCTGCCTCAAAACAAATAAATAAATAAAATTCAGTAAAAAATGGATTGCGAACCAGTTCAACACAACCAGCATTAAACGTTAGATTATAAAAACTTACAGTTAAGTTATATTCCGGGCATGGTGGCTCACGCCTGTAATCTTGGCACTTTGGGAGGCCGAGGCGGGTGGATTGCCTGAGGTCAGGAGTTCAAGACCAGCCTGACCAATATGGGAAACCCTGTCTCTACTAAAAATACAAAAATTAGCCAGGCGTGGTGGCATGCACCTCTAGTCCCAGCTACTCCGGAGGTTGAGACAGGAGAATTGCTTGAACCCAGGCGGTGGAGGTTGCAGTGAGCTGAGATCATGCTATTGCACTCTAGCCTCAGCCTGGGCTACAGAGTGAGACTCTGTCTTAAAAAAAAAAAAAAGTCATATTTAAAAAGAAGGTAATAAATACTTAAAACCTATCACTTTTGACTTTTTTCCTGCATTTTACTGTGGCCTCTGCTCTTGAGATTATCAGTGTCTATGGGATCTGCGTGATGGAAAGGCTGCGTGACCGTGTGCTTCTGGGGATCTCTTTCCAGAAACTCCATGCTCGGTGACTTCACACTGGTTGCTTGAAGTTGGCCATGGTGGGAGTATTTACACCAAGGGAATTGGCAAACACCGCAAGGCAGGCTGGTTTTTGCTTGGTTTTTGTTTTGGAAGCTGGTGGTGAACGATTTACCATCCCACCACTGTTCCGGCCCTTGAGAAGCTCGGGGTCCAGGGAGGGAGGCTGAGAGTCAGAGCGGCTGCAATCCTGGGTGGGGAGCCCAGGGCCGGGGGTGCCCATGGGCCTGTCAACTCAGCTGAGACGCAGCCATGGAAGAGGACAGAGCTCCATGACAGAAAATGACATCTGACAGGATAACCTCGGTGTGAATCACCAAATACATTTGCATGGGTGGCACCTGGCCAGGTGGTGACATGAATCCCCCAGACCTGGCACATGACATCTTGGACATCTGGGGAAAAATGGCCAATGCTCAAGGTATATACAGAGCTAATATACGTTTCAAATTCAGTAGAGGGTCCCCCTGCCATCCCCCAAGCATTGGACATTTAACAGATTTTTTTTCCTTTTTTCTTTTGAGATAGAGTCGCCCAGGCTGGAAAGCAGTAGCACGATCTACAGTCTGCATCTCCCAGGCTCAAGCGATCCTCCCGTCTCAGCCCCTCCACGAGTAGCTGGGACTACAGGCATGTGGCACCGTGCTTGGCTAATTTTTTTATTATTATTATTTTTAGTAGAGACAGGAGCTCACCATGTTTCCCAGGCTGGTCTCAAACTCCTGAGCTCAAGCGATCCTCCCAGCTCAACATCCCAAAGTGCTGGGATTATAGATGTGAGTCACCGCACCTGGCCTAATAGGATTTTTATTTTTTTTAATTTTTAAATTTTCAAATTTTTTATTTTTTGAGTCTTGCCGTGTCACCCAGGCGGGAGTGCAGAGGCACGATCTCGGCTCACTGCAACCTCCACCTCCCAGATTCAAGTGATTTTCCTGCCTCAGCCTCCTGAGTAGCTGGAACTACAGACACGCACCACCACACCTGGCTAAGGTTTGTACTTTTAGTAAAGATGGGGTTTCACCACATTGGCCAGGCTGCTCTTGATCTCCTGACCTCAGGTGATCCACCCACCTTGGCCTCCCAACGTTCTGGGATTGCAGGCGTGAGCCGCCATGTCCAGCCGGATTTTTAAACATTGGATTTTGTTAAGGTAAACGTGGGCTTTGAAATAATATGAAGAGAGAATTGTCTGTTCATAGCATTCCACATTATTCACTCCAGCCTTCTAAAATCCCTTCAAACGATGCATTTTTGGAGGCTCTGGCACAGCCTCCTTATTATAACAGGCAGTGCACTGACTGGGGACTGAAGTTCAGGACCTTTTTCCTTCCTCACAGCCGTAGGGCCTGTCACTCCCCTCCACCCACAGACGTGAACTCAAGAAGCTCGGTGCTGTGTCCAAGATGACACAGGCTTGGGCAAGGCCAAGGGCCAGTGAGGGGCAAGGTCAAGAATTGAACCCAGGTCTCTCTTCCCCGACAGCCCATGCTGCAGTCAGTAAAGAAGCAGCCCAAATCAGACGTAGTCCTTATATGGCTTTTCTGATCTAGCTGGGAGCAGGAGGGGGCCACAGAGTCATCCCGTAAATATTTATCAAACACTGACTTAGACATCGACGCTTCGGCGGTGAACGAGACCCGCAGGTCTGCGGTGTGATTACACTGGAGGTTTCTAGGAAGCCGTGCTCCTCGGGCTGAGTCTTAGCAATGAGCAGGAATTCATCTCCCTGGCCTGGGCCAGTGAAGCGGGGCATGTCGGGGTCATGGGATGAGCTGTGGGAACAGCATGTGCAAAAGCAGGGAGCTTGGCACAGGCTGGGAGCTGACGGCTGACAGGCTAAGTCCCGAGATTCATCTTTCTGGCAGATTCTCCTAAACACAAGGCACTTGCAGCCCAGGCCAATGACGCAATGAGCTTCAGCCCAGCTCCTTCTCCCTCACTCACTTCTGAGTGTTGAGTACGATGGCGCCCAAGAGATAACCATCAGGGAGACCCCTCGCTAAACTTGGACACATGGTTTGGTGATCCCCTAAATGTCCACAAAGCCTCGGCCAGGGTAGAGGGGTGCGGTTGGAGAGCTCATAGTGCAAACAAGCTGTGTTGAAAGTCCTCCAAACTTTTGGCAAGTTTGAGTTCAAGTCTTGGTTTCACTTTAAACTAGCCACACAGTCTCCTAAATGCCAGTCTCCTGGACTCAGTTGCACTTTCTGTAAAATGGGGCTGAAAACAGCTGCCTCCCTGCTAGAGTCCAAATGCATCTCAAAGCTCTGGGCAGCGCGGGAGAAGTGTGGCTCCCGTCGCTTTGATTCGCCAGCTGTGGGTCTCACCATTGACCCTGGGACCTGAAAGCTCTGTCCGTTCCCCTCCCAGCCTCTGCTGTGTGCTGAAATCTGGTGTGTTTTCATGAGGTCTCGGAGCCGTTATCTTACTTGTGGTCTTATGGGCTCAGTTTTGCAACTCTGGCAAAAGAGAACAAAATCTTCTAGAGAGCATTTCTGCTGTGTTGTCCCGCGGTCCCTAGTGATATTTCATTATCAATGAGTGGCTGAGTGGACAGGATGCAGGGGCATCTCTCTAGGAGTGGCGCATGCACCCGGCCCTGCCTGGGAGCATCAGGGGTAGAAGAGCAGAGTTAGAGTGGGAGCCTCACACCCTGGGTACCGAAGTGCACTCGGGGCAGCCACCAAAGCGTGAGCTCTTCCAGGACGCTAGGAGGGCACTCTGCAGGGGGCATCCATCTGCCAGAGGTCAGAGGTCAGAGATCAGCTCATCATATCTGGGTCAAAGGCGAGTGGGCAGCACCGATGGTGGTGGGGGGGCGTGTTTGTGTTGGTGGAACGTCACCATGATGCGAGGGTCTCCGTCGTCTCCCATGGGGGTGACACGTTGGTGCCTTCTCATCAACAGAGGCACCACGTGACCCGGGAGGCCCGTGCCCTGACTCCCCCAGCCCAGCAGCCTTCCCAGGAGGCAGAAGAGGGTGGAAGAGAACTTTAGGGCAAGATTCGGTTGTTTGGTTTGGGAGCCCCCTTCCCCCTGCATGGGTTGGTGGGGGTGCTTGGGATTTTCACATCCAGAGGGAAGCCCACTCCGTGGGAGGCAGCAGGGCACTAAGCCAAGGGCATACCTGGGCCTCGAGGTTAGAAGAGCTGCGTTCCGGCTCCAGACTTGCTGCTCGCCCTGGGCAGGTTCCTTAAATTCCATGGACTTCAGCCTCCTCATCTGTAGAGTGGGAGTGATGGAGCCCAGACTCTGGAAAGTCAGGAGGGTGAGAGGAGATCACGGAGGTCAGGCGCTCACACCACGACGGGCGCAGGGCAGGTCTTCCCCGGCGGCCCCCTTCGCCCTGAGGGTTGCTGGCGTGAGCCCCTTCTTGATGTTGGCAAGCCCGGGACCACTTGGAGGTCCATCCCATTTGGAAAGAGTTTGTGTGTTTTCATTGTCAATGGAAAAGGGGTGGAAGTGCTTCGGTCCCGGTTCCGACTGAGCTGTCTCAGAAGTGAGGGTAGAATGGGCAGTGTGGGCCAGGGCTGCCGGGCACTGCCCCTGTGAACTGGGCCTCGGCCAATTGGTTTGTGGCTTTGGCAGATGGCACCAACCAGGTTCCAGCCAGGACCCTGGCCTGGCCTCCTAACGTGCCTGTCTGCCTCCTTCGTGTCTCCTCTTTACAATAGCCAGGGGCATATTTGGAAACAGTCCTGTCCAGCCATGTGTTATCTGATGTGTGTTGGTCTGTTAAGCCGGCTACAGCAAAGTACCACAAGCTTCAACAATAGGAATTTAGATTCCCACAGTTCTGGAGGCCAGAAGTCTAAGATCAAGGTGCTGGCGGGGCTGGTTTCTTCTGGGGTCTCTCTCTGTGGCTGGCAGACGGCGTCTTCTCCCTGTGTCCTCATGTGGTCGTCCTCTGCGTGTCTCGGTCCTAAACTCTTCTAGTAAGGACACCAGTCAGCTTGGTTAGGGCCCAACCTCATGGCCTCACATTACCTTAATCACCTCCGCAAAGGCCCCGTCTCCAAATACATTGCATTTGGAGGTCCTGGACATTAGGGCTCCAGTGTGTGAGTTTGGGGAAAACCAGCTCAAACCCATAGCTGTGTGCTTGTTCCTGTGCACCCAGCACTGGGCTCTGGGGGTACAAACTGGAATGAGGTGCTGGCCCTTTTATGGTTACTTTTCTTTTTTTAATTTTTTTGAGGTGAAGTTTTGCTCTTGTCTCCCAGGCTAGAGTGCAATGGCATGATCTCGGCTCACTGCAACCTCCACCTCCCAGGTTCAAGCAATTCTCCTGCCTCGGCCTGCCAAGTAGCTGGGATTACAGGCAGGCGCCACCACGCCCAACTGATTTTGTATTTTTAGTAGAGACGGGGTTTCTCCGTGTTGGCCAGGCTGGTGTCGAACTTCTCAGGTGATCCACCTGCCTCGGCCTCCCAAAGTGCTGGGATTACAGGTGTGGGCCACCATGCCCGGCCTATGGTTACTTTTCTGCTCAAAATCTGCTGTGTTCTCCTGCGGCCCAAATGTAGTAGGAGCCATCCAGATCTGGAGGAGCCTCATCCCCTCCCAAGCAGGGACCCTCCGACCCACCCCCAGGCCCTCTGGGCTGAAGTCAAACCCAACCACTTTCAGACCCAACAGTACTGGCACACCACCCAGCATGGCAGGCCTGTGTCTCCCAGGCTGGTGGCTTTTGTGGTGCACATGAGGGCACTTGGAGAAACCCTCCCATTCCTCTCCCCTTTTCCTTCTGTTGTCTTCCAATGTGGAGGTTTCACTAAACCCCGTGGTTCTCCCAACTCTAAAGCTCCACCTGAGACTTCATAACTTCTCTTTGGAATCCTTAGAGAAGGACCAGCCTCTAAGCTGTGGAAGTCCCTTTAACATTCAGAACAAAGGCGGCCAGTCAGATCTCCTGGGATAGCTCACGCTGGCTCAGGAGGACGTGCCAGAGGACTCATTTAAAAACAGCATTTGACTCCTCCTGTTTTCTCACTTTGGCATTTTGTTTTATTTTGTTAAGCACAGGTTGGCCCTCCCTGATCTGACAATCCAAAATCCGAAATGCTTCAAAATCCAAAACTTTTTGAGCACTGCCCTGAAGCCACGTGTGGAAAATTCCACACCTGACCTCATGTGATGGGTTGCAGTCAAAACATAGTGAAAACTTTGTTCCATGCACAAAATTATTTTAACATGTTGGATGAAATTACCTTCAGGCTACATGTATAAGGTGTATCTCAAACATCAACAAATTTTGTGTTTAGATTGGGTCTTATCCCCAAGATATCTCATTATGTACATGCAAATCAGCGGAGCATCGTCATGACACCAGGAGGACACCCCGTGACGCCGATTACCGCACTCTCAACCTCAACCCAGCGTCAGAGTTTTCTGGCATCTCTTCTTTGAGCCTGGCCGCCTGCAGCTGGAAATGCTCATATATGGTGGTGTGACTAACCTGAGAGAGAGAGATCAGGGATCCTGAGAAGTTCTGCATTCTTGGTCTGCTTCCCAGTGGGACGAGTAAGCACGCAGAGGTCCTCCCCACGCAGCCCCGGGCTCGGCTTTGGAGGAGGGCAGCCCGTCTGCCCTGCTACAAAGCAAGCCAAGCCTCTCCTCTCCGCATGGGGTTATTTTTGTCTGAGGCGCAGGCTCAGTCAGGACCCTGGAGAGTTTCCAGGGGTCGGGAATGGGAACCACAGCATTCCCATAGCTCTTTGGCTCAGCCTCTGTCGCCTGTTGCCAACGTTTCTGCTTCCTGGGATGCCCGTCTTGGCCTCTATCCCCTCCAGGCCTTGATCTACATCTCCCCACCCCGGCCCCACCCGAGGATGCCCACCTTGCACTGCCACTGTCCCAGCCAACTTGACTGGTAAACACCTGGTTGGTGCTATGGGGGTGAAGACCAGGGAGGACTCATGTGAAGAACTGAGCCCCGTGGAGTTCCGACGGGTCAGCCTGAGGCACGGCCACCACCCAACCCTCCAGACAGAGCTGCTTCTTCCGGCCCTCGAGGGCCTGGCACTGTCTTTAGAGTCAGCCTTGTCCTGCTATGTGGGGACTGCGGGTTTCCTCCTCCATCTCCCCGACCTAACTGAGCTCCTTGAGGCCAGGGACAGAGTCCTCTTCATCTTCGCATCCCCAGTCTCCATCTCGGAGTCCAGCACAAAATAAGGCGCTTGATGGAGGTGACTGGGTGGCCCCGACTCTCCCCTGCGAGGAAAGCAGAGAGGAGGGGTGTGCGTGGACGCACTCGTTCAAGCCCTTCCTTGTCTTCTTGGGCCAATGACATACATTTTTCAGATGGCAAGCCAGGAGGAGGAGGTCTGTGGTTCGTGACCCTATAATGGAGGGGAGGTAGTTGGCCCCCAGGGACAGAGGAGTCAAGGTAGCTTGCTGGAAAACTCTGGGTCTTTGTAATCATCATTTCGAATTTCAGCATCTCTGCTTACCAGGAGGCCGGCCCTGGGCTTGTCTTGTCACCACACTAAGCCATAGCTTGCTTTTTTTTTTTTTTTTTCTGAGACGGAGTCTCGCTCTGTCGCCCAGGCTAGTGTGCAGTGGCGCAATCTCGGCTCACTGCAAGCTCCGCCTCCCGGGTTCACGCCATTCTCCCGCCTCAGCCTCCCAAGTAGCTGGGACTACAGGCGCGTGACACCACGCCCGGGTAATTTTTTGTATTTTTTAGTAGAGACAGGGTTTCATCGTGTTAGCCAGGATGGTCTCGATCTCCTGACCTTGTGATCCGCCCGCCTCGGCCTCCCAAAGTGCTGGGATTACAGGCGTGAGCCACCGCCCCCGGCCAGCCACAGGTTTCTTATCTGTAAAATGGGGATGAGAACAGCCTGACCTCCTGGGTTGCCATGGTGATTGAGAATAACATAAACGACCGGCCTGTGTAGGTGCTGATGAAGGGTTTTCTGAGGGAACAAAAGGCTGAGGCCTTGGCTGGACGTGGTTCTGGGCAGCTGTGTCTTAGTGTGCAACAGATGTGCGGGTGGGGCCCGGGGCGAGGGCCGTGATAAGAGGAGCCATATGTCAACCACTATTGGTAAACTGAGTCTGACTTCACAGGGACTAGAAGTTTGCTCTCAACGTTGGTCCACGGAGCATCCTTTGGTGATGGGAAATGACTTTAGCAATCCCCTTGGGGCAGGTGATAGAAGCTAATTTGTGCCTGAGATTCACCTGAGTCCTGAATGAATAAGAGATGCTGACTCATAATTAGAAAATGCAGGGACTCGCTCAAGGAAAACTTGAGTCCAGGAAGAACTGTTCTAGGTTATCCTCTTTGGAATCCTGACAGCTTGCCTCGCTGGAAACCCTTGGCGTAAATCCCAGCTCCACCACTTCCTGTCTGTGGGACCTTGCTTGTTTAGCTTCTGTGGGCCTCAGTTTCCGCATCTGTAAAATGGAGAGAGTCGTGTGTGCTGCGTTCGCTGCTCCAGCCAGCGCTGTGACCGGCTCCTACTAATGCGACTTCTCCCACCACCCTCTGCTTCCTTTCAGAGCTCAAGCGCCCAGCTCTGCCCGAGGAGCCCAGGCTGCCCCGTGAGTCCCATAGTTGCTGCAGGAGTGGAGCCATGAGCTGCGTCCTGGGTGGTGTCATCCCCTTGGGGCTGCTGTTCCTGGTCTGCGGATCCCAAGGCTACCTCCTGCCCAACGTCACTCTCTTAGAGGAGCTGCTCAGCAAATACCAGCACAACGAGTCTCACTCCCGGGTCCGCAGAGCCATCCCCAGGGAGGACAAGGAGGAGATCCTCATGCTGCACAACAAGCTTCGGGGCCAGGTGCAGCCTCAGGCCTCCAACATGGAGTACATGGTGAGCGCCGGCTCCGGCCGCAGAGGCTGGCACCGGGGGTGGGGCCTGGGCCACCAGCCTGCTCTGTTCCCCAGCCAGCTCTGTTCCCCAGCCAGTGCGTGTGATGGCTGGCTCAGGGTCTCCTCTGGCAGGGGAGGATCCCGGCTCTGTTCTGTTTTGTTTGTTTGTTTTGAGACAGGGTCTCACTCTGCCACTGACGCTGGAGTGCAATGGCACAATCGTCATGCCCTGAAACCTTAGACTCCCGGGGTTAAGCGATCCTGCTTCAGCCTCCCAAGTAGCTGGAACTACAGGCATGCACCATGGTGCCCAGCTAGATTTTAAATATTTTGTGGAGATGGGGGTCTTGCTACGTTGCCCAGGCTGGTCTTGAACTCCTAGGCTCAAGCAATCCTCCTGCCTCAGCCTCTCAAAGTGCTAGGATTATAGGCATGAGTCACCCTGTCTGGCTCTGGCTCTGTTCTTAACATTCTGCCAAAACAACACACGTGGGTTCCCTGTGCAGAGCCTGCCTCGTTGCCTTCATGTCACTCTTGGTAGCTCCACTGGGAACACAGCTCTCAGCCTTTCCCACCTGGAGGCAGAGTGGGGAGGGGCCCAGGGCTGGGCTTTGCTGATGCTGATCTCAGCTGTGCCACACGCTAGCTGCACCACCCTGACTTCTCCTTAGCCCGTGTGAGCCTCACTTTCCACTTGGAGAGTCCTTCCTCGCGTGGTTGCCATGACTGTGAGATAAGTCGAGGCTGTGAAGGGCCCGGCACAGACTGACCCTGCCTCCCCAACCCCTAGGCTTTGCTAACCGGGAAAGGAGCTAACGGTGACAGAAGACAGCCAAGGTCAACCCTCCCGGGTGATTGTGATGGGTGTTCCAGGTGTGGTTGGGCGATGCTGCTACTTGACCCCAAGCTCCAGTGTGGAAACTTCCTTCCTGGCTGGTTTTCCAGAACTACAGAGGAATGGACCACAGTCTTCCAGGGTCCCTCCTCGTCCACCAACCGGGAGCCTCCACCTTGGCCATCCGTCAGCTATGAATGGCTTTTTAAACAAACCCACGTCCCAGCCTGGGTAACATGGTAAAGCCCCGTCTCTACAAAAAAATCCAAGTTAGCCGGGCATGGTGGTGCGCACCTGTAGTCCCAGCTGCAGTGGGACTGAGGTGGAGGTGGAGGTGGGGGGTGGGAGCTGAGGAAGGAGGATCGCTTGAGCCTGGGAAGTCAAGGCTGCAGTGAGCTGAGATTGCACCACTGCACTCCAGCCTGGGTGACAGAGCAAGACCCTGTCTCAAAAAAAAAAAAAAAATCCACATCTCCCCCAGAGTCTGAGTCTTTGCCACTTTGTGGGTACAGGCATCATCATGTCTTTGGAATGCACCCATGGCCCCCTGCTGTGATTGCTCTGAGAGACACGCTGCCGTCTCATCTGTGTCTTTAAAGCTGTGGTCACGTTCCTTTGCCACAGGCTGAGCTGGCCTGGGTGATGACCCGTGTCTCCCCCACAAAGCTGCCATGGAGGGTCGTGGCATGAGGGTTGAGTGGCTATTACGTGCCACGTGAATTGTGTCCTCTTTAATCCTGACAGTAATCCTGGAAAATAGAAAGTATTAGCACCAATTTGCAGAAGAGAAAACTGAGGCTCAGAGAGGTTCATCTTTAAAGGACTTGTACAAACCACACAGCTACAAATGTACAAATGGTGAAGCTGGGATTCAAAGCCACCCTGTCTGTCCCCAAAACCTGCACATAGAAGGTGCTAATACGTATTTATTGTTTCTGTTTGTTTGTTTGTTTTTGAGACAGAGTGTTGCCCTGTCGTCCAGGCTGGGGTGCAATGGTGCCATCTCGGCTCACTGCAACCTCTGGCTCCTGGGTTCAAGCAATTCTCCTGACTCTGCCTCCTGAGTAGCTGGGATTACAGGCTTGCACCACCACGCCAGGCTAATTTTTTGTATTTTTATTAGAGACGGGGTTTCACCATGTTTGTATTTTTATTAGAGACGGGATTTCACCATGTTGGCCAGGCTGGTCACAAACTCCTGACCTCAAGTGATCCACCCACCTCAGCCTCCGACAGTGCTGGGATTACAGGCATGAACCACCGTGCCCGGCCTATACATATTTATTGAATGTGTGGGTAGGAGGCTCTGCTTCTCTGCCTTCCACATACCTGATATTTAATCAACTGGTGAATTCTATGTATTTTTGAGTGCCTCCCGTGTGCCCAGCACCCCGTGAGATTCTTGCTATAAAGAGGTGGACAAAGCAGATGAGGTCCCCGTCCACACGGCACCTCCGGACTAGTGTAGCCAGGAAGTATTTGTGGAGCACCTTCGATGTGCCAGGCACTGTCCTGGATTCCCGGAAGAGGCATGATTATGAGTTGTGCAGAGTTAGATGAAGAAATACGGGGAGCTGCAAGAAAGAACGTTAGGGGTGGAAGAATCCTGACTGAGAGGGAGGAGTAAGGGTGGCCCACTCTGCGGAGGAGCCATCTCAGTTAAGACCTGAAGAGTGAGCATGGTTGAGCAAGCAAGCGTGCAGGGAAGGGTGTTCTGGGCAGAGGGAACAGAAGGTGTGAAAGCCACCACCGCCTCGTGAGTCTCTTTCCTTAACGGGAGAAAAGCTTCGGGTCTCAGAGGAGCTCTCAAAAAGCCAGCAGGGCCATGGCTCATTTCTGAGGGAGTGAGGCCATTGGAAGAGGTCAGAGAGGCAGGCAGGGGCAAATCACACAGGGCTTTGAGGCTAGGTGAGGAGCCTGCCTTTTTTTCTATGAGGAATAGAGTTTTGGTATTGCTGAAATGGGGGTAAAAAAGAAAAAAAAAGAAACAGGGTTTTTTTGCGGGAGAGGATGCATTTATGACTGTGAAGCACTTTTTTTTTTTGAGACAGAGTCTCGCTCTGTCCCCCAGGCTGGAGTGCAGTGGCGTGATCTCGGCTCACTGCAACCCCCGACCCCTGGGTTCAAGCGATTCTCCTGTCTCGGCCTCCCAAGTAGTTGGGATTATAGGTGCCCACCACCATGGCCAGCTAATTTTTGTATTTTTAGTAGAGACGGTGTTTGCCATGTTGGCCAGGCTGGTCTCAAATTCCTGGCCTCAGGTGATCCACCCACTTCAGCCTCCCAAAGTGCTGGGATTACAGGAGTGAGCCACTGCGCCTGGCTGTGAAACACTTTTGCTGCTGTGCGGTGTTGGGGATTGGAGGGCGCAGCAGGAAGCAGGGAGGCGGCTCAGGTGACGGGCAGGTGAGGAGTGACGGGGCGGTATTTGGGCGGGAGGCGGGGAGTGAAGAACAAAGAGCCGTTCCGGAGACCTGGGAGGCATTGCCCATGGGTCAGGGCTACACTGGTTTTCTGGCTGGGCTTTCTGTCTTTCTCCAAGCTCTGGACACACCGCACCGTGAGAAAGGCTCCTGGAAGCAGAGCAACCCTGCCCGGGGGCTGTTTCTGAAGGGGCAGAGCAGAGGCTGGAAAACCTGCAAGCCTTCCCTCAGAGTCACTGCGTTCCCTCGTGCCACGCTCCCCTCCTCTTCCAAGTCAGTTAGCCTCCCTCCCTCCCTCCCTCCCCGCCTGCCTGCCTGCCCGCCCTCCGTCCCTCCCTCCCTCCCTCCTTCTTTCCTTCCTTCTTTCCTTCCTTTCTTTCTTTCTTATTGTTTTTTTTTTGAGACAGATTCTAGCACTGTCGCCTAGGCTGGAGTGCAGTGGTGCTATCTCGGCTCACTGCAACCTCCACTTCCCGGTTCAAGCGACTCTCCTGCCTCAGCCTCCTGAGTAGCTGGAACGACAGGTGCGCACCAGCACACCCGGCTAATTTTTGTATTTCTGGTAGAGGCGGGGTTTCACCACGTTGGCCAGGCTGGTCTTGAATTCCTGACCTCAGGTGATCCGCCCACCTCAGCCTCCCAAAGTGCTGGGATTACAGGCATGAACCACTGTGCCCAACCTACGTTTTTCTTTTTCGCCGCCAATTTCTGAGAGCAGAGGGGGCTTGTTGGAACATGCTGTTGGGAGAGTTGCTTTATGAGAAATGAAAGGAAAGGGGCCATGGGAACGTTGAGACCCATTGAATCCGCGCATCCCTGGTGGCTTGGCCTTGGTCCTCATGGGGCAGGGAGGCCCCACGTCTCTCTGGAGAGGTTGTCAGCATCTGGGACTGGAGCTTGACTGAGCTGCGACCCCCAGGATCCCAGATGCTTCCCGCCTCCCGGTCTGGAGCAGGCTGGGTTCATGCTGGTCTTCTTGTCCCTGCACTGTGTGGTCCTCCCGGTTTCATGCAAGACTTAGTGCCAGTGAAAGGAGCTTCTTTGCAGCAGGGAAAGTCAGGCCGCCCGGGCAGCCCAGAGCAGGCCTTTCATGTTTTCCTGTTTGTTTACTTGGTGATGTTTCAGGATTGGAGCTGGGATCTGGGTCCTTTGGTCTAAAAGGCCGGCCTGCTGGGGAGGCTGAGCCTTCATGGATGCTACTGAGGCTACCTCGGAGCAAGGAGGCTGAAAGGATGGGGTGGCAGGGGCCCTGCCACTCAGCCCGGCACCCTCAGCACTGCGCTGCATTGCCCCTCTGCTCTGGTTCACACCCAAACAAGCAATGCAGATTTGAGAAAGCGGCTTGGAAACGTGGCTTCCTGCTCAACCCTGCCTGCTGTGGCTTCAAGCCACAGTCCTTTGAAACAGCCTTAGCACTGAAAGGTGGATTCTAAAACCCCAAAGAGTTGAGCAGCCCGTTCTGAGGTTTTATGAGTGGACAGGCTCTGGAGCCAGCCTGCCTCCGTCCAGCCAGCTCTGTCACTGGCCAGCTTTGTGACTTCGGGCAGATTGCTTAGCCTTTCTGTTTATATTTCCTCACCTGCATGATGGGAACAAGAAACCCTTTCTCATAGGGTTGTTTGGAGGAGGCAATGAGATAATGCATAAATCAGTTCCAAGTAAATGTGAATGATGCTGTTATCATTTAGTATATTGCACAGTCAGCATGTTGCATTAGCATATTTTAGTAACTTATGATTTTCGTGGGATGGGTCTGGCACTTGGTTACAGTATGCAAGGCAGGAAGAGCCCCCTTAGTAGCCAGACAAGAGGGGGTTGTGAAAGACTTCCTGGTTGTGTGACCTCAGGCATGCTACTTAACCTCTCCAAGACTCAAGGTTTGTTGCCCCTTGGCTGTTGAGGAGTCTTGCTGGGACACGGGGAGAGAGGGAAGTGAGGCATGCGGTTGTGTTGGGCAGGTACTCCCTGCTGGGGGGTCCCAGGGCTAAGACAGGACTGTCTTCCCTGAGCATCTGCTGTGTGCCCGGGGCTGGGTGTGCAGAGGGCAGGAGGCCAGCCTCTGCCTGCTTAAAGCTGGAGCATCTGTCGGGAGGACTCCAGGGAGGAAGTGCAGCGTCAGCTGCCAGCTGTGCCAGGGCTGCCTGGCATCTGTTCCTCCACAGAGGAGAAAGGACACGCTTGCTCTGTTCATGGAATTCTCTCCCCAGGAGTCATGTGTGTTCCTGGGGCCAGCCTGTCTTCAGAGTCTCTGCCCAGACCCCTGCTCAGGCCCCACTGATTCAGGATGGGCCGTGCTGGGAGGTGAGCAGGGCTGGGCAAGCTGAAGACGTCTCTTGTCAATTTCTTCTCATTGTGGTAAAGTATACGGACTATAAAATTGACCATTGTAACCATTTTTAAGTGTGCAGTTCTGTGGCATTAGGTACATTCACACTGTTGTGCAACCATCCCCGCCATCCATCTCTGGCACTTTCTTTTCTTTTCTTTTCTTTCTTTTTTTTTTGAGACAGAGTCTTACTTTGTCCAGGCCCGGCTAATTTTTGTATCTTTAGTAGAGACGGGGTTTCACTATGTTGGGCAGGCGGGTCTCCAACTCCTGACCTCAAGTGATCTGCCCGCCTCAGCCTCGCAAAGTTCTGGGATTACAGGCGTGAGCCACTGCTCCGGGCCCATCTCCGGCACTTTCTATCTTCCAACTGAAATGCGGCATCCATTCATCTCGGGGCCCTTCTTGCTGTGTTGCCCTGCGGGTGGCCAGTGAGAGTCTAAAATCCCCTGCAGGGGCCCTCGTCTGCTTTTCTTTGCAGGCCTGTGTGTCGCTGACGTGGATAAAGCCTCCCTGACTGCAGCCAGGCCCTGGGCTGGGCATCTTGTAGGCTTCCCCTCCCCATTACTGCTCACAGTGAGGGCCATGGACATACCCACATTACAGATGAGGACAGTGAGGCTCAGAGAGGGTAACTGCGTGCCTAGGTTCACACTGCCATTCCAGGACCAGCATTCAGAGCGCCAATCCAACGCCACCCGGATAATTGATTTCTAGCCCCTGGCCTAGGAATAGCATCTGATTATTACCTGCTGTGGTCCACACATAACTGCGTACATGGAGACAGCTCAGGGTCCAAGGTCCTGAAGACCTGGGTTCAGATCCTGGTTCTGTGACTGGCTGTGGGACCCAGGGAAAATGGCATTGCTTCTTCAAGCCTTGGTTTGCTTGCCTGTGAAATGGAGATAAGGGCCCGCTTCGGAGCCCCCTGTTAGAATGCAATGAAAAGGTTGGGGTAAAGCCCGAGGCCTGGTGTGCCTGGAACATGCGTAGTAAGGAGAGGAAGCCTGGTGTGCCTGGATCATGCGTAGTAAGGAGAGGAAGCCTGGTGTGCCTGGAACATGCATAAGGAGAGGAGACTGGGGTCATCGGGACAGGCTTCCAGGCCAAGACCGTCCCTAGAGATGGCTGCTGACCTTCCCTTGTCTTCCACACAGCGTGCCGTGTTACCCTCAGAGGTCACTCAGCATGGCCACTCCTGTTTCACAGACACTGAGGCCCAGAGAGAAGGCACCTGCCCAGGACCTCTGGCAAGTTAGAGGCCCAGCAGGAGGCCTGAGGATAGGCTTGGAGCCGGCACGTCTGGCCTGCCACGCCCCCCTGGCTGATTTAGGAACCCAGCAATACAGCAGCAGAGCATTGGCTGTAGGCTCCACAGGAGCCCAGGCTGGGGCGTTGCTGTATTTATGGTTCTTATGCCCCTCCCTCACCCTCACCTCCTGGTGCCCGTTTCTCCTTCTCCTGCAGACCTGGGATGACGAACTGGAGAAGTCTGCTGCAGCGTGGGCCAGTCAGTGCATCTGGGAGCACGGGCCCACCAGTCTGCTGGTGTCCATCGGGCAGAACCTGGGCGCTCACTGGGGCAGGTAAGAGCCACAAGTTCCTCTCCGGCTGCCGCAGGACCCCACTGCCGTGTGCCGGGCTCAGCACTTGTGCCCCTTATCAAGTTTAGCCTGCAAAGAGAGTGAGAGAGACCACCCGTCCCATCGATATTCTGGGAAACTGAGGCTTGGCATCCAGGAACACTCCTGAGTGACTGACAAAATGTATTCAAGCTTGGTTGGCTGACCCCAGACACTGATGATTGATTAAAGTTTGTAGTTTGGGTTTTCCTTCTTCCTTTCCTTCTTCCTTTCCTTCTTCCTTTCCTTCCTTCCTTCCTCCCTCCCTTCCTCCCTCCTTCCCTTCCCTCCCTTCCCCTCCCCTCCCCTCCCCTTCCCTTCCTTCTTTTCTTGACAGGGTCTTATTCTGTCATCCAGGATGGAGTGCAGTGGCGCAATCTCGGCTCACTGCAACCTCTGTCTCCTGGGTTCAAGTGATTCTCGAGCCTCAGCCTCCCAAGTAGCTGGGACTATAGGCATGTGCCACCACGCCTGGCTAATTTTTGTATTTTTTGGTAGAGACAGGGTTTCACCATATTGGCCAGGGTGGTCTCGAACTCCTGGCCTCAAGTGATCCACCCACGTTGGCCTCCTCAAGTGCGGGGATTACAGGCATGAGCCACCGCGCCTGGCCTGTAGTTTGGGGTTTCCATTCCATCTCCTGTGCAGGGTTCTTGAGTCCCCGTTCCTGTGGGGTGAACTGCTCTGTTCATGGTGGGTCATTTCTGTCTGGTTCTGCTCACTGTTTAAGGCTGAGCCAGGTTCCACCCTGTTGGGAAGATGCCCATTGCCTTCCCCGCGTCATCCAGCCGTCGGGAAGCTCACTAACTTCTCCAGACCCCCGAGGCTTCCCTGTCTGGCAGTGTTCTGTCCCCTCTCCTTCCCTGTCTGGGAGCGATTTGTCCCCTCTCCCATAGGAGGCATTGACGGTTGTCTGTTAAATGCAGCCGACGGGCCTTCCCCAGAGTAAGCTGGACCATGTATCCGTGCTCCCAAAGAACCCAGAAGTCCCCTCCTGGGGGCTGACGGCTGGTTTCATTGGAGAAAGTGGAAAAATGTCTTTTGACCACGCCCAGGATAACAACTAAGACCACATAAGACTTAACGACCAACCTGTGACCGTGCCATGCCCAAGGCCAGAATTCACGTCCTCAGACCCATCCAGGACCTGGATTGACATCCATTTTGCCCTAATTATTGAAAAGTTGGAATGGGCTTTAGACAGCCTCTTAAAATGTAGGTGAGCGTTTGCTTTCACTTCCCACAGAGGGATTTCCTAGCTTGGGTTTCACTGGGCCACGGGCAGCCGCACCTTCCTCTGCATCCGTGGGTTTTCAGGACAAACCTGGGCAGGTGTCATGGTGGATCGACCGCGGTGACTTCACAGAGGCAAATCCACACCATGGTTTTTTCTTTGGTGAAGTTAGCTTTTTATAAAAACTATCTTACAGGCTGGGCAAGGTGGCTCATGCCTGTAATCCCAGCACTTTGGGAGGCCAAGGTGGGCAGAATACAAGGTCAGGAGTTCAAGACTATCCTGGCCAACATAGTGAAACCCCGTCTCTACTAAAAATACAAAAAATTAGCCAGGCGTGGTGGCAGGCGCCTGTCATCCCAGCTACTTGGGAGGCTGAGGCAGGAGAATCGCTTGAACCCTGGAGGCGGAGGCTGCAGTGAGCCAGGATTGCACCATTGTACTCCAGCCTGGGTGACAGTGCAAGAATTCGTCTCAAAAAAAAAAAAAAATCTTACAATAACATGAAAGTGAAGTGTCTAAAGCAGGGAGATCTGGAATTCCACTAGCCTGGTTCGGCTCTTTTCATTTTTCTGAGCTCCTTTGCAGCACCTGGCTGGGCGCCGACGTAGTTTTACAGCATTGAGACTGTAGCCTGGATCACTTTGAAATCTTTTTCTTTTTCCTTTTCATACAATATCAGGAAATTTTCAGTGATACAGTTGTCATGAATGTCGCCCTGCAAATGCCCTAATGATCCCTCTGTGGACAGACCAAAGTTGACCCGTTGGCTCTTGCAGATTCATTTTTGTTTTTTGTTTTTGTCTTTGTCTCACTTGAATGATTTCATTAGGATTACTCCTGAGAAGTAGGATTGCTGGGCCAAAGGGCACACAGACTTCCCCCTTTCTTAAGGAATTTTGCTAACTTGCTTTGCAAAAGAGCCCCTGACTCTGCATGGCCCCCCGGGGCAGCCGCGGGTTCCTTTCCCCACAGCCATGCCAGTGCCAGCCTTGAGTCTGCGTGACCTTGAGCCGCAGGGAAGCGGATGAGTGGCCAGCAGCCCTCTGCTCCTGCCTCCTCACTGTGTGCACGCCTTTCTGCAAATGCCGCTGCCCGCTGCCGTGCGCTCCGCTTCCAGACAGTAATTGTTACAAGACCTCTAACTGCCTCGACGACCACATGGCCCTTAAAAATGGTCATTTCCCCCGTGAGCATTTTCTCTTCATCGAAACCACTTTGTTTATACTTGCTGGTGACAGTGTGACTGTGGACTTGCCTCCAGTTTGGTTTTCTCCCTAGTTATTAAAAAAAAAAAAAATGGTGCCAACCTTGGCAGCCAAGGCTGAAGCAAGGGGGTGGTGGGCATGAAGCGATGACCCCACGGAGGATGTCCAGGGACAGGTGCAGCTGGTGGCTGCAGATTACAGGCATGCACCACCTCGCCCGGCTAATTTTTGTATTTTTAGTAGAGACGGGGTTTCGCCATGTCGGCCAGGCTGGTCTCCAACTCCTGACCTCAGGTGATCCTACCGCCTCAGCCTCCCAAAGTGCTGGGATGACAGGCATGAGCCACCATGTTCGGCCTTAAGTGCACTCACGTCTTCATCAGGTTTTGTCTTAGACAACAATATCTGTGAAATACGGGCTTCATGGGCTGGATAGTTTTTCTCCAACGTACCTGAAAATAAACACCTAATTGACATAAGAAAGGACTCATTACTTGGGAGGCTGAGGCAGGAGAATGGCGTGAACCCGGGAGGCGGAGCTTGCAGTGAGCCGAGATCCCGCCACTGCACTCCAGCCTGGGCGACAGAGCGAGACTCCGTCTCAAAAAAAAAAAAAAAAAAGAAAGGACTCATTAAGAGCCAGGTGAAGAGATTCCTGCACGTGCAGGTGGTGTATGAGCCACCTGAGGAGCCTACTAGAGACCCCAGGTGAGCTCCTCAAGGATAATGGTATTAAGCACCTGTACCAGGTGCTGCTGGAATTGAGGGTTATTCCCCCACCTCGGCCTCCCTCCCTCCTCGCTGCCCGTGGCTGCTCCTGGAATTGGGGGCTATTCCGCCTCCTCGGCCTCCCTCCCTCCCGGCTGCCCGTGGCTGCTCCTGGAATTGGCCGCTATTCACCCTCCTCGGCCTCCCTCCCTCCTACCTGCCCGTGGCTGCTGCTGTCTCCACTGGTGGGTGAGGGGAGGGGCTGGGACTGAGTGAGCGGTTTCTGCCCTGCAGGTATCGCTCTCCGGGGTTCCATGTGCAGTCCTGGTATGACGAGGTGAAGGACTACACCTACCCCTACCCGAGCGAGTGCAACCCCTGGTGTCCAGAGAGGTGCTCGGGGCCCATGTGCACGCACTACACACAGGTAACTCGGGGACTTGCCACGACCTCAGCCCTGCCCCCCAATCCCAGTCATTCACCCCCTGCCCCTGGGGGATTGTCAAATCTGTAAAGCCTCTGCGCTGTTGTTGCCTTCATTTTTAAAAATTCAGTTCTATACAGAGTACAGCTGGGAGAAGAAGCTGTTTGTTACCAGCAAGGTCAGAAACTGAGTGAGCACTACAAACTCTTTTTTTTCTTTGAGGCAGTGTCTCCCTGCTACCTGGGCTGGAGTGCAGTGGCATGATCTTAGTTAGCTTAGTGCAGCCCCAAACTCCTGGGCTCAAGCAATCCTCCCACCTCAGCCTCCTGAGTACCTGGGACTACAGTTGTGCACTACGAGGCCTGGCTAATTTTTGTATTTTTTTTTTTTTTTTTAGAGATGGGTCTGGCTATGTTGTCCAGGCTAGTCGCAAACTCCTGGGCTCATGCAATCCTCCCCGCTCAGCTTCCCAAAGTGTTGGGATTACAGTTGTGAGCTACTGCACTCAACCGAGAAAACTTCTATGGCAATTTGACATTGTGGGGCATTTTCATTGTGTGGGAGTCTGTTTGTTTGCTTGCTTTTTTTTTTTTTGAAACGGAGTCTCCCTCTGTCGCCCAGGCTGGAGTGCAGTGGCACGATCTTGGCTCACCGCAACCTCTGCCTCCTGGGTTCAAGCGATTCGCCTGCCTCAGCCTCCTGAGTAGCTGGGACTATAGGTGCCTGCCACCACGCCCGGCTAATTTTTGTTTTTTTAGTAGAGATGGGGTTTCACCATGTTGGTCAGGCTGGTCTCAAACTCCTGACCTCATGATCCGCCCACCTCAGCCTCCCAAAATGCTGAGATGACAGGCGTGAGCCACCGCACCGGCCCACTTGCTTTGCTTTTTAAGAAAATGTATGTATCTTCAATGGGTTAGGGACTAATATCTGCTTCCCCAACCCTTCACCTCGTACCTCTTTAGTGCCAGCACCTTATACATCCAGGCCAAATGATATCACCCTTTTGTGCCTTATCCCTCGAGCTGTGACACACAAATGTCATCTTTTCAGATAGTTTGGGCCACCACCAACAAGATCGGTTGTGCTGTGAACACCTGCCGGAAGATGACTGTCTGGGGAGAAGTTTGGGAGAACGCGGTCTACTTTGTCTGCAATTATTCTCCAAAGTAAGACAAGTTGATGCCGTTGTATGGGGTGGGGGTTGGGATGTGTTTGCTTGCCAGGGAGCACCCAGTGAAAACTGGCTTGAGCAGCGAAGTCTTTAATATCTCACATAACAAAGAATCTAGAGTTTAGTGCATCTGGGTTAGCGTAATAGCTAAGCAGTGTCAACAAGGACTCGGGTTCTTTCCGTCTTCCTGCCGTACCATTCTCTCCTCATGGTCCCAAGATGGCTGCACAGCACCAACATCACATCTCCCCAAGCACAAGGAAGGATGGTCAAAGGGCTCTCTCCTTAGGTCTTTTGCACACTGGCATACTTTCTCCTTATGTTCTTTGCCAGAATTAGACCAATCATAGATGAGGGGGAAAAAGATTGCCCCAACTGGCTTTGCAAGACGTCCTCTGGGACCAACTGAACAAAGTCAGAAGTGGGAATAGCTGCTGGCTGGGCAACCAGCATGGTCTGCCCTGGCAGTATGATTATTTTTCTCTGAAAACATGCAGTAGACAGCACCCTAGAAAACACATGTTCACACAAAGCCTAGCTTCTCTGTTTCCCTCCAAAGAGGGTCCACATGCGGCCTCCTGATCATGGTGCCTCCTCCGCCTATAGCATGCTCAGCTCATCAGTGTGGTGTCCAGCCCTTGACTCATTTGCTCATGGGACAAATATGTGCTGATTCTTGGAGAGTCACTCCCCCAGTTCATGGCCTGAGGTTTGCATGCTGGCCGCTGGCCACCGCCGTTCTTGCCCCGTGCCCTGTGTAGAGTGGGCCCCGGGGCATGTTTGCTCAGTGACTGAATGAAATGGGAATGACCTCATTTATTTGTTTTGGGTCAGGAGTAGTTATGAAAAGGTGGGATGAAGGGGGAATCGCTGAGGTTGGGAGGAAAAATAGAAGCCCTCTCAAAACCATCTGGTGTGCCTGCGGTGGCGTGG
This sequence comes from Homo sapiens, assembly GCF_000001405.40. Lineage (NCBI taxonomy): Eukaryota > Metazoa > Chordata > Mammalia > Primates > Hominidae > Homo > Homo sapiens. Next base: position 84,851,622 of record NC_000016.10, read on the forward strand.
CGCGGCTCAGCAGCCCACATGGATGAGCGCAGCGGGTGTGTCATTGCCTGGGAGGGACGCAGGCACCATGCAAGAGCAGCAGACTGGTCCAAGGTGGTGGAATTCCTGGCCCAGTGGCAGGTGGTGAATGAGGAATCATTTGACTTGACTCTATAAAAAATAGACACTAGAAGGTCCTATCAGAAATGAAATTATTTCCTTCTGTAGCTGCCCCCTGCTTCCTTAAAAGAAGGAATAACCTCCATATGGTAAAATATACTCATCTGAAGTATACAGTGCGACACAGTCTCACATGCATTAGTCTGTTGGGGCTGCAACAACAGAGGCCACAGCCTGGGCAGCTTACACATCAGACTTTTATGTCTCACCATTCTGGAGGCTAGAAGTCCCCTGGACCAAGGGGTGGCAGATCAAGGTGTGGCAGATCAAGGGGTGGCAGCATCGGGCTCCAGTGGGAGCTCTCTTCCTGGCTCACCAACGGCCACTATCTTACATGGTGGTGAGAGATGAGGACATCAATCCTATTGGGTCAGGACTTCACCTGTTGACGTCGTTTAACCTTAATTAGTTTCATCAAGGCCCTGTCTCCAAGTACAGTCACATTGTGGGTGAGGGTTTCAACACTGGGATTTGGGGAGACACATAATGAAAGTCCACGGCAATAGCCCTCTACCCGTGTAACTACCATCCAGATGGAGATGGACAGTGTCTCCCATGCCCCAGAGGCTCTCTCGTGCCCTACAAAGTGCCCACCATTCTAGCATCTTTCCCATCGGTCTGTGGTGTCTGGTGTGGGACCTCATATGAAGGGGGCCACACAGCACACTCCCTGTACCCCCAAATGGTGTTTTGCTCAACATCACATTGGTGAGGTCTCCCCGTGGTGTTGCGTGATCACCGGTTCTTTCCTTTTGTCTGCTGCATATTACTGCGTGCTGTCCATGGCCTCTGTCTTAGAGAGAGGGCTTGAGCCCCTGGGCTATGCAGGACACTGTCCCAGGCACCAGGGTGAGGAGGGTGGCTGGGAGGGTGAGTTTGGGTGTGGGGGGGGTCAGATCCCTTGAGGGGGATTCCCAACCCGACAAGGGGTGGGGTGGGTGTGTACACAGAGGGCCTTGTGTGTGAGGGAAGGTACTTCACGGTGCTATTCAAAAATTAAGGAGACTGGCCAGTGCGGTGGCTCATGCCTGTAATCCCAGCCTCCTTTGGCCGAGGCAGGAGAATCGCTTGAGTCCAGGAGTTCAAGACCAGCCTTGGCAACTGGCAAAACCCCATCTCCACGAAAAATACAAAAAGTTAGCTGGGTGTGGTGGTGCATGCCTGTATTCCCAGTTACTTGTGAGGCTGAGGTGGGAGGATTGCTTGAGCCCAGGAGGTTGAGGCTGCAGTGAGCTGTGGTCACACCACTGCACTCCAGCCTGGGTGACAGAGCAAGACCCTGTCTCAAAAATTAAGGAGATTATTTGTCTGCAGGACCTGGTGCCCAGCCAGCCTTCCACCAATGCCAACCCTGAGTGTTAGGGTTGAGCTGGGAGCGTCAGTGGTGTGGTTTGTCTGAGGAAATATAGAACCGTAGACACAAGGGGAAACTTGGCAGGGGCAGTGGGACGTACCCACGACAGGGCCACGATCATCTGAGAAACCTACTGGGCTTCACCCAGAGACAGGATGGGCTCTGGGACCTCTCGGTCCCTTGGTGATGTTCTTTTTGGGGGAGTCATCCCGAAGACCCCCGGGGATCTGAACAGACGATTTCTGAGCAGGGATGTCTTGTGGCATGGCACGGACGCGATCATTCTGCCTCCGGAATGTGAGAGGGTGGAAGAGGCTGTGTGCACGTCATAACAGTGCCCAGTCAGACAGTGGCCAGCCCTGTCCTCCCCACACTGCACGGCCCACTGTCCCTCCCCTGCCCACAGGCCCCTCGGTGAGGCCAGGGTGCTTCTGGGGCCGCGGGAAGTTCTAGGCCACTCTTGTAAGGACGGATGCCTATCAGACCCAGAGCGTGTTTCCTGCCGTTTGTCTTTGGCCAGCACTGGCAGGGCCCCTCCCCATCTTCCCTGGAAAGCATCAGAGCGTTCCCCGCACAAGCCTGTGGATTTCCCCAACGCTCAGAGCACAGCCTTCCCCGTGAGTCAGGTGCCGGTCCAAGGGCTTCCCCACGGTCACTCCCTCAGTCTCACAGCAGCCCTGCTGCCGTGATCCCATTTTACAGAAAGGGAGACCGAGGCTGGGGCTGGAGGAGGCTGGCCGAGGGCACATGCTGGCAGCCTGGGGCCCAAGCCGGGGAGCCTGCTCTTCACAGCCCAGGAGCCGCAGGAAGGGCCTGGGGATTCCGCTCACCACCTCTACCTGGCCCCTGGAGAAAGCCTATGGTGCGGCCTCCAGTTTTCCTGCCCCTGGGAACTCCGGAGGGAGGCAGAGGGCAACTGTGACCCAAGAGGGACCTTTGATCCAGCCCCTAGAGTAGAGTGTGCCTAAGGCTCTGAGCCGGACAGCCTGTGTTCAAATCCCAGCCCCGCCACTTGCTTGTCCTGTGACCTGGGGCAAGTCACTTAACCTCACTGTGCCACAGTTTCCTCCTCTGCAAAAATATTGAATTCCAGCTCTTCCCTCCTGGGGTGTTGGGGAGATGGGGTGAGGAGTGCAGTGAAGGCACAGACCAGGGATGGTGTGTGGTAAAAACTGGGAAACGCAAGCCGTCTCTGGGACAGGCTGGCTTTACACATTTGAGAAATGGCTTAAAAGGGGGTCCTGGCAGCTTTTCAGCGCTAAGGTGTTGTGATCTAGGGGCCCTAACAGTGTTCAGAGCTGTGTTGGTGGAAGGGGGGCCACGGGGCTGACAGCCAGCCAGGGCAAAGGTACTGTGTGGAAGGGCATCTTGTAGCTCCCTTCTGCAGAATCGCTGGGATTCTGGAGCTCTCTAGACTCTCTGTGCACGGGAGAGGCCTGGGATAGCCATCTTTCCCGCTTCCCACAGCACACAACCTTCCCCCCTGACCTGTCAGTGGCGGTGTTCAGGGACTCACGTGGGCCTTGGAAGAGGATCAGTCCCGAGGCCTCACGTCGTGGTTCCCTCTGACGGTTGTTTTTGGGTCTGTCCTCAGGGGGAACTGGATTGGAGAAGCCCCCTACAAGAATGGCCGGCCCTGCTCTGAGTGCCCACCCAGCTATGGAGGCAGCTGCAGGAACAACTTGTGTTACCGAGGTAGGAAATTTACTCCCAACACTTTTGCAATGAATTTGCCCTCAGTCTGAGTCATGCGACAGCGTTACATGAAACAGGGGAATTAAAGAAGTCAGTCACCCCTCCTGGCCCTATTTAAGACGCTCTCAGCACATTCCTCCCGCCTCCGTGATGAGCTGAGCCTCATCTCCAGGGTCTAGGCTCAGCTTCCAGGCCCCTGGAGAGCCCCACTGCCCCGAGACATGGCTTCCCATGGGCATCTCCTGTGCCGGGCTCTGCAGATGCTGGACACAGCATTAAATGCAGACGCACTGCTCACCCTCGTTAGCATTCACAGTTTCATATAAAATAGGCCACGGGCTGGACATCGTGGCTCACACCTGTAATCCCAGCACTTTGGGAGGCTGAGGCAGGAGGACCATATGAGGCCATGTATTAGGGTTCTCTAGAGGGACAGAACTAATAGGATATATATAAATATGTATATATGAGTTTATTAAGGAGTATTAAACTCACGTGATCACAAGATCCCACAATAGGCCATCTGCAAGTTGAGGAACAAGAAAGCCAGTCTGAGTCTGGAGGTGGAACAACTTCAAGCCCGATGTTTGAGGGCAGGAAGCATCCAGCACGGGAGAAAGATGGAGGCTGCTCCCAGTCTCCACCTAAGTCAGTCTAGTCTTTTCACATTTTTCTGCCTGCTTTATATCCTAGCTGCACTGGCAGCTGATTAGTTGGTGCCCACCCAGATTACGGGTGGGTCTGCCTCTCCCAGCCCACTGACTCAAATGTTAATCTCCTTTGGCAACACCCTCACAGACACACCCAGGATCAGTGCTTTGCATCCTTCACTCCAATCAAGTTGACACTCAGTATTAACTATCACAAGTCCACCCCTTGTCAACTTGAACCCATACACATCTCCTGAGATCATACATAATCTTCAAATAAAGACAATAATAAGATCATAATTACACTAACATAATACAACCATCCTTCGTAAAACTGGAAACTCACCAATCCCCAACCCAAATACTATGACATAAAGTTAACAATACTTAAATGCTGATATGAAGTTAATAAATCTTATGTCCCATGATGAAGGAAAAAGGAAATAACATGAAGATATTTTCTTAGTACAAGTGTATACATGCACAAGCAAGTTTTTAACAAAAGAAGGAGGAAATACTCATAACAATTACAGTCCTCATATCTGCAACTGGTCACGTGGTTATAGCTGGTATTGATGACTACCTTCTTCTACTGCCCATTCTGTATTCCCTTTGCCTTCAGCAAGCACCTCAGCAGGTCATGGTTTTTTTCCTGGTGGAGTGACCCAAACCTTCATTCCTAAAGGGTCTGGACCATTTGTAGTCCTGCCTGGATTAGGCTGTTGTAGTTTCCCATTGACCTTAATCACAGGGCATGGTAATACTAAGAGATGCCCTAAGGGAGCTCCTGTATTCCACGCATACTCTTCCTTACCTCCACTGTGGAGCGGTAGACTGATTTCATCTTGATGATCCATGTCACTCACCCCAGCCAACACTGTAACTCCCTTCTTAGCCTGTTGACTTAAGGGGAGGAGGAGCCCAAAGTGTCCAGGTGGCAACCTTAACTTCCAGTTTAATGGGATTGCTGCTATGTCTCCTGGTGGCAGCGTTCCTCCCTCTGGAACTAAGACCTCTAGGCCAGCAGAATGTAATGTCACAGGAACAGGAAGCAAAAATTTTGCTAGTGGGTCACTAGGGGTGAGGGTGAGTGATGCCATTTCCACTTCCACCCCTTAATTCCTGAACTCGTGAATATTGGCTATGGGAGAAACAATCCCACATATTGGATGCTGATTGAGGGCATACATGGCCTTCTGGAGAACTTTGCCCCAGCCCTGCCAAGTATTGTCACCTAGTTGGCATTGTAATTGTGACTTCAAAAGGCCATTCCACTGTTCTATCAATCCAGCTGCTTCAGAATGTTGGGGAACATGGTAAAACCAGTGAATTCCATGAGCATGAGCCCACTGCCACACTTTTTTAGCCATAAATTGAGTGCCTTGGTCAGAAGCCATGCTGTGTGGAATACTATGACGGTGGATATGGCATTCTGTGAGTCCACGGATGGTAGTCTTGGCAGAAGCATTGCACGCAAAATGGGTAAACCTGTATCCAGAGTAAGCATGTGTTCCAGTGAGGACAAACCTCTGCACTTTCTGTGATGGAAGAGGTCCAATGTAATTAACCTGCCACCAGGTAGCTGGCTGATCACCCCGAGGAATGGTGCCATATCGAGGGCTCAGTGTTGGTCTTTGCTGCTGGCAAATTGGGCACTCAGCAGTGGCCATAGCCAGGTCAGCCTTGGTGGGTGGAGGTCCATGTTGCTGAGCCCATGCATAACCTCCACTCCTGCCAACACGGCTACTTTGTTCATGGGCCCATTGGGCGATGACAGAGGTGACTGAGGAAAGAGATTGAGTGGTGTCCACAGAATGAGTCGTCCTATGTACTTGACTAATAAATCCTCCTCTGCTGAGGTCACCTTTTGGTGAGCATTGACATGGGATACAAACATCTTCACAGTTCGTGACCACTCAGAGAGATCCATCCACATCCCTCTTTCCCAAATTTCTCTGTCGCCAATTTCCCAGTCATGCTTCTTCCAAGTCCCTGACCATCCAGCCAAACCACTGGCTACAGCCCATGAATCAGTATATAATCGCACATCTGGCCATTTCTCCTTCCATGCAAAGTGTACAGCCAGGTGCACTGCTCGAAGTCCTGCCCACTGGGAAGATTTCCCTTCACTGCCATCCCTCAAGCATGTCCTAGAAAGGGGCTGTACTGCCGCAGCTGTCCACTATCAGGTAGTGCCTGCGTATCATGCAGAATCATCTGTGAACCAGGCCCTAGTCTTTTTTCATCTGTCAACTGATCATAGGGAACTCCCCATGAGGCCATTGGTACAGGCTGGGGGAAAGAAGGCAGGGTGGCAGCAGTGGAGACCATGGGCAGTTGAGCCACTTCCTTATGTAACTAACTTGTGCTTTCAGGACTTGCTTGAGCTCAATCACACATATGCCACTTCCATTTGATGATGGAATGCTGCTGTGCACGACCCGCTTTATGGCTCGATGGGTCAGAAAGCACCCAGTTCATGATGGGCAGTTCAGGTCACATGGTGACTTGATGACCCATAGTCAAACGTTCAGTTTCCACCAAAGCCCAGTAACAGGCCAAGAGCTGTCTCTCAAAAGGAAAGTAGTTATCTGCAGAAGATGGCAGGGCCTTACTCCAAAATCCTAGAGGCCTCTGCTGTGATTCACCTATGGGAGCCTGCCAGAGGCTCCAAACAGCATCCCTATCTGCCACTGACACCTCAAGCACCATTGGATCTGCTGGGTCGTATGGCCCAAGTGGTAGAGCAGCTTGCACAGCAACCTGGACCTGTTGCAGAGCCTTCTCCTGTTCTGGACCCCACTCAAAACTGGCAGCCTTTTGGGTCGCTTGATAAATGAGCCAGAGTAACGCACCCAGATGAGGAATGTGTTGCCTCCAGAATCCTAATTGGCCCACTAGGCGTTGTGCCTCTTTCTTGATTGTAGGAGGGGCCAAATGCAGCAACTTCTCCTTCACCTTAGAAGGAATACCTTAACAGGCCTAACACCACTAGACCCCTGTAAATTTTACCAAGGTAGAAGTTTCCTGAATTTTAGTCAAATTTATTTCCCATCCTCTGGCACACAAATGTCTCACCAATAAGTCCAACGTGTTTGCTACTTCTTGCTCACTGGATCCAATCAGCAAAATGTCTTCAGTGCAATGGAGCAGTGTGATATCTTGCAGAAGCGAAAGCAATCAAGTTCTCTCTGAATCAGATTATGACACAAAGCTGGAGAATTGATATACCCCTGAGCTTAGGACAATAAAGATACATTGCTGGCCTTTCAGCTGAAGGCAAATTACTTCTGGTGGGTCTTACGGACGTGAATGGAGAAAAAGGCATTTTCCAAGTCAGTGGCTGCATACCAGGTACCAGGAGATGCGTTAATTTGCTCAAGCAATGAAACCACATCTGGTGCAGCAGGTGCAATTGGAGTCACCACTTGGTTAAGCTTGCGATAATCCACTGTCATTCTCCAAGATCCATCTATCTTCTGCACAGGCCAAATGGGAGAGTTGAACGGGGATGTGGGAATCACCACCCCTGTGTCTTTCAAGTCCTTGATGGTGGCACTAATCTCTGCAGTCCCTCCAGGGATGCGATATTGTTTTTGATTTACTATTTTTCTAGGTAGGGGCAGCTCTAATGGCTTCTGTTTGGCCTTTCCCACCATAATAGCCCTCCCTTACCTGTCAGGGAGCCAAAGTGGGGGTTCTGCCAGCTGCTAAGTATGTCTATGCCAATTATGCATTCTGACACTGGGGAAGTGACCACAGGATGAATCTAGGGACCCACTGTAAGCCAGACCTGAGCTAAAACTCCATTAATTACCTGACCTCCATAAGCCTCTACTTTAACTGGAGGACCACAGTGATGTTTTGGGTCCCCTGGAGTCAACACCTGCTCAGAGCCAGTGTCCAGTAGTCCCCAAAATGTCTGATCATTTCCCTTTCCCCAGTGCACGGTTTCCCTGGTACAAGGCCAGAGGTCTCCCCGGGGAAGTATGGGAGAAAGATGAACAGCATAAATTGTCAGTAGCGTAGTGGGGTCCTTCCTCAAGGGGACCTAGCCTCCCCTTCATTCAAGGGATTCTGGGTCTGTAAACTGGCTCAAATCTGGAAATTGATGGAGGGACCGTGATTCTCTGTTTTTATAATTCAAATTAGTCTTTTGTCCACTCAATCTGGAAGTTTTCTGCTTATGTAAATTAAGTGGGAATGTAGTAGGCTTCCTGTCAATTTCACCTCTAGGAGCAGCACAATTAATTAGCCAATGACAGGACTCTACACGAGCCAGACTATTCTGATTGCTGCTTTGCCTCTGCTGTCCATTACGGTAGCTATGCCCACCTTACTTTTGATGGTTGAGTGCTGCCACTTGGCCCCTGCCACCTTGGGATCTAATCATTCCCATTGCATTTAAATTTTGTAGTTGAGTGACTGTGGTTCCCACTGTTAGATCTGACATACAGAAAAAAGCAATTACAAAGATGCAGGTGCTGCCTTTACAAATCTATTTCACAAAGCATTAGTCAAGGGTATATCTTCTGGATTCTCCCAGCTGGAATGAGTAGGTCCAAAATGACTAATCCACTCTACCATCCCAATCTCCCTAAGCCTTTGGATCCACATTAAACCAAGGGAGATGAGGCATTTCCAGTTCACTCACAGTGGGCCACCTTTTAATCCATATTTCAGCTAACCAAGCAAATAAAGCAAATAAAAACAGTGAAGAACCTTTTTTAACTCCCTGAGCTGCAACATTAAATTAAATGCAGAATCCCTATTTAGTGGGCCCAAATCAAGAAATTCAGCCTGATTCAACTCTATGTTCCTTCCACCATTATCCTACACCCTTAATATCCATTCCCATGACTATTCTCCAGATTTCTGCTTATATACATTTGAAAATTCAAGCAGTTCTTTTCGAGTGTAGCATGTGTCACACTCCGAACCTCACCTCTAGCAGCCCGCCAGGACTTTAGTCTAGTTATAGGTCTAGAAGCAAACAGGGATGTTGGGGTTGGCTCCTGAGGAGAATCAGCATTATCTTGCCTGGCAGCTGCCTCAGGCGCCTCAGGCAGTGCAGGGTTTATCCCCTCAGACAAAGGTGGAAAGGCTGACCGCAGCGTGGGTCGGGGAGGAGACGTTGCCACTACTGGGGATGGGGAACCTGTTTCTTCTGGCAAAAAAGGTTTATCAGCATTTACAAGCTCAGTGTCCCTAGCTTCAGCAGGGTCCTCCCACACTTCCCCATTCTTTTCCAATCAATGCCCTCACTTTAATAAGTAGACACCTAGCGAGGTGTCTGTGCATGCACCTTCATTGCAGGTCAGCCACTTGCATGAGAAGAGCTTGTGTCTGTTTTTCCACAATTTCAGCTCTTTCTCTACAGGAGATAAGACTCACTCATGATAATCTTAGCAGATTTGAGGCTCAGTATCTGCTTCTGAAGCCGGAAGTTAGAATCCCTGAGTTCATCATTTTCTTTCATCACTTTGTCCGGTGAACTTAGAAGCAACCAATCAGCTTCATTATGTTCCTTGGTTCTCCACATATAGTCAGAGGTATTCAGTCTAGAGTCACTGAACTCCCCTCTCAGGAGCGCTGAATCAGGAGTGTCAAATGCATTTATTGTGCATAACTCTCCAAATAGCTCATGCCAAGGACTCCCAGTGTTCTCCATACTATTAGAAGTAGAGTCCTTAGCATTTTGGGATCTAATCATATTAAGCAGCCAACTCCAGAAACCCTAAAACCAATGAAAGAACTCCATCCTTAATATTGTGTTCCTCTAGAACCACTCCTGGTACCAAAATCTGTATTCGTCGGGGTTCTCTAGAGCAACAGAACTAATAGGATATATATATATAGGGGAGTTTATTAAGGAGTGTTAAACTCACACAATCACAAGGTCCCACAGTAGGCTGTCTGCAAGCCGAGGAGCAAGGAAGCCAGTCCGAGTCCCAAAGCTAAAGAACTTGAAGTCTGATGTTCGAGGGCAGGAAGCATCCAGCATGGGACAAAGATGTAGGTTGAGAGGCTAAGGCAGTCTCGCCTTCTCACATTTTTCTTCCTGCTTTATATCCTAGCTGCTATGGCAGCTGATTAGATGGTGCCCACCAAGACCCAGCCCACTGACTCAAATGTTAATCTCCTTTGGCAGCACCTTCACAGACACACCCAGGATCAATACTTTGCATTCTTCAATCCAGTCAAGCTGACACTCAGTATTAACCATCACAGGCCAGGAGTTCTAGATCAGCCTGGACAACATAGCGAGAACCCATCTCTACAAAAAATAAATAGAAAATTAACCAGGTGTGGTCACGTGCACCTGTGGTCCTGGCTGTGGCCTGGGAGGCTTAGATGGGAAGATCGCTTGAGTCCAGGAGTTTGAGGCTGCAGTAAGCCATGATGGCGCCACTGCACTCCAGCCTGGGCAACACAGCGAGACCCCAACTCTAAAAACATAAAACAGACATTTGAACAAGAAAGTAAAAGCAAACAACGTGATATTCCAAATGAGCTCACTAGTGGGAAGTACCTGCAATGTGGACAGCTGGGTAGGATCAGTCCTCCCGGGCTGTTTGACCCTTTACTCCTGTGTCCTTGCCCCCATTGGCCTCCCCTTTATGCATGTGTCTTGCTGGTGCTCCCCTGACTGTGCTAGAGGTTTCTCGCCCCCACTCCCACAGCTCTCAGAACTGGAGCTGTTGGGGCGGTGCGATTTTCTACCTAGTTCACCTTTTTTTTGAGTCATGGCCTCCCTTTGTTGCCCAGGCTGGAGTGCAGTGGCGTAATCTTGGCTCACTGCAGCCTCAACCTCCCGGCCTCAAGGGATCCTCCCATCTCAGCCTCCCGAGTAGCTGGGACTATAGGCACATGCCACCATGGTTAATTTTAAAAATTTTTTGTAGAGACGGGATCTCACTATATTGCCCAGGCTGGTCTCAAACTCCCAAGCAATCCTCCCTCCTTGGCCTCCCAAAGAGCTGGGATTACAGGCGTGCACCATCATGCCCGCCCACCATTTCTTCACTGGTTCCCATTTAGGATGTTTCCACTTCTGCTACTATAAATAACACAGGTTTCTGGTGCCTAAAGCGTTTCTCATGTCTTGGGATATTTCCTCAGGCTTTCAGAAGTTATGTCCCCGATGGGGCATGGCTGGTCCATGGTGCTGACCATGCTCGTGTGGCCCAGGCTTTTTTTTTTTTTTTTTTTTTTAACGTGGCTCCACTGGCAGCCTTGCCATGACCGAGGGGCCTTGCAGAGACTTGGGTGGGCTCCGCTGGCAGGGAAGGGTGGGGTAGATGTGGGATCAGGCTGGTGGGTTCTGGAGTGAAGAACAAGTGGGCTAGATCAGTGGTCCCAGACCCTCTGAGGAGCCAGGTCCTCTGTTGTCCCAGCCAGCTGTTCATGGCTGACTGCCCGCTGGGGAGAGGGGACATCCTAAGTGGGGATGGGGATGGAAGAAGGAGCGATCTGGACACTAAGACAGACCATGTATCTGGGTCTGGGTCATGTATCACCTGTTGCAGTCTTGGTGTGACCCCCGCCTCCAGGGAGCCTTCCTGGACTTCACAGCCAGACAGTGCACCTGCCCCATGTTCATCAACCCCCAGACTCCTTGGGAACCTTGATCGTCCTGTCGTCTCAGCTGCCAGCTCACTCCAGGGCCTCCGGAGGCACATGGCAGGGGTGTCTTATGTGTTGTTTGAATAAATATGCCAATAGCCACAGAGGGGCATTTTCAAAGAACAAATGTGCACAGAAACCTTAGATGCCAGTTTACCTCCACCAACATAGCTTCATGTACTTATTTTTAAATTTTTGGTAGAAAGTATCCAACTTTCCTTGGCAGACACCCAATTTCTCTAGCTAAGCACGCAGCAAGTCTCCTCTGAAGCAGCTTATCTGCAGAAGCTATTTACCAAGAGCATATCCAGGGTGCCTGGTAAGGCCTTGACCTCTAACGGAGATGGAGCAGGGATAAGGATATAAAAAAAGAGGTATTCTCCCCTCTCACCCCCACCTGTGTGGTGATAGAAGGCGCAGGCTTTGGGGAAAGGTGGTTTGACACCCAGCCCAGGTACTTCCCAGCTGTGCGAGCCTGGGCAGGGCCCTTACCCTCTCTGAGCCTTCTTCCTCATCTGTGAAATGTGGCCAATCATGCCTCTGAAGGCAAATGGGAGGTTGACAGAAGAAAATGCTGGGGATGGCCGGGCGCGGTGGCTCATGCCTGTAATCCCAACACTTTGGGAGGCTGAGGCGGGCAGATCACCGAGGTCGGGAGTTTGAGACCAGCCTGACCAACATGGAGAAACCCAGTCACTACTAAAAATACACAATTAGCCGGGCATGGTGGCGCATGCCTGTAATCCCAGGCTGAGGTAGGAGAATCGCTTGAACCCGGGCGGCGGAGGTTGCAGTGAGCCGAGATCACACCATTGCACTCCAGCCTGGGCAACAAGAGCAAAACTTCCTCTCAAAAAAAAAAAAAAAAAAGAAAGAAAGAGAGAGAGAAAAAAAAAGAAAAGAAAAGAAAGAAAAATGCATGCCGGGGAGGGCCCAGCCAGCATCTGGCCAGTGCTCAGTGAACATTAGCTCCGGGCATGGTCACCAGCTTTAGAGCCAGAAGGGAATCTGCAGAGTGACATAAACAATGCCCTGAGACCCTGGCCCGGAGCAGAATGGGGCACAGAATAACCTTGCCGTGACCTCTGCACGGAATTTCCCCAGGCCCGTGCTGGGCCATACAAGGTGTCTTCATTAGGAGGTACTCGGATCCAGCCCATCCTGCGGGTAAAGCCTTCTACTTTTCATTTGTGGGTGTGAGAGCCAGGACTGTCTGTCTGCCCATTTTCTTAAATAGAGAGTCCTCAAATGCTTTAGACCGCTTTACCAAACTGTCTTCGGCTAAATAAAGCTGCGATTATGAGGTCTAAACATCCTAAAGGCCAGTGGAAGAAAACCCGGCTTATTCTCCAGCCAGCTCCCGCTCTCAGTGAGGGCAAGCCTGAATAGCCTCATTGACGGGAAGAACAGACACGCGCCTGGGCAGCCTCTGCAAACCCGGTGTCTTCCTGAAGCTTCCACCCATAGCTTTTGCTACCAGAGGTGCTTTCAGAGTTCCCTCTTTGAATGTCTTTAAGCTCTGTTGCTGGACATATGCTCTTTTCTTTAGGTGACAGGATTCTCTGGGGGTTTTGGTAGTTCATGCATTTGTGAATTTTGTTGAGCAGCTGCTGTGTGCTGGGTGCCAGGTGTGAGGCAGGCTGGCCCCTGGCCTCTGGAGGTTCGCAGCTGGTGGATGAGGCAGGTGGTGGGGAAATGACAGTTGCGAGCAAGCTGCTGGGGAACAGTGCAGGGTGACCCGTGAGCACATCCAAGATTAGAATTGGAGCTCAGAATGGCTTCCCACCTTCTGACTTAAACCCGTCCCTTCCCCTTGTGGGACAGGACCAGCCTGGGGTGGTGGTTGTAGGGTAGTGAAATTGGCCAGTGAAGCAGCTATGGAGAACCCCAGCCCAGGAAGGCGTCAGGGAGTCAGGCATTTGCCCCTCGTTTGGCTGTTTGGTATTGTGTGGACACAAAATACTTGCTGTGTCCTTTAGCAAAGAAAGCTCATGTATTTTAAGAAGTGGAGCTAAGACTTAGGGATTGAGGAACACCTGATGAAACTTGGATTTTTTTTTTTTTTTTTGAGACAGAGTTTCGCTCTGTCGCCCAGGCTGGAGTGCAGTGGCACGATCTCCACTCACTGCAACCTCCACCTCCCAGGTTCAAGCAATTCTTCTGCCTCAGCCCCCCAAGTAGCTGGGACTACAGGCACCCGCCATCATGCCCAGCTAATTTTTGTATTTTTAGTAGAGACAGGGTTTCACCCTCTTGGCCAGGCTGGTCTCAAACTCCTGACCTCATGCAATCCACCCGCCTCGGCTTCCCAAAGTGCTGGGATTACAGGTATGAGCCACCACACCTGGCCCTGAAACTTGGATTTTAATCCAAAACCACAAAGAGACCTGCGAGCGTGCTCTAGTTATTCTCCTTGAAATTGTTTTCACCCAAATACATCTGTTGCCTTTTTTGCTTGGGGAGCTTGGAGGCCACAGGTTTCCAACTCTGGTCCAAAGACTTCTGTTGGGGCATAGGAGGAGCATGCCATAAGTAAAGGTATTAAGTGTCCCCAGCAGATATGCTCGTGAATTTGTCTTTGATCAGGCCGCTCAGGCAAATGAAAATAGCAGTGTCTTTGCTTTAGCTGGAATTTACAAATTGGTATCCTGGTGGCCTGATTGCAGATTCTGGTGAGCAGTTTGTAGTTGTCTTTCAGGATGAAAACTGGAAGATAAGCTAACTCAGGTTTATTAAGTGCAATGTGTTTGGTTAATTAAAATGTTTTAAAACATGGGTCATGGTCATAGTTGGAGAAATAATAATATACCATGTCCTTGAATAAGGAAAAGATTGTTCTTTCGGATAGTTGGATAGTTCTACATGTTGAGTCTGACATTATTGGACAGTAAAACTCCAGTACAGAAGCAACAATTGAGCTGGTTAAGTGACCCTGACTGGCAGGAGGAGAGAAGGGATGGAAGTGGGCTGGTGTGAGGTGCAGTTGGGGTCTAGGAGCACTGAGGCTGGCCTTGTGCACCGTGATGTGTGCATGATGAGGAAGACCCCTTCCCCAGTGAAAACCCAGGGACAGGGGACTTCCAGCAAGTCCACTATGGCTTTGGGCCAGTGGCCGAGGCAGTTTTGTTTTTTGGTTTTTTTTTTTGAGATGGAGTTTCGCTCTTGTCACACAGGCTGGACTGCAATGGCACAATCTCGGCTCACTGCAACCTCCACCTACCGGCTTCAAGCGATTCTCCTGCCTCAGCACCCCCCAAGTAGCTGGGATGACAGGCGTCCGCCACCATGCCCAGCTAATTTTTGTATTTTTAGTAGAGACGGGGTTTCGCCATGTTAGCCAGGCTGGTGTCAAACTCCTGACCTCAGGTGATCCGCCCACCTCAGCCTCCCAAAGTGCTGGGATTACAGGCATGAGCCACCGCACCCGGCCTGAGGCAGCTTCTTGAAGTTGCTTCGTGGGGGCAGAGGGTCAGGTGGAGGAGGAGATGGGACAAGAAACCATTATGATAACCCAGGTGTGGGCGTGGGGCCTGCTAACCTCTGGGCAGCCTGGCTGATCTTGGGTCCAAAGCAAACACAGTGAGCGGAGAGCGTCCCCGTCTCATCTGGGCTGGTAGAATTCCACCTGGCCAGGTCTGTTCTGAAATGTAACTTTCTCTTTGCCGCTGAAATGATTCTTTGTAAAACCAAACCTCAAACACGTTTAGTTTTCAAATTGCTTTTTTTTCCCCAAAGTGCGTTTTTGTTGAATCCCAGTGTGTTATTTTTTTTCCTCCCTCTCCAATGTTAAGAAGAAACCTACACTCCAAAACCTGAAACGGACGAGATGAATGAGGTGGAAACGGCTCCCATTCCTGAAGAAAACCATGTTTGGCTCCAACCGAGGGTGATGAGACCCACCAAGCCCAAGAAAACCTCTGCGGTCAACTACATGAGTGAGTCTAGGCCGTCCTCCGCCCCTCCTGCCCTCCCAGCCACCTCCAAAGGGGACGGGGTGGGTGGAGGAGGGGAGCTAGTGGATTTAGGTCTGCAAATCCACAGGCAGTGGCAAACAGGGTGCGGCGAAGCTCATGGAGGCACAACCATAAGACGTTTTTCAAAAACGATATTTTTAAGTCATTTCAAAAGCGAGCATTATAGGACTTGTGCTTGGGTGGCATTTTCCCCACACCCAGGCAGGTATTTTAAGGTTAGACCTTCCCTTGTCCTTTCAAAAGGGACCTGGGCTGAAGTTGGGTTCCTCTGGGAAGCGCTGGCCCTGCAGAGGGCAGGCAGCGTCCAGCCTGGCTCTGGAAGGTTCCACTCCTTTCTCACCAGGTCCTGGGTCTGGACTCAGTTGGCGCATCCATGAAGTAGGGGATAGAGATGCCACATCAAGGTTGCCCGGAGGATGAGCTGCAGCAACACGGGTCACCCAGTGCCAGCTGAGGTCTCCCTGTACATTGAGATCATTGCAGAGTTGCCTACAACTCTTTTTTGAGATGGAGTTTCGCTCTTGTCACCCAGGTTGGAGTCCAGTGGCATGATCTCGGCTCACTGCAACCTTTGCCTTCCGGGTTCAAGCAATTCTCCTGCCTCAGCCCCCTGAGTAGCTGGGACTACAGGTGCCCACCACTATGCCCAGCTAATTTTTGTATTTTTAGTAGAGAAAGGGAGATGTTTCCCCCTGGGACTTCCAGGAATCCCCAAAATATTGACTCTTCCCCTGCTCACCTTTGGCCTTTTGGCTCCCTGGGCACCTCAGCTCCCCAAGCTTTTGTTCTGTCTGCCTTCACCGCCCCAGGGTGGAGTTCAGCTCCCCTTCAGCTCCCCCCAGCCACTGCTGCGGGAACTCATTTGCAGCCGCCGTTTCTGCAGGCCGGGGGCTGTGGAGGGGCGTTTTTGCTCAGGCGGGGCTGGAGGGCTGGGCTGGATGCCCTTGGCTCTCCCCGTTTGCCCCGCAAGCCTCAAAGGCCCTAAAACTGGACCCCTCTTTGAGGAACAGCCTCACACCCGCCTTCTCAGAGCCCCTCTCTTCTTTTCATAACTACCATCTCCCCTGCCCCCACCAGTCTTTCTGTCCTCTTCAAACCTCTTTCCCTGTGATGCCGAAGCATTCTGTAGCTTGCTTTGACCAGGAAACCTGCGGAGGCCCTTGTCTGTCCAGGAGTTCAAAACGGTGCCATTGTTTCTTTTAATAACATACAACGTTTATGTCCCTTTTCAAACTATAACACGACTCCGAGACTCTGATATGTTCCCATAAAATAAACAAAGCAAAAAGCTTTGCAAAAGGCATCTTGGCGATGGGGGAGATGACTCGGGTGAGCCTGGCTGGGTCTCCGGCCCCACAGGCTCGGAGCAGCATCCTCCCTACCCTCTCAGGAGTCCTGCCCTGCAGAGCCCTGTGGGACCACAGGCACATCGTGTGTGCCAGGCACCCTGCCAAGGCCAGAGTTCACTTTCTCTCTCAAGGTTCACAAAAGCCCTTGGAGGTGGGTACTGTCACTGTCCGCATTGTCCATATGCGGAAATTGAACCTCAGAGAGGGGAAGCAAATTGTTCAAGGTCACACTGCTACTGTAAAGCGGTGGGCCTGGGGTCTGAGCCCCCAGCGGAAGCCTGCAACCATCAGGCATTGCCCTTGCTCTTAGTATAGCACGGATTGGATTGCAGAATGTTCCAGAATGTCCCTCAGCATGGGGAAGGGTCTTCTCACCCTCCTGGTTTCGTGCCGTGACATGTATTCCCGCATTTCTCTCCTAGCCCAAGTCGTCAGATGTGACACCAAGATGAAGGACAGGTGCAAAGGGTCCACGTGTAACAGGTGAGCCTGTGCTGGGCTGTCCTGCCACTGTAGCCTCTGAGTCTGTGCTGGGCTGTCCTACCACTGTGGCCTCTGGGCCTATGCTGGGCTGTCCTGCTGTTGCATATTTAGCAAGCTGCTCTCAGCAGGCAGAACAGGGGTTAGGGCTGGGCAGTGTCTGGGCATGTGTTCGCCTCGGCCGTTGGCAGATCCTATGGGAATGCTGCAGGATCTGAGCAGGCTGCTCCCAGTGGGCCCCACCAGACAGATGGGCCACCGGTATATTCCCCCCATGGTAGATGAATAAATCCATCTAGTTGTTGCAGTCATTCAGATGATGAACGCTGTCTGCCAAAAAGAACGCATTTGGTTTTGGCAGTGTGACTGCTGGGCTGTTCTTTGTGGTAGTAAACAGCCAACAGGTGCAGCCGCCGCACGCACACCCTCAGAGTCAAATGGGAAAACCATGTCATTGGGAGAGGGGACCTTGCTCGTCTTCCTACGAATTCTGGCATCAGTTTGCCGAAAGCTGAATCGAGTTATTTAAAGCACATGTTAAAAAGGGAAGGTTGAATCTTCGGTTTTATATCGCAAGGGTTTGGAATTCAGTTTGCCAGGAGAACACTTCACTTAGACGTTGGCAGGACTGTGATGAGATGGACTTGGAGCAGCCGGGATGAGGCGGCTCAGTGGGCTCACATGTGGTACTGTCGTTTGTTGGTGAGATGAGCCTCATGTGTCAACAGTCAGCAGTGGAATAACAGTGCCTAAAACCTCGCGCTCAGTGTTAGGGTAGCATTTGCATGTCTCTGTGCTGGGCGAATTGGGAAAAAGCAGGCAGCGCCTGGCAGGGGCCTCCGCCGTGTGCACTGCCCCGTCTGGGCTGCTGAGAAGCCGGAGTTGTCCTTTTGTGGCAACGCATCTTTCTGAATGCTAAGCACATTGCGATAGCATCACCCCTGAGTAGTACTCAGTGGAAAAAGGTGAGCACGTATTGGAGAACATTCCTTGTCAGACAACATCGAGGCAGTTCCAGAGTTGGGGTGGGTGGGGCACTCCCCATGCAGGGAGAAGGCAAGAATCTGTCCACACAAAGGCTCTTAAAGGCCTCCAGTCAAGAAAAGTTACTCAGCCCCAGTGTGCCACTGTGGGAGCATCCTCATTCTCTCTGTAGAAGCCGGCCCACAGTCTGGCACACCTGTTTTCTGTTCATGGTGCTTTTACAAAAATAGTAGTCAGTGGGTTTTTTTTCTGACTTGAAAAGGCATCTATGCTCATTAATAATTATTCAGGAAAGCAATAACAACAACAAAAAAGTAGAAAGAAAAAAATGTGTTCCAAAATCTCATCAATACCAGCAGCAATTTGATGTATTTCCTTCCAGTCTTTTTTTCTGTGTACAGATGAGGCTAATGCTGCCCATGTATTTTGTTTTTTTTTTTTCTTTGAGTTGGAGTCTTGCTCTGTCACCCAGGCTGAAGTGCAGCAGCATGATCTCGGCTCACTGCCACCTCTGCTTCCCGGGTTTAAGTGATTCTCCCACCTCAGCCTCCCGCGTAGCTGGAACTACAGGCACACGCCACCATGCCCGGCTCATATTTTGTATTTTTGGTAGAGATGGGGTTTCACCAGGCCAGGCTGGTCTCAAACTCCTGACCTCAAGTGATCTGCCCGCCTTGGCCTCCCAAAGTGTTGGGATTACAGGCGTGAGCCACTGCGCCTAGGCTGCTTATGTATTTTCACTTAGTATTTTCCAAATATTCTTCACGCACTTCATGCTTAGTGACTGCCTGATACTCTGACACACGACTGTACATGAATGTGTTTAGCCATTGCTTTGCCACCTGCTGGCTTATTTCCAGCTTTTCACCATTATAAACAGTTGCGGCCAGGTACGGTGGCTCAAGCCTGTAATCCCAGCACTTTGGGAGGCCGAGGCGGGTGGATCACTTAAGGCCAAGAGTTTGAGACCAGCCTGGGCAACTGGCGAAACCCTGTCTCTACTAGAAATACAAAAATTAGCTGGACATGGTGGCATATGCCTATAGTCCCAGCTACTCGGGAGGCTGAGGCACAAGAATCGCTTGAACCTGGGAGGTGGAGGCTGCAATGAGCCGAGGTGTACTGGTGCACTCTGGCCTGGGTGACAGAATGAGACTCTGTCTCAAAAATTAAAAAATGATAAATAAATAGTTGGGATATGCTTGCAGGTCTGGCTTTCTTGACTTTTTGCTTGGAATATATATTTACAAGGGAAGCTGAAGAGCTAATGGATATGAATGTTTAAGTCTTTCTTAAAGATTTTCTTAAACATTAGAGTGATTTACACTTCCATGAACAGCAACACCATCATTGAGTTTTACCCTATTAAAAAATCCTTGCAGGCCAGGCATGGTGGCTTGTGCCTGTAACCTCAGCACCTTGGGAGGTCAAGGTGGGTGGATTGCTTGAGCCCAGGAGTTCGAAACCAGCCTGGGCAACATGGCAAAACCCCCAAAATTAGTTGGGTGTGGTTGTGCACACCTGTAGTCCCAGCTACTTGGGAGACTGAGGTGGGAGGATCACCTGAGCCCAGGAAGTTGAGGCTACAGTGAGCTGTGATTGCGCTGCTGCACTCCAGCCTGCGTGATGGAGTCAGACTCTTTCTTGGGGTTTTGTTTGTTTGTTTGTTGGTTTGTTGAGACTGAGTCTTGCTCTGTTGCCCAGGCTGGAGTGCAGTGGCACGATCTTTGCTCACTGTAACCTCTGCCTCCAGGGTTCAAGTGACTTTCCTGCCTCAGCCTCCCAAGTAGCTGGGACTACAGGTGCCTGCCACCACACGCGGCTAATTTTTATATTTTTAGTAGAGATGGGTTTTTGCCATCTTGGCCAGGCTGGTCTTGAACTCCTGACCTCAGGTGATCCACCTGCCTTGGCCTCCCAAAGTGCTGGGATTACAGGTGTGAGCCACTGTGCCTGGCCTTGTTTTTTTTCAAATGAGAAAAAAAAAAAAAAAAAAAAAAAAAAAAAGACTATGGTTGACCTTCTATTTCTGTGGATTCAACCGGCCTCTGATTCAACCAACCTCAAATTCAACCAACTGCAGATCAAAAATATATTTCTTAAAAAGTGTGTGGTATTACAGTATAATAATAAAAAACTGATACAAATTTTAAAAACAATACAGTGTAACAACTATCTACATAGCGTTTACCTTGTGGTAGGTATTATAAGTAATCTAGAGATGTTTTAAAGCATATGGGAAAAGATGCAAAGGTTATACGCAAATACTAGGACACTTTACATAAGGGACTCGAGCATCTGCAGACTTTGGTATCCTAGGGAAGTTCTGGAACCAATCCCCCACGGATACCGAGGGACGACTGTATTGTGCTTGCGTGAATCAGTCTGCGCCTGGGTAAAGTCTGACTTGTCCAAAAACAATGGAATCCACATGAATGAAGCTTTTCTATATTTAGTAATAGAGCCATCGATGAAAAAAATGATAAACTCATTGTGAGATGTAATCAACGTGCTTATCTCTGAACATCATTTTATTTCTTCCTCGTCAGGTACCAGTGCCCAGCAGGCTGCCTGAACCACAAGGCGAAGATCTTTGGAACTCTGTTCTATGAAAGCGTGAGTGTGGCCAGTCCTCCTCTCAATGGCTTGTGTGGGATCCTGTTGCATATGTTTAAAGCAGGTGGTTGGCTTTAGTAGGAAAAGATTTTCTTTCCACTCCTTAGTCAAACCTGGCATTTCTAGAACTGGGGCGGGTGTATATTTATGGGCTTACAAACTAGCAAAGCCACTTTCGGGGACCAATCCTCCTGAAGGCCAGTCTCCGTCTTAGACTGAGCATTCACACACTGGACCGAGCAGGGAGAAAGGGATGTTTGTCACTCTTCTTAGTTTGTAAAGCAACTCAGATGAGTTTTTAAGGTAAGCAACCCCAGGAACAAATATGTGGTTACAGACAGAGGCGAGAGGCAGGAGCAGAGTGAGCTTTGGCCTGTCCTTCAGGCTTTTAGTGAGTTGAGGACAAATGTTTGGGTATTTCTGGTGAAACTTGCTGACAGAGGTTGAGAATGTGCCTCTGGTCTTCTCTTCCCTTCCCGCCAGTCGTCTAGCATATGCCGCGCCGCCATCCACTACGGGATCCTGGATGACAAGGGAGGCCTGGTGGATATCACCAGGAACGGGAAGGTCCCCTTCTTCGTGAAGTCTGAGAGACACGGCGTGCAGTCCCTCAGGTAACTACTCTGTGATCGGGGCTCTGTGAAACGGTTTTCCTGTTTATGACGGTGTTGTTGAAATTTTGAAAAATACCACACAGGCCGGGCGTGGTGGCTCACACCTGCACTTTGGGAGGCAGAGGCAGGTGGATCACCTGAGGTCAGGAGTTCAAGACCAGCCTGACCAACATGGTGAAAGTCCGTCTCTACTAAAAATACAAAAGTTAGCCAGGCGTGGTGGCAGGCACCTGTAATCCCAGCTACTCTCAGGAGGCTACGGCAGAAGAACCGCTTGAGGCCGAGGCAGAGGTTGCAGTGAGCTAAGATAGTGTCACTGCACTCCAGCCTGGCCAACACAGCAAAACTCCGTCTCAAAAAAAAAAAAAAGAAAACAACAACAACAAAAAAAAAAACAAAAAAAAAACCCACAGCTCTAACTCTAATGCAAATGTGTTTTTATAATTTGATCATGATATTAATAATAACTTCTTTGTAATGTTTTAAATTTATCTTCTTAAAATTTCTTTATTTTGCAGCTGTGGTTAGATTAAATTTATCTTATACATTTGAAAACCATTATTCTTAGAAGGGATCTATAGGCCTCACCAGGCTACCAGAAGAGTCCTTGGTACAAAAAAAGTTAAGATGCCCTGGTCTAGAACATTCTAAGAGCTCTCAGGCTGATAGGAAACAAGTAGAAAAGTGTGAAGTCGAGACTGCAAATAAGATAAGTATAGGAGCAAGCGTTCACTTTTAGAAGCAATTCTATTTGCATTTACCTAATGCCCGTTTTTTTTTTTTTTTTTTTTAAACAGCAAATACAAACCTTCCAGCTCATTCATGGTGTCAAAAGTGAAAGGTAAGCTAGCCAGTCTCTTTTGCGACCATAATACCTGGGTTATCTCAGATTTTCCTGGAAATTTCACTTCCTTTAGTCGCTGATTTAATGTTTATCATGCGTGTGAACATTATGGTTCTCATCATTGTCAAGCCTTTTTCAAGACGTCATCTCTTTAACCAGCTTCTAAGAATATCTGGACTGGAAATTGGCCTGAGATCACTGAACCAGAAACACAGGGCTGAGGTTGCCAGCTGAATGTCACAGACATACTGATGCCTGGGGCTAAAGTGGCTGAGAGGTTTCACTGGGAGTGCCACTTTCTGTCGATTGGTAATGGCTACCTGGAGTGTTGTGTTAAGAAGGATTCTGAGGCCTCCATCTGGGCTTAGTGGAAAACAGAGCTTGATAGATTAGTAATGTCTGCCATGAGCAAGAGAGGGAAGTGAAGGGAAGTGTGTGGCACTTACTTGCCATCTCTGGCCCAGCTTTTTACATTGCTTAGTGTATGTTCATTTGGAAGGTGGGATGCACGATGGGCGAGCACACTCCAACCAGAAGTGAAGGGATGGATCATAGCTGCCCACACTGTGCCCTTGACTAGAATAATCTCAGGCAAGCAAGGATGTAGGAGCCATTCCAGCTTCCTCCCCGGAGCTCTGCCGGCAGACCATGCCTTTGTTTTGGGACAGCAACTCTTATCATTTGCCCTCATGCAAAAGTTCTAGTTAGATATCTTTATTAAAATATGTAGTAGTTTTTTTTCTTATTGCAAAAAGAATGCCTGTTTATTCCAGATAATTTAAACACGGAGTGGAACATTTTTTTGTAGTGATGACCTAAATTCCAGCAGCCAGAGATAACCATCGTGAACACTTTGGCAAATATTCCAGTTTGTTTTCTCTACATATTCAAAGTATGTACATTGGTAATATATACATCGATGACTTTTAAAACTTGAAATGGAGTTACATACAATTTGGTAACCTAATTTTTTTCTTAAATAATTATGTGTCTGGCTGATGCAGCAGCTGACACCTGTAATCTCAGCACTTTGGGAGACTGAGGCGGGAGGATTGCTTGAGCCCAGGAGTTTGAGACCAGCCCTGGCAACACAGCAAGACCCTGTCTCTGCAAAAAACACACAAAATTAGCTGGGCAGGGTGGCACACACCTGTATCTCAGCTACTTCGGAGTCTGAGATGGGAGGGTTGCTTGAGCCTGGAAACTTGAGGCTGCAATGAGTCATGTTCATGCCACTACACTCCAGCCTGGGTGACAGAGCAAGACCCTGTCTCAAAAAAATATATACATATGTGTGTGTGTGTGTGTGTGTGTCAGGAATATATTTCTGTGCCTTTAAATCAAGCTTGTCCAACCCACAGCCCATGGGCTGCATGTAGCCCAGGACGACTCTGAATGTGCCCAACACAAATTTGTAAACATGAGAAACATGAGATTTATGCATGGACTTTTTTTTTTTTTTTTTTTTTTTGTAGCTCATCAGCTATCATTAGTGTTAGTATATTTTATCTGTAGCCCAAGACAATTCTTTTTCCAGTGTGGCCTAGGGAAGCCAAAAGATTAGACACCCTTGCTTTTTTTATTTTATTTTTTATTTTGTTATTTTTTGAGATGGAGTCTCTCTCTGTCGCCCAGCCTGGAGTGCAGTGGCGCAATTTCAGCTCACTGCAACCTCCTCCTCATGGGTTCAAGTGATTCTCCTGCCTTAGCCTCCTGAGTAGCTGGGATTACAGGCACCCGCCACCATGTCCAGCTAATTTTTTTTTTTTTTTTTTTTTAAGTAGAGACGGGGTTTCGCCACGTTGGCCAGGCTGGTCTTGAACTCCTGACCTCAGGTGATCCACCCGCCTGGGCCTCCCCAAGTGCTAGGATTACATGCGTGAGCCATTGCACCCGGCCTGGACACCCTTGCTTTAAATGTTCTTCCAAACCTAATGTGAATGATCTCCCCATTGAATAGAAGTCCCTTGATGTACTAAACCAGTCCCCTTTGTTGGATAGCTATATAGAACCATGGCCTGTTCAAGTGACAGACTGGACCAGCAGGGTTCAGCAAACGATGACTCATGGGTTAAATCCTGCCTATTGCCTGCTTTTGTAAATAAAGTTTTATTGGAACACAGTTACACCTATTCCACATCATCTATAGCTCCTCTCTGCTACAACAGCAGAGTTGATTAATCTTGACATCAAACATAAGGACCACAAAGCCAAACATGTTTGCTCTATGGTCCTTTAAGAAAAAGTTTACCTGGCCGGGCGCGGTGGCTCACGCCTATAATCCCAGCACTTTGAGACGTCCAGGCAGATGGGTCACCTGAGGTCAGGAGTTTGAGACCAGCCTGGCCAACATGGTGAAACCCCGTCTCTACTAAAAATACAAAAATTATCCAGGTGTGGTGGCAGGCACCTGTAATCTCAGCTACTTGGGAGGTTGAGGCAGGAGAATTGCCTGAACCCAGGAGGTGAAGGTTGCAGTGAGCCAAGATCATGCCATGGCACTCCAGCCTGGGCGACAGAGTGAGACTCCGTCTCAAAAAAAAAAGGCCGGTGCAGTGGTTTCCACCTGTAATCTTAGCACTTTGGGAGGCTGAGGCAGGTGGATTACCTGAGGTCAGGAGTTCGAGACAAGCCTGGCCAACATGGTGAAACCCTGTCTCTACTGAAAATACAAAAATTAGCTGGCTGTGGTGGCAGGCGCCTCTAATCCCAGCTACTCGGGAGGCTAAGGCAGGAGAATCAGTTGAACTCAGGGGTGGAGGTTGCAGTGAGCCAAGATCGTGCCGTTTCACTCCAGCCTGGGCAAAAAGAGCAAAACTCTGTCTCAAAGAAAAAAAGAAAAAGAAAAAGTTTACTTAGCCCTGAACTAAATAAAGACATGCTGTCAGAGATCACAGGTGGCCAGTATTAGAACTGTTTCCTTACCTGTGTTGTTTAAACACAACAAAATGACCTTGAAGATAAAAGCCCCTCGCCCCTCAGCAGGGATGAATGTGCCTTGATTAGCGGCAGGAGGTAGGTGGTATGTCAGAAGGAGCTCTAGAGCAGGCACTGGAAAGCTGGGCTCCCACCTCAGTCCTGGGAAGGGCACTCTGAGCTCTCTGAGCTTCCATTTCCTCATCTGCCTACTTAGAGTAACACCTGCTGTGAGGAGCAAAGGTGATCAAGTCAGGAAAAGCTTCCAAATAAGAAAGTCACCATTCAGATGAAAAGCACCATCAGCCCCACAGAGAAACCACTGGGGGTGACAACGCCCTCAACCCGCCAACACATGCAGGCCGTGGGTTTGGTCTCATCTCTTAAGTGCCCCTACGTGGGGTACGAGGAGCCTGCTGGGTCGTAGTCCCAGCTCTATTCAAGGGCCCAGGGAACCCATAGGCCCTGGTAGTCTAGTGGCCCATTGCACAGCCTGGTAGCCTGAGGCCCAGGCGTGCTGGGACCTGACCCTTTCCCCCTTGCTCCTGTTCACAGTGCAGGATTTGGACTGCTACACGACCGTTGCTCAGCTGTGCCCGTTTGAAAAGCCAGCAACTCACTGCCCAAGGTAAGGCGGGCCTGATCTGTCATCTTTTCTATGGAAGATGTTAGAAGTAGCTTTTTAGGCTGGGTGAGGTGGCTCACAGCTGTAATCCCAGCACTTTGGGAGGCCGAGGCGGGTGGATCACTTGAGGCCAGGAGTTCGTGACCAGCCTGGCCAACATGGTGAAACCCCATTTCTACTAAAATTACAAAAATTAGTCAGCCATGGCGGTGGGTGCCTGTAATTCCAGCTACTTGGGAAGCTGAGGCAGGAGAATTGCTTGAACCTGGGAGGCGGAGGTTGCAGTGAGCTGAGATCACGCCATTGTCCTCCAGCCTGGGTGACGAGTGAAACTGTGTCCCAAAATAAATAAAATACAAATTAAAAATCAGCTTTATTGAGGTAAATGATACGATCCACCCATTAGAAGTAAACGATGTGTGGCCGGGCACGGTGGCTCACGCCTGTAATCCCAGCACTTTGGGAGGCCGAGGCAGGCGGATCACGAGGTCAGGAGATCGAGACCATCCTGGCTAACACGGTGAAACCCCGTCTCTACTAAAAATACAAAAAAAAAAAAAAAAAAAATTAGCCGGGCGTGGTGGCGGGCGCCTGTATTCCCAGCTACTCGGGAGTCTGAGGCGGGAGAATGGCGTGAACCCAGGAGGTGGAGCTTGCAGTGAGCCGAGATCG
This sequence comes from Homo sapiens, assembly GCF_000001405.40. Lineage (NCBI taxonomy): Eukaryota > Metazoa > Chordata > Mammalia > Primates > Hominidae > Homo > Homo sapiens. The sequence goes on from NC_000016.10 coordinate 84,878,180, forward strand.
CACCACTGCACTCCAGCCTGGGTGACAGAGCGAGACTCCGTCTCAAAAAAAGAAAAAAGTACACAATGTGTTTTGGCCAAGGTATACAGGGTCACAACCACCACCCGTCAAAGTGTAGACATTGTCAGCACCGAATGTCATTACTGCTCTGGTGGCCAGTCCCTCTCCCTCCAGCTCCCGGCCACACCCCTGCACCAGGGAGCTTCTTTCTGTTGCTCTGATTTTGCTTTTTCAGCAAAATTATGGCGCCGTGGCAGGGTGTGGTCTTGGGTGTCTGGCTTCTCACTCTGCGTCATGTGTTGGAGACTCAGCCGTGTTGTGGAGCGTGTTTGTTTATTCTTTCAAATCCTCATGCAGCATTCCATTCTGTGGATACGTGACAACGGGTTTGTCCCAGGAATCGGTTCTACAGGCAGCTAACCCCAAATGAGTGGTCCACGGAGGACGATGCCTCCCAGCATAAAATAAAGGGTGTCCTGGGAACAGCTGTCGCTGAAGTTCCTGGTAGATCCTCTTGGGAAGGGAACACAGGAACATCCTCTTATTTGAATCGGCTGAGGCACCTTCTCAGGTGGAAAAGGCCGCAGGTCTCTGGGACGTCCCCACTTTATAGATGTTCCCCAGGGTTCAGATCATATAATACATCTGTAATGCTAAGCTGCCCTTCAAACAGAGCACGCTTTCTGACTTAGCTCCATTGTAGAATTAGAAATAGAATGACAGTCCCAGGACCCTGGGTTGAAATGCTTTGAGGATGAAGACAGCTGCCCTGGAGGCTGGGTGGTGTGGCCCTCATGAGCCCTCATCCTGGGCTGGAGACCTGTGGATTCTCCAAGGGACAATAGGTGGTGACCCCAAGGTTCCGAGCAGGGAAAGGCCCAGGAGGGTGACTGGTTGGGAGGGGCCCAGACTGCTTTCCCTTGACTGCCACCCCACTTCAGGCTTTCTCTGGGCCTCCACTGCCTCCGCACCACCGTCTTGATCCCCCTTGAATGTTCGAGTGGGGATAACAGCCTTTTAGTAGATTTTCCCTGAATATTAGAGAGAAGCAGAAGGAAAGAATTTCAGAAAATACAAACAGAAAAACTTGACACAGTGCAATATGCAAAATGTTAATTTCTGATCTGCCATTCCAAAAGAAGTAGGAAAGAATGGAGACTGTTCTTAGACTCTTTCCAATTCTTTTTTTTTTTTTTTTTTGAGACTGAGCTTCGCTCTTGTTGCCCAGGTTGGAGTGCGGTGGTACAATCTCTGCTCACTGCAACCTCTGCCTCCCAGATTCAAGCCATTCTCCTGCCTCAGCGTCCCGCGTAGCTGGGATTACGGGCCTGCACCACCACGCCTGGCTAATTTTGTATTTTTAGTAGAGATGGGGTTTCACCATGTTGGCCAGGCTGGTCTCGAACTCCCGACCTCAGGTGATCCACCCACCTCGGCCTCCCAAAGTGCTGGGATCACAGGTGTGAGCCACTGCACCTGGCCTTCTTTTTTTTTTTTAAATCCACACACACACCCTTTCTCTCTACCCACTCATTTCCCTTCCTCCCAGCCCCTAAGAACTGTTTCAACTTCTCAGTCCCTTTGCCTGGCCTTCTTCCTTCCCATAATCCTGCCTGCCTGGGGCCAGATGGCTTCCGGCTGCCATTTTGGTTTCTTGGTCCCTGGGCTCCAGCCCACGGTGGACTGTTCCAGATAAACACAGAAGATCTTTTCTTAAGTAAAGCCCGTGCTCTTTCCTGGCTTGAGTTTGTCAAACCACCCAGGGGTCACCCATTTCCAGTTTGAGGTGCTTTCCTCATGCCCTGGAGGATCTGTGGTGACTGACACACAGTGATCTAACCCCTTCCACCCCAGGTTATCAGTGCCCCCGCCTTGGAATATTCTGTGACTCAGCGAGGTGAGGGCCCTCCACCCTTTCCTCCTCCACACAGGGAAGCGGCCTTAGAAAAAGTCTCTTGATGCTAATCTCCATAATGTACCCACAGTGTGAACTAGCCAACATCCAAGAATGGGAGGGGCAGCCTCACAATTCCACACTCTTCTCTCTTAGATTTTTATTCTCTTTACCTTTTTGTTTGTGCATGTCTTTTGTGGATGTGTGTGTGTTTTTAAAAATTCTATCTACACTGTTTAAGAGAAGCAAAAATAGTAATATCTTTACCTCTGCTGAGGGGGGAGAAGTATTGTTTTTTTTCTTAATGAGGAAAACTGTATGGCGGTTTCCTTTCATCTACGAACTTAAATCTTGGAATTCAAATAAAGAGAGCCAGCTTAAGAAGTTTGGTTTTCTGTGCTCAGACCCATCACATAAATGCTTCCTGTTTTTCAGAATCCATTGTCCGGCACACTGCAAAGACGAACCTTCCTACTGGGCTCCGGTGTTTGGAACCAACATCTATGCAGATGTGAGTAGGATGCATTTTCAACAACTATCTCGCAAAGCCTGTTAAAGACCTCAACATGCAAGCTCCAAGATCTGGATACTTGAAACTTTATTCCAGTGCCTCTTAGCTAAATTAATTAATTAATTAATTAATTAATTTCGAGATGGAGTCTTACTCTGTTGCCCAGGCTGGAGTACAGTGGAGTAATCTTGGCCCACTGTAACCTCTGCCTCCCAGGTTCAAACGATTCTTGTACCTCAACCTGCCAAGTAGCTGGGGTTACACAGTGCACCACCATGCCTGGCTAATTTTTGTATTTTCAGTAGAGACAGGGTTTCACCATGTTGGCCAGGCTGGTTTCGAACTCCCAACCTCAGATGATCCGCCCACCTCTGCCTCCCAAAGTGCTGGGATTCCAGGTGTGAGTCCCCACACCCGGCCAACCTCTTAGCTAAGTTTAGACCACTCATTTCTGCAAACATTTTCCCCATTTCCCCATTTCTAGAGATAGTAGTGCTTCTACCTACCTGTCCTCACAAATGCAGATTCAGGAGTGCCTGGCCTTACTTAAATGTTTTCGCAGTTTGAAGGCTCTCATGCTTCAGATAGTTCATTTTTCCGGCTATTTAGTCATCTTCCCAGCTCTCCGGATGCATTTATAGAAACTGGTCCACGCACTGTATTTCTTCTCAGTTATGCACACACTTAGCTAAAAGCACAAAGAAGATAATACAGACCACCCTAATTTACTGCTTGTTGATAGCCACTCTGGTTATACCAATCTCTTCCTCTGTTTTTTCCCTCCGAATTTTAACCAGGGAGCTTTAGCCCGGTTTTTCTTAGGTGGATCCTGCAGAACATTGTCTGTTCCCTCTGGTTGTCCAGGGTTTGGGGACATGGTGACCCAGACAATGTGACTGTGGTCCCACTTCTGCTGCCAGCAGGCTGTGTGATCTTGTCAAGCTGTTTCCTTGTGGCGGAACGGCCCAGAACCGGGATTATCAAATCCAGGGAATCTTCTAGATCTAAAATTCTGTGATTAGGGCAGCATCATTCATCTCTAGCTAATGTTTTTTATTTTTTTATTTTCTGAATAGAGGCAAGGTCTCACTATGTTGCCCAGGCTGATCTCGAACTCCTGGGCTCGAGCGATCCTCCCTCCTTGGCCTCCCAAAGTGCTGGGATTATAGGGGTGAGCCACTGCACCCGGCCTCCAGATAGAGCTTTACTCAGCTGCTTGTCATCATCCCCTCCTTTACAGCTCTCTCCCGCTTCCCCGCCATCATCTTTGCCTCTGTCTGCCTTAATGTGTTCCAGATTCCTGTAAATATGAGGTCACTGGGCTCTGTAAGGTCAGAGCAGGCTTCATGACTAAGCTTATCTCCCCCCATCTTTTTTCTTTCCTCTTTAAATGGGTCTTTTTTTCTTCTTGAAAGTGATTCAGCTAAAATTGAGTTATAAGAGTTAGAATTTTTATGAAGGAGTAAAATAATATTGTCGATTATTACACCAAATGTTTGAACCAAATTCTACCATTAAGAGACAGAGGCTGAGGTTTTCAAATGATTTAAAAATAAAGAGCTGGGCAAAGCAATCCCAGCCAAATACAAACAAACACATGAAAAGCAAGAGTGGCAATATTCCTCTCTGAAAAAGTGGAATTTAAAGTTAAATGTACTGAATGAGACAAAGTAATGTTACACAATGGCACAGAAGATACAATTTACAGGAAAAGGAATAAAAACTGTACACACCAAACAATATAGCAGCTAAACCAATAAAGCAAAAAAAAAAAAAAAAAAAAAAAAGCAAGAACTTAATGGATATTTGCAACAATAGAAGGCTACTTTTTTTTCTTTTTTTGAGACAAGAGTTTCACTCCTGTTGCCCAGGCTGGAGTGCAATTGCACGATCTCGGCTCACTGCAACCTCCCAGGTTCAAGAGATTCTCCTGCCTCAGCCTCCCGAGTGGCTGGGATTACAGGCACCCGTCACCACACCCAGCTAATTTTTGTATTTTTAGTAGAGACGGGGTTTCACCATGTTGGCCAGGCTGGTCTCGAACCCCTGACCTCAGGTGATCCACCCACCTTGGCTTCCCAAAGTGTTGGGATTACCAACATGAGCCTCTGCACCCAGCCAGAAGGCTACCTTTTATTCAACACATACTATGTTTTAGGTCCTTTCTTTAAAAACACCGTCTCTAGGTATCGTTATCCTTATTCCTGTAGGAAGAAAACAAGGCTCATAGTAACCTGTCCAAATCCACACAGTGAGCACGTGGCAAAGGTGACAAACAGGTGAACATGTGTCCGGCTTTCGACTCTGCTCTTTCCCTGGTGTATGCTGCCTTGCTTGATGTTACCTGCATTCATAGCTACACTGATATGAACAGGCGTGAGGGGAAAAAGCTATGTGCAGTCTTCATTAACAAGTTTCACTAGGATTTTGAGCTTTTGGGACCACTGTGCTCATGACAGGGCTTGACAGACAATCATTGTTTGTTGGAGGAATAAATAAATGAAGATACTGCAGTACTCAGTACTTAAGTAGCTCTTCAAAAAAAATAAAGAATGAAGGAGGGAAGAGGGAAGGAGGGAAGGAAGAAAGCCACCTCCGTGTGAGAGGTTCTTTTCTGGCCTCAGTTTCTAGGTCACTGTATTCTGGGAAATGATGATGGCTTTTGGAAAATGTCTATTTAGCTAAGAGATTGATTTTGGGAGAGTTGCCTCCAGACCTTCAAAGGGCCTGTTCCTGCCTGCGGCTCCCGCCTGTTCACCAGGACTGCATTTCCTGGCAGACCCCTCGCTGTGTGGTGAGCTGCAGACAGAAGCATCGGGGTGTGGCCCAGGGAGCTGAGCCACGGCGGTGACATTTGCCAGTTGTGGGAAGCCAGGCAACCTTTCCCCTCCTCTGAACCTCAGTCTTCTGTCCTCCCCATCCCACTTGGTGCTTGGATACGTTCTCACACTTGTGCACATATCAGAATCCACCCCCGCGCCTGCCTGAGGGCTGGAACAGATTTCTAGGCCTCACCCTCAGCATTCAGGATCAGTGGGGCTGGGTGGATCCAGAGAATCTGCATTCCAACAAGTTCCCAGGTGAACCTGCTGGTCTGGAACTGCATGTTGAGGACCACTGGGCTAGCGATGACAATCCCTTGGGAATTTTCTATTGTGGTGGTGACTATGACAATCATGGAGGTGGCATTTGTCTTGACTGACGCCTACTGAGCATGTGCTGTGTGCCATCCTGCGTTAAGCCTGGGGTCTTATTTAATTTTTTTTTTTTTTTTTTTGAGACGGAGTCTTACTCTGTCACCCAGGCTGAAGTGCAGTGGCGTGACCTCGGCTCACTGCAACCTCCGCCTCCTGAGTTCAAGCAATTCTCCTGTCCCAGCCTCCCGAGTAGCTGGGATTACAGGTGCCCGCCACCCACACCCAGCTAATCTTTGTATTTTTAGTAGAGACAGGGTTTCTCCATGTTGGCCAGGTTGGTCTCGAACTCCTGACCTCAAGTGATCTGCCTGCCTCTGCCTCCCAAAGTGCTGGGATTACAGGCGTGAGCCACCACACACAGCCCTTCTTTAATCTTCACAGTAACCCTCTTCTTCCTCACTGTCATCACCCTAGGTGGGACAGTGGACAGATTGCTGGCTCCGGGTGGCAGTCCCGCCTCTGATCTTTATCAGCTGAGTGATTTGGGGCAAGGTGTGAGCCCCCCTGCCCCTCAGTCACCTGAGTGTTCAAAGCGATTGATAATGACAACACCTACCCGGCAGAGTTACTGGGATCACTGTGTCAATGCACGTGAAATGCATAGAACAAAGACATGTAAAGATATGACCTGTGACCATCCCTGCTTTATATGGAGAAAGGCGGGGCTCTGGGGTTCACACAGGTCATCCCAAGTCACACAGCCAGCCGGCGCTGGATGCAGGATTGGTTACCAGCTTCATGGATGTCAATTGTTAGTAAATACTCAGGTATTCCTGTTGCAGTGGGCCCTGAGGAGAGGAATTGGATGCCTTGTCCCTTTTACTGAAGCCTGTGAGAGGAGAGGTGTGGAGGAAGGAAGAAAGGAGGAAAGGTGTTTGCGTGGGAGATGTGCATATTGATAACGGGGCGGTACCGGGCCTGTGGAGTGAGAAAGATCCGGCCATGGGTGTGAGCTTTTCGTACTGACGCCCTGCAGCTTGATGTTATCACAGAAAACTTTTGTGTCACTTTTGTGTCCAGAAATCCTCCAGGGACTGAGTCAAAGCACCGCCTCTGGGGCTGCCAACCAGAACCTCTTGGCAGCTCTCAACCAGGAGGGTGCCCCTCCCCCGCCAGGGCTTTTAGAGGTTGAGTTTGTGACACCGAAGGGATGGGTCCCTCCTGGCGTTCCACTGGGAAACAGCCTGGGCCTTGCTCCTGGTACTGCAGCAGTTGGCAGTGCGAGCAATGCTGAGAGAGACAGAAAGCCTGGAGGTCTTATTTCATCTTGTTGTTGTTGTTGGAAATGCAGATTCTCTGGCTCCAATCAACCATTGATCCTGAACGCTGACAGTGGGACCCAAAAATCTGCTCCAGCCCTCGGGTAGGGGCGGGGGTGGATTCTGAAACAAGCACAAGTGTGAGAACGTATCCAAGCACCAAGGCTTCCGCCTGCCGGAAAGAACAATGAGCTTAATTGTGTTCGCTTACCAAACTCGCCCCCGCTCACGGCGATTTTAGAGGAATTCTGAAATGGTCGCTTCATCTTAAAGTCTCCTCGCTTCTCTTTGAGATGGATGCAAAGTTATTGCTCCTTAGTCTTTAGCAGGGCACAAAGCTCTTTGAGAATTGAGAAGTTGTGGATCTTTCCTCCAAAGGGGGAAAATGCGTCCTGGTTCAGACAGGGAGGCCGGCCATCCCCGGTTTGCCTAGGGCTGAGGGGATTCCTGTGTCCTGTGCTGACATCAGCCCCTGCAGGTCCACGGCCTTCTGCCTGCAACTCCAGGGCCTCCCAGATACCCGGGACCCCGCTTTGGGCTAAGGAACCCCGCCCTCATCCGTTTAGTTTATTTATTGAAGAAGATGAAGACATGTTAGCACAGAGTTTTTAGAAAGTGGCCTTCAGTTACTCGGTAAATGAATCCTGGAAAGCAGGAAATCCACTTTTCAGGTCTTTGATATGAATGTGTGTTTTGGCTCCACTTTTCTCTTTTGTTTTTTATTTTTCTGAATAGGCTTATGATTGTTAATGTGGGAATGTTGGATCCCTTCTTTTTTTTTTTTTTTTTTTTTTGAGATGGGATCTGGAGCTCTGTCACACAGGCTGGAGTGCAGTGGTGCCATCACAGCCCACTGTGACCTCAACCTCCTGGGCTCAAGCGATCCTCCCACCTCAGCCACCCGTGTAGCTGGAACTACAGGCATGTGCCACAACATCTGACTAACGTTTTTAAATTTTTTGTAGAGACCAGATCTCGCTATGTTGCCCAGGCTCATCTTGATCCATGCCCAGCTAATTTTCTATTTTTAGTAGAGATGGGGTTTCACCATGTTGGTCAGGCTGATCTCAAACTCCTGTCCTCAGGTGATCTGCCCACCTCGGCCTCCCAAAGTCCTGGGATTACAGGTGTAAGCCACCGCGCCGGCCAAATTGGTATTTTCAAAGAGCCCGCCTCTCTTCATTCCCTCATGCCTGGAACCTGCTAGATTGTATTGCTTGTCCCATTTAAAGGGCAGCTCAGGGTGCATTTTCCAGACAAACTGTGCTTTTACAGTGGATCCTGAGACACAGGCTCTCTTTGGCTTTAGCAATGCTTCCGGGGCCCCCGGATGGGCCGAGGACAGTGGTAAGGACGGGACAAAGGAGCTATGAGACTGTGCCAGGGATGGTGGTGGGCTGGCCTCTCTCGAGGGGGCACTGATTACTTCTGCAATGGCTCCCTGAGCTTGGGTGTAGCTCCCCACTCCCCTCTCTGTTGTAGTAAAAAAAAAATTCACCATAAGCCAGGCAATGGCTCACACCTGTAATCCTGAGGTTTTGGGAGGCCAAGGTGGGAGGATCGTTTGAGGCCAGGAGTTTGAGACCAGCCTGAGCAACATGGTGAAACCCCATCTCTAAAGAAAATGGAAAAATTAGTCAGGCGTGGTGGCGCATGCCTGCGATCCCAGCTACTTGAGAAGCTGAGGTGGGAGGAGCCCGGAAGGTCAAAGCTCTGATGAGCCCAGATGGTATCACCGCACTTCAGCCTGGGTGACAAAGTGAGATCCTGTCCCCCGACAAAAAAATACATAACATTAAACTTACCCTCTTAACCATTGTTAAGTGCACAGCTTATTAGCATTAAGCATATTCACGTTGTAATGGGTTCGACCTCCAGAACTCTTTTGTCTTGCAAATCTGAAACCCTGTACCCACTGAACTGCAACTTCCCGCTTCCCCTCCGCCAGCCCCTGTACTTCCTGTCTCCAGGAATTTGACTTCTTTGGATGCCTCCTATAAATGAAATCATCCCAGCTTCATCTTCTCCACCATGTCTTGCTCTCTTCTTGAAGGAGGCACCAGCTTGGTGAACCAGTGGCTGGGACTTCATCTTCTCCCCGATGACCCCTGGGGCTCGGGTATTGTGCAGAGGGGAGCGTTTCAGAGGTGACATAGCCCAGCCCCGCCCTCCTGCTGAGTGACCCATTGGTGGGGGTTAAGCTTTTAAGCTCAGACCTGCTGGTGGTGGCCTCTGTCTCTACACTACACGTGCAGGGAGGACAGAATATGGGGAGTCTGCCCCGTTCACCCTCCCCACCCTTGAACCACAAAGTGCCTGGGGGCTCAGTCCACTGACAGCCACGGCCGTGACATCACTCGGTTGTGAATGGAGGCAAGACCGGAGTCCGTCTTCGTGCCCTGTAGACAACGGGTCCAGCTTTTCATCTTTCCTTAAATTAGCAAGCTGCTGCCGGGGACTGATCAGGCGAGTCCGTGAGCCTGGGTGAGCCTGTTGTCCAGACACTTATGGTGTCATTCTCCTGGGGATTCTATTTCCTATAAATTTGAAGTCAGGCCGGGCGCGGCGGCTCACGCCTGTAGTCCCAGCACTTTGGGAGGCCGAGGCGTGTGGATCACCTGAGGTCAGGAGTTCGACACCAGCCTGACCAATATGGAGAAACCGTGTCTCTACTAAAAATACAAAATTAGCCAGACGTGGTGGTGCGTGCCTGTAATCCCAGCTACTCAAGAGGCTGAGGCAGAAGAACCACTTGAACCCAGGAGACAGAGGTTGCGATAAGCTGAGATTGCGCCATTGCACTCCAGCCTGAGCAATAAGAGCGAAACTCCGTCTCAAAAAATAGATAGATAAATAAATAAATAAATTGAAGTCATCAGACTTAAGGGACTTAATAAATCAGATCGCTAGATCCACCCACAGTGGGGGACATTTTTGTGGACAGTGGTTAGAAGCTGTTAGGTTCCTATTACTGTTAGAATAAATCACCACAGACGTGGTGGCTTAAAGAAACCCAGGTTTATTATCTTTACAGTTCTGGAAGCCAGAAGTCCAATGTGGGTGTCACCAGGCTAAAATCAAGGTGGCAGCAGGGCTGCTTCCTTCTAGAGGCTTCAGAGGAGAATCCGTTTTCTTGCCTTTTCCGGCTTCTAGAGGCCACCTGCATTCATTGGCTCATGGCCTCTTCTTCCATCTTCAAAACCAACAATTGGGCCGAGTGCAGTGGCTCATGCCTGTCATCCCAGCACTTTGAGAGGCCAAGGCGGGAGGATTGCTTGAGCCCAGGAGTTCAGGACCAGCGTGAGCAACACAGCGAGACCTTGTCCCTACAAATAATTTTTAAAAATTAGCCAGGTGTTGTGGTACACAACTGTAGTCCCAGCTACTTGGGAGGCTGAGGTGGGAGGATCCCTTGAGCCTGGAAGGTTTTATCACCCAGAAACTGAACTCCTTGATGATGTCAGAAACCAGCACATCCTGCCTCTGCGAGGTACCCAGCTGCTCCCTTGGTACCTAGAATAGTCCAGACGCCACCCTGTGTCCAGTCTACATGGCATGAATGGCCCCTGCCCACACCTCCTGCCACGCTCTGCCTGACTCACTGTATTCCAGCCACCCTGGCTGTCTGTCTGTTTCTTGGATATGATGAGTTTATATCCACCCCAGGGCATTTGCACGAGCCTTTCCCTCTGCCTGGGATGCTCTGTGCAGAGACATTCCCACGGCTGTGACTGTTTCCTTTATGTCGTTCTGTCTTCCCTGAGCAGTTCCCCCTGATGAAACAATTCTGAAGTAGCCCCCGCCACCCAGGCATTTAACCTTGTGAACTGGTTTTGTTTTCTTCATAGCCGATGCTACCTCATTTGTGTATTTATTTATTTGCTCACTCGACTCTTTGAAGGCAAGGTCTTTATCTTGTTCCCTGCTGAATTCCCCCAGTTCCTAATTCCGTGCCTGGCATATAATAGGTGCTTAGAAAACACTTGTTGAACAAATGAATGAATGCATGATGTCCAGTCTCTCTGGAGAGACCCCCAAGGCATCAAGGTAGTGATGATTATTTCCTAAGGGTTGATGGGGTCCACATCCCACCAGCCAGGTTGCCCAGCAGTGAATGATGGAGCCCCAGCTGGCTTGACCCATGAGCTGGAATCCGCATCGCTGATCACAGCCCTTCCTGTGCTTCCAGACCTCAAGCATCTGCAAGACAGCCGTGCACGCGGGAGTCATCAGCAACGAGAGTGGGGGTGACGTGGACGTGATGCCCGTGGATAAAAAGAAGACCTACGTGGGCTCGCTCAGGAATGGAGTTCAGTCTGAAAGGTAGGGTGGTGTTCTCCAACCCTTGACACCCAATCCCGGCTGCTAATGGTCCCTCAGGGGGCCTGGGAAGAGGCCCAGAGTCATTACCCTTTAAAATAAAACTCGGGTAGACTTGCACGAATTCTTACCAGGACTCCCAGGTAAGAGACTTCTTTGCTTTTCTCTTTCTTTTGTTTTTGAAACTAGGGAATGCTTTTCCCTACTATCACATTTGGGATTAAGAAAAAAAAAAGAACTTTTTTTCCTATTACCAATGGACGTTTTTGTAGAAAATTTATAATCTGTAGGAACATCAGATAAGCCCGAAGATAAACAGTCATCCATAACTCATCAGCTGGGAGAATTTACTGTTAGATTTCTTGGCGTGCGTCCTTCCGGTTGTTTTTCTTTGTGTGTGTGTGTGTGTGTGTGTGTGTGTGTGTGTGTGCATTTTTTTCCCACAAAAAAATGGGATCAAATGATAGTTACATACTAGTCATATAAAGCTACATCGTAATATAGTTACATAGAGTTAAATAAGATTAGGGAGCCTGGAGTCCAACAGACCTGGGCCCTGTTTCTTACCAGCTTTGTGACCCCGAGTAAGCCACCTGATTTCCTTGAGCCTCAGTTTTCTCATCTGTGAAATAGGGATAATCATAAACCCTGCCCCACAGGGCTGTTGGGAGGTGAACGGAAATGGTGCCTACCTATTGCCAGTAAGAAGTGGCAGTGGCTGGGCGTGGTGGCTCACGCCTGTAATCCCAGCACTTTGGGAGGCCGAGGCAGGCAGATCATGAGGTCAGGAGATCGAGACCATCCTGGCTAACATGATGAAACCCCCGTCTCTACTAAAAATACAAAAAATTAGCCAGGCGTGGTGGCACACGCCTGTAGTCCCAGCTACCCGGGAGGCTGAGGCAGGAGAATGGCGTGAACCCGGGAGGCGGAGCTTGCAGTGAGCTGAGATCGCGCCACCGCACTCCAGCCTGGGCGACAGAGTGAGACTCCATCTCAAAAAAAAAAAGAAGTGGCAGTAAGAAGCACTCTGCAAATGAGGGTTATGTTGATTACTCCGTATTTCCACTCGAGACCATACCTTTATGGAAATCTATGACCATAAGTCATTGGTAGTGACTGTGAATGACTGTAGCGCGTTTCTCTTCGTAGCTGGTGTGAGTCCTTTCCATCCCAGGGAGCAGATCCTCCCCTAGTAAGTAGTCTTCTCCAGGAATGCTTGCACACACCGTGACTGTTTCCTTAAATCCCTAGAAGTGGGCCGGGTGTGATGACGCAAGCCTGTAATCCCAGCACTGTGGGAAGCAGTGGTGGGTGGATCACCTGAGGTCAGGTGAGGCAGGAGAATCACTTGAACCCGGGAGGTAGAGGCTGTAGTGAGCCGGGATTGTGTCACTGCACTCCAGCCTGGGCAACAAGAGCAAAACTCTGTCTCAAAAAAAAGAAAAAAAGACCAAACAAAGTCCCTAGAAGTGAAATTCCTAAGTGGGGCCTTTCCTGAGTGTCATTCAGAAAGGGCACTCAGCCTCCCAAGTAGCTGGGATTACAGGCATGCACCACCATGCCCGGCTAATTTTTGTATTTTTAGTAGAGATTGGATCTCGCCCTGTTGGCCAGGCTGGTCTCCAACTCCTGACCTCAGGTGATCTGCCTGGCTTGGCCTCCCAAAGTGCTGGGATCACAGGTGTGAGCCACCGCACTCGGCCGCCATGATTATCTCTTTAAAGATCTGCAAATACAGTCACATTCTGAGGTGCACTTGAGGGTTAGGACATTAACATATGGATTTTGAGGGACCACAGGCGAGCTCGTAACAGGGCAATGTTGAAGATTTCATATTTGAGGGACGTTCTTTAGAGAAGGAATAAAATCAAGGCTGTAACTTGCCCTGGGCCCCTGGACGCTCAGGCCTTCCTGCCTCCTGGGACACGGCCCCTGCTTCCACTGCCAGCCTCCTGGGCACTTTGTGCAGCGGGCTTGCCCTGTCTGTGAAGATGCCACAGCATCACTTGTACCCAGATCGTGCCCATTCTTCCCGGGACCCCTGCCCGGTGACTCTGCCATCGGCAGCCCTGAAGAGCCCAAGTAGACAGCTTCCACGTTTTCTCCTTCAGCACGTGCGGCCTTTGATTGGGAAAAGCTTAATGAAGGGAAATTCCACTGATTTAATGGGAGGGAAATGAAGCAGCTGATTAGGAGGAATTTCCTGGCCGGGCTGGAAAGAAATCCCAGGACATCAATTTATTGAGCTCTTTGTACCCTCTTTGAGAGAAAACAGTCTTCCTGAGCAGCGCAGCCAGCTGGGATTTGTTCCCTGTCGGGCTGATTCATGAGAACATCACAGCAGTGCCCTGTGGGCTGGGGACAGGGACCTCATTGTGGGGGCCCCATTGGTAGGCCCCTGGGGAGGGCAGGGATGGAGAGAAGGCCCCCGAAGCAGCTTTCCCACCCGCCCCACTATCACCCAGGGTGTGGGGGGCTGTCGGTCTTTCTCTCTTCCTGTGACACCCACCCAAATCGCCACTGTCGCTGTCTTTGTAGGTGTCTTCCAGGCATCCCTCCCAAGCACACATGTCACTGGTGCCTTCTGTACTCTAGAAAGATTTTAGTGATTTTCTGCAGCATTTCCAGAGTTAAGACTTTGCTTTTCTTGCTCCTCAGACTCTCTGCTCCTCCGTCCTGTGGACTGGCATCTGTGATAATGCTTGGGTTCAGCTTTTCTGTGCCTCAGTTTCCTCACCTATAAAGGGGGGAATAATATTACCTGCCCCCTGGGGTGGTGGCAGGGCAGGAGGTCTCCAGGTGGGGTCCCCAGGCCAACAGTGTCCAGATCAACCCAGAGCTTGTTGGAAAAGCACATCCTCCGGCCCCACCCAGCTCTGCTGAATCGGAATCTCTGGGAGGGGCCCAGCAGCCTGCGTCTGAGCAGGTCCTCGGGGGCATCGTGCTGCATGCTCGACTGTGACAGCTGCCGTTCTAAGAGTCACGCGAACCTGGCAAACCTGACACAAGTCAGTCAGCACACACGTCCCACCCTTGCTCCAGCCTGGCCTGGGGGAGAGTGCAGAGCCTGTTAGATGTGGAAATAACAGCTCAATAGTTTCTGTTTCTTAGGGTTTCTGGACACATAGAGGGATTTTCAGTGACCCAACCCTTGAGATTCTCAGCGCTGAGTTGTCCAGTACAGTAGCCACCAACGGTGGGTGCTCACTGAGACCTAAAATGGGCTTATCCTGAGCCCGTTTGGAGATGTGCATAAGTGTGAAAAACACACCGCATCTTCAAGATTTTATACCCTTGATTCTGATATTATTTTGCTACTAAGAGTCATTCAGCCAGGCGTGGTGGCTCACACCTGTAATCCCAGCACTTTGGGAGGTCGAGACGGGCAGATCACTTGAGGTCAGGAGTTCGAGACCAGCCTGACCAACATGGTGAAGCCCCGTCTCTACTAAAAATACAGAAATTAGCTGGGCATGGTGGTGCACGCCTGTAATGCCAGCTACTCGGGAGGCTGAGGCAGGAGAATCGCTTGAAACCAGGAGGCGGAGGTTGCACTGAGCCGAGATTCCACCACTGTACTCCAGCCTGGGTGACAGAGCGAGACTCCATCTCAAAAAAAAAAAAAAAAAAAAAAAGTCACTCATTCACTGAATATTCATCACGCACCTGTGCTGGGACCCAGGGCACAGATGATTGAGCCCTAGAACTCACAGCTCAGAAGGGGAGTGAGCACTGGAGCCCCCAACAGGGTGATGGCCGGGACAGTATGTGGCGCCCGCTGCACTGGGGACACTGCTCCCCCAGTCCCCAGCAGGGTCACCTTGGGCAGTCTCCCTGGGCCTTGGCAGCTCCTCTCTCTAATGGGTTGCCATGAGAATTATGTGAGAGGTGTGTGTCCAGCCCTCGGCTAGCGGCTCACAGTAAGCATGACATGAAACCCAGGGGCACCTGTTGCCACAACTTCAAAAGATGCCATGGTTCTTTTCTCATAGGGTCAGGTGGCTGGATCCTAAGAAATGGCCTACATGACTTATCTCTCAGGATGAGGGGTCAGGGATCTTCCAGGAATTCATTCTTTCATCCTTGCTTCCATCCTTCCAACGCTCACTCCATGCAGGCATCATACACTTAGGGAGCGCTGACGATGTCCCTGGCACCCAGGATCCCACAGGGAGCACAACAGCAGACCTCTGCCGTCATGGGATTTGCCATCTAGTGAGAGGACACAGTGCAGAAATGACAATGCCAGCAGCAGGGCCCAGGGGGTCACTGTTGTGGAGGGACAGTTCAGGGAGGCATCAAGAGGGCTAGTCTTACTGTCCAGAGGGGACTCCTTGGGGACATGGCTCCCAAGAGAACCCTGCAGAGACACCTGGGTGTGGCCATGCCCTGTCCTTTCCTTATTTAGGTGGGATCTCAGCCACCATCTCTGCACAAAGCAGAGGCTGGGAAATTTCCCAGGAGCTTATTCCCAATAGGGGCTGTGGAAACCCAGCCTGGAGTCAGAGGGTGGCTCTGTCCCTGACGGCTGGTAAGCCCTTGGCGAGGGGGCGGTCACAGGCAGTCCCAAGGGAGACGTAGATGTTGTATATACTGTGACCAGTTCACAGCAAACTGTACTTTAAATGTAGGGAATCCTTCAATCACACAAACCACCAAAACCCCCAAACAGGATTCTCAGCACACGGGGCCGAAGGTCAGTTCTGCTTCACAGTGGTTTTGGTTTAGCAATGATCCTCCTCTAGAAGAGGACTTCCTGGACGTTTTGAAAGGCAGCCATGCAGAAATGAGGCAACATAAGAGACTAGCACCTGCTCTCTCACCCCTGCCCACCTGGGTATCAAAGGAAAGAAAAGACATCAGGAAGAGCTTTCAATACTGGGACGAAGGTGTCTGAATATTCTTGGGGAAATGCCGGACATCTGGGTGAATGTCAGTTCAGAATTTTTCTTAGACCAGAACCATTTTTTAACACAGATTTTGCAAGAGATTGGGAAATATATAAACAATGACAGTGAGCATTCTTGGCCACTTGATTTTTTAAAATGTCACCTTTATACAAAGGTATATATGGGTGCACAGCCATCTGAATCGCAAATTCATTCACCTAACACTCATGGGCAGCCCCTGCGCTAGGGACTGGGGACACTGCCGGGAACAGAAGAGAGAAAAATCCCTGTCCTCATAGGGGTGTGGTCTGCTGTGGCAAGTGCAGCAGAGATATGATGTGAGCACACATGGGATTCTAAAGTTTCTAGAAGCCAAAGGAAGAAGTAATGGAAGGGAAATTTTAGGATGCATTTTACTTATCCCAATATATCCATATTATTTCAGTATGTAATCAATAGAAAATTATTATTAGAAATAAGAAATTTACATTCTTTTTTGGGTATAAGGTCTTGGAGATCTGGTGTGTGTTTCACCCTTAGGCACATCTCCATTTGGACGAGCCCATTTTGGGTCTCAGTGAGTACCCACGGCTGGTGGCTACTGTATTAGACAACTCAGCACCGAGAATCTCAAGGGTCAGGTGACTGAAGATCTCGCTATGGGTCTAGAAATCCTGAGAAACAGAAGATACTAAGCTATCATTTCCAGATCTAAGGAGCCCTGCACTCTCCCCCAAGCCAGGCTGCCCCGAGGCTGGGACATGAGGTTCTCTGTGCTCTGCAGAGGAGCTGCTGATAGCAGACAGGCAGGTTCCCCTCCTCCACTCGTATTCCAAACTTCCACCAGCTCTGCACACGTTAGCACATCTCATTCCCCAACAGCCCTGCAAAGTAGGAACCGTCATTATCCCTATTTTATCAGTAAAGGAAGGGAAGCACAGAGAGGTTAAACGACTTGCCCAAGGTCACCCAGCCTACCAGGGGCAGAGCTGGGACTCAAACCTAGGCCGCCTGTACCAGAATCCATGCTTTTAAGCAGCACTCATGACTTCCTCAGCCTGGACAGGCCACTGAACTTGGGGCACAGACCCTTCCCAAGAAGGGGCCAGGGAGACCCTTGAATGCCAAGATATACTTGTTCCTGTCTTTACGATACAAGAAATACATACTTATTATTTAAATAATACATCCAGAGAGCAAAAAGTAAGAGTCCCAACAGGTGCCCTGTTAACCTCAGTTAACTGCTGATTTATAACTTTTCTTGACCTGTTTTTCCCCCGTGCACATAAAACTCACATACAAATCAAAACGGAGATTGTATTATACGTGCTAGTCTGAAACTTTTCCCCCCTAAGAATAATGATATATTTCATCAAATGAGATGAAGAGGTTTGACAGTTCCCTAGAGTGTGGGCTTTGTGAGGATAGTTCACTCACCACTTGTGCATACCCAGCCTGCGTTGCCCACATTCTCACTTTGAAGGGAGGGCAAGGTTTAAACCTAGCAGGGGCGATGGCATTTGTAGCTCCCGGCTACTGAGCACCTGCTGGATGCTCGCCTCTGGCCCAGGTACCTCCCTGGAGAGGCTCATGGACTTTTTACAGTGTCCCTAAGGAGTGGGCACTTTGAGGAACCCAGTTTACAGATGGGGAAACTGAGGCTCAGAGAAAAGGGTTAACCAGCCCAAGGTCCTAAAGATGAGAGCTAAACCTGTACCTGTCTAACTTTGAAATTTTCCTGAGGGATCAATAGAGGGGTGAGACTCTGGGAGAACAAGATTGGAATCCTTTTTTTTTTTTTTTGGAGATGGAGTCTCCCTCTGTTGCCCAGGCTGGGATGCAGTGGCGCGATCTCCACTCACTGCAACCTCTGCCTCCTGGGTTCAGTGATTATCCTGCCTCAGCCTCCCAGGTAGCTGGGATTACAGGCACCCGCCACCACACCTGGCTAATTTTTTTCATATATATATATGTTTAGTAGAGATGGGATTTCACCATGTTGGCCAGGCTGGTCTCGAATTCGTGACCTCAAGTGATCCGCCCACCTCAGCCTCCCAAAGTGCTGGGAGTACAGGTGTGAGCCACCGTGCCCAGCCAGGATTGGAATCCTTTAAAAAAAAAGACTATATATAGAGAGAGACACACACACACAGACACATACACATATACAGACAGTCTTAGACACTTAAGATCGTTCAACTTATGACTTTTCAACTTTATAATGGTGTGAGAGCCATATGTATTCAGCAAAAACCATACTTCAAATTTTGCATTTTGATTGAAAATTCTTTATACTAACTTCCTTGTAAAATAGGCCTGTGTTAGGTGATTTTGCTCAGCTGTGGGCTAAGGTCAGTGTCCTGAGCACACGGAAGGTAGGCGAGGCTGAGCTGTGATGGAGGCGAGGTGTATTCAGTGCATTTCCGATGTGGACTTCTGACTTCCGATGGGTTTATCAGGACGCGACCCACCGTAAGTCAGGGAGCATCTGTGTCCACAGTCATGTATGTACACTCATACATATAGAGACAGTTATATACATATAAATGATATTTCTTAATAATTAAAAATAAATTACACTTTTTAAAAGCCAGAAGACTAAGCACTCAGGGGTTCCTCTTCTGCCGTCCTTTTAGTGCTGGCTTCAGGACTCCACAGGGCAGCTTCCCTGTCTGCCTCTGGAACCAGAACCGGCCGTCCACCCTCCTTAATCCCGTCTGTGTGTTGGGTGATGCCAAAAGGCAAGCTCTTCCTCCTCAGGTCACTTTCAAGGCAATTGAGGGGGATGCAGCCCCACGTGCCTGTCCCTGGCTGGCCTCTAGGAGGGAGCCCCGTGCTTCTGGGGAGCTCTTCAGAGAGTCCCTGGATTGTTCCTGCCCCTTTACTCTGGCCTTTAAAGGGCCTTTCTAGGCCGGGTGCGGCGGCTCATGCCTGTAATCCAGGTACATTGGGAGGCTGAGGTGGGAGGATCACATGAGGCCAGGAGTTCAAGACCAGCTTGACCAACAGGGTGTAATCCCATCTCTACTAAAAATACAAAAAAAAAAAAAAAAGCCGGGCATGGTGGCATGCACCTGTAGTCCCAGGTACTTGGGAGGCTGAGGTAGGAGAATTGATTGAACCCAGGAGGTGGAGGAGGCTACAGTGAGTGGAGATTGCACCACTGCACTCTAGCCTCGGTGACAGAGCAAGACCGTGTCTCAAAAAGACTAGAGAAACCTCAACAATATAGTGAAAATAATTTTAAGATCTTCATAGCACTCAACTTCCCATACCCAGAAACAACCTCTGTAAACATTCCAGTGTATTTTCTTTCAGGTTTCTTCTGTGTTTACATATAAACACGCCTTTTTTTGTTGTTTGTTTGTTTGTTTGAGACGGAGTTTCAGAGTTTCGCTGTTTTGCCCAGGCTGGAGTGCAGCGGCTTGACCTCGGCTCATTGCAACCTCTGCCCCGCAGGTTCAAGTGATTCTCATGCCTCAGCCTCCCAAGTAGCTGGGATTACAGGCACCCACTGCCAGGCCCGGCTAATTTTTGTATTTTTAGTAGAGACGGGGTTTCGCCATGTTGGCCAGGCTGGTCTCGAACCCCTGACCTCAGGTGATCCGCCTGCCTTGGCCTCCCAAAATGCTGGGATTACAGGCGTGAGCTACCACACCCGGCTTAAACACGCTTTTTAAAAAGGGATTATGCTATTAGTATTGTTTTGTTAATCGGATTGTGGCTAGCTCTTCAAGCCCTAGCCTGTCTAGCCACACCGTGGTTTCAGTGGCTGCACAGATTCGGAGGCATGGAGAGACCATCATCCGTTTATCATCACTGATTGACACTCAGATCGTTTCCTTTTTTCTTTCACTGTAATAAACAACACTAGAAAGAACATTTTTGCGCAAGCCTGTGCACTTTCTTGCCGATTTATTTAGGTGACTTCCTCTTACCAGAACAGCCACAGCCACCAAAGTGCTGTCCTAATGCAATGCACAGTGTCGCACCAAGGAAAAAAGTCAGCACATCCTTTCCTGTGTAAGGCTCCCCCGCCAGTGGCTTTCCATTGTACTAAGAATCAAATCCGCCCCACTCCCATTCAAGGCCGCAGCTGCTTCGGCCCCTGCCCGCTCCCCCACCCTCTCTGTGCATCTTCCTCCTACATTTCCACCTCACTGGCCTCTCTGCTCCTTGACTGCACCAAGATCATGCACACCTCAGTGCTTTTGTAGCTGCTGTCTGGTACCCTCTGGGCTCTCATACGTTCCTGGGCTGTTTTAGACTGAAATGGCCCCTCCCTAGGCAGCGTTCTCCACCATCCAGCCTGCACTTGTCTCCTGCTCCCTGATGGATCTGTGTCATTTCCCCTGACTCATCACCTTCTGAAACTGTTTCTTGCATATGTTTTGCTACTTCTCACCCCACCCCAGACTGTAAACTTCCTGAAGGCAAGAGCCTCACTGGTCTTGTTAACCCCACAGCCCTGATGCTGCCCAGCACTTGGCACATAGCAGGTGCTCAGTAAACACTGGTTGAATGAGACTTTGCTGAGTTGAGCAATTGGTTCAGAGTTGGTTGAGGGCTTTTATTTCTCACTTATAGTCCCAGTTGCACCACTGCACTCCAGCCTGGGCAACATAAGTGAGACCCTGCAGCCTCAACTGCAGTGAGCTGTGACTGCACCGTTGTACTCCTGGGCTCACTGCAGCCTCAACTGCAGTGAGTTGTGATTGCACCATTGCACTCCTGGACTCAAGCAATCCTCCCACCTCAGCCTCCCTAGTTGCTGGGACCACAGGCGTGCACCACCACATCTGGCTAATTTTTTTATTTTTGTAGAGACAGGGGTCACTGTGTCACCCAGGCTGATCTCAAACTCCTGGGTTCAAGCAATCGCCTACGTTAGCCTCCCAAAGTGCTGAGACTACAGGTGTGAGCCACTGTGCCCCGCCTGAGGGATTTTCAATACCCTGTATCAAAGTTGTTTAGTGCTCTTTATGAAAGTTGCTTGATACACTTGATAAAAAGTCCAATACCTTTTATGAAAATTACCCAGAAATACTGCAGCAATTTATACTCCTTCAGGCATGTATGGGAGTTACAAGCTAATCCAAAAAGAGAATCAGAGGGCAAGATTTGGGAAAGAAGGGCGGGAAGGGTATTTTATAATTATCAAGCCACACTCGTTATTCATCAGACACGTACAACTACCAACTTCCCCAGCATACCTGGAGCTTAATAACTGCTTGAGGCATGAACAACTGGGGACACTGAAGGTGGGGAATTTTTCTTGGTGCCCAAACCTGCGGGAATTTTTACCTGTGGCGGTGGATGGCACCAACAGTTGATGCTGCCAGTTGCACGGTGGCATCCTGGGCGGTGTCAGCACATTCTTTGATGTGTTAGGAAATACTTGCCCAGCTTGTCGGGGCCTGCTCTTACCTCCAAGGTGAGCAGGTTGTTTAATGGGGTGCATGGTTGTCCAGGCAAGATACCCAGGGCCCTTGGGCTGGCCATGTCTACATCTGGACGGCAGCCTGAATGGTTCCCTTGTCCCTTGGTTGTTTGGGGCCCTGAGAACATGAGAACCCACTGCACCGTCCATAGAATCTGCAGACCCATAGTAAGTCAGGAGGGACACAGACCCCTGGTAATTTTCCCCAACGTGGCTTGCCCCCCATGCAGAATAACCACAGTAACTTGTGGCCCTGGTTGGTTCTCCCAGGATATTCACTTGGACAGAGAATTCAGGGAAATCTTACATCCCCCAAGGCCTGAGGAGGGCCCTGGAATCTGAACTTTCCAGAAACCAGCAGGGCCGCCAGGGTCACCCCAGCCCCTGGCCACTCTTTCTCCTCCTCTTGGTCCGGAGCCACCTGCGGCCAAGCGTTCTGCCTGGGTCTTGGCTCTTGGCGTTTCTTTGCAGCTCCATCTCTCCGAGTGCTCCCATCTGATACACGTTTCAAAAGTTCAATTCCAGGGTAGCCAAAAGTGTGAAGCTGCCATGGAGAAGGGCTAAAAAACAACCAGGAATTCCAAGCGGCCTGCTCTCGGAGGATTGCAGATCTTAGCAGCCTGAGAGGGCCGGGGTCTCCTGGCTAGTCTGGCAGTTTCCAATCTGGGGGCTCTCTTTGTTTGGAGCGGAGATCCTAAAGGAAACCCCGCCCAGAAATGGTGACTAGGCTGTTAATCTTATACTCAAACTCCTTCATCATGAGCAAGATGCAAATGAAAATGATATCTGGATGCCACTCCCTACCTTCTATTGGTCAAGAACCAAAAGCAAGACATCACACAGCGCTGGGAGGCATCACACAGCGCTGGGAGGCATCGCACAGCCCCGTTGTCATTGTCCGGGGAGTCTGCAGGTGTTATCTTTATGCAGGGCAGGTTGGCAGCTGTCAAGATGCAAATGCACGTCCTTTGGTCCAGCAATTCCACTCCTAGGCGCTCACTCTCAGGCACCCTCACACAAAAGCAAAAAGTCCCATGGACAACAATGACATTGTTTGCAAAGGTAAAAAATTAGAAAACACGGGCTCAATGGCTCGCGCTTATAATCCGGGCACTTTGGGAGGCTGAGACGGAAGGATTGCTTGAGCCCAGGAGTTCGAGACCAGCATGGGCGGCATGGTGAAATCCCATCTCTAAAAAATACGAAAATTAACCAGGCATGGTGGTATGCACCCGTGGTCCCAGCTACTGGTGAGGCTGAGGTGGGAGTATGACTTGAGCCCAGGAGGTTGAGGCTGCAGTGAATCATGATGGTGTCACTGCACACACACACACACACACACACACACACACGCAAAAAAAAAAAGATTAGAAAGAACTAAATGTCCACCAATAGGGATCCAGTTAAATATAACACTTTATTACAATGGAATACTATGCAGTGGATAAAAAGAATGAGTTCTTTCTGTATAGTAAAGCAACAAATCCCGAGATATATTGTTAAGCTAAAAAAGCAAAGTGCAGAGTGGTATGTCTATGGCAGTATGTATATAATATTTGTGTTGAAAAAATGGGTGAGGGAAAAAATATAATAATTGTTAACATCCACATAAGATCTAAACATCTCTCCTCTGGGGAGAACTTGGTGCAGAAAGACAGGGTTGAGAGGGAGAGTGTTTTTTGCCTTAAGGATTGTGTGTTCAACAACTAAAATGTGCGGCTATGATTAGTCTTTTCCATTTTAATTTTGATGTGGAAAGAACACTCCTGGCTGCACTTTTTTTTTTTTTTTTTTTTTGACGCAGAGTCTCCCTGTGTCGCCCAGGCTGGAGTGCAATGGTGTGATCTCGGCTCATTGCAACCTCCACCTCCTGGATTCAAATTATTCTCCTGCCTCAGCCTCCCGAGTAGCTGGGATTACAGGCATCTGCCACCATACCCAGCTAATTTTTGTTTTTGTATTTTTGGTAGAGATGGGGTTTCACCATCTTGGCCAGGCTGGTCTTGAACTCCTGACCTCAAGTGATCCACCTGCCTCAACCTCTCAAAATGTTGGGATTATAGGCGTGAGCCACTGCACCTGGCACTGGTTGCACTTTTTTTTTTTTTTTTTTTTTTTTGATGCAGAGTCTCACTGTATCGCCCAGGGTGGAGTGCAGTGGTGTGATCTCGGCTCGTTGTAACCTCCACCTCCTGGGTTCAAATGATTCTCCTGCCTCAGCCTCCCAAGTAGCTGGGATTACAGGCACCTGCTACCACACCCAGCTAATTTTTGTTTTTGTATTTTTGGTAGCGATGGGGTTTCACCATGTTCCCATGCTGGTCTTGAACTCCTGATCTCAAGTGATCTGCCGGCCTCGACCTCTCAAAGTGCTGGGATGACAGGCGTGAGCCACCGCGCCTGGCCCTGGTTGCACACTGTGAACAACGCTTTGGGGTCTACAAGGCGCCATGCTGCCTTCTAGAACAAAATTCCAACAAATGCGAGTTTGCAAGATCTTATCGGCTTTTATTAGCAATTCATGTATCAGGCAATATCCCAAGTACAGAATAGAAAGGTGCTTCCACGAACTGAGCAGCGAGGGGAGGTTTTAGAGTCAGCAAAGGCTGCATGCAGAGAGTACAAACGATGAACAGGCCGGGCGCAGTGGCTCACGCCTGTAATTCCAGCACTTTGGGAGGCCGAGGAGGGTGGATCGCAAGGTCAGGACATCGAGACTATCCTGGCTAACAAGGTGAAACCCCGTCTCTACTAAAAATAGAAAAAAATTAGCCAGGCGTGGTGTTGGACACTTGTAGTCCCAGCTACTCGGGAGGCTGAGGCAGGAGAATGGCATGAACCCAGGAGGTGGAGGTTGCAGTGAGCAGAGATCACGCCACTGCACTACAGCCTGGGTGACAGAGCGAGACTCCATCTCAAAAAAAAAAGAAACAACAAAATTTGGATGGGTCGTCCCAGTTACTTTTCTTGTAGGATTAAAGCAGGAAGGCCACACTATCCTGCTGGCTCAGAGGGACTGGGGGCCCTTTTGATTGGTTGTTGCTGTGTATCTCCTATTTTTTGGAAAATCGGCCCATTGCTTTTTTTTTTTTTTTTTTTGAGACAGAGTCTCACTCTGTTGCCCAGGCTGGAGTGCAGTGGCGTGATCTCGCTCACCGCAACCTCCACCTCCTGGGTTCAAGCGATTCTCCTGCCTCAGCCTCCCAGGTAGCTGGGATTACTGGTGCCTGCCACCACAGCCAGCTAATTTTTGTATTTTTAGTAGGGGTTTCACTGTGTTGAGCAGGCTGGTCTCGAACTCCTGACTTCAAGTGATCTGCCCACCTCAGCCTCCCAAAGTGCTGGGATTACAGGAATGATCCACCGTGCCTGGCCTAAAACCAGCCCATTTCTAAGTTCAGTTTGATGAGGTGGCACCTAGCAGGGTGACTCCGATCTGATTTGGTTTGGTCTGTTGGGCCTAGCCCAGTCCAAAACAATGGCCTCCCGTCAATTTAATGCTCCCCTCCTCCCACCTTCCGGGTCTCCTCTCCAGCCTGGCCCCTTCCTGGACCTCCCCCAAGAACCCAGGTACCCCCAACATCGGCACTGTCACAGAACATTCCGGAAAGTATCCTTAGAAGCCTGTAATCCCAGCACTTTGGGAGGCCGAGGCAGGCGGATCATGAGCTCAGGCGTTTGAGACCAGCCCGGCCAAGAGACCAGCCTGGCCAATATGGTGACACCCCATCTCTACAAAAAATACAAAAATTAGCTGGGTGTGGTGGCGCATGCCTGTAATTCCAGCTAGTTGAGAGGCTGAGGCAGGAGAATCGCTTGAACCTGGGAGGCGGCGGTTGCAATGAGCCGAGATCACACCGTTGCACTCCAGCCTGGGCAACAGGGCGAGACTCTGTCTTAAAATTTAAAAAAAAAAAAAAAAGCCCAAAGAGACTTAGTGACTTTGTCACACAGTTACTAAACGTTAGTGTAGGGATGGAGACTCGCGTCTGGAAGACATGCTCCAGAGGTGAGATTTGCAGAATGCCAAAGCAGGATGCATGGGAAATCTTATTCCCAAAAGCAGTGTTCAAAAACAGCTGTTTCAGGACTCCAGAAATACACCACAGAGTCATACAACGAACAGGGAGGTGTTTGTTCAAAAAAGTGTGGACCTCAGATAAGAACAGAGGGATCTGTGGTGTCTGAGCCTGGGACCGCTCCTGTTCACCCCACCAGCTCCTGTGGCTGGAAGTTCTACTGGGGTGGGGCTGTGCCATCCAGCGGCTTTCTTGATTTGAAGCAGAGCGAGGAAAACCACACACCTCTGGCCATTGTCAGGAACAGTATCAAACCTGGTGGCCAAGACACAGGAAGGCCAGTTGGTCCAAAGGTGCAGTTATCATCTGGGGCAGAAAATCAGGGAGGATCTAGAGAATGAGACAGCCGTGGTGGCCCTTGGTAGGCTCCCAGGCGTCCCTGGTGTTCTAGAAGGCTGTGCCCACAGCAAGAGGAGCAAAGCGGGAGGGGGCACTTAGGCTTCCCAATTCTGAAACATCCTATACAGCGACAGTGATCAAGATGGTGGTGCTGACATCAGGACAGACACAGAGATTAAGAGAACGTGATTGGGCCTGGTACGGTGGCTTACGCCTGAAATCCCAGCACTTTGGGAGGCCAAGGAGGGGAGGATCACGAAGTCAGGAGTTCCAGAGCAGCCTGGCCAACATGGCAAAACCCCATCTCTGCTAAAAATACAAAAATTAGCCCCGCGTGGTGGTGTGCACCTGTAATCCCAGCTACTTGGGAGGCTGAGGCCAGAGAATCACTTGAACCTGGGAAGCAGAGGTTGCAGTGAGCCAAGATTGCACCACTGTACTCCAGCCTGGGCAACAGAGCGAGACTCGGTCTCAAAAAAAGGTAAAAAAAAAAATTTAAAAAAAAAATTAAAAAAAAAAATGATTGGAAGTCCATAAAATAAATCATCACACTTCCAGTCAATTGATTTTGACATCGGTGCCAGGACCATTCAGTGGGCAGAGAATAATTTCTCAACAAATGATGCAAGGGCAATTAGATATTTACAAGTAAAACTGTGATGTTGGACCTTTGCCTCACACTATATATAAAAATTAACTCAAAATGGATCCAAGGCTGAAATGTAAGAGCTAAAAATTACAGATGTCTGAGAAAACAAGTATAAATCCTTCATGACCTTGGATGGTTTGCTAGATATGACGCCAAAAGCACAATCTATAAATGAAAACAAATTGATAAATTGTATTCTATCAAAGTTTAAAACTTTTATGCCTTAAAAGACACCATTAGGCCAGGCACGGTGGCTCACACCCATAATCCCAGCACTTTGGGAGGCTGAGGCAGGAGGATCACTTGGGCCCAGGAGTTTGAGACCAGCCTGGGCAACATAGTGAGACTCCATCTGTACAAAAAATAAAATATATCAATCAGGCTTGGTGACATGCTGCTCAGGAGGCTGAGGAGGGAGGATCGCTTGCACTCAGGAGGTCAAGGCTGAAGTAAGCCACGATCATGCCACTGCACTCTGGCCTTGGTGACAGACCTTGTGTCTAAAACAATTTTTAAAAATTGTCTAACACTGGATTGTGGAGATGACTGCACAACTCTATAAAATCTCTAAAAACCATTGAATTGTACACTTAGAAAGGTTGAGTTTATACGGTATGTTAAACTTAATAAAGTTGGTTTGGTTTTTTTTTTGTTTTTTGAAACAGAGTCTCACTCTCTTGCCCAGGCTGGAGTGCAGTGGCAGAATCTTGGCTCACTGCACACTCCACCTCCCACGTTCAAGTGATTCTCCTGCCTCAACCTTCAACTAGCTGGGATTACAGGTGCACACCATCATGCCTGGCTAATTGTTTGTAGAGGCAGGGTTTCACCATGTTGGCCAGACTGGTCTCGAATTCCAGACCTCAAGTGATCCACCTGCCTTGGCCTCCCAAAGTGCTGGGATTCCAGGTGTGAGGTGTGAGCCACCGTGCCTGACCAATAAAGCTCTTTTTTTTTTTTTTTTTTGGAGACAAAGTCTTACTCTTGTCCCCCAGGCTGGAGTGCAATGCCTTGATCTTGGCTCACTGCATCCTCCGCCTCCCAGGTTCAAGTGATTCTTCTGCCTCAGCCTCCCGAGTAGCTGGGATTACAGGCGCCTGCCACCACATCCGGCTAATTTTTGTATTTTTCGTAGAGATGGGGTTTCACCATGTTGGCCAGGCTGGTCTCGAACTCCTGACCTCAGGTGGTCCACCCGCCTCACTCCCAAAGTGCTGAGGTTACAGGCATGAGCCACCGCGCCTGGCCTAAAGCTCTTTTTTAAAAACCATCTTTGATTAGCTGAAGGATTTAACTCCTCTTGTGAGAGGGCAGTTTTTACTAGCCATGGGACCCTGGGTAAATCTCTTTATTTCCTGGTGTCTCCGTTTCCTCCCCTGTGAACGAGCGATAACAGCTCCCTCAGGAGGAAGGTGGAAGGCGGTGAAGCACCTGGCATATGCAGTAGTGCTGAGATAGCACCTGTTCATCTCTCCCAAGACACCACTGTTCGGGTTGACAGGTGGTAGTGAAACCAAGCAGAATTCTCGGAGGGTGAGTCCAATCCAGACAGACTGGGTCCAGCAGATCCCTGAGTTAAAAGGAAATAACTTAACAGCCTTGACCTAGAATCAGATGGATGCTCATGTGCAGAGAAAATGGGATTTGCCACCTGTTCTCAACTCAAGGCAGGCTCTGTGTCTGGCGGCTTCAAGGAAGTGTCCCTTGGCCATGGCTCTTCCACTACGGGAGCAAGCAGGAGGCACCCAGGTCTCCCTGCCCACCCAGAGTCCCTGCAGGAGGCCCTCCAGATCTCTCAGTAACGGGCCCTCTTTCTTCTTTTTTTCAGCCTGGGGACTCCTCGGGATGGAAAGGCCTTCCGGATCTTTGCTGTCAGGCAGTGAATTTCCAGCACCAGGGGAGAAGGGGCGTCTTCAGGAGGGCTTCGGGGTTTTGCTTTTATTTTTATTTTGTCATTGCGGGGTATATGGAGAGTCAGGAAACTTCCTTTGACTGATGTTCAGTGTCCATCACTTTGTGGCCTGTGGGTGAGGTGACATCTCATCCCCTCACTGAAGCAACAGCATCCCAAGGTGCTCAGCCGGACTCCCTGGTGCCTGATCCTGCTGGGGCCTGGGGGTCTCCATCTGGACGTCCTCTCTCCTTTAGAGATCTGAGCTGTCTCTTAAAGGGGACAGTTGCCCAAAATGTTCCTTGCTATGTGTTCTTCTGTTGGTGGAGGAA
Source organism: Homo sapiens (assembly GCF_000001405.40). Taxonomy (NCBI): domain Eukaryota; kingdom Metazoa; phylum Chordata; class Mammalia; order Primates; family Hominidae; genus Homo; species Homo sapiens. The sequence continues at coordinate 84,906,983 of NC_000016.10, forward strand.
GTTGATTTCAACCTCCCTGCCAAAAGAACAAACCATTTGAAGCTCACAATTGTGAAGCATTCACGGCGTCGGAAGAGGCCTTTTGAGCAAGCGCCAATGAGTTTCAGGAATGAAGTAGAAGGTAGTTATTTAAAAATAAAAAACACAGTCCGTCCCTACCAATAGAGGAAAATGGTTTTAATGTTTGCTGGTCAGACAGACAAATGGGCTAGAGTAAGAGGGCTGCGGGTATGAGAGACCCCGGCTCCGCCCTGGCACGTGTCCTTGCTGGCGGCCCGCCACAGGCCCCCTTCAATGGCCGCATTCAGGATGGCTCTATACACAGCAGTGCTGGTTTATGTAGAGTTCAGCAGTCACTTCAGAGATGTATCTTGTCTTTGTCAGGCCCTTCGTCTTCATGGCCCACCTGTTTTCTGCCGTGACCTTTGGTCCCATTGAGGACTAAGGATCGGGACCCTTTCTTTACCCCCTACCCGTTGTGGCTCCCACCCTGCCTCGGACTGGTTTACGTGTCCTGGTTCACACCCAGGACTTTTCTTTGCAAGCGAACCTGTTTGAAGCCCAAGTCTTAACTCCTGGTCTCGTAAGGTTCCACTGAGACGAGATGTCTGAGAACAACCAAAGAAGGCCTGCTCTTTGCTGCTTTTAAAAAATGACAATTAAATGTGCAGATTCCCCACGCACCCGATGACCTATTTTTTCAGCCGTGGGAGGAATGGAGTCTTTGGTACATTCCTCACCGAGGTTAGCAGCTCAGTTTGTGGTTATGAAACCGTCTGTGGCCTCATGACAGCGAGAGATGGGAATACACTAGAAGGATCTCTTTTCCTGTTTTCGTGAAACGACTCTTGCCAAACGTTCCCGAGGCGCCAAGGAGTGTAGTACACCCTGGCTGCCATCACTCTATAAAAGTGCTTCATGAGCCCAGACCAAAAGCCCACAGTGAAATGAAGTACCCTTTTGTAAATAGCATTTTTTTGCAGAAGGTGAAAATTCCACTCTCTACCACCGGGCCAGCCAATAGATCACTTTGGTGAATGCTAGTTTCAAATTTGATTCAAAATATTTCTTAGGTGAAAGAACTAGCAGAAAGTCAAAAACTAAGATACTGTAGACTGGACAAGAAATTCTACCTGGGCACCTAGGTGATGCCTTCTTTCTTTGATTGCCTTTCTAATAAATGCAGAATCTGAAGGTAAATAGGTTTAAAACAAAACAAAAACCCACCCCTTTAAGGAGTTGGTAAAAAGCAGTTCAACTCTTAGCTTGACTGAGCTAAAATTCACAGGACTACGTGCTTTGTGCATTGTAGTCTAGTCGTAATTCATAGGTACTGACTCCTCAGCCCCAAATGTCGGAGAGGAAGAATTCGGTCAGCCTGTCAGGTCGTGAGTCCAGTTACCACCAAACATCTGGGAAACTTCTGGGTGCTGGGTGCTCTGCTGCTGGACTTTTGTGGCTGTGTCTGTGTCTGCAAGATAAATTAGATCGCCCTGTGGGGTTTGCAGAATTAGTGAAGGGTCCAGGACGATCCCAGTGGGCTCGCTTCCAAAGCATCCCACTCAAGGGAGACTTGAAACTTCCAGTGTGAGTTGACCCCATCATTTAAAAATAAAGTCCCCGGGTTCCTTAATGCCTCCTTCACTGGGCCTTCCTAGCAGGATAGAAAGTCCTTGCCCAGAGCAGGACCTGGCTGTCTTTTTTTTTTTTTTTTTTTTTTTCCCGAGACCAAGTTTCACTCTGTTGCCCAAGGTAGAGTGCAGTGGCGTGATCTCTGCTCATTGCAACTGCCGCCTCCCGGGTTCAAGCAATTCTCATGCATCAGCCTCCCAAGTACCTGGGACTACAGGCGTGAGCTACCATGCCCGGCTAATTTTTGTATTTTTAGTAGAGATGGGGTTTCATTATGTTGGCCAGGCTGGTCTCGAACTCCTTACCTCAGGTGATCCACCCACCTTGGCCTCCCGAAGTGCTGGGATTACAGGCATGAGCCACTGCGCCCGGCCATGGACCTGGCTGTCTTTATCATCCCCACAAACATTTTGAAACTGGAATATTTGTCTTCAGAAAATGGAAACAAGACTATAAATGATAAGCCCTGTCCCTAGCACCACCTCTCCTGTGTGTGGAATAGAGGCCCCTCGTGCTACCAACACTTACCCTGTGTTTAAAAAGATCTTGTACCAAGCCAACGGCGTTCCTGGCTCTCCTGCCCACAGGATGAACATTTTCGGCTTCCTTAGGAGTTTTGCCCTACCGTATTCCAAAGCGTGTGCTGGTTTCTCATATTGTCTGTAGGCTCACTCAGCCCGCAGTTTATGTGTGTGCTTTTTTCTATGAAAAATGATGTATTTTGCTACTTCCTGTGTACAAAGTTTTATTGTAAATGTTTTTTGTGCTTTGCATGAACAGGGGCCACGTTGTTGCAATTGTTTCAGTAGAACTGGTTTGATTTCTAAAATGTTCCTGTAACATATCTTTTATGAACAAATCTGAACAATTTGTGAAATAAAACATTGAAAACCATCTTTCAGGCTCTGGACTGTTTTGTGTTGGCTGCTTCTGCTAGGATGTCTCATATACACAGAGATGCTGACAGCCAGGGCCTGGTGGAGACCTCCACCCCATCCGCGGGAAGGAGGGAGGAGCTTGCCAAAATGCAATTTCGGGCTCAGCAAGGCTGGGTTGGGGCCAGGGACTGTGAATTTCTCCCAAGATCCTGGTGATGCGAATGCTGCCAGTCCCCAGATCACACTCTGAGTGGTGGTGGGCTCAAGGCCATTCTGTCTAAGCTCCGGCTGCCCTAACAAAATACCATAGACTGGGTGACTTAACCCACAGAGATATCTTCCTCACAGTTCTGGAGGCTGGAAGTCTAAGATCAGGGTGCCAGCAGCGTTGGTTTCCTCTGCGGCCTCTCTTTGGTTTGCAGGTGGCTGCCCCTGGCCGTGTCCTCACATGGCCTTTCCTCTGGGCATGTACACTCCTGGTGTCTCTCTCTCTCTCTTATAAGGACACCGGTCATATTGGGTCTGGGCCCCACCCTTAGGACCCATTTAACCTGAATTACCTCCTTAAAGGCCCTACCTTGAAATACACAGGCTGGCTCATGCCTGTAATCCCAGCACTTTGGGAAGCTGAGGCAGGAGGATCACTTGAGTCCAAGAGTTCAAGAGCAGTCTGGGCAACATGGGGAAACCTTATCTCTACAAAAAAAATACAAAAATTTGCCGGGCATGGTGGCGCATGCATGTAGTCCCAGCTACTTGGGAGGCTGAGGCAGGAGAATTGCTTGACCCTGGGAGGCAGAGGTTGCAGAGAGCCAAGATGACACCACTGCACTCCAGCCTGAGTGACAGAGCGAGACACACACACACACACACACACACACACACACGAAAGAAATACATTGGGGGTTAGGGATCGTTTTGTGTGGTTACAATAAGGAAATGATCAAAGTACGATTTCACAAATCACACAGTTTATTGCTACACAAAGATGTTTTTTCCTTAGGTTCCCAGTGCTTAAACAGGGAGAGAATGAGACCAAACCTCACAGAGAATACACTCGACAGACGAAGCCCATTAACCCCACAGTGGGTCAGTTCCAGAATGATCAAGGCCTACTTGCTCACTTAGGATGGAAGCAGGCCTCAGTTTGAGGTGCACCTTCTACCAGCCGTTCTTGGAAGCGCTGTAAGGTCCCTAGAAGGCAGTTCCAGCGCTGGCCAGAGGCTTCTGAGAGTAGCTCCAAGGCTGGCGGGGTGACCTGTCACAGCTGGAGCTCCCAGCTTTGGGAGAAGATGCCGAGGGTGCAGCCGGCCACAGCCAGAGCTCCCAAAGGGTCCGTCCCACTGGCAGGTTTGCATGTGTATGGAAGTCCAGTCGTGAGGGTCAGGAGCTCGCAGACGGGGTCCGATAAGGGGTGAGGCCACATTCTCCAGGGAAGAAGGGGCACACCAAGTTCTTAGCGCAGCAAAACGCGTCACCCACGTAGCAACCTGTGGAGGTGTCTGGAATCATTTCAAAGCCCTGTGGGCCGGGCACAGTGGCTCGTGTCTGTAATCTCAGCACTTTGGGAGGCCGAGGTGGGTGAATTGCTTGAGGTCAGGCGTTCGAGACCAGCCTGGCCAATATGGTGAAACCCCATCTCTACTACAAATACAAAAATTAGCCAGGCGTGGTGGTGCACGCCTGTAATCCCAGCTACTTGGGAAGCTGAGGCAGGAGAATGGCTTGAACCCAGGAGGAGGAGGTTGTGGTGAGCCGAGATCGCGCCACTGCACTCCAGCCTGGGCAATACAGTGAGACTTTATCTCAAAAACAAAACAAACAAAGAAAACCCTATGTGTTCAGGGTGGGAAATTTAGTTCGTAACGGTCACCTTCTTCCCAGGCATCAGCCCAAAGCAGCCCCTTTTCACCAAGCGCAGTCACATCTCGCTGAGTGCCTCAATGCACCAAAGCCCCAGAGCAATTTGGGGGCACGGGGCCGGCCTTTCCTCTCCCCGGTGAAGGCGCCTGCCTTCCTCTCAGGCTCATCTCTAGTGCGGTCCTTTTCCATGCGTGATGGGGATAGCTTTCCTCTTTAAGAAATACCAGGCTTTTAAAATGTCCATTTTAAAATGTTGAGTAAGTTAAGATTGTGCAGGTCAATTGCAAAAATCACCAAGATTGGATAATAAGGGCTGAAGTTTGCGAAACACTTCCGGCTCTGCCCACAGCATCCTCAGCGTATGGCATTTGTCCTGCGACATACAGATGGTTACTGCTCCTAATATCATTATTTTGACCAATGCATTTGGCATTCCCTGCACTGTTTTCTCCTCTAAAAGTGTCTCCCAGGCCTTCACTGCTTCAGCCACTGCTCTCCTGCCTTCTACCCCAGGGAAGGGAGGCCACAGCTGAATAGCAGGAACAAAGGGGTCAATGTCAGCTTTCGAGTTTCTAAACTGACTTCTTGTTTGTTTGTTTTGAGACAGTCTCACTCTGTCACTCAGGCTGGAGTGCAATGGTGCAATCTAGGCTCGCTGCAACCTCTGCCTCCCAGGCTCAAGCAATCCTCCCACCTCAGCCTCCTGAGTAGCTGGGACCACAGGTGCACGCCACCACGCCCAGCTCATTTTTGTACTTTTTGTAGAGACGGGGGTTCACCATGTTGCCCGGGCTAGTCTTGAACTTCTGGGCTCAAGCGATTCTCCCGTCTCAGCTCCTAAAAGTGCTGGGATTACAGGCACAAGCCACCACACCCCGCCCGTTTGTTTTTCAACTTTTTTATTTTGACACAATTTCAGACTGGCAGAAAAGTTGCAAGAACAGTACAAAGAATTCCCATATACATTTCATTCAGATTCCCAGACACTAGCATTGGATTGCATTGGTCATTTTCTTCCTCTATCTCATTTCTAAATTATTTAAGAGAGAATTGCAGGCATCACACTCCTTTTATCTCAATACTTTGAGTGTATATTTCCTAAGAATGAGGACATTCTCTTACATAGCCATGATATAATTCTCTAAATCAGGAAATTAACATTAGTGCAATATATCATCTAATCTATATACTTTGTCCAGATTTTACCAGTTGTCTCAGTAACGTCCTTTATGGCGAAAGAGAATCTCAGGTCATGAGGTATATTCAGTTTTCTTTTCTTTTCTTTTTTTTTTTTTGAGACAGGGTCCTAATCTGCTGTCATCCAGGCTAGAGTGCACTGGCACAATCAGGGCTCACTGCAGCCTCAATCTCCCGAGCTCAAGCAATCCTCCCACCTCAGCCTCTGGAGTAGCTGGGACCGCAGGTGTGTGCCAACACGCCCGGCTAATTTTTGGTTTTGGTTTTGGTTTTATTTTTTTGTAGAGATGGGGTTTTGCCATGGTGCCCAGGCTGATCTCAACTCCTGAGCTCCACTGATCCTTCTACCTCGGCCCCCAGAGCCCTGGGATTACAGGTGTGAGCCACTACCCCAGGACGCTTTGATGTCTTTTTAGTATCCTTGCATCTGGAATTGCTCCTTAGTTTATCTTTGCCTCTCCTGTGTGTGTGTGTGTGTGTGTGTGTGTGTGTGTGTGTGTCTGTGTGTGTGTGTGTGTGTGCAGTGGCATGATATCAGCTCACTGCAACCTCTGCCTCCTGGGTTCAAGCGATTCTCCCACCTCAGCCTCCTGAGTAGCTGGGATTACAGGCATGTGCTACCAAGCCCAGCTAATTTTTGTATTTTTAGTAGAGCCGGATTTTCACCATATCGGTTAGGCTGGTCTTGAACTCCCGACCTCAGGTGATTGGCCCACCTCAGCCTCCTAAAGTGCTGGGATTACAAGCGTGAGCCACTGGCCCCAGCCTATCTTTGCCTTTTATGATGTTGACTTTTTTAGTTAAAGATAGCTGGCCAATATTTCGAAGAATGTCCCTGAACCTGAGTTTGTCTGGTGTTGCTTCACCATGAGGCTCAGGGTATACACTTTTGGCAGATACCGCAGGGGAGACACTGTGTCCTTCTCCGTGGCTCGTATCAGAAGCCGCATCTGTTTGTCCTGTTCCTGCAGCTGCTGACTCTGATGGCTTGGCTGAGGCATCTGGCAGATCTGTCCACTGCGAAGTTCCTATTTATTTAGAGACAGGGTCTGGCTCTGTTGCCTGGGCTGGAGTGCTGTGACATGAACATGGCTCAATGCAGCCTCCTCCTCCCCTGGCTCAGGTGATCCTGCCACCTCAGCCTCCTAAGTAGCTGGGACCACAGGTGTGTGCCGTCATGCCCGGGTAATTTTTTGTATTTTTGGTAGAGACAGGGTTTTGCCATGTTGTCCAGTCTGGTCTTAAACTCCTGGACTCAAGCATTCCACCTGCCTCAGCCTCCCAGAGTGCTGGGATTACAGACGTGGGCCACTGTGCCTGGCCTCTGTTTTTTTTTAAACTAAGTAATTATCTTCTGGAGAGATATATTGAGACTATGTAAATAGCCTATTCCCCATAAAAACTTCACCCAGTAGTTTTTGCCTCTATTGATGATTCTTTCTTGAGACAAGTATTTTATGATGGTTGCCAAAGGTGAACTTTCTAACTCCACTGTGCTTTCCGCATTTATTAGTTGGCGTTGTACTGTAAGGAAGAGATTTCCCTTTTCCTCCATTTATTTATTTATTTGCATACACACATGCATATGTGTGTGTATAATGATATATGTGTATGTTATATAGTTGATATATATTTATATGTGTGTCATGCAGATATACGATCTCTATCTAGATACATATTATGTATATATGATATATAGATGTAGATATGATATGATTATATCACTGATCTATAATATAGACACACATATACATTGGCATGGACTCAGGAATTCTTATTTTATGCAGTGGATTAAAATGCTTTCCTATCAGTTTTATTTGGATGCTCAAACTGTCCCAGATTTGGAGAGGGGAGCTCCGTCCAGCTGGCTCTGTGTCCTTCCAGCGCGGCCCATCAATTCGAGGACTTCCTGACTTTCTGGCACAACAAGATGTTCCTGGCTCATCTTGTACTTCCCCTGCCCAGCCCTGGAATCAGCCATTTCTCCAAGGAGCCCTGGTTCCTTCTGGTGGAGAATGGTGTCTAAATAGGTGGAAAAAAAAAACCCCACTCTGGCAGAGAAAACAGGTTGAGGGAAGAGATGCTTGTATCTCGAAAACAACAGATTTGGGGAGAGTTTGGCTCCTCACCCCATCCAGACCTGATGATGGAGAGCAAAAGCCTAAACCTAGATGCTGGCAATGGTCTGAGGGGCTCCCCAGTCCTACGAGACAGGGCCCCCTCCCCTTGTAGAAACTTGGAGTATCTGACACTCGCTTTCCCAGACTCCCCTGCAGCTTGGGCACCACGTGCAAGGAGTGGGGTCCAGAAAGGTCTCAGGGGAGCGGTGGGGGCTTCAGGGGCAGCATGTGGGAATGCCAAATTTAGGCAAAATAAAATAATAACAATAAAATACGGTATGGGACACGCTTAGCCCCGAAACGTACTTATTGCTTATCTGCAGTTCCCGTTGAACTGGCCTGCTGTTGGCCAGGTGCAGTGGCTCATGCTGTAATCCCAGCACTTTGGGAGGCCGAGGCGGGCGGATCATGAAGTCAGGAGATTGAGACCATCCTGGCTAACACAGTGAAACCCCGTCTCTACTAAAAATGCAGAAAAATTATCCGGGTGTGGTGGCGGGCGCCTGTAGTTCCAGCTACTCCGGAGGCTGAGGCAGGACAATGGCATGAACCCGGGAGGCAGAGCTTGCAGTGAGCCAAGATCACGCCACTGCACTCCAGCCTGGGCAACAGAGCAAGACTCCGTCTCAAAAAAATATATAAAATAAAATAAAAAATAAAAATGAACTGGCCTGCTGTTCATATGGCACCCCCAGTGTGGGTCTAACAGGAGAGCCTGGGCTCCCACCCCAGGGGGCTGCGTGGAGCCACAGCACTGCCACCAAGCAGGCGGGTCCCCTCATACAGCTCCGTGGCAGGAACTGGGAGCCACTCCTGGCTGCAGAGCTTCCCTGCTTGGTCCTCCAGCCCTCCCTGAGATTCTGTGGAATCTTCAAGGTCCTTTTAACAAATCCCTTTTCTGCTTAAATGAACTTGGGGTTCTGGAAAGAGTCACCTTCTCCCATCTCTCACAGAGCCAGATCCAGCTGGGAAAAAAGGGAGAAAGTGCCAGGACAGTCCTGAAAAACCCAAGCGTAGAAGGGCCTATTCCACATTTCCACTCAGAATTTGCAGTATTCCCCACCCTGCAAGCTGAACACTCTCAGGAGAGGGGCCTGGAAGAGAGTCCAGGGCACAGCAAGCCTGGAGCCGCCCAGTGAGGCAGCAATGCCCTGGTTTGGTGTGGGAGGGCAGGCAGAGGCTCCCATGCCCCCAAAAAGAGACAGCCAGGAGATCCTGAAGGGGATCTCCCCACAGGGAAAGGGCATGGATGGGAGACCTGGCCCTCTCAACAGATGCCGCCAGAGAACATGGCAATGACACCTTGTAGCTGGTGCTATCCTGAACAAATGGCACACATAATCTGATAGCTCCCTGCAGACCAGGGATGCTATATGCACCCTGATCCAATTATGCCTTGAGAGGCTGAGGCAGGTGAGTCGCTTGAACCTGGGAGGCGGAGGTTGCAATGAGCCGAGATCACACCACTGCACTCCAGCCTGGGTGACAGAGTGAGACTCCATCTCAGAAAAAAAAAAAAAAGAGGAGAGGATAGGAGAAAGGGTTAATGAACCATTCCAGGGAGAGTGATGTGGACAAGAAGGATATCCCGGCCTGTCCGGGTCTGGGTGGTCCGTCAGCGCCTTCCAAGGAAGAGTCTTTGATGTGGGCAGAGCCTTCGGCGGCAGATGCCAGGCACTTACCACAGTGACAGCAAGACAGTGTCTGTTAAGACGGCAGATTTGAGCTGAGGGAGTCCTGCTCTCTTTATGGCCACAGAATCTTCTGGTGGGGACTGAGAGAGGAAGAGAGTGTGCCCGGGAGTTCTTATCCGGATAGGTGCAGTCTTTGTGGATTAGGCAAAACATCTGGTCCCTGTTATCATGATGCCTTTTAAAATGTAGGATGGAGTCTTTTTCCAGGATGGAGTTACTTATGTCCAGGATGCTGTATACAGCGCCTATATCCAGTGCCACTTTGGTGAATGAATGAGCAAATGAATGAACACACAGCTGGTGGCACCAACCCTGGAGGAGCGAGTGTGGACACTGGTCTCGTTTTCTGATTTCAGCAGCTCCAGGCTGCAGGTCAGGGTGTGTGTAGCTGTAAACCGCTGCTCCATGGAGGATGAGAGGCTGCAAAGTGTGATTTCCTGGGTAGGAAAGACAGGTGCCTCTGCTTCCACCTGCTCAGCCCTGGGGAGAAGAGTTTGCTTCTATGACTCCCCTTTTCTGACTTTTTGCCTGGGCCTTTGGATGTTTTCCTGTTAAATGAAGGGCTAAAAGGAGGCAGAAAGTAAATGCGGCTGATTTCTCCCCAGGGAGTTGACAAAGAGCATGGGGAACCAGGAGCCTTGTTGAGAGTTTCAACCTCCTCCCTCCTCGCCGATCCCCTTGCCTGGCGGGCTGGGCTCAGGAAACTGATGGAGAAAAGGGGCTCTGTGTCTCCTCCATGTGTGCGTGTGTGCGTGTGTGTGTGTGTGTGTGTGTGTGTGTGCATTTGTAAAGAGGGAGCCCAAGGGAAAGGAAGGGGCTAAAACATGAATACATTTCTAGTGACTGAGCCACTGTGTGCCTGGACCTAGAAGGAGTGTGATGCAAGTTGCACCTTTAAGATGGTTGTGATTGAAACCAGACAGCTACTGTATTTCCAAAGTGCTCCACCTTACTTGTGCCAGGCACTGTCTTCAGCTCTATAAAGATTAATTTCTTTCTTTTTTTTTTTTGAGATGGAGTTTTACTCTTATAGTTCAGTCTGGAGTGTGATGGCAGTGATCTCAACTCACTGCAATCTCCGCCTCCCGGGTTCAAGCGATTCTCCTGCCTCAGCCTCCCAAGTTGAATTACAGGAGCCCACCGACACGCCGGCTAATTTTTTGTATTTTTAATAGAGACTGGGTGACAGAGCAAGATCCTGTCTCAAGAAAATGATAATCAATTCAATTCAATTCAATGCAGTCCCCAGATCACCGGCTCTGTGCTCAGCAAACTTCATCACAACGGGACTGATGTGGATCAGAGTGATGACCACTTCACGGATGAGACACTTCACTCCCCGCCTGCCTCCCAGATGCTAAGGAGGGATAATCCAAGTCTCAGCCTTCGACAGTTCCTTCCCTTCCAGACGGCGTGGGTTGGTTTTTCCTCTAGTTGCTTTGCCAATTCAAGAGCAACAAACCCCACCACCTGCCATGTACTAAGAGGAAAATTATTTTTTTGAAACAAAAGGACACCGAATACAGCAGGGACACCCCGAGGTGTCGGCAGAGATGGGTCCCAGCTTGGAGTGGCAGCAGGCGCTCCCGTTTGACACCCCAGTTACCCCTTCGTGTGGAATTTCTGCACTGCCTCCAGGGACTTGGGGACCTAGCCCCAAAGCGTAGTCAAGGAAAGGGAGTTTAGATGCTGCCAGTGTCTCCGGGCTGGCTCTGTGGCCTCAGCTTACCTCGCCAGCTGTCTTTCAAAACTGCCCCGGGTGGCTCGCTCACCAGTCAGTGGTGACAATAGACAATTCGACAATCATAAGAGTGGGAGGGTGTGGGCGTCACTGCAGGCCGGGAGTCACGCAGCAGAAGAACACTGGGGGCCGGGGCTGCCTTTGGCAACCGCAGTTCCCCTCCCAGCTCAGGAAGCAAGGCCTGAAGGGATTTTCGGGGACTGCTGTCTCTAGTCCTACTTTCTGCTCAGCTGTTTCCCCAGTATCTCTCTTTAGACTAAGAACCAGCTCTATTTCTCCGATAACAAAATGCGGGTGATGGTACCGTCCTCAGCACTTAGGATGGCAGATGCCAGAATTGTGTGGGTGTTCAGAGATGCATCATGGGAGTCACAATGCCGCCCTAACATCATGTTTTCGGATGTGCAATGAGAGCTTTCTCATTCATTCTATCAACAAATGAGGTTCTCAAGTGAATGCTCAGGATTGAGTACTGGAGACAGAGTGGTTCCCAGAGTCAGGGAAGGAGTAAACAAGAGTCTCACAAATAGCAGCGGTAGTCAGTGGCATGTGGCTTTGAAGCAGGGGATTTTGTGTGTAAAGACAGGGAGGCTTCCTGGAGGAGGAATCTGGTCTTTATCTTAGGAGCAACGGCCACAGTCATGGAAGTGTTCATCAAGGGTGCTGGGATGAGATTTGCATCTCCAAGGCTCCTTCTGATGGCAGCATGGAAAATGGGTAGACAGGTCCAGCGTGGAGGCAAGGAGACCAGGTGGAGGCTGTTTCCCAGCCTGGGTGAGAGATTTCAGCAGCTCAGACTGGGGTGGTGGCCACTGGGATGGAGAGAAGCTGGTAGACAGATACTGAGGCAAAGACACTGGCTTGGGAGGACACAGGCTTTGGGGAGAGGGAGAAGGCAGGGTCAGATGCTTCCCGGTTACCTGGCTTCATGAAGCTGGACCGGTGGTGTTGTCAATCAATCCAGGTACCTTCGGGTTGAGGAAGGAGGTAGAAAGAAAAATCGTGGCCATGGTAAATTTCTTAAAAAATACAAAGCATAATCTACAATATGACAGCACCTTGGTTTTAAAATATACGGAAAAAAGGCTGACAAGAAATTTACGGCAGATTAACAGAGGTTCTCTCTGAACAGGGGATTGTTTTCTTTCTACTTTTCTCCATTTCCCAAATTTTCATTCATGATCATGTACAATATTACAATTAGGGAAAATCGCACTCGAAAAAAGCGTCGTATATTTGGCCAGCTCTAGAGACATCCATGCCTCTTATGGACGTAGCTTTTCCATTTTTTCAGAGCAGGGAGCAGACAATCCCAGTGCTGGGACTCAATGACCCTTGGTTTAACCTCATCCATTTCCAAGATGATTCGCCAGACAGGCACAGCCTCACACGAGGAGCCTCTCAGAAGAACTTTTTTTTTTTTTTTGCTCCATTTGTTAAATCTGGGTTTGTGCATCATGTTCTGAGTTATAACAGTTCATTGTAAGTTTTTTTTTAAGTTCAATGCTGTATTTTGTCCATTTCTCCCAAAGAAACATGTAAATCAAACCACAGGATGAAGTTGACATTTGCTTGCAGCTCTTGGGCCTTTTAAAAAATAAGAGGAGTTCCTTTTCCTGGCTTCGAAAAGGTAAAGGGGTGTTCTGTTTTGTTTCGCTTCTGGATTTGGGTAGAGAAGAAGCACTTTGAAGAAACCGCCACCATAAATCCCGTCTGCTTGCTTGGGAAGAACAGTTGGCTGGGGTCCTTTTAAGCCATGAGCCTGAGAAGCTGGAAATGGCGTGGTGCTTCCTGACATCCAGGAGCCATCAGGAAGAACACAGATGCATTCCAGGGGAGACAAACCCAGCCGCTCCCAAAACGGGGTGGGTGGGGGGAGGCAGGGAGCAGCGAAAGCTCTACCTCCGCACCGCTGACTGACAGCTGCGTCTTTCTAGGGCACCGCCCCGTGCCTTTGAGTCCTCCAACTGCACCAGGCTGGGACTCAGCCACCAAGTGTAGGGCTTTAGTTGAGTTCTTGCTCCCAGAGCCCAGAGCTGTCATTAGGCATGGGAGGTGGCTGTCCATGCATGGAAGGCCAAGCTCTTCTGCCTCGACTAAACAGATAGCAATAGTAGAAGTAGTAGTAACATCAGTAGTAATAATAGTAACGGTAGTAATAACGATAGCGGCAGTAACAGTAATAGTGGTAAGTGGTGGTTGTAGTAGTAATACCGATATCAGTGGTAATAATCCTAGTAATAATAGTAATATTAATAATAGTAATAATGGAACTGATAATAATGGTAGGAACAGCAGTGGTGATCATAATGGTCATCAGAGGAGAACCATCCCAGCAACCCAGCCACAGCTGGTCTTCACTGGACACCATGAACTACACCGTCCAAACCTTCTTCACTCCCGCCAACAGCAGCCGTTCCCCTAACTATAAGATGCTCAAGGAGGAGCAAGAGGTGGCTGTGCTGGGGGCACCCCACAACCCTGCTCCCCTGACGTCCACGTGATCCACATCCACAGCGAGACCTCTGTGACCGACCATGTCATCTGGTCCCTGTTTAACACCCTCTTCATGAACTCCTGCTGCCTGGGCTTCATAGCATTTGCCTACTCCGTGAAGTCTAGGGACAGGAAGATGGTTGACGACCTGAACAGGGCCCAGGCCTATGCCTCCACCGCCAAGCATGTGAACATCTGGGCCCTGACTGTGGGCATCCTCATGACCATTCTGCTCATCATCATCCCGGTGCTGACCTTCCAAATCTATCGATAGATCAGGAGGCATCATCCAGGCCAGGAGCTCGGCCCACGCCCTGTCTCCCACATGTTCCACTTTCTATTCCTTGCCCTGCCCCCAGAGCCAAGTCATGTATCAGCCCTTTATCCTCACACACTTTTCTACAATGGCATTCAGTAAAGTCCACATGTTCCTGGAAAAATAAATAAATAGTGGTCATAATAATACTAAAACTAGCAGTGGTAGCAGCTGTCATTTAGTGTCCTCTGCATCCCAAACACCCTTGTAAGCACGTTCAGAGACAAACTCATGTAATCTCCAAGACACCTGTGAGGAAGGACCACCTGAGGTCAGGAGTTCAAGACCAGCCTGGGCAACATGGTGAAACCCCGTCTCTACTAAAAATACAAAATTTGGCCAGGCATGGTGGCTCACGCCTGTAATCCCAGCACTTTGGGAGGCCGAGGCGGGAAGATCACGAGGTCAGGAGTTCGAGACCAGCCTGGCCAAAATGGCAAAACACTGTCTCTACTAAAAATACAAAACTTAGCCAGGCGTGGTGGTGCATGCCTGTAGTCCCAGCTACTTGGGAGGCTGAGGCAGAAGAATCGGTTGAACCCAGGAGACAGGTTGCAGTGAGCGGAGATCGCGCCATTGCGACCACCCTCAGTTCATAGATAAAGAAACTGAGGCACAGGGCTTTTATGTGATTTGCCCAAGGTCTCCCCACTATTAAAAGACAGGGCCACCAGGCGCAGTGGCTCACTCTTGTAATCCCAAAACTTTGGAAGGCCAAGGCCAGAGCATTACTTGAGTCCAGGAATTGGAGACCAGCCTGGGCAACAAGGCAAAACCCCATCTCTCCAAAGAATACAAAAATTAGCCAGGCATGATGGGGTGCACCTGTGGTCCCAGCTACTTGTGAGGCTGAGTTGGGAGGATCACTTGAGCCCAGGAAATCGAGGCTGCAGTGAGCCAAGATCACACCACTGCACTCCAGCCTGGGTGCCAAGATCACACCACTGCACTCCAGCCTGGGTGACAGAACGAAAGCTTGTCTCAAAAAGAAATAAATAAAGAGGCAGGACCAGGACTTGAATCCACATCTGTGTCACTTCAGAGGCCCCGTGTGCCCTTTCATCCAAACCAGTGGGTCTCCCGCCAGCCGCCCACAAGTCCCTGGAAACGTCTAAGCATCTGCGCCCCACCTTCGGGGACTCGGCTACAATCTAAGCTGAGTGCCCATGCATGGAGGACCCAGCTCTTCTGCCTCAACTAAATCAATAGTACCAGTAGAAGTATCGTAGTAATAATAGTAACTGTACTGATAACAATGGCAGTCGTGACAGCAACCGTAGTAGTGGAGGTAGTAGTAGTAATAGTGCTATGAGTGGAAGCAGTTGGATTTTGTTGGGGGTTGCCTGGTATTGGAAGCTGCCTCTCGCTGCCCTACACCAGGGGTTCTCCTGCACCGGCCTGGATCGAAATCCCTTGATGGGCTCTTAAAAATATAGATTGCCAGGCCCAGCCCCAGAGCATCTGACTCAGGAGTTCTGGGGTGGGGCCTGAGAACCTGCATTCTAACAAGCCCCAGGGGATGCTGATTGGGCTGACCCAGGAACCCCGCTTTGTGAGCCGCTGCTCTGGGCCAGTCCTTCCTCCCTGGAGGAAACTCTGTCATGTACACAAGCGCATGTTCATTCAACCCTCACTCAGCACTCAGCACGGGCCAAGTGCTGTGCTAAGCACAGAGGGTGACAAGGCAAAACAGACAAGTCCTTGCCCTTGGAGAGCTTCAGTCCCATCGTCTGCTCTTCTGGCTTTGACAGCAGGGACCCTCTGGGGCTGAGAGGGGCCTTGGGGAGTAGATAAGATGCCTGTTGGCGGGAGAGGACCTGCCTGCCCTGGGAAAGGCTCAGTTTGTTCTTGGTCCTTCAGCGAATCCATTGTCCAAACCTCCCCTCTAAACCAGTTACATAAGTGTTCCCTGAGGTCCGGAAACTTCCAGATGGCCCCGCGGCCCACCCCACCAGCTGGTCCTGGGATGTCAGCTCCGGTCGCTTCCCGGGCCCTGGAATTCCCAGAGCAGCCAGACACAAAGCAGCTGTCTAAACGTCAGGAAGGCCAGGCACGCCGAGTGTGAGACGGGCTGACAATAGCCTGTGTGTACTCCTGGCCCCTCTCCAACAGCAGCTGGGCCCAGAGGGCGGTGGGGGCACCAGTGCCAACAAGGACGGAGCAGGGTCCCCATGACCCCAAACATCTGGGCCCCCAGCACACACCAGCTGTCCATCAGCCCCAGAGGGAGGTGCGCCAGCAACCTCCACCTTAGCCAGAACAGTCCACCCTGTCCCTGCCTTTCTGCTTGGACACATTCCTGGTCACTTCTGGTTGACAAACCTCCCCCCACCTGCTCCCAAGCCATCCTCAGCATATCAGGGAACCACCAGGGGCATCAGAATCACTCAGAAAATGTGTCTAGAATGCCCATTCCTGGGCCCCATCCACAGTCTAATCCCATAGGTCTGAAAGCCGGCCCAGGAGTCTTTAGTTTTACAAAGTCCCAGGCAACTTTGATGCAGGAGTTCCTCAGGCCATACTTTGAGAAACACTGACACATTATATGACATATGATCTATATGCAAGGGAGAATATTTTATATCTATATATGGTTGTCCATATCTACCGCCTGTCTACTTACCTATAGACAGATGATGGATGATAGATGCCGACGTATCCCAGGACACTCAAGTCTCCACCTCACCTTCACATGGCTTTCTCCCCTTGTTTCCTAGAAGGACACCTGTCACTGAATGTGGGGCCCACCCTAGTCAAGAATGATCCCACCTCGTGGATCACAAGGTCAGGAGATCAAGACCATCCTGGCTAACATGGTGAAACCCCGTCTCTACTAAAAATACCAAAAAAAATTAGCCAGGCCTGGTGACGCGCGCCTGTAGTCCTAGCTACTCCGGAGGCTGAGGCAGGAGAATGGCGTGAACCTGGGAGGTGGAGCTTGCAGTGAGCCAAGTTTGTGCCACTGCACTCCAGCCTGGGCGACAGAGCGAGACTCTGTCTCAAAAAAAAAAAAGAAAAAAAAAAAAAAGAATGATCCCACCTCAAAATCCTTAACTTCTTAACACCTGCAAAGACCCTTTCCCCAGATGAGGTCCCAATCGTAATTCTTTGAGGTTAGTATGTGGACGGATCTTTTTGAAGATTCAAACTAGTACAATGGT
The DNA here is from genome assembly GCF_000001405.40 of Homo sapiens. Taxonomy (NCBI): domain Eukaryota; kingdom Metazoa; phylum Chordata; class Mammalia; order Primates; family Hominidae; genus Homo; species Homo sapiens. The sequence goes on from NC_000016.10 coordinate 84,924,081, forward strand.
ATGTTATAAACTAATAGTTTATATTAGTTTAATGTAAACTATTCTAAAGAATATAGATATTCTCCTTGAAAATTGGATCTCGCCAGGCATGCTGGCTCACGTCTGCAATCCCAGCACTCAGGGAGGCAGAGGCAGAAGGGTCACTTGAGCCCAGGAGTTCAAGACCACCCTGGAGAACATAGGGAGACCCCATCTCTGCAAAAATAACAGGGGGGAAAAACAAGTTTGAAAATTGGACTTCAAGCAAAAAACACAGGAAAGACATTTGAATTCAAGTCCCCCAGAGGACACAGCCTCAGGCTGCCTCTGGGCCCCTCTTCAAAGTGGGCGGGCTTTGCACTACAGCCAAGCAGAGCAGCCAATCAAATGGTTAGATTTTTCTTAAAGGTCACAAACCTTCCGTTATGGTCTGCTTGTAAGCCCCGTGCATGCTTCACGCCCTCGCGATTTCTCTCCTTCCATCCCCGGCCTCTCCACCCCACTCCTTTCCTGGCCCCTGCTAACTGGCTGACCTTGGACCTCTTCCCTTCTGCCCGGGCTCCCTCTCCCCCGCAGTCATCCCATCCCTTGCGTTACACGCCATCTGCATGTGTGCCCCCTGCCCCACGCCACGTCTTCAGCTCTTGCCTCTCTGAGGCCCAGATCCACAGAGCCCACTGGCCAATGGCCATCTCCACGCCTTGGCTGATGCCTCTTACCCTGTCTGGGCTTCCATTGCCTGGCATGTAAAGCAATGATGACTTTGGAGGGCCACTGTGCACGTGCAGGAGGCGACAGCAAAGACGCTCAGCACGTGGTAAGCGCTGAAGGTCTGAGGATGGTGTCTTCTAAAGCAGCATGCAAACAGCACGGCCGCTCCCCTCGAGGGGGAGGAGCCTTTGGGAAGCAGGCCCGTGGCCAGGTCCTCCCAGGTTCAGGGGTCAGGGTACACAGCTGTTCAGCAAGACTCTTGGGAGGACCCTCCCCTTCCTTCCCTGGTGCCTGAAGCTTCAAGTCTTGGGCAGAGCCTTCCTGTTCTTTAGCAATGAGCCGTGGGATTTAAGTGTAAATCTCCCCCAGGAGACAAGAATCAAGGACTTGGACTTATTCTCACTAAAGTGCATATGACTGACAGCAGATCAGTTCCCAAGAGAGAGCACGTACGAGGACCCCGGCAGTGGGGTCGAGCTTGGTGCCCCGGCTTCAGACAGCGCTCAAGGGTCTCATCACCCTCAAAGGGGGCAGTGCAGAATTGCCCACCACCAGGGGGCAGCAGAGCACCAGGGTCCAATTGCTACCACTCCCCGGAGGGGTGAGAATGGCTGCCTGTAACCCCAACCCATCTAGGCAGCCCCTCTTCCTTCCAGTCCAATATGTGCTCCATCCGCACACCCCAGGGGTCCAGAGAGGCCTCCAGGGAAGCAGGAACCCCATTTCTTAGAGGCCATTGAGCCCAAGTAGTGACTGAAGCCCTTGACCTGTTATCCAAGAAAGGGTCCCGCCCCCATCCCAGGGGCCCAGCCCCCATCCCCAGGACTTCTTAATGCCTTAAAGAGGGGTCCCTGGGCCAGAAGCAGCAGCCTCACCTGGGAGCTTGTTGTAAATGCATATTCTCTGGCCTCACGCCAGACCAGCAGAACCAGACTCTCAGGGAGTGGGCCTGCAATGCAGGTTTGAAGAAGCCCTCCAGGAAATTCTGATGCAGCTCAAATATGAGAACCAATGAATCAGGCCAAATAGGAACACTGCCTTCATTTGCACAGCCAGTGTTGCCATCAGGAAGGACAACATGCGGTGGTGGCAGCGCCCTGCACTACGAGGAGGCTGACCTGGAACGAGGGCACTGGACTCTGCGGGCCTGGCCTGTGCTGGCTGCAGTAGGTGGTTCATATGTCCTGATGGAGGAATGAGCTGGGAATGGTCACGGCCTCGACACACAGCGCCCATGACCCAGCTCCCATCGAATCCAGAAGGAAGAGTTAAACGTACCCTCGGGGTTGCCAGTTCTCCAAAATGAGTGCTTCTGTGGCTGGAAAGGAGCCTCAGTGCTCTGCAGACTGGGCACTTCAGTAGAGGCCACTCATCAGGAAGCATCAGAAGGGAGGGGACCCCACGGCCTGGATTCAAATCCCTGATTCATACGAGCTGGGATTTGAATCTACTCGGGTTTCACAACCTCTCCGATCCCCAGCTTTCCCGCTCTGTCCACTGGGGACAGTAACAGAACCGACCAAATAAGCTTGTTGTGGGGACAAAATAAGATCATTCATGAGACACCCTGGCCCGTAGTAAACATTCACCAATATCAGCGAATTTTCTTAATAAACAGGTCATGTAAGTTGTAAAAATCTATGTGTTCTCAATCTGGCTGTTCCTCTAAAGGTTAAACATAGTGTTTCCAAAGGACCCAGCAATTCCACTTGTGAGTTTACGCCCAAGAGAAATGAAAACTTACGTTCACACAAAAACGTGTGCAAGAATGCTCTTGGCAGCACTATTCACAGTAGCCAAAAAAAGTGGAAACAGCCCACATGTCCATCAGCTGATGATGGAGAAACAAAAAGTGCTCCATTCACTCAATGGAACATTATTTGGCCATGAAGAAGGAATGGTGTTCAGGTATGTGTGACAATGTTCACGACCTTGAAGACGTGGTGCTGAGTGAAAGAAGCCAGACACAAAGAACCACAGACTGCATGACGCCATTTATAGGAAACGTCCAGAACAGGCAAATCCAGAGAGACTGAAAGTGGATTCATGGTTAGCAGGGGCTGGAGGAAGTTGGGGAATTGGGGATGATGGTTAAGGTACAGGGGTTTTTTTGGGGGGAAATAAAATATTCTAAAGAGGATTGTAGTGATGGCTGCACACCTCTGTGGATACACTAAAAACCACTGTACTGTGGGCTTTTAACAGGTGAATTGTGTGGTATGTGAATTATACCTCAAAAAAAAGCTGTTAAAAAAAAAAAAATCCATGCTTCTCCCATGAGATTCTCTAGAGCTATTTTAATTGTTAATGAGAGAAAACAGGTGCACCCCATGAACATTATAATTTTTCCCAAACTGATCCCTAAGCAAAAGAGTTTAGAAAAGGTGCCTGAGGCCACGTGCAGTGGCTCACGCTTGTAATCTCAGTGCTTTGAGAGGGAGGCCGAGGCAGGCGGATTGCTTGAGGTCAGGAGTTCGAGACCAGTCTGTGCAACATAGGGAGACTCTTATCTTTACAAAAAAATTTTAAAAATCAGCCGGGCATGGTGGCGTGAGCCTGTAATCCCAGCTACTTGGGAGGCTGAGGCAGGAGGATTGCTTGAGCCCGGGAGTTTGAGGCTGCAGTGAGCCAGGATCACACCACAGCACTGCAGCCTGGGCAAGACAGCAAGACCCTGTTTCAAAACAAAGAAAGAAAGAAGAAAGAAAAGAACAAAAAGAACAGGTGCTTGAGCTCCATTCCACGTCCAGGTTAGGGGCTCTGTCACAAGCCCTCCTTCAAGTGGCCGGGCCTTCATTGCACACCAAAGCAAAGCAGTGCATTGAGTATTGCATTTGTTTAAAGGCCACAGACTTTCCCGTCAGATTTGTCTGTAAACTCCATATAGTCCTGGAAGGGCGCTAGGCCCCCCTGAGTTCCTCAGGGGTTCAAGGGTAACTTATCACCAGAAAAACTCCAGCGTCTCCAGGCCCAGAGAGTCAGGCTGGGAGCCCGCAGCCATCCATGAAGCCAGCTCCAGGGAGGTCTGGCCTTGAGCCTGCCCCGGCCTTATCTCCGAGAGGATATGTTCTCGCCCTACTCCAAGTGTTTGTCCAGAAGACCAAGGCCCAGGCAGGGTCCCGAAAAGGGAAGCGACACCCTTCAGTGATGAGAGGGAAGCGTCCGCAGCCCAGCCCTGGCAGAGTCACGGAGAGAACGGATGGGGCTCCTGGCACAAGGACCCTGCGTCTTCTGTCCCCTCCCTCACTCAGACCCTCCCACAGGGTGCCCTCGCCATCCCATTGACCTTCAGGCTGTGAGGGTGGCCTTTGGGTTCCCCGCCTTGGCCCCTGGCCACCTGCACGTCCTGCCCCTCCTCCCACTCCCAGGCGCCTCTGGGCCTCCGCTCAGGCCGTCAAACCCAGCTCCACCAGGCCCCGGCCGTGTGCCCTTGGACAAGTGCCGTCTCCAGAGCCTCAGCCCCCTGTTTGCAAGAGCTTGTGAGCTAAAGCGTGCCAGGCCCTGAGTGCGAGGCTGGGATGAACTGGCATTCCTGCTGGCTCTGGCCTCTGGGACAGCACCTCCTCCAGCTCACTGCCCTCCACCCTTCCAGCTACAGCTCCCTCCGGTGCCCCAGAACCGCCCGGCACTCCGGGGCTCCCAGGTTCATCTGGGCATGACTCCGCCCTCCCGACAGAGCCCTCTGCACACCCCCTCCCCACCCTGGCCCATCGCAGCTCTTCACGAAGACGCTTCATGGAATGGGTGATTTTCCTAAGCACTTTTCTTTCCATGATCTCATTTGGTCCTCACAGCACCTGGAGGAGGGCAGACAGGCTGTTGCTCCATTTTACAGGTAAGAAACGGAGGCTCGGAGCCCTGGGCTCCAGGCCAGCCTTCTCCCCTTCAGCTTCAGGGGGTTTCAAGATGGGGGAAGAGGGGCGCTGGCCAGGGGTTAAATGGTCTGCTGTCCACAGCCCCTGCATGGCCTATTACTCAGAACGGTCCTTTGAAAAGACACCCTTTAAACAAAGCCTCCCAGCCCAGCCAGGGGGAGCGGTGCCATTTCCCTGGGCCTGGCTTGACCCATCCCAAGGGTGGGGCTGTGCATTCGCTGACTCAGTCCTGGTCCTGGGCCGGGGATCCGGCCAGAGCCAGAGCCGCTCAGCCTCCCTGGCCCAGCCTCAGACCCACAGCACCGGCTCAGTTTATCTTCCTTGTCAGGAAAAGAGGGAAGTGGCCCTAGGGACGCTAAGGGCCACTCTTCTGGAAGAAAATGTGGACAAGCTGTTCAGGCCAGTGAGAAGGGATGGTTCTTTGCAGCCAGTTCCTGCAACAGCCCAGAAACAGAAAATAGAGCCGCCCAGGGGCTTCGATGCCAAGCCAGACCCGGGTCTGCACCCAGCTCCTCCAGCTCCCAGCACCGTGACCTTGGGAGACCTTGGGAGACCTTGGGAACCCCTCCAGCCCGTTTCCTTATCTACAAAATGGAGAAAAGGCTGCCTAATAATTATCCTTGTAGGGAAGGGCAATCAGGATGTTGAAAGGAGGTTGTGTAGTCTAGGAAATGTTGGGCACAGTGCCAGACACATAAGTAGTCCTCGAAGAACGTCACTTATTTTTAAAAAGCTTGCTTATTGGTAAAATTCACCAGAAATCCTCCAGGGAGAGGCAGAGTGAGAAAAAACTACATTGCCAGAGTAGGGGGTTATGGGGGAACCCTCGGTGAGGGAGGAGCAGGAGAAGTGGATGCTGCGATGCCGCCGGATGCTGCGGATGCTGTGGCCATGAGCGAGGGTGGGACCCCCAGCAGCCAGCAGGACGGGGAGGTGGTGCCTGGCACGGGGAGGGGCATGGAGAGGAGGAAGGGGAGAAGGGCCAAGTGAGCCTCCAATCTGAGTGATCTGGGGCCATGTAAGAGGTTTTTAGGGGGTTGGGGGGTAGTCAGTGGGCCTGAGTAACTCTGACACGATCCCATCAGAGAGCAGGAGCAGGGGAAGCGGTGTTCAAGAGCTGTTGTCGTGGCGGGAGGTTGGTCTCACTTGGATGTTCTTTCAAAGTCCCTTGGCAGTTGCAAAGCAGAGATTGAAACTTTCTTCAACATCTGCCCGGGTTGCACATTTCTGTCCTCAGCTGATGGTAGGAAGGCCTGGCGGAAGGCCCCAAAAGGAGGGAAACACACCAAGGGCCGGGTCTCAGTCAGGGTGCAGCCCCCACACGCAGATCAGGACCCAGAGGAGTCATGGAGAGCCCAGGCTGCCGCCCCCACGCTCTCAAGCCAGAAGGAGCCTTGGGGTTAAGCGGGGGCGTGTGTTCCCCGGCACACGTGTTCATTCCTAAGGCCACCCCAGCCAACGGCTGCAAATGCAGAGGCTGAAACCAGCCTAACACGTGGAAGGCCCCAGGGCCACGCCATTCAGTGTGATTTCAGCGCCGCGTTAATGGGGGGAATGTCGCTTCCCGGCTGGGGCCCCTGTGTGTGCGGCGTCTGCACGCTCCCGTGTCTGCGTGGGTTTTCTAGGGGCACTCCGCTTTCCTCCTACATCAAAGATGGGATGTGAAGGAAATGGCACGTCTGCGTGGTGCCAGCCTGAGTGGCTGTGAGTGTGGGTGAGTGGGTGTGGGTGTGTGGGTGTGGTGAGTGGGTGTGGGTGTGGGTGAGTGGGTGTGGGTGTGAGTGGTGTGGGAGTGGGTGAGTGGGTGTGAGTGAGTGTATGGGTGTGAGTGGGTGTGGGTGAGTGGGTGTGTGTGGGTGTGAGTGTGGGTGAGTGGGTGTGGGTGTCAGTGGGGGTGTGGGTGTGGATAAATGGGCGTGGGTGAGTGGCTGTGAGTGTGGGTGAGTGGGTGTGGGTGAGTGGGTGTGGGTGTGGATGAATGGGTATGGGTGTGGGTGAGTGGATGTGGGTGAATGGGTATGGGTGAGTAGGTGTGGGTGACAGTGTGAGTGGCTGTGAATGGGTGTGGGAGTGGGTGTGGGTGAGTGGCTGTGGATGTGGGTGAGTGGGTGTAGTTCAGTGGGTGTGAGTGGGTGTGGGTGTGAGTGGGTAGGGGTGTGGGTGAGTGGGTGTGAGTGGGTGTGGGTGAGTGGGCGTGGGTGAGCGGGTGTGGGTGTGAGTGGGTAGGGGTGTGGGTGTGGGTGAGTGGGTGTGGGTGAGTGGGCATGGGTGTGAGTGGGTGTGGGTGAGTGGGCCTGGGTGTGGATAAGTGGGTGTGGGCATGGGTGTGGATGTGGGCGTTGGTGAGTGGGTGTGGCAAGGGCATGGTGTGGGCATGGGCATGGCTGTGTTGAGTCGGGGAGATTCATCCCTTGCTTGCCTTTTCCAGCTTCCTAGAGGTCACCCGCATCCCTTGGCTCATGGTCTCCTTCCTCCGTCTTCAAAATGCATCACTCCAACCTCAGAGTCTATTGTCCCATCTCCCCTCTGACTCTGACCCCCTCACCTCCCTCTTAGAAAGGGCCCCTGTGATGACATTGGGCTCGCCCAGTTAATTCAGGAAAACCTCCCCATCCAAAGGTCCTCAACTTAATCACATTTGCCTTTCCTTCCTTCCCACTATCTGGGATGTAGACATGATGGCAGGAGCTGAAGCAACCACTTTGGATCCAGAGGTTAAAAAACCATGTGCTGTGCCCTTAGATTCTGACACTGGAGAAATTCTTAAAAATTAAAAATAACAACAGCAAAGCAAACCCCACGTGTTGAAGCTAGCAGAGCTGGCCTCCCAGCCCCGGGCCACCTCCCTCTGTGCTATCGGAGAGAAACAAGCATCTATCTTGTTTAGGATCGTGTACTACAGGGCCTCTTTTTCACCACAGCTTACACAGTGACTAGCTCAGACCCTTGGGCCTCTGTGTCTGAGATGTGCCTCCGGTGAACTCCCCGGGCCTCTGCCTCCTCTCTCCTGCTCCTCACCACTGCTGAGCTTGTGGAAAGTGCAGGCAAGATGATCAAATTCCTTGTGACTCAGGCAGAGAGGGAGACTTGCCCACAGCCCTGGCCACGGACCTGCAGCATCAGCTTTGGGACCCCTGGGAGCTGGTTAGAAATGCTGATGCTCTGGTTCCAGCTCAAACCTTGTGCATTGACCTTCGAATTGTAATGAGCCCTCAACCAGTGGGCCTGCACGCTGCCGCTGGAGAAGCTCCGGGCTCAGCCCTGCAGAGTTTCGCATCGTCCCTATCCCCTCCCACTCCTTTCACCCCAAGTTACTGGACTTCCAGCTGCACCCCAAATCCCTAGGGCTATTCAGGCCCCCATGAGGGAGGTGGGCTGCAGGCAGGTCTAGACTCCCCATCTGTGCTCTAATGAAGGCAATACCACATTTTCTGTTTTATTCGACAGGGCTCTGCATAAGATTAATTTGCTCAAGTAGAGAAGTCAGCAAGTCCTCATCCTGACTAACGTTCACTTTGGGGAATGCTGGAGGCTGGCAGGGCCTGAGGCAGCAGAGGCAGTGGCTGCAGGGAGCTGCGGGAACCCAGGTTCGCTGCCTTACATCCATAACTGACAATCCCCTAGCTTCCTTTGGAGGAAGCTAACTCCGTGGAGTCTCATCTCCAGGTGCATTTGACACCGTTATTTCTGTTTAGCTAGTGTTGGTTTTAGGTGATTTCAATGCATTTATTTAGTGGTTGAATGTTTACTACTTGCCAGGCCCTGATCTCTGTGTCGGGAATACCCCACTGGTGACAACCAGTCAACTTTCCTCCTGCAGGCTGTGTCTTAGTGCCGGAGATAGACAATTAACACATAAGACAGATGGTGCGTCAGTGGACACACCTGCTCCAGGGAAAAAAGGGGAAGGGGAGCTTCCTGGAAGAGGAAGAAAGTGGAAGGCCCCACGGGTACAATTACACTGAGCAGCAGAGAAAGAGGTGAGGGTATGAGTCCAGGGAAGAGATGTCCAGGCAGAGGGAAGAGCCAGTGCAGGGGCCCTGAGGTCAGAGCATCCTGGTGTTTGCCAAACCTCAAGGCTGGCCAGAACATCCTGGCTGGAGTAAGGGGAGGCAGCAGGAAGGACACCAGGAGAGTGGGCAGGCACGGGTTCATGGGAGCAGCTGGTCTGGCCTAGCAGATGCTGCTGGAGGCCCCAGCTGTGCCCCTCTGAATGCACAGTGTGGCTCATGCCAGCGGCTTCTTTCCTGCAGTCCCTGAGGGCTTTCTCTGACTGCAGGAGCAAACTCAGGGTTCGTAAGGGGCTGGCCAAAAGGGCTGGAGAGGAGGGTGCCTAACTCATTCCCGTCTGCCCAGGGCATTCCTGGTTTCAGCATTGAAAGTCCCACGTCCCAGACAACCCCTCAGTGCCAGGCAATCTGGGACAGCTGGTCACCCTACGAGGAGCTGATGTCCCCAGAGCAGCCCTCCAGCAAGGAAGGTCAAGAACAGGTGTGGATGGCCGGGCCCAATGGCTCATGCCGGTAATCCCAGCACTTTAGGAGGCCAAGAGGGGCGGATTGCTTTGAGCTCAGGAGTTTGAGACCAGCCTGACCAACATGGTGAAATGCTGTCTCTACAGAAAATACAAAAATTAGCTAGGTGTCGGTGGCTCGCACCTGTAGTCCCAACTACTTGGGAGGCTGAGACTGGAGAATTGCTTGAGCCCAGGAAGCAGAGATTGCGGTGAGCTGAGATCGCACCACTGCACTCCAGCCTGGGTGACAGAGTGAGACCCCATCTCAAAAAAAAAAGAAAGAATGGGTGTAGAAACACCAGCTCCCTGCCCCATACGTGGATGACTCTGAGGCACGTTCTAGTCACCCCTGGAGCCCCCAGCAGGCACCCCACTCTTTATTGCCTTCCCCACCCTGCCTTACTTCCCCATTCCCTCACCTGTGCTCCCTGGGAGCACCTCCCTCTCCTTAAACTATTCGTACTCAATTCCTTGCTTCAGGCTCTGCTTCTGGGGGACCCAATCTCAAACACAAGGAAGAAGGGCTCATGACTATTTGGAGGGTCTAGGCCACCGCTTTGAGCTGCCCCTGACTTGTCAGGAAGGTTCTTGAAATTTTGGGCTGTCCTTGTCATGAGGGCCCTCTAGCCCTGTGCAAAGTCCTGGCCTTGAATCAGAGCACGTCACAGCTGAGAAGCAGGAATACGGTGCATGCCAAGCACTGAGGTCACCCCCGAGTGCTCTGCCACGGCCACCTCGCCCTCCGACCCCTTCCGCAGCCCGTCCTCAGCGGGAGGTGGCCAGATCACAGCTGTGGGGAGCTGTCTGTGTCCTCAGGCGCACTGCTGGGAACCCCTGGGCTAGGGGGTGGCTCCTGCCCGCTGCCAGGCTATCCGCCGCCCAGCCGGTATCCCAGTGCTGACTCTGGCCTGCCTGCCTGGCGTGGCTTCCGGCCTGTCGTCAGCTGCTTGGTCTGGAGCCTAGGGGCTGACCTTGGCCTGTCAGCCTGGCCTGCACTTGTTCTGTTTCCTTTGCCCGGCTCTGCCGATGCTGAGCTCAACTTGCTTTCTTGGCCTTCAGCCCCTGGCCTCCCTCTCTCCATTGCCAGGGGGAGGCCAGATGAGATGATGAACTTAGCAGGGCAGCCTGCGGCCCTCTTCTGTGCTGTGACCTGGCAGGGGCTTTGGTCCAGCCAGTCACACATGGGCGAGGGTGGCCTTCCCCAGCCAGCCAGGTGGCCCCTGCTGTTCTGTGCCAAGCCTGGGGGGTGCCGTGTGATCACAACCCCCAGAAACAGTGGACACTGGAGCACAACTCCCCACACACCAAGCAGACGGGTCCTCGAGGTGTCTGTGAGTCACGACTCACAGCTGCAGCTACCTCCCCGCATTCACGGCAAAACTCAAGCCTCCCTCCAGCCAGCCCAGACCCTGGTCCTTGCTGCTGGGAGCTGCAGGAAAACCTGTCCTCGTTCAGTTCCAACTCTAACGAGCGTTCCAGAAGCCCTTTCCCACCACCTGAATTTCATCCTGCACCAATGCCAGCTCACCGAAAGTTCTTTTTTTCTCCAGCTAACTTCACTGAATTGGCTAAATAACAATTTTGTTTTTTTGATCACGGCCATAAAAGAATGACTTGACTGGAGATTTGAAAATCACTTTTCCTTCTCTTTCCTTTTTTTTTTTTTGAGATGGTCTCGCTCAGTCACCCAGGCTGGAGTACAGTGGCGCCATCTCGGCTCACTGCAACCTCCACCTCCCAGGCTCAAGGGATCTTCCCACCTCACCCTCCCTAGTAGCTGGAACTACAGGCACGCACCACCACGTCTGGCGGTTTTAAAATATACATTGTGGGCCACGGGGTGGCTCGCACCTGTAATCCCAGCACTTTGGGAGGCTGAGGCGGGCGGATCACCTGAGGTCAGGAGTTCGAGACCAGCCTGACCAACATGGAGAAACCCCATCTCTACTAAAAATATAAAATTAGCCTGGCGTGGTGGTGGCGCATGCCTGTAATCCCAGCTACTCGGGAGGCTGAGGCAGGAGAATCGCTTGAACCCGGGAGGCAGAAGTTGCAGTGAGCCAAGATTGCGCCACTGCACTCCAGCCTGGGCAATAAGAGCGAAACTCCATCTCAAAAAATAAACAAATTAATTAATTAATTAATTTAAAAATATATTTTGTAGAGACGGGGTTTCAGCTTGCTGCTCAGTCTGGTCTTGAATTCCTGGCCTCAAACCATCCGTCCGCCTTGGCCTCCCAAAGTGATTTGACTCCTGGCTGCAAACCACTATTTTCTAAAGGAGAGTCCCATTTTCTTTCAGATGAAAAGATTATTTTAGAACCAAAGACAACTTTGCCTTTAATGGGATGAGCCCTTAACAAGTGAATCCCACATCCTTTTTTGAATCTCAGTTATTTCATCTATAATAAGTCTGTTTTATGTCCAAAATTCAAATCTAGGTGTTTTCAGTTCCTGCTGGAACCTTTGCAATGTGAATGGATTTATGAAGCACAGTAAAGAAAACGCCCTTGTTCTTGGCCGTGTTCACATTATAGAAGAAGTAGAAACTCCTGGCCGGGCGCGGTGGCGCACGCCTATAATCCCAGCACTTTGGGAGGCCGAGGCGGGTGGATCATGAGGTCAGGAGATCGAGACCATCCTGGCCAACACGGTGAAACCACATCTCTACTAAAAATACAAAAATTAGCTGGGCGTGGTGGTGGGCGCCTCTAATCCCAGCTACTCGGGAGGCTGAGGCAGGAGAATCGCTTGAACCAGGGAGGCGCAGGTTGCGGTGAGCCAAGATGACACCACTGCACTCCAGCCTGGTGAAGAGCAAGACTCTGTCTCAAAAAAAAAAAAAAAAAAAAAAGAAGAAGAAGAAGAAGTAGAATTGGATTGGTTGTGACATCAAGAAAGGCTAAATGCTGATGTGATTATTACCCATTGTATGCCGGTTTCAAACAATCTCATGGGCCCCATAAATATATATACCTACTATGTACCCACAAAAATTAAAAATTAAAAAATTTTATTTAAGAAAAAGAATAGCAGGCTGGGCACAGTGGCTCACGCCTGTATTCCCAGCACTTTGGGAGGCCGAGGTGGGTGGATCATGAGGTCAGGAGATCGAGACCATCCTGGCTAACAAGGTGAAACCCCGTCTCTACTAAAAATACGAAAAATTAGCCGGGCGCGGTGGCGGGCGCCTGTAGTCCCAGCTACTCGGGAGGCTGAGGCAGGAGAATGGCGTGAACCCGGGAAGCGGAGCTTGCAGTGAGCCAAGATTGCGCCACTGCAGTCCGCAGTCCGGCCTGGGCGACAGAGTGAGACTCCGTCTCAAAAAAAAAAAAAAAAAAAAAAAAAAGACGTTTAAGACCAGCCTGGACGACATAGTGAAACCCCATCTCTACTAGAAATACAACAGTCAGCTGGGCATGGTCACGGGTGCCTATAATCCCGGCTACTTGGGAGGCTGAGTAACGAGAATCACTTGAACCTGGGAGGCGGAGGTTGCAGTGAGCCAAGATTGCGCCACTGCACTCCTGCCTGGGTGACAAGAGCGAGACTCCATCTCAAAAAAAAAAAAAAAGAAAGAAAGAAGAAGAAAAATAATTGTTACCATTTTTCTTTAATTTAACTTCTAGGTTCAAGGGTGCATGTGCTGGTTTGTTACATAGGCAAAATGTACTGGTTTGTTATATAGGCAAACTGTGCCATGGGGGTTTGGCGTACAGATAATTTTGTCACCTGGGCCAGGCGTGGTGGCTCACACCTATAATCCCAGCACTTTGGGAGGCCGAGGTGGGCAGATCACTTGAGGTCAGGAGTTTGAGACCAGCCTGGCCAACATGGTGAAGCCCCCTCTCCACTAAAAGTACAAAACTTAGCTGGGTGGGGTGGCAGGTGCCTGTAGTCCCAGATACTTGGGAGCTGAGGCAGGAGAATTGCTTGAACCTGGGAGGCAGAGATTGCAGCAAGCCAAGATGGCGCCACTACACTCCAGTCTGGGCAACAGGGTGAGACTCCATCTCAGAAAAAAAAAAAAAGATAATTTTGTCACCCAGGTAATAAGCATAATGCCCAATATGAATTGTCCTGCTCCACTCCTTCCTCCCACCCTCGTCCCAACTTCCTCCCCACCTCCTCCCGCCCTCCTCCCTTGAGCAGGTCCCAGCGGCTGCTGCTCCCCCATAGCGTCCATGTGTTGTCACCACTGAGTTCCCACTTACAAGTGTGAACATGCTTCCATTGCTCAGTGTTTACAAATGCCATGTCCAGTCTCAGTTAATGCTCGTAACATCCATAGGAGGGGAACTGACTACTGTCCCCATTTTACAATTGAAGAAACAGGGCTCAGAGAGGTTAAGTTACTTGCCCAAGAGCACACAGCAAGATTCAGACCTCCACCTTCCAGGGGGCCAGAGGTGCCCTGGGTAACTCATTCTGGAATAGCTGAGGTTCCTTTTGGAATCAGCATTTTTTGACCCTTCTGTCTTCTTGTGGGTTTTGTTTTTCCAAATCAAAACCAGTTGTTGTTGTTTTGATTTAATTGGGTCCTGGTAAGACTTCCCCAAAGCAGGAAACGATGTTTTTCCAGAATAAATGAAAACAGTTTACACAACAATTGTCAAATGCTGTAACAGGAAATAAATCATATAGAATAACGCTGAGGAGCTGAAATGAATCTGTGTGAGCAGCTGAGTTTAACCCCAAAATGTTCCAGCTTTTATGAAAACATCTTTCCCCTCTTTTTACATGTTTGTTTCCATTTTATTTTTTCTTGCACAGATTTTCCAGACCAGGCTTTCTGAGAGGCTGTTAATGAGCCAAACCATTCTGCTAACCGTCGTTTTCAGAAGGGCCACCCGGCTCACGGTTCTCTTTATTCAGGCAAAGCCATCAAGACCCCGGTGAGTATTGTCCAAATGTCTCGCAGTTCATCAGCGTTCTCCGCATCAGGATTCCAGATGTGGGGGCCCCCTCCCATAGAGAGGCCACAGGCCATTCTGTCAGCCTGGGCCCCCGAAAGCCCTCCCTGTTAGGATCCCCATCCCTGTCCTCCTGAATCTAGGAGGCTCAGAAATCTGAATTTCGATGTACACCCCGTTTTATACCCCCTACCCTTTTTTTTTTTTTTTTTTTTGAGACAGAGTCTCACTCTGTCGCCAAGTTGGAGTGCAGTGGTGCGATCTTGCCTCCCTGCAACCTCCACCTCCCGGGTTCAAGCGATTCTCCTGCCTCAGCCTCCTGAGTAGCTGGGACTACAGGCACACACCACCATGCCCAGCTAATTTTTGTATTTTTAGTAGAGACGGGGTTTCACCATGTTGGCCAGGATGGTCTCGATCTCTTGACCTGGTGATCTGCCTGTCTCTGCCTCCCAAAGTGCTGGGATTACAGGCATGAGCCACGGCGCCTGGCCGACCCCCTGCTGTCTTAAAGAAAACCTGGGCAGGCCGGGCACGGTGGCTTACGCCTGTAATCCCAGCACTTTGGGAGGCTGAAGCAGGAGGGTCACCTGAGGTCAGGAGTTCAAGACCAGCCTAGTCAACAGGGTGAAACCCTATCTCTACTAAAAATACAAAAATTAGCCAGGCATAGTGGCAGGAGCCTGTAATCCCAGCTACTGGGAAGGCTGAGGCAGAAGAATCGCTTAAACCTGGGAGGCAGAGGTTGCTGTGAGCCACCCACAGCCTGGGTGACAAGAGTGAGACTCTGTCTCAAAAAAGAAAAAAAAAACCTGGGCAGACAGAATCGTGTACCCAGGAAGGAATTGTAATCGTGTACCCAGGAAGGAATTGTAATCGTGTACAATTCCTTGAGTCCAGCTAGGAGCTGAGGCCTCTGTGTGGGTGAGTTCGCTGAGGAAAGGGTTCTTGGGATGATGGAGTACTCTGGCCACCCCCGACCCCAGCTCAGACCAGCCCAGCCCAGTGGGCAGCAATGCCTGGCCCAGAGAACAAACCTCTGAAGGTTTAAGAGCGGCTGAAGACCTATGAAAAGTGGTCAACTGCAGCTTTCAACGTTGCTGCAACTTCAACAAATGACTTTTACTTGTTTCTACTTCCCTGTACCCAAAACATGAAAAATACACGGAGGAAGAGGTAGGGATTGTGTCAGCCACATGTTCCAAACCCGTTTACATCAGGAGAAACTGAGTAAAGAAAAACCCTGTATCAGGGTTTCCAGTTATCCATCCATCTATTCAAAAAAAAATTTTTTTTTTGGATACAGGGTCTTCCTCTGTGGCCCAGGCTGGAGTGCAGTAGCGCAATCTCGGCTCACTGCAACCTCCACTTCCCGGGTTCAAGCGATTCTCCTGCCTCAGCCTCCTGAGTAGCTGGGATTACAAGCTCCTGCCACCATGCCCAGCTAATTTTTGTATTTTTAGTAGACATGGGGTTTCACCATGTTGGCCAGGCTGGTCTCAAACTCCTGACCTCAAGTGATTCACCCTCCTCGGCCTCCCAAAGTGCTGGGATTAGAAGTGTTAGCCACCGCACCTGGCCTATTCAAAAAATTCTCTATGGAGCTTCCACCATATACAAGGTATGGACAAGCAGGAACTGAACACACACAGCCCTGCCCACCCGGCGCTGACAGCAGGAGAGACAGACCATGCGACTATCGAAGAAACCAGAGCCAGAAAATAGGTGAGCAGTAAAAGCAGATTTTATTGAGGAACTGTTGAAATGAGAGAAGAGACCTCGGTGTAGACCTGGGCTCTGGTCTGAATACAGCGGTGATGAGTGGGGATGTCACCTGGAGCAGAGGTTCAGTGGATGGAAAATGGCTAAGAGGAGGTCAGGCGCAGTGGTTCATGCCTGTAATGCCAGCACTTTGGGAGGCCGAGGCAGGTGGATCACTGGAGGTCAGGAGTTCAAGACCAGCCTGGCCAACATGGTGAAACCCTGTTTCTACTAAAAATACAAAAATTAGGCAGGCTTGGTGGGACACACCTGTAATCCCAGCTACTTGGGAGGTTGAGGCAGGAGAATCGCTTGAACCTGGGAGGCGGAGGTTGCAGTGAGCTGAGATCGCGCCACTGTGCTCCAGCCAAGGTGATAGCGCGAGACTCCGTCTCAAAAAAAGAAAATGACTAAGAGGAAGCATTAGGTGTGGGGGGAAGTTCTGGCTAAACCGATGGAACAGGACTCTCGCCGAAGGCAGGCCAGGTGAACAGACACCCCCGAGGGGCAGTGCCAGGCGAGGAACTGCTCACGCGTCGGGGGTCGGGGAGTTTTCCTAATTGACTCTGGGTTCTTGCTAAAACTGGAAAAAGCCAAGACAAGTGCAGAAGCCCCCAGGCCAAGGCCTCCTGGAGAAGAGGGTTTGGAGGAGCCTGACCAAAGCTTGATCGAGGAGAGGGTCTTTGTCATGATTACTGGGGGCTCTGACCCCGTTTAGGAAGACGGGGACTGTGCCCATGAGATCTGAAGGGGGAAGGGCGTTCTTGAGGCAAGAAGGCTGGGGTGGAATTCCAGACAAAGGCAACAGCACAGGGGCAGGGTGAGTCCAGGTCTGGAGAGATGGCCTGCGGCGAGGCCCCATGCATCCCAGGGAAGGTTCCGGAACACCCTGCACACGCACAGTCTCCACCATCCTCTCTAGGCCTGGCCTCGCATCAGACAGGGCCCTTGTGAGAGCTGCCTCAAATGTGACATTTCCACCAGAGCCCCGGCCCCCGTGCCCGCCTTGCCAGCCTCGGCCTGTGGGGGCTGCCACTCTCCACAGGTCCTCGTCCCTGTCGGCCGAGGGCAGCATTCCCGCAGCGGGGAACGATCAGCAGAGATTGGGAAATAGGGTAACTTGTTCCAGATGTCCGGAGCAAATCCAGGCCTGGCTTCTCTAAGGGACTGTTTGGCTTTCTGAAGTTTACAAACAGCAGGATGAGAGGCCCCTCCTGAGAGGCGGCCAGGACCCCCCGTGTGTGATCATGTGCGTGAGGGGGGCTCAGGGCTGCGGAATGCCATCCAGTGTCACCTGAAGTCCACACACACAGCCTGGGGCCCACGTCCACGCTTCCCCACCCAGGGATGCCGGCCTTGGGAAACCCCCTGTAGGACCAGCTGCCCCCGGCCTCTGGAGGCGTTTGGCAGGTGGGAGGTGTCTGCAAGAGACTGGAGAGGGCTGGAGGAGCTGAGTCGCATCCACTCCCCCAATTCCCTCTCTGCAGGGCCGCATGGGCCAGCTGCGTCCCGTGTCCCCAACCTTACCCTCGGGCCTCAGTGCTGGGCGCTCCTGCCGTTGCCGGCCCTGGTGCTGCCCGTGCGCCGCCTGCGGTGTCCCGGAGCCCACGCATCCCTGCACCTTTGAGCACAGTCCTTTTCCTGAGCGCTCCCTAAATTATCCCAACTCAAGTGTGACTTCGGGGCCTGCTCTTCCCAACCCCCTTCCCCAGTAAGTGGCTTTTGCCTGTGCCTTGATGAACACCTGAAGCGAGACCCAGAGACGCTCAACTCCCCGACAGCCCTGGTTCCAAACCGGAGCTGCAGCAGTTGCTGAGCGCGGCTCCTTCACGCCTTCCTGCCGTGAGCGTTCCTCACCGCCGAGGCTTCCTCCTCCTGCTCCCAAACCGTGTCCACTTTTAGGAGGGGACTTTCTAGAACGTGCTTCCGAACGGTACCTATGTGATGAGGGGCTGAGCATGAAATAAAGACAAGGGCATGAGTGTAGAGGCCAGGCAGACCTGACTCGCCCCTCACTCCCCAGGACCCGGACCTCTCTGGATCTGCATCCTCCCCCTAGTAAAATGGGAGACACACCGCTATCCAGACAACTGGGATTCCTGGACCAGACTTTTCTTTTGAGGTGAGCACACCCGCCCCGCAACCCAGATGGACTAGGGTGACCTTCTCCCCACCCCACTCGCACCTCAACAGGCACATTTCCCCATCTGCCCTTGGGCTGAGTGACACAGTGGCTGGGCCAGGGATGGTTTGACACCGCAGGACATGTCAGCGTATTTTTCCAACATACTCTCCGCCTGACTCATTCAGTGGGAGACACTCACATGAGCTCCCCGCCCGAGAGGCCCTCTGGCACCGCAGACCCAACACATAAACAGGTCCTCTCTCCTTCCAGAAGCTTCTGGAGCCCATTGTGCTTTAGATTCATCCACCCTTCCTCCAGACGCTGGGCATCTCTCTCCTCTCCTCTCCTGCTGACCCCACCATTCGGATGGCGCCTGTCACCCTAACTGTCTGCACACCCCAGGTTCCTCCCCACCCCACCCCTCTGCCCTCCTTTTTGTCTGATTTGCCAACTGGTCCTCCTGGTTCTGCCTTGTCCACTGTGGTGTTTTGTTTTTAGGGTTTTAAAACTAATTTATTTAGGTGAAATCATATAACATAAAAATAACCATTTTAAAGTGATCAATTAATTGGCATTTGGTACTTTTTTTTTTTTTTTTTTTGCAGCCTCAACCTCTTAGGCTCAAGCAATCCTCCCACCTCGGCCTCCTAAGTAGCTGGGATTATAGACACATGCCACCACGCTTGGCTGACATTTTGTAGAGACAGGGTTTTGCCATGCGTCCCTGGCTGGTCTTGAACTCTTGGGTTCAAGACATCTGCCCGCCTTGGCCTCCCAAAGCACCAGGATTACAGGCATGAGCTACTGCCCCCAGCAGCATTCAGTACATTTACAGTTTTGTACAACCAGCACCCCTATCTAGCTCCAAAACACTTCCCTCATCCCACAGTGAAACCCCAAACCCATTAAGCAGTTTCTCCTAATTTCTGTCTCCCCCAGCTCCTGGCAGCCTCCAGTCAGCTTTCTGTCTCTATGGACTGGCCTGTCCTAGACATTCCTTATCAATGGAGTCACACAGTATGTGGTCATTTCGTCTGGCTTCTTTCACTTAGCACCATGGCATCAGGGTTCATCCACATTGTATAACCTGGATCGGTGTTTCATCCCTTTTTTTTTTTTTTTTTTTTTAATTTATTTTGAGATGGAGTCTCACTCTGATGCCCAGGCTGGAGTACAATGGTGCGATCTTGGCTCACTGCAACCTCTGCCTCCCAGGTTCAAGCGATTCTCCTGCCTTAGCCTCCTGAGTAGCTGGGATTACAGGTGCCCGCCACCACACCTGGCTAATTTTTGTATTTTTAGTAGATGGGGTTTCGCCATGTCAGCCAGGCTGGTTTTGAACTCCTGACCTCAAGTGATCTGCCCACCTCAGCCTCCCAAAGTGCTGGGATTGCAGGCTTGAGCCACCACACCCGCCTGTTTCATCCCTTTTTATGGCTGAATAATATTCCGTCACACAGACCACAGTTGTTTATCCATTCATCTGTTGGCGGACTCTTGAGTTCTGTTCACCTTCTCGCTGTGGTGAATAGTGCTATGAACAGGTAAGTGTTTGATACCTGCTTTCAATTCTTCTGGGCCTATACCTGGGAGCAGCATTGTAGGGTCATAGAGTAACTATGTTTAACTTTTTGAGGAATGCACTGTAGCAGTTTATCTTTTGTATTTTGTTTTTTAGAGACAGGGTCTTGCTCTGTCGCCCAGGCTGGAGTGCAGTGGTGTGATCATAGCTCACTGCAGCCTCGACCTCTTGTTTTTGTAGAGACAAGGGTCTTGCTATGTTGCCCAGGCTGATCTTGAACTTTTGGCCCTCAAGTCATCCTCCCACCTCTGCCTCCCAAAGTGCTGGGGTTACAGGAGTGAGTCATTACACTCAGCCCACTGTGGCAGTTTTAAAATATGTTCTCACGTTCTTTGACCTCCTCCCTTTAAAAGGTGGAGCCTAATTCCCATCCCCTTAAGTATGGATCACACACAGTGGTGGCTTCTAACAAATAGAACATGGTGGGAGGGATGCTATGTCGCCTGTAAGGCTAGTCTTACAAGGGCCAGCCTGTGGCTGGCTCCCCTCTTTGCTCCCTCACTCTGGGGAAGCCACAGCCATGTCGTGAGGATGCTCAGACAGCCCATGGGAAGGCCCACGGAGAAGGCAACTGAGGCCTCCTGCCAAGGCCAACGCAGACACGGCAGTCGTGGGAGTGGCCACCCTGGAAGTAGGTCCTCTGGTTGTGATGAAGTCCTCAGGCCAGCATCCTGACCCCAGGAAACCCAAGTCACAACAGCCCCCACTGAGCTATTCCCAAATACCTGGTCCACAGAGACCAAGACAGACAGCAAATGTTTATGACTCAGTTTTAGGGTGACATGTTCCACAGCCATTGATAACTAAGACACCCACCCCCACCCATTCTTCCCACAGCAGCTGGAACCGTCCCATCAAAGATCTCTCCCCATTCTACCAAAAATCCTTCATGGCTCTTATGGTTTCTGGAACAAAATCCAGATTTCTCGTTCTGACTCACATGGCCCCAACTTATCCCTCTGGGCTTGTCTCTTATCTTCTTCAGACACACACACCCCAACTTTAGGCTCCTGGAAGGAATTTTCAGGTTCCCCTAATCACATTTTGTATGTCAATCTTGCCTGGAATGCTTCTTTCTACCTTTCACCAATTCTTATTTATTCTTCAAATAAATCACCTCCCCTAGGAAGTCCTTCCTGAGTCTTCCCTGTAGGGGAAGACTGTAGTCCTGACTTCAGATCCTGCCCTCTCAGTTTCACAGCACCTCACAGAATTCCGTCTTGGATCATTCATCACACTCAACCACAGTGGTTCTTGACCAGTGTGGGGGTGGGTGCTGGAAATGTAGTGGGGACATGGTTGTCACAATAAACCAAACAGAAGAGAACTTTGCCACGTCCAACGCTGCAGCACCTGCTGTTGAGAAACTCCACTGTGTTCTCAGGACTCTGAATGGGCTGGACCAGGCCAAGGTTTGCACAGCAAATGTCTGCAGGGGCTAGAGAGGTCCTGAAAGGAACCACACAGGCTGGGTGGAGAACAGGGAGCAGGGGGCACTGTGGAGGAATGGAGGCCCTTCCCATGCCAAGATCTGCTGGTTCAAGTTTATAAAATGCAATGCTTGTCCACTCTAGGGGACTGGGGCGCCTTGAAGAAAAGGCTGACTCCAGGGCTAGCAGGAACAAAGAGGAGCTGAGAACATCTTATTGCCCCAGAACGTTTTCAAAGAATAATGGGGACACGTCAAAAAGAAGCCAGCCTGCCCCAATCTGGAACAATTTGAACTTCCAAATAAATATGGGAAGGAATTATAACCCACTAAATAAAATAAGATCCTTGAGTCCATGCTGACACAAACAAATGAAAGAATAAACAAATGAGAAAGAAGGGACAGTTCTCTTTTAAAGAAAGCTCCTCTTTAATAACTAATATATCTGCCAGCTAACAAATTCAGCAGTGATATGGTTTGGCTCTGTGTCCCCACCCAAATCTCATGTCGAACTGTAACTCCCAACGTTGGGGGAGGCACCTGTTGGGAGGTGATTGGATGGTGGGGGCAGATAATCCCCCTTGCTGTTCTTGTGATACTGAGTTCTCACGAGATCTGATGGTTTAAAAGTGTGTGGCACTTCCCCCTCACTCTCTCTTTCTCTCTTGCAGCCATGTAAAGAAGGTGCTTGCTTCTGCTTTACCTTCTGCCATGATTGTAAGCTTCCTGAGGCCTCCCAGCCATGCTTCCTATTAAGCCTGCAGAACCGTGAGTCAACTAAACCTCTTTTCTTCATAAATGACTCAGTCTCAGGTAGTTCTTTATAGCAGTGTGACAACGGACTAATACAGTTAGGGATGATGGCATCAGGCCATTCGTGCATGCTAACAACTAGTAATCTTTTTTTTTTTTGAAACAGGGTCTCATTCTGTCACCCAGGCTGCAGTGTGGTGGCACCATCACACCTCACTGCAGCCTTGATTTCCTGGGCTCAAGTGGTCCTCCCACCTCAGCCTCCCAAGTAGCTGGAACTACAGGTGCATGCCACCACAGCAGCTAATTTTTTTTTTTTTTGGTAAAAGTAAAGGAGGGGGGTCTCACCATGTTGCCCAGGCTGGTCTCGAATTCCTGGCCTCAAGCAATCTGCCTGCCTCAGCCTCCCAAAGTGCCGAGATTACAGGCATGAGCCACCATGCCTGGCCAACAATTTTTTGAGTGACAGGATATTTATAGTCTCAAAATGTTTCCCCACAAATTATTTATTATTTACAAAGGGGGAAATAGTGACTTTTCAATGGACACACACTTAATTGATCAAAACTGACATCATCAAAATTGGCACAAACCCACATCATGGGCCTCCTGGATACGATGCCCTGAGGAGGACGTAACCCCATTTCTGTGCTATTCCTAAAATGTGTAGCCTAAGCCTCAGTGAGAGACAAGCTCAAATTGAAGGACATTCTACAAAATAGCTTGTTCATATGCTATGAAAATGTGAGCACGGGCCGGGCACAGTGGCTCACGCCTGTAATCCCAGCACTTTGGGAGGCCGCGGCGAGCGGATCACGAGGTCAGGAGATCGAGACCATCCTGGCTAACACGGTGAAAACCCATCTCTACTAAAAATACAAAAAATTAGCCGGGTGTGGTGGCGGGCGCCTGTAGTCCCAGCTACTGGGGAGGCTGAGGCAGGAGAATGGTGTGAACCCGAGAGGCGGAGCTTGCAGTGAGCCGAGATCCCGCCACTGCACTCCAGCCTGAGCGACAGAGCGAGACTCCGTCTCAAAAGACAAACAAACAAACAAAAACAAAAACAAAAAATAAACAAAAAAGAAAGTGAGCATGATGGAAGACAGAAAGGAGTGGGGTGGAAGGTGTGAGCGAAGAACTAAAGGAGGCTAAAGAGACTTGACAACTCGACCAGTGTGGTGATCCTGGGTCCGATTTTAGATTCAAAAAGGAAAAGAAAACACAGCTATAAAGGACATTATTGGGACAGTCGATGACTTTTGAGCACAAACTAGATTATGAACTAGAACAAAAATGGAGATAATGCAGTTGTGGCAACGTGATTTCCTGAGTTTGGTGATTATATGTGGTTATGTTACCGGAACATCCCTGTTTTCGGAAATTGTACACTGAAGGATTTATAGGTAAGAGGCTGTTGGCCAAGGAGGAACTTGGCCTCTCTCCAGGGACTGTGTCTTCTTCTCAGAGCCGACTGCCATTCACTTAGGAAGTTGTCCTCCAGCCCAAAGAGGCCTAGGGCGGGCTTCCTGCCTGCTGCCTGCTCAGCTGTGGCCTGCACCCCAACACTGGCTTTTCATTCGAGACTCGTCCGTTTAAAAGAGGGCCTGGCCCCCTGCTCTGGCCTATTTTAGCCGCCACAGGCCCCCTGCCATCTGTGAGTGATTTTCCCCCACACTCATCTCTCATTATCAAGAAGCAGGTGGGGTTCGGGCGTGGTGGCTCATGCCTGTAATCCCAGCACTTTGAGAGGCCGAGGCAGGTGGATCACTTGAAGCCAGAAGTTCAAGACCAGCCTGACCAACATGGCAAAACCCCATCTCCACTAAAAATACAAAAATTAGCCAGGCATGGTGACGCACGCCTGTAATCCCAGGTAATTGGGAGGCTGAGGCAGGAGAATAGCTTGAACCTGGGATGCAGAGGTTGCAGTGAGCCATGATCACGCCATTGCACTCCAGCCTGGGTGACAGGGCAAGACCCTGTCTCAAAAAAAAAAAAAAAAAAAAAAAAGAAGCAGAGAAGCAGGCGGGGGCCAGGCTGCACGGCCAACCCTGGGAGGCACTTTGTCTTGATCACACTTTCATCCCCCTCCAGCCCACCCAGGTCAGAAGGGAATGTGGCCAATTTAACTCTGCGGACGGCCCCAAAACCAACCAGGAAGAAGCTGCACGCCTCGGAGCCTCACTGATAGGCACGATTCAGAATGACGCTGGGGATGTTCGTGCAGTCCTGGCCATTTGAGGCTCCACAGGCCCAGCAGGCCAGGCCCTGGCATCAGCACCCATTTACAAAGGGGGAAACTGAGGCTCCCAGGGTTCTTCCTATGCCCGATGCTAACAGAGGTAGCAGGTATTTCCCTCTCTTTCCATATTCAGAATAAAGTTAAGATGCTTCTCCTGGCTGGGCACCATGGCACACTGCCTGTGGTCCCAGCTCCCCGGGGGACTGAGGTGGCAGGATTACGTGAGCTGCTGAGGTCGAGGCTGCAGTGAGCCATGATCATGCCACTGCACTCCAGCCTGGGCGAGAGAGCAAGACCCCATCTCAAAAAAATAAAGAAAGAAAGAAAATTAAAAAAAAAAAAAGATGCTTTTCCTTCCCCAAAGCGTGTACATCGTGTATGTTGTGGATAACGCTGGTAACTCACAGAGGTCCCCACGGATCTCTCGGTGCTGTCGTTCCCGTGGCCAGCACCTGCAAACACCCCTTCCGGGGGCTGCCTTCAGGCTACAGCAGACACCTGGCCAAAGTCCCTCTGGGTCACTCTGCGGCCTGAGGCTGCGGGGTCAGAGGCCCAGCTCCCTTGCCTGAAGACTGCCTCCCGCTTGCCTGCCCACGAATCAGGCTGGGGCTGGGCTGGGGCTGAAATGGGGCCCTGGCCAGGCTTCCTCCGGTCCCTAGCCTGCCCTGCTTCTGCACCCAAAGCCCGCCCGGCCGGGCACTCCCACGGTGCCTGCACGCAGGTCCTCACCTGGGGCTGCGCCTCTAGGGCCTCCCACCTGAGACAGGCGTTGGGACTCTCCCCCAGTGCCTCCCACTGTGGCACATGAGGGGCAGTGCTGACTTCCTCAGTCACTCAGCAGATACTGACTGAGCACCGACCTTGTGCCGGCCAGGACTCCAGGTGCCAGGCGGTGCTGTGGCTATGTGTGTGTGTGTGTGTGTTCCTGTGTAGTTTTGTGTGTGTGTGTCCCTGTGTGGTTTTGTCTGTGTGTGTGTCTCTGTGTGTTTTTTTCCGTGTGTGTGCATGTGTCTGTGTGGTTTGGTCTGTGTGTGCTTGTGTCTGTGTGGTTTTGTCTGTGTGTGTCTCTGTGTGGTTTTGTCTGTGTGTGCATGTGTGAATCTGTGTGGTTTTGTCTGTGTGTGTGTGTGTGTCTGTGTGCTTTTGTCTGTGTCTGTGTGTGTGTGTGTCTGTGGTTTTGTCTGTGTGTGTGCATGTGTCTCTGTGTGGTTTTGTCTGTGTGTGTGTGTGCATGTCTGTGTGGTTTTGTCTGTGTGTGCACGTGTCTCTGTGTGGTTTTGTCTGTGTGTGTGTGCGTGTCTGTGTCTGTGTGTGTCTGTGTGGTTTTGTCTGTGTGTGTGCACGTGTCTCTGTGTGCTTTTGTCTGTGTGTGCGTGTGTGGTTTTGTCTGTGTCTGTGCGTGTCTGTGTGGTTTTGTCTGTGTGTGTGCACATGTCTGTGGTTTTGTCTGTGTGTGTTTGTGGTTTTGTCTGTGTCTGTGTGTGCTTGTCTGTGTGGTTTTGTCTGTGTGTGTGTGCGTGTCTGTGTGGTTTTATGTGTGCATGTGTGCCTCAGGTGCATCTCTGCGTGTGTCTCCGTGTGTGTGGTGGGGTGTGCCTCTCTCTGATGTTTCTACAGGGGAGGAGCAGGTATCAGGTCACACAGGTGCTAAGTCGCAGAACTAGGGTCTAAGCCCGAGTCCTGAGGCTCTCCACCAACCTGTGCCTCTGAGAAAGGAAGCGCGAATCCTCCACCGCGGGGCCTGCGTATCCCTTAGTTTGTATTTGATACTTGCCAAAAGAGCTCTGCGAGACTTATTTAGATTCTTATGAACACTCCGGGCACACGTAAACAAAGGAAACACGAGTGAAATGGGTGGATTACAGAATGTCCTAAACTTCTTCACTTTTGGAGTCTGACTCTCTGAATCACTCCTTAACTCTGAGTGATCAAGGTCCATGTTCTCTCGGTGCCACCAACCATGAGTACAGCAGCAACTCTTCAAGGGCTCCACTCAAGGGCTAAACCTTTGCTTCTTGAACCGGCTTTGCAATTACCGTATTTCATCAAATATGAGCTGCCACTGCAGGTGAGGAGCATCCTGATTCCAGAGACATTAAAATGGAAAGGAGGTGTGTTTCTCCAGTTTGATAAAAAGAGAAAGTGGCCTGGACTCCTTTTGACTCCCACATCCAACTAACACCTCCTTCAGCTTTCTGCACAGCCATGTAATTATCTTCCCAGCTATCCTAGCCCTCTCCCTCTCCCTCCAGGTTGGCATCGGCTCCTAGTTCTCTAAACAGAAGGATGTCCTGCCTCAGGCCTTCGTACATGCTGTTCCTTCCATCTGCACACCATTCCTGAGCCCCACATGACTCCCTCTCTCCCATTGTCCTGGTCTCTGTTCAAATGTCACCTAAGGGCCACCGAGCTGCACAACCTCTGGAGTGCCGTGCCCATCACCCTTCACCCCCTGCCTCAGCTGGACCCATTCCTCACAAGCCAGAGGAATTTTACTCTAATGGTGGAATTTCAGGCCAAGTAGAAAAATATATTTCGTGTGTATGAAGAAAGGGGAAAAAGAACCCTTCTCTGAGACCTCAAGTTATTATTTAATTGATTAATTTTTAGTCATTGATTAAATTATTAAATAACAAATGAAATCAATTGTATTAATTTCTTAGGAGTAAATTATTTTTCCACTGCACTCCAGCCTGGACAACAGAGCAAGACCCTATCTCTAAAAAATTTATATAAATCTATTGCCAATTTATTAATTGCTATTTAACAATGAGTTCCACCAACTGAGGGCGCTGGACCAGGCATGGTATGAACCTAAAGAGCCACACCCTTATGATCTACTGGGCCCAGTAGGGTCTGACCCTGTGACCTGTCTGGGCCCATTCCCAGCGCCTGCTGCTGCAGCCACACCAGCCTTCCCCCAGCTGCCACAGAGCCTTTGCTTCCTGACCACCTTCAAGCACTCCTAGATCTTGGCCCCCTAAGCCAGCTCGGCCCCAGGGTGATTGCACTTTTCCTGCCTTTGGGCAGCAGGTGGTGTATCAGTCAGGACTGGCCACATTGTGCCGCTGTGACAAACAAACCCCAAATCCCAGTGGCTGAAGACAATAAGGATGTGTTCCTTGCTCATTCTCTGTGTCAGAGGCCAGCGGGGGGTTCTGCTCATCATGGACACTAGGGGGCCCCAGCTCAGGGAGTAGCCACATCTCAACGGTTGCCAGCAGCCGTGCCAGAGGCGCTCACGTTGGTGAGTAAATGCTCCAGCCTGGGCAGGGACGCATGTCTCTTCTGCTCACATGCTTCCCGGCTACAGGTAGGAGAATGACAATGCGTGCCACATCCCCTCAAAAGGGGCAGAAAGTCTAATCCTACCAGGTGCCTAGAAGAGAGACAACCAGAAATATTTGGTGCCCAGCACTAATATCTATACCAGGTGGCGTTCAGTGAGCATCCAGTGCAATACAGCTTCCTGAGCAGCTCCTAGGTGCCAGGCACTGCACAGGGCATAGGGAACCAGCAGTGAAGACAGACAGTGGACAAGCCAGGACAGAACTCATGACTTCACTGCATGGGTGGCGCCTGCTGCAGGGAGAATGCTGGGCTCCAGCATGTCGAGCAGGGTCCAGTGACTTCAAGGAGGGGTTTAGAAAGGCCCCTCACTCTGGGACCAGTGTTTCAGGTAAGGCCTAAAGGGTGACTAGGACTTCTCTGGGTGAAGATGAGTGGAACAGCCTTCTAAGAAGTGGGCGGGGCCGGGAACAATGGCTCACACCTGTAATCCCAGCACTTTGGGAGGATGAGGCAGGCAGATCACCTGAGGTCACGAGTTCAAGGCCAGCCTGGACAACATGGTGAAACCCCATCTCTATTAGAAATACAAAAATTAGCTGGGCACGGTGGCTCATGCCTGTAATCCCAGCACTTTGGGAGGACAAGGCTGGTGGATCACCTGAGGTCAGGAGCTCGAGACTGGCCTGGAAAACATGGTGAAACCCCATCTCTATTAGAAATACAAAGATTAGCTGGGCGTGCTGGCGGGCGCCTGTAATCCCAGCTGCTTGGGAGGCTGAGGCAGGAGAATCACTTGAACCTGGGAGATGGAGGTTGCAGTGAGCCGAGATCGCACCACTGCGCTCCAGCCTGGCAACAAGAGCGAAACTCCGTCTCAAAAAAAAAAAAAAAAAAAGAAGTGGGCATAACATGTGCAAAAGACCTGCGGCTGCAGGAAATAATCTTTTCCAGCAACTGTGAGGAAGCCAGCGTGGCTGGAACACATAGCACGGAGGAGAATAAGATGGAGCTGGAGAGGTCAGCGGCCAGATCATTCACAACTTTGTACACCGGCTTGTGAGCCCCAGCCCTCATCCTGAGAGCCATAAGGAGCCATAGAGGGTTTGTCGCGATGTGGCTCTGAGCAGCACCCTCTGGTGGCCTTTTAGGGAATGACACTCTTAACATACATGGGCAGCTCCAGGCTGCAGACATTGCTGCCCGGCCAGTCCTGGGCTTGGTTCTAAGTGTTACTTGCAGCCCTTCAGAGAATGCCCATTCCATTAACGCTGGGTGAACACCGCTCACAAAAGGCAATAACCAAGTCTGCAGCTGGCGGGAGACATTTGAGATGGCACACCACCAAGTCATGCTCTCCAGGAGACACCAGACAGACAGGCCAGCGCTACACGGAGCTGACCCAGACGGCAGAAGGTCTGGCTAGCCTGGGTTTTCTCCAATGGGTGCCTGGCTGGGACCTGACTTCAGAGGTTGAGCAAGGGGAGGGGATGGAATCCTGATCCCCTTAATCTTCGTGCAGGGCTGGTGAATCTCAGGCCCCAGGCAGACAGCCAGCCAATGGGCAGAGAGGCCAGGAGCTGACTCCACAGCTCCTGGCCTCATCTGGGAAGGGAGATAAACTCCACCAGCCAGACAAAGGGGGCCCCAAGGCCAGGGCCTCCCTCACATGCCTGTGGCCTCTCTCTGCTTGAGACTGCACCATAGGCCGCAGGCCCTTATCAGCCATGGCCTGGGGACTTCCCAAAGTACAGCCTGCCAGCAAAAGACCACCACCAACTGTTTCATTCTTCATTTCAGACAGGATGAATTGAGCCACCTGACCTTTTCTGGAAAGAGGCAAGAGAAGGAATGTTTCCTCCTTCAGTAAAAGACACTCAGACACATGTCCAGTGTCACGGTGCAAAAGGGTCAGGAAACCAAGTCCCCTCCCATCCCAAAGCCCCATTTCCCTTCCACATTGCTGGTGTCTTTTGTCCTTCCAGAGAGCCCCAGCACAGAGCAGCAAATATGAGCTTAGTGATTCCTGGAGAGGGCTGTGTCCCATGAATGGACTGCCACTTGCTGGCTGCTGGCTTTACGTCTACAGGCAAAGGATGTTATGAAATAGCTCCGGAAGTTTCTTTTGGGGGCCCCCAGCACCTCTTCTCCTATCACGACCAGGCTCTGAAAATGAGGCTTCTTGCTCAGGGAAGAGAACAGGTACAGAGGAATCCACACTCAGCTTTGAGCATCAAAATAAGGGTTTTTAAGGTTTAAGTGTTTGATGAGACAGTGGTCTTGAAAGCCAGGCTTTCCTGGAATTCCCAGAGCCACACGTGACCTGACCACAGTGGAAATCAGACAGGGGACACGTGCAAGATGCAGCCCTGGGGACAGAAAGGCAAACAGCAAGGAGGCGGCTGCAAGAGGGACTTGGGGGAGGTGACAGAGGTGACCATCTTGCTACGACCCCACCGGGTGGAGAGATGGAGACGGGGAAAGCAAACAAAACCCACACAAACAACAACAGAAAACCTGCTCTCAGGGCCGCGTAATGACCGGTGCCCTTTTGTACAGAAGCCCCGCCAGGTTTTGAACTTCAAGCAGGTCCGTGGGGGAAGAAAAGGGCCCAGTCCCATGGAAATTTCCTAGTAGGGTTTATTTTGAAGCAAAGGTTTGGCAGACGTGACCCAGTCTCCTTGGCTAGACAGGGCCTCTTTGAAAAGAGTCAAAAACAGCAGAAAGATGGGAAGTGGTCCTAGAATGAGCTGGTTTTAGTGGAATCTTCTTCTTCCAAAAAGAACCGCCAGAGGCCAGCCCAGGCCTCCCTTGCTTTCCAGAATTCAACTCAACTCACCTGTGGCCCGATGAGCTCGGCGATTCAGCTCGCCCTAATTCCCCAAACCTGTGCAGGTTACCTGACGTGGCAAAAGGCACTTTGCAGGTGGGGCAAGGGGCACCTTGCCATAGGGAGGGTAACCCGGGTCATCCAGGTGGACCTAATCGAGTCACACGAGTCCTTAGAATCAGAGAACCTTTCTGAGCTGCGGTCGGAGGGAGCCGTGGTGGAACCTTTCTGAGCTGTGGTCAGAGGGAGCCGTGATAGAACCTTTCCGAGGGTGCTGTGATTACCGAAGCAGCAGCAGAGATGCAACATTGCCGGCTCTGAAGGTGGACGAAGCGGCCAGGAGCCATGGGATGCCAGTGACCTCTGGACGCTGGAAAAGGCAGGGAAACAGATTCTCCCCCAGAACCCCCAGAAGTTACCAGCCCTGTTGACCGTGACCCAAGCCCAGGGAGACTGAGGCTGGGTTTCTGACCTGTGGAACCGTAAATGACAAATGAGGTTTTTAAGCTGCTAAGTCTGTGGACATTTGTTACAGAACCCGTCGAAAATCCACCCGTCATCTTTCTTGAGCTCCTATGTGGCCGTTCCTGGGATGTGATTCCTAATCCTCGTGACCACCTGTGAGACTGGGCCTGTGATCCCCAGTTCACAGATGGGGAAACTGAGGCTCTCTGAGATGAACTGACGCCCCTTGGGGACCTGAGCAGGGACGGGAACTCCAGGCTGACTCCAAGCTGCGTGGACCTCCGGCTGCCTACAGGTGAGGTGTGTGTCTAACTGCCTCTCAGGGGAGAGGCTGGGACTTGGTGACAGCCTGTGCGGAAAGTGCTGGCACAGAGGAGGGGTTCAGGCCACGTCAGTCCTCTCGCCCCTTTTCCCAAACATCTGCTGACACAGCTCCATTCTGGCTGCTAATTGGGTGACAGATTCTTCCTGATTGCCACTACAAAGCTATTATAAAATCAACCCTGGCCGGGCGTGGGGCTCATGCTGTAATCCCAGCACTTTGGGAGGCCAAGGCAGGAAGACTGCTTGAGGCTAGGAGTCCAAGACCAGCCTGAGCAACATAGCGAGAGCCCATCTCTACAAAAACAATTTTTAAAAATGAGCCAGGTAGGGTGGTGCACACCTGTGGTCCCAGCTACTTGGGGTGTTGAGGTGGAAGAATCACTTTAGCCGGGGAGGGCAAGGCTGCAGTGAGCTGAGATGGTGCCACTGCACTCCAGCCTGGGTGACAGAGCAAGACTGTCTCAAAATAAAATCAGCCCTGGGCTCCCATGGGCAAAAAAACTACTTACCCCCCACACCCTGTGCCCTCTTGGTGGGTAAAAGGCTAAGAAGCTCAAATTGGCAGGAATGTGGTTGGGGCCCCGGCCACCCATGTTGGCCCTGTCTGATCGCTGTGTGACCTCAGGCCAGTCAGCACACCTCTCTGGAAATGTGTTGTTTGGTTTGGCAGAGCTCCCAAGGTTCCCTGCAGCACCAGCTACCTGGGAGCCGCTCTGGTCCCTGCCTGGGCACTGGGGATCAGGTCGGGCTGGCGGCTGCTAGGTGTCAACACCTGCAGCCTGGCAGGTGCCCCAGAGCCCTCCAATCAAGGCCAAACCTTCCTGCCCTCCCGTTCCAAAAGTCAAAGGTGCTCCCTCCCCAGGGAGCTTAGGTCAGGGCCTGGCCCTAAAGCTCTGTGTTCCACCTGGCTTGGCTGACCTCAGGGCAGCCATTCCTTGGAAGGGAAATAAGCCTACAGCTGCCAGGGAAAGTGGAATGGCCCAGGGGTCCCCAACGGTACCCCCAGGCCAGGAGGTAATGGCTCCTTGGCTCAGTCTTTCTCACACTTTGCTGGCAGCAAAGTACGTTGGGGGGCAGGCATAATGCTGACCCACTCTACCAGGTGGAATTGTGTCCCCGAAAAAGATACGTTTAGGTCCTAATCCCCGAAACCTGTGAATGTGACCCTATTTTGAAATTGAATCTTTGCAAATATAATTCGTTAACATGAGGTCACACTGGAGTAGGCTAGACCTTAATCCAATGGCTGGTGTCCTTAGAAGAGAGAAACTGGGCCAGGCACGGTGGCTCACGCCTGTAATTCCAGGACTTTGGGAGGCCAAGGTGGGCAGATCACTTGAGGCCAGGAGTTCAAGACTAGCCTGGCCAACATGACCAAACCCCATCTCTACTAAAAATACAAAAATTTAGCCAGGCGTGGTGGCTCACACCTGTACTCCCAGCTACTTGGGAGGCTGAGGCAGGAGAATCGCTTAAACCCAGGAGGCAGAGGTTGCAGTGAGCCAAGATTGTGCCACTGGACTCCAGGAAGAGGAAAATTGGCCAGGCGTGGTGGCTCACACCTGTAATCCCAGCACTTTGGGAGGCCGAGGTGGGTAGATCACTTGAGGCCAGGAGTTCGAAACCAGCCTGGCCAACGTGGTGAAACCCCGTCTCTACTAAAAATACAAAAAGTAGCCAGGAGTGGCGGTGCACACCTGTAATTCTAGTTACTCAGGAGGCTGAGATGCAAGAATCGCTTAAACCCAGGAGTCAGAGGTGGCAGTGAGCCGAGACTGTGCCACTGTACTCCACCCTGGGCGACAGAGCGAGACTCCATCTCAAAAAAAAAACAAAAAGGTAGGGGGGAAAATTTAGACACAAACATGGGGAGAAGCCCATATGAGGATGGAGGCAGAGGTTGCAGTGATGTGTCTACAGGCCAGGGAACGCCAAGGACTGCTGGCAGTGAGCAGGAGCTGGACAAGGCAGCAAGGGACACTCCCCTAGAACTTTCAGAGAGATCATGGTTTTGCCCACACCTTGATTTTAGACTTCTGCCTCCAGAACAGAGAGAACACACGTTTCTGCTGTCCTAAGCCCCCAGTTAGCAACACTTTGTTACAGCATCCCCAGGAGACACACACACCTGTCCACTGCCACCCATTGCCCAGTAGTCAACGCTTTGAGGAAACACAAGAAAATCAGGTGTCCCTTGATAAATCCTAATTCAAGAACTGGCCCTTACTCAGATTATGACCTTCCTTCAGTGTTGGGGGCTAAACTGTCCTTTTTTGGAGGGACCGTGGACACAGACGGCTACGGATGTCTATCTGCTGATCTTTTATCATTCTCAAAAGGTTCTTCTGAATTTTTATGAAATTCAAAAGCCTGTGGACATGGGTTTTGGAGTCGAGAGAACTGGGTTCTGGGTCAGGTTCTGCCTCACAGGCCCTGTGTGTGACTCTGGGTGAGGGGTTATGATGCCCTCGGGGTCTTCCAGTCCCCCTGCAGTTTGGAGTTAGGGTCGCTCTTGGCCAGTTGCCAGGTCCCATATGAAATGACTCTACCTCCTTGCTCTTCCCGCCTCCCCTCTCCCTATCCTCTGAGTCTATCCAGCACCGGTGGGGTGCCCCAACCTGCATTTGATACTGCAGAATAAATAAGTAAATAGAAAGTGAAGTTCTTACTTCCACTTGCCCTCCAGAAGCTTGAAACTGCCTCTAGGGACTTGGCTATTGAAGAAGAGTTCTTTACCTTTCCCGGTGGTGCTGAGTCAGGCAGAACTCCATGGTTGTCAGTGACAGAAACTCAAACCAGAGGAAGCTTCAGCCCCAGGGCCATGCTGAGGGCCACAAAGGCTGAAACCGGGGCCTCAGTGCTGAGAATGCACGTTCTTGCCATCTGTTCCTGTCCTGGCTGCTCTGCAGGGACCTCATTTTCTCCCCAAGTGGGCAGGTTTTTCTCCCAGCAGTGGGAAACATGATGCAGGCAGCCCTGGCTTAGGTCTGCTTACCTTGGTGAAAAAGTTCTGAAAAGGCCTCTCTCCACCTATTTCAGAATAGAAACACCCAGGGAAGGACTCTGATTGGCTGGGTGTGGTCATGTGCCTAGCCCTGGGCACTATCATGGTGGCCACTGGGTAGGAGCTTTGTGATTGGCCAGGCCTGGGTCAGATGCGTATCCAGGGATGGGGTCCTGTGATTGGCAGCTCTTCCAGCATCACATGACTGGAATAAGCTCAGCTTCTGGAAGGCTGGGAAGGAAGCAGGGTGGTCCAGGCCTCCCTTCTCTCTGCCATCTGACAGCAACCCAAGGGTCCCTGGACTGGATGTCAGGGCCATGAGATCTCGGACTGCTGGTCATGGGTTTCTCACACCTCTGTTAGCTTCAGGACATACTTTCAAGTGAACTTTTACTTGGAAGAACACCCTCAGTTGCTGTAGTTGAGGCAGAAAGGGATGGAAAGGAGAAGGGGAGGGCTCAGAGTCCCCTCCCTCCCACCCCCATCCATGACCCTCCCCAGACTGAGAGGTGTGGAGGCATCCCAACCCTGGGAAACCTGTGGACATCATGTCCCATGTTATGGATGGGGAAACTGAGGTACTGATAGCAGCACTAGTCTGAGGTCCCCCACAAGGGAAGGAAGGAGCCAAGTTCACAGCCACAGCTTTTGCCGCCCAGTTCCACCAGGTCCGTGGAAACAGGTCAGCCTCCTTCTTGCCCAGACATTGGACCGAGTCCTTTGAATTCCTGGCAAAAGGGAGAGGCTCACAAGGAATTTTAGAGTTCAAATTAGGATGGTTCACTCTGGCTCTGTAACCTGCTGCGTGGCCAGCTTGGGAAGGGATGCTGCGGCCCAGTGGGCTGGCGGGCAAATTCGGCCCGGGCAACATGGTTCTTTTTCAGCCTCAGCCCTGTTGAAACAGAAGCAGGCTCCAGGCCTGAGGTTGTGCCCGCAGGACTCACTGAGCCCAGTGGCTCGGCCCAGCCTGGGACGTGCAGCCACTGAAAGCCACAGAGGCGACCTCCTCTGCTCCACACAGACCACACTCCTGCACTGTTGTCTGTTGGCAGTTCCCATTCAGTGCCCCCTCCCAGGAAGGGGTCAGGTCAGACCGGGTATGGCCACCCTGGCCCTCCCTGGAACACCCAGGCACACACCCGCTGCTGGGAAGGCCCTGCGAGGAATGTGTGTGGGGACAACATCTGCAGAGCTGCCCGAGGCCAGGAGGACACCAGTCGGCCATGCCCATGAGGCCTGAAGCCACCTTCACACCCTC
This sequence comes from Homo sapiens, assembly GCF_000001405.40. Taxonomy (NCBI): domain Eukaryota; kingdom Metazoa; phylum Chordata; class Mammalia; order Primates; family Hominidae; genus Homo; species Homo sapiens. The sequence continues at coordinate 84,959,136 of NC_000016.10, forward strand.
AGACTCCATATTCCAGAAGAGGACGCTGAGGTCCCAGGAGGAGGAATTCCTCCTGCTGGCAGTCCCTGGTACTTTGACACCCACAATGACAGGCAAGGCCCGTCCTGCAGGGGGTGCAGTGTGTTTGGGGGGTGAATGGAGTGTGGGGCCCCTGGAGTGCAGTGCTGGGGTGACTCGGGCAGGGGGAGCATGTGAGGCCAGTGCATGAAGGCCGTGGCCCATCCTGGGAGAGATGCCCAAGCCTGGCATTGTGGTGGTGGCAGTATTGCGGTGGAGCGTGGAGACCGCAGCCGCACAGCCCTGACACAATCCTGCATGGGACCATCGCACACTGAGCAAGGAGGCTTTGTGGTCAGCTAACACAGGGGTAGGACCCGGCTCTGATGCAAACATATTCTGGAACTTTGTGAAGTCCCTTCCTCGCTCCAGGCCTCAGTTTGTCTGTTTGCAAAATAAGAAGGCTGGACTCGAGATGCTTCTCATCGGGTGTTCTTTGGGGCATCATCCCTTCAGATGCGGCACCCGAAAAAGATGATGGCTACAGGGGGCTGAGTGGTGGTCCCCTGAAATGTGTCCACATTCTAATCCCCAGAACCTGTATTTGTGCAATATGGCAAAAGACGGGGTTGCTTTAAACATCCCGAGAGGAGGAGCTGGTTCTGGGTTATCCAGATGGGCTCTGAATGCAATCACCTGCCTCCTGATAAGAAAGTGGAAGGAGTTTGGGGAGGAACGCAGAAAAGAGGAGGCGGGTGAAACCAGAGGCTGCGTTTGGAGCAATGCCACCACAAGCCACAGAGTACAAAGGATCGCCGGCCATCGCCGGAAGCTGGAGGGGCCAGGAGGGGTCCCCAGAGGGAGCACAGCCCCACTGATACCTTGGTTTCAGGCCTCTGGCCTCCAGAATGTGGGAGAATAAAGTTCTGTTGTCAAAGTCACGAGGTTTTGGTGATTTGTTATAGCAGCCATGGGAAACGAATACAGTGGCCGAACGTGGGTGCAAAATACCACATTCTCCATCTGCTTTGTGGAGTATGGTAATGCCCGTCGTAGAGCAAAGGCTCTGAGAAGTCCTGCGGAGAAGAAAATGTTCTATTTTCCTATGCTTATTCAATCATGCCAGCACCCATTTCCATACCCCATGAACTTCCCATGGGAGATACTTTGGGAAATGTTGGACTAGAAAACCCTTAAGGTTTTCTCCATGTTGAAATTCTGTGGCCAGCCAGGTGCGGCGGCTCATGCCTGTAATCGCAGCACTTTGGGAGGCCCAGGTGGGTGGATCACGAGGTCAGGAGTTTGAGACCAGCCTGACTAACATGGTAAAACCCCATCTCTACTAAAAATACAAAAGTTAGCCGGGCGTGGTGGTGCACACCTGTAATCCCAGCCACTCAGGAGGCTGAGGCAGGAGAATCACTTGAACCCGGGAGGTGGAGGTTGTGGCAAGCCAAGATCGTGCCACTGCACTCCAGTTGGGTGACAGAGCGAGACTCCATCTCAAAAAAAAAGAAAAGAAAAGAAAATTCTGTGGCTTTAACGACGGGAAGCCAACTCACAAAAGGAACTTGTCTGCTTAATTAGAGGCTTTTTTTTTAATAGTCCAAATGCTTTCCTACTTGGGGGGAAGCAAAAGCAGTTCAGGGAAGAACAGATTCTTCTTAATTTGACTTGAGTGCCATTGAGCACACAGGAGCCTGACCCTGAGGGGATCAGTGTGTGAACTCCAACAATTGTGTTGTGCTCTCTCTAAAGAACTCGTTCCTTAAACTGTGTTCCTAAAGGTGGAGTGAAAGGCTGAGCGAAAGGCTTTGCATTTCCAAGACCTCCGGTTCAGAGTGCCACCTTGCCCTCCAGAGCCCAGGAGGTCGAAGCTGCTGTGAGCCTTGATTGCACCACTGCACTCCAGCCTGGGTAACAGAGCAGGACCCTGGAAAAAAAAAAAAAAAAAAAACTCCTTCCAGAGGTCATACAGATTTAAACTTCAGCAACACAGACTAGCAGTGTTCATTTCCCACCATCCGTGCCAACACTGGGCATTTTCATAGTTTACATGTTTAAACGGTCCTGTGTATTTTTACCACAAAGATAAATAAGAATTGTTGAGTTATGTGAGTTTCCATTCAGTTGTACCCAGAGCAGCCTCCCTGAGCCCATTACCACCAACAGACAACTGTGACAGTGACCAGTCAAGGTCAGCCAGACTTTGCAGAGGAAACAGCAGACCTCACTCAGTTTTGGCCTGAAATACTAAACTCTGAAAAAGAGACCATTCCATGTCACAGGATCCTTCCCGGGGGGACAGCTGGACTGAGACGAGAGGTTCAGATTTGGAGTCAGGAAGCCCTGGGTTTAGCCCTGGCTCAGCTCCTTTCTAGCTGTGACCTTGGGAACTCACATGGCCCCTTTGTGCCTCAGTTTCCCCGTCTTTGAGGAGGGATAATGATAACCTCAACCTCTGTGAGCTGTGGTGAGGATTAAGTTATTTTGTTAGCAGCAGTGAATCTATACGGGTCTGCAGCAACTTGATTCCTGTCTCCTTGGAAGAAAGAATTTGGCCAAGGGTTATAAGGTGAGAGACCATGGCAAGTGTTAGAGGAGGAGTGAAGGTTTATTCAAAAGTTTTAGAGCAGAAATGAAGTAAAGTACGCTTGGAAGGAGGGGCTCATCAAGCGGGCGGCTTCGAGAGATGCAGGTGCTCTATTCAGCCTTTGACTTGGGGTTTTGTACGTTGGCATGATTCTGGGGTTTGCGTCTCTCCTCCCTTGATTTTTCCCTGGGGTGGGCTGTCTGCATGTGCAGTGGCCTGTCGGCACTTAGAAGGGGCCGCCAGCACTGTGAGTCTACTGAAGTTGCGTGCATGCTCGTCTGAGGCGACTGGAACGGTCAAGCGCTCCTCCTAGAGGAAGGCCATATGGTGAGAGTGAAACTCCCCCCGGCTGGGCTCAGTAGCTCACGCCTGTAATCCCAGCACTTTGGGAGGCCAAGGCGGGCGGATCACCTGAGGTCGGGAGTTCGAGACCAGCCTGACCAACGTGGAGAAACCCTGTCTCTACTAAGAATACAAAATTAGCCGGGCATGGTGGCACATGCCTGTAATCCCAGCTACTTGGGAGGCTGAGGCAGGAGAATGGCTTGAACCCAGGAGGTAGAGGTTGTGGTGAGCCGACGTAGCACCATTGCATTCCAGCCTGGGCGACAAGAGCAAAACTCTGCTTCAGAAAAAAAAAAGAAAAGAAAGAAAGTGAAACTCCACCATTTTGCCTCCTAGTGTGTGTGCTTGAGCCTGCTCGCCCCACTCCTGGGATCTTATCAGGAAGCTGCCGATCACCAGCTCCAGGTGTTTCTTTCTTTCTTCTTCTTTTTCTTTCTTTTTTTTTTTTTTTTTGAGACAGAGTCTTACCCTGTTGCCCAGGCTGGAATGAAATGGCATGATCTCGGCTCACTGCAACCTCCGCCTCCTGGGTTCAAGAGACTCTCATGCCTCCTGAATAGCTGGAATTATAGGCGTGTGCCACCACGCCCGGATAATTTTTGTATTTTTAGTAGAGATGGGGTTTTCACCATGTTGGCTAGGCTGGTCTCAAACCCCTAACCTCAGGTGATCCTCCCTCCTCAGCCTCCCAAAGTGCTGGGATTATAGGTGTGAGCCACCAAGCTCGGCCTCCAGGTGTTTCTATCTCTTGGGACCCTGCCGTTCCTTGATGCCAGCTGCAGCCCATTGTTACTTTAGAGACAGTTTAGCAACTGCCTGACCATCACCTGAGGGTCTCCTGATATTCCTGGGGGAGGGGGGCCTTTCCTAACCTGCTCATGTCTGCCTTGTAGAGAAAATTTCCTAACAATTTCCTCGTAGAGACAGCCTTTATGGATGTAACCCGAATATGAGCTAGGGTCCCAGACAGCTCGGTCTAGAGAGAGTCACAAACGTGCACAGTCCAGTCACCAAAAATGGTTGGAAAGGAATCTGGGGTTTTACTTGCATGTCTCTAGAACATTGAAAGGAATCCACCTCTTAACCCACAATTACGTTTCTCGAAATCCTGCTTCCTCTCCTCCCTGCTTCTCCTGTATCCTGCTCTGCTCCAGAACCTTCCTTCAGTCACCCAGAACTGCCCCCGACATCCAGCCCTCATTTCTGCCTCTCCTCCTCCCCTCGCCTCCCCCAGCCCTTGCTTGGCTTAGAGGGAGGAGCTTCTTCTTCCAGTTCTGCTTGTTTTCTCATGGCCTCCTCTAGAATCTGGATTCTCCGCCATAAAGGACAGCCTCCTCGCCTGTCCCCTCCTTCCTCTCTAGGTCCTGTCTCTCGCTGCCCCTTCCCCGACTCTGCTAGAAGTGGAACCAGCCTGGGAAAGGCAGAGCTCCCCTTGGAGAGCAGAGGAGGAGGAAAGCCAAGTGGCAGACACGGTGCGCCTTAACTGGCGAGGACCAGTCCCGAAATGCATCCTGTGTTTCACTATCTGCCCTGCGGCTGGTCCCCCTCGTCATCATCTCCTCTTCTGCTGGAGTTTCTCGTCTTTAGAGCTTTCCCCTGGCTGGGCATGTTCTTTCTCCCTCCCGCTCTGCCCAAGGAGAGGTGACGGGGGGTGAAGGAGGCCCTGAACTTCGTGGCCAGAACACGACAGAGGCTCCAGCTTTGGGAGGGGTGGGTGTGGGCGGATCATCTGCAGTGGCTACTTTCTCCAGTCTCTTCCAACACCCCGCAGCCCACCCCATTGCTGAAGGACCTCAGTTAGTCCCCAGCCTCCACCCTTGCAGGGCGTGTGTTCCAATCAAGCTCCACCGGAGGGTCCCCTTCCTCTCCACCAGTCCTCACCCTCCACACTGGCGTTCCTGAGCACCCCAGGATGCCGGGAGGTGTTGCCCACCCCCACCCCAGCCCACCCTTGCCGTGACCTGCATCCTCACCCCTAGCACCTGGAGGTTGCTTTGCTGATGACACGGTGGGAGCAAGATTCAGGTGGCACGGAGCAGAGGGGTGGGGTCAGCCTCAGGGGACAGGCTGAATCTCTGGGAGCCTCAGCTTCCTCCATCGAATGGATATGGTGACCTCTCCCACCCCTCCTCATGGGGCGCAGTGGGATCTGGAGCCCTTAGGTGTGCTTCAGGTGTGGGGTTGACGAGAGGGCATGGGTCATTCCGTTACCCTGTGCCAGCACGTGCTTGCTGTTCATTCACTATGCCGTGCTAGGAGGCGATACCGCGAGGAACCAGGGACGGATGCAGCACCTGTCAACCACATACCCGGGGCTTGAGTGCTGTTATGAGGGCGTGGGCCTATGGGACTCCGAGGAGGGGAACTAACCCTGCCAGGGGTGACCAGGGAGGCTCCCTGGAAGAGGTGGATTCTGAGCCAGGCCTTGAACAATGAGTGAGAAGTAGCCATTCATTTCTTCATTCATGTAGTTAACAAGCATCTGTTCCAAGTCTGGAAGTACAAATGCGCATTGAGTTGGAAGACAAGGGCCCATACGTGCTGCCCTGGGAGGGCTGGCCAGGAGAACAGAAGACATCTCTGACCTCCCTTTCAGGGCCCGTACCAGGTCCAGGGCTTGGCCAGGCTGGGTGTGGGTATGGGAGTGGGCAGGGCTGGCCCACCCAGGTGGGCCACAGAGCCAAGGGGGCCTGAGCCTCATCCATTAGGTGTGGTGTGGCCACACGGTGAGGGACAGGAAAGGATGGAGCTCCGTGACTGTTGATAGGGACAGATCTCCAAGACATGTTGTGACGTGCAAAACAGCAAAGTGAATGTTTGCTACCATTCGTGCACAAACACATCCGTGAGCAAACGTGTGTATGCACGCACACACACCTGTTGGCTTCAAACGTGTGTGTGCACGCACACGCACCTGTCAGCTTGAAATGTGTGTATGCATGCACAGGCACCTGTCAGCTTGAACATGCTCAGAGACCGTCTAGGCCCCGCGTGGGTACCACCCGCTCAAAACATGAACTTAATAGTTTTCAAATAAATAGAGGTTAAAAAACCCCAAAGACCCTGGCTTTAGAGGGTCCAGGTTTTGACGCTGAGCCTCGGTTTTCCCCTCACAGCTCCTGCTCCCTGGCGCTTTTGTGAGGAGCTGGCACACGAGGGATGGGAGGACTGGGAGCTGGCCGAGCTAAGGGTTTGACTGTTGGTAGCTGCTGCTGGTGCTGCTGTTTCTGTTTCTGGTGTTACAGCCACTTGCCCTGCACCCCAACCCCTCGAGTGATGGGGGAGAGCCGGGGAAGCCCTAACCTTACTTGGGTCTGGGCACCTCCCATGTCTCCAAGATTTCTCCCACTGCAGTTTGGAAACTGAGCTTCAGAGACCTGAATTCAGTCTCGTTCTAAGCACACTCGCATACACCAGACATATAATCTCACAAAATTGCATAAACACACATACAGCCATGCAAAATTACATGTGCACACAATCATCTCTCACGATCACTCAAAATCACATAAAAACCACACACAAATGCAAACTGCACTTATGTAAACACAAAGTGTCACACACAATCACACAATCACACACGCAATCATGCACAATCACACAAACACAATCACACACGCAATCACACAAACACAATCACAATCACACAAACACAATCACACACAATCACACACGCAATCACACACACAATTGCAAACAGTCGCACACAATCATGCAGCCGCATACAATCACAATCACATTCACGCACACACAATCACGCACACACAATCGCGTACACACAATCATGCACAATCACGCACACACAATCATGCACACACAGTCACGCACAATCACGCACGTACAATCACGCACACACAATCACGCACAATCACGCACGCACAATATCACGCACACACAATCACATACAATCACGCACTCACAATCACGCACAATCACGCACACACAATCACATACAATCATGCACAATCACGCGCACACACAATCACCAGCACGCAATCACGCACACAATCACGCGCACACAATCACGCACAATCGCGCACATACAATCACGCACACACAATCACGCACACACACAATCACGCGCAGACACAGTCACGCACAATCACACACAATCGCGCACACACAATCACAGTCACACACAATGACATACACAATCACATGATTACACAGATCACACAATCATGCTCACACACAGTCACACACAGAATCACGCACACACACAATCACAGATGCACAATGCAGCAAGCCCAGCTGCTGAAGTACTCAGCTCCTTCTGGATGAAGCTGGTACCCCGATCCCAGCCCAGCCCTCGCTTCCCAGGCCCCAGCAGTAAGAGGTCAGGAAGGGCTGGGCCAGGAGGGCAGCCCCAACGATGTTGTCCCCAGACCCACCAGCCAGACCCCAAAGGTGGGCTCAGAGCCTCCAGCCCCAGCGGGAAGTTCATCTCTAAAGCCCCCCAGCCCACCAACCATTCATAAGCCCCAGCTTAACGGGGGCCCCTGCTGTGATCTCAGCCTCCCAGGGAAGGAGGGGCTGGAGGGCTGTGGAGAGCCCAGACAGAAAGAGGTGGCCCTGCGGTGTCTTCCTGGGGCAGATGGAGTCATCTCAGGGCAGAGGCAGATCCTACAAGTGGTGCCTGTCCACTCAGCGCCTTCCCCTGTGAAGCTCCAGTTCTTGGTAGAAAGCCTGACCTTTGTGATGGGGGACAGTGGTGGCCATGGCTGGCGCTCCCCGCCTGTTTACTCCGTCCTTCCGGAGCTGCTTGCCCTGGAAAGGAGCAGAGGCCTTAAGATGGGGCACAGCAGAACCCAGATGTGTTCCTAAGGGAGCGTTAGACAAGCCCCAATTGAGGAACATTCTACAAAATATCTGGCTAATGCTAGGCAGGAAAGACTGAGAAACTGTCTCCAGTTGAGGAGTCCCAGGAGACATGAGCACTGTGAGAGCCAGCCTGGATCTGGGGGGCCCCGCGGGTCATTGTGAGATCTGGAAGAGGCTGCGGACGAGTTGACAGTGGTGCCTCCATGCCAGCTTCCTAGTTTCAATAATTGCCCAGGGGTTAGGCCGGGCGCGGTGGCTCACGCCTGTAATCCCAGCACTTTGGGAGGCCAAGGTAGGTGGATCACCTGAGGCCAGGAGTTTGATACCAGCCTGGCCAACATGGTGAAACCCCATCTCTAATTAAAAAAAAAATACAAAAAGGCCAGACACGATGGCTCATGCCTGTAATCCCAGCACTTTGGGAAGCCAAGGCGGCTGGATCACCTGAGGTCAGGAGTTCGAGACCAGCCTGGCCAACATGGTGAAACCCCGTCTCTACTGAAAATACAAAAATTAGCTGGGCGTGGTGGCGAGCACCTGTAATCCCAGCTACTTGGGAGGCTGAGGCAGGAGAATCGCTTGCAACTGGAAGGCTGAGGTTTCAACTTGAAACTGGAAGGCTGCATTGAGCCGAGATCTCGCCACTGCACTCCAGCCTGGGCAACAAGAGCGAAATTCTGTCTCAAAAAAAAAAAAAAGAAAAAAGAAAGGGAGGGGGATGCTATATAAAGGGTATGTAGGAAATCTCTGCTATATTTGCAACTTTTTTGTAAGTCTGAAATTATTTCCAAGTGAAAAATCAAAAATTTTTTTCTAATAAAATGCAGCACCCAGCTAGGAAGGTGAGCACAGGGACTGCCTGCATCCATCAGAGACTTGCTCCTCAGAGGACGTTTGCCACCAATATGAGCGGCCCTGGGGGCAGTGAGCTAGCGAGGCCTGGTAGAGGAGGGGGCGAGGCCAAAGCAGGCAAAAAGGAGGTGGGATCAGGGCCCACCCTGCCTCGAGGTTGCTGTGGGATACTGGGTGGATAACGGCGATACAGGCGCAAACACGTGATGCTGTCGTGTTCTGCCATAAAAAGGCATGAAGTCTGGACACGCGCTACCACATGGGCAGAACCTGAAAGCATAATGCCGAGTGAAAGAAGCCAGACACAGAAGGACACGTTTTGCAAGATTCCGTTTCTATGAAATGTCCAGAACAGACAGATTCATAGAAACAGAGTAGACGAGTCGGGGCCAGGGGCCGGGGGAGGAGACGGGGAGGAGGAGTAGGGACTGGCTGCTAATGGGCATGATGCAAATGTTTTGGACCTAGATAGGATTGAGCTTGTACAAGATTGCAAATAGATGATATTAAGCGCCATTGACTTATTCAGTTTAAATTAGTTGCTCTTACATCACGTGAATTTTATCTCAATATATTATTTTTCTAAAAGTGAAATGCTGTCCTGGGTGGGTGTGCGCAGGCACAGCCTCCAGCTCCAGCCAGGAAGAATTGGGGCCCAGGGAGGCAATGAATCTGAATTTCAAGGTGGAATCTCCTGATACGTAGATCTTAGCAACTGACTAAAGGTATTTCATCAACGCCATTGGGGGCAGCTCTAGGTCTCAGCCACCAGCTTGCAGTCTTAACCCAAGATGACCTGGGGTGGGGTGTCTGTGTGTTCGGTGGAAGCATCTGGGAGATGGCCACCCCTCACCTCCTTGGGGTTTACTTGGAGAAACGAGGACAGACGGAAAAGTACCTCCAGGCAGAGAGAAAAGCTCTAGACAAACACCAAGATGTTCATGGTTTTAAAAGACAAGAGCTGCAGCCTTTTAAAATCCCACAGGCCTCTCTGCCATGGATGAAACACTTTCTGGGGAGATTGTAAATGTTTACTCTGGTGGATTTTGTTATAAATGGACGTGGTTTTGTTTGGTTGGTTATGTTCTTGTTTGCTTTTTTTTCTTTTTTTCTTTTTTGAGATGGACTCTCGCTCTGTTGCCCAGGCTGGAGTGCAGTGGTGCAATCTTGGCTCACTGCAACCTCCGTCTCCCGGGTTCAAGCGATTCTCCTGCCTCAGCCTCCCGAGTAGCTGGGACTACAGGCGCCCGCCACCACGCCCGGCTAATTTTTTTTTTTTTTTTTTTTTTTAGTACTTTTAATAGAGACGGGATTTCACCATATTGGCCAGGCTGGTCTCGAACTCTTGAGCTTGTGATCCACCCGCCTCTGCCTCCCAAAGTGCTGGGATTATAGGCATGAGCCACTGCGCCCGGCCATCCTTACTATTTCTTGAGCACCTACTATGTGCCAAGCATCCTCCTGCCCTTCAGGATTCATTATTGCTGATCCTCCCAGCAGCTACACGAGGCAGAAGTTGTTGTCATTTTACATACAAGGAAACTGAGATGCAGAGGCAGGAGGTGACCCACTCCGGGCCTCGCAGCTGACGAGGCTGGTGCTGGGATCCTGAATAGCCGGCAGATGACCAGATTTGGTGGTTTCTGGTTGCATTGAGCTTGAAAAGCCTGTTCCCCTCCACCCAGGGAATCCCCTACTCTTTCCAATGCTGGGTGCGAAAGCTGTGATTTTCAACTTGGAGCATGTTGCTAAAATACAGATCACTGGGTGGACATCAGAGTTTCTGACTGGGGAGGTCTGGGGTGGGGCTGAGAATTTCCATTTCTAACAAGTTCCTAGTGATGCCGGTGTTCCCGGTCCGGGGAGGGGAATGCACTTTGAAAACCACTGTCCTAAATAAAACAAGTTCATTCATATTAAGGTTTGGGGGACTGAGAACAGCTTCAGTATGAGCCTTCCCCCAGTTAGATGTGATGCTGTAGTGGGGAAGTTACAGGCTGAGGGTGGGAAAGGAAGGGACATGTTTTGTTTTGTTTTGAGACAGAGTCTCACTCTGTCGCCCAGGCTGGAGTGCAGTGGGGTGATAGCTCACTGCAACCTTTGCGTCCTGGGTTCAAGCAATTCTCCTGCCTCAGCCTCCAGAGTAGCTGGGATTACAGGCGTGCACTACCATGCCTGCCTCATTTTTGCATTTTTAGTAGGAACGGGGTTTCCCCATGTTGGTCAGGCTAGTCTCGAACTCCTTACCTCAGGTGATCCGTCCGCCTCAGCCTCCCAAAGTGCTGGGATTACAGGCATGAGCCACTGTGCAGAAGGGACATGTTGAGGGAGGGAAACTGCAAAAAACCCAGCCCTTTCCTGCCCCAGGGCCTTTGCACATCTGGTAACCGCAGCTGCAACCCCTCACCTCCCTCCAGGGCCCTTTCCTGACAACTCATCCTCCACAATATCCACCCTGATAGGGGATATCTCCTTTTCTCAATGCTGATAGCAGAAATCACAGTCTACAAATTGCATATTTAATTTCTTGTATTAGTGTCTTTTTTTCTTGAGTCTCACTCTGTTCACCCAGGCTGGAGAGCGGTGGCACGATCTTGTCTCACTGCAACCTCCGCCTCCCGGGTTCAAGTGATTCCCCTGCCTCAGCCTCCCGAGTATCTGGAATTAAAAACGTGAGTCACCATGTCCCTCTCATTTTTTTGTTTTTAGTAGAGACGGGGTTTTGCCATGTTGGCCAGGCTGGTCTCAAACTCCTGACCTCAAGTAATCCACCTGCCTTGGATTCCCAAAGTGCTGGGAGCACAGGTGTGAGCCACTGCACCCAGCTAATTAGAGTCTACTGAGGGCAGACGCCTTGCTGGCACACGGTAGGTGCTCTGTAAATATCTGTGGACCTACTGAGCAGATGGGCCAGCGATGGGTGAACTTCCCGCGGCCTGAGCAGTGTGTGGGTATTTGCTGTCTCGTGGCGCCCCCTGGTGGCCGTCATGCAGCACACGCTGAGGGGCCAACCCGTTTTCTCCCTGCAGGATAAGTCCCTCACCTGGCACCCACTTCCCATGTGGCCACCATCGGTGACGTGGGCAGATCCACAAAGTGGCAGCTTTTGGCCCCCATGGAGTTCTGTGCTTCTGGATGATCAGGTGAGTTGGAGGAAAGTCCCTGTTAGAGTTTCTCACATCATTAGTAATGGCACCATGATTAAAGAGCTAGTGCTGATCATGTTAAACATAATACGATCCTTGTTTGCTGCCTATGGGCCCCGAGCAACCTCTCTCAGCCTCAGTTTTTCCCCATCTATGAGATGGTGATGATTGCAAGAGTTAAGGGAAACGGTGCGTGTTAAATCAGCACAGGACAGGCAGGTTTTCCATAAAGAAGCGCTGTCGTATTTGGGGGAAATTTTCTCCTGAGCATGGGCTGATGACACCGTGAGAGGTCAGCCCTGTTACTCACCCAGCTGGGCATGTCAGAAAGCTTCTTGGCCTCCATTTCCCCACCTGTGAAATGACCACCTTGGCCACACTGCCTCCCAGGGATGTGGGGGGAGCACCAAGGAACACCAGAGCTTGACAGCTGGTTCCCAGATACGAAGGATGGGGAAAGAATTTTCTGTAGGAGGAGGTCAGACTCCTAGGTACCACCCCCCAGACCCCAAAGGAGAGGGGCAGCTATTCCTGGAAGATCACGGGGTCAAGGACAGCAGGCACTACTCGGGGCAGAAAAGGAGAGAGGAGCTGGTCTATTTACTGCCCAGCGAAGCTTCTGGGCCCTTCTCTACCGAGTCCCAGCAGCCAGTCTTCCAGTCAGGAGATGGGGGCCGCCTCATGGAAAAGCTGGCTCCCTACACAGCCCTGCCAGGCAGTGGGCTGGTGTCTCACGCAGAACATGGAGGAGGGCTTCTAATAGGAAAGCCAGAGAGCACGCAGAGGAGAGAATGCGGAGTGGGGAGCCTGGGAGTACACCACCCAGGAAGCCAGGGGAAATGCAGAACGAAACCCCAGTATCCTTAGAGACAGGGAACAGCAGGGCATCCGCAGAAGACACTCTGGCTGATGTTTCCTCAAAAACACAAAGGAAAATAAAAAGCTTCTGGAAATTAAATCTACCATAGCCTGAATTTTAAAAAACATCCAGAAGAGCTAGAAGACAAAGCGTGGCGTGGTGGCTCACACCTGTCATCCCACCACTCTGGGAAGCCGAGGTGGGCGGATCACTTGAGGTCAGGACTTCAAGACCAGCCTGGCCAACATGGTGAAACCCCGTCTCTACTAAAAATACAAAAATTAGCTCGGCGTGGTGGCACACGCCTGTAATCCCAGCTACTCAGGAGGCTGAGGCAGGAGAATCACTTGAACCTGCAAGGCCAGAGGTTGCAGTGAGCGGAGATCGTGCCACTGCACTCCAGCCTGAGGGACAGAGCGAGACTCCATCTAAAAAAAAAAAAAAAAAAAGCAAAGCTAAAGATTTCCAGAAAACAGAGTGTGTAATAAGAAAATCAGAGGATCAGTCTAGGTGGTTCAACATGCAATCTTAAAATTAAGAAAAAAATGGAGTGAATGGGATTCCCAAAGACATAACACAGAATGTCTGCCAGAACCAGAAAGCTGAGTGTCAGGTGGAGTCTACTGAGCATCAGCACAGCCAGCGGGAGAACTGAGGCCAAGGCACCTTGTCGACAACCCTGAGAAACCGAGGAACTAAAGAGAGGCCGTGGGCCAGGTGCAGTGGCACACGCCTATAATCCCAGCACTTTGGGAGGCCGAGGTGGGCGGATCACTTGAGGTCAGGAGTTCGAGACCAGCCTGGGCAACATAGCGAAACCCTGTCTCTTCCAAAAATACAAAAAAGTTATCTGGACGTGGTGACAAGGGCCTGTAGTCCCAGTGACTCAGGAGGCTGAGGAACAAGAATTGCTTGAGTCCAGGAGGTGGAGGTTGCAGTGAGCTGAGATCACGCTGCTGTACTCCAGTCTGGGCTGAGATCCAGCCTGGGTGACAGAGCAAGAACCTATCTCAAAAAAGAAAAAAAAAAAAAAAGCTAGGTCACACAGCACAGGGGCCAGGAGAGTGTGGGCTCTCCATGGCTGCTCTGGGAGCCAGAAGATGGTGGGGTGGTGTCTCCAACAGGCTGAGTGAAAAGTACTTAGCTACGCCATCAACCAAAGGTGAGGCAGAATAAGGTATTTTTAGGTGAGCCAAAATACCGGAAACTTGAAGAATAAGGCACCCCTTCTCCAGCAACTCTCAGGGAGCGGTTATACCACTGGAAGGATCTGGAAGGTGTAGACCCTGGGACCCAGAAGATTGAACCCACCAACCCTGCAGAAGCCAGGCCCTCTCAGCAGGGAATGGGGGAGATGGTGCAGATGCTGCCCGTGGCAGAGGCTGGCTGGGGTGCAGGCACTCAGCGACAGCTGGAACAGGCACACGAGGCAGCTTCACCTCTGTAAAAGCAAAAAGTTGGACCAAAAAATCAGAGGCCCCTATCTGGTTTAGCAGCAAAGTATTCAGTCATCACAACTAAACTTGATCATGTACGAAACGTGGGACGCACATATATTCGGTGAATGGGGAGGGGAGAGCAGGCAGGAAACCCGGAGTTCTCTGGACTGCAGATGTGCTGTGCCTAGAACTTTCTTCGGAAACTTGCTGGCCCTTTTGGGAAGCCGCCTGCATGGGCCTGTCGGGCCTGACCGCTGAGCTACTCGCTCTCTTAGAGCTCAGAGATTGGCTCAGCTTTCAGCGCCCAGAACCAGCCACACGGAAAACCAATTTTCCCTTGGCGTCTTCAGGTTGTCTTGGCTAAAATTAGCAGCTGGATGAGGGGCATTGCGGTTTTAAACAGGCTCCTCAGGAGATGCTGTAGGGCGCTTGTGCTTTTTTTTATGGGCACCCTGCTTTTTGTGTGCGGCTCCCAGGCTACCCTTCAAGCTATTTTCCCCTGCTTCCATACCCAAGCCAAGTTCATGTACAATAGAAGATAGGATTTAGCCACCTTCCTATTTGGAGGATATTTTTGTTTTGTTTTAATGCAAGCGTCATCCTTCTATACAATGAGCCTACATAACAATCTAATATAAGGAATACAAATAATATTGCAGCAAAATTCGGCAGAGCCACAAACACAAGCTGGAGGGCTGCTGCCCATGCAGCCGCCCGGCTCAGGTGTGCGCCTCCGTGTTCGAGTCTCCTTCTCATTTCCGCGTGTCTGGAATGCCACCAGGAGCCCCAAGGCACAGCACGTGCGAGGCAGGGCTGCGGCACACACTGACCATCTGGCCTCTGAAAGGTAAGCGAGGCAGGGCTGCGGCACACACTGACCATCTGGCCTCTGGAAGGTAAGTGGGCATTTTGGTTCCCTCAGTGCAAATGTTAGACAAATTTGTTGAATGAATTAAAATCAAATTGTAGGTACTTGAGATTCTGAACTGTGGAGATTTTGAAACATTGTTTTTATTTCAACGTGCACTAAAAAAAGGACTAAGTAAAACGATGGGAGTCGAATTAAACATTCAACAAGCAACAGTACTCACTGGGCAACATTTGTGAGTCGCGCTTGAGTGCCCAGGTCACTTGTCATGGGCACAAAAGCATTTAGAGTTTCTGGAAACTGTTTGGGAGTGACCTTAACAGCCTGGGGCTGGGCCCACGAAGCACGGAAAGGCACCCCCTGAAAACACCACCATCCAGGAAGAACGGGCGCTTTGGAAGCCATTTGAGAACTGTTAATTGATTACTTTATTTCATATAAAAGTTACATTGAAAGAAGAGGTTGAAAAGTCAAGTATACTTGATTTGCACACACTTGCCAAGTCTCACAGGATTCAACCACTTGGATAATTGTTTTATTGATAACAGGATATACATATTAAAAGCCTCACACTGAAGCCCACACGCATGTCCAACCCAGACAACAATGTGCAAATGAATATGCAGAACAATCTCGGAAACTGGCGTCTCCAGGATCACCCACACTTTGTCCCTCTGGCTGTGACGCAGCTCTTCCCCCAACGGCGCACACGCTTCTGCGGTGACCAAGTCCACTTCCAAACCCCCTGCAGGTTTGCTCGCTTGGCTAGGACGGTGGCTCAGGTAGGTCCCTTTGTGGTTTTGCATCAGCAGTGGTAGAAGCCCTGATTCGGATGGGGTACAGAGTAATTAAAAACAAAAAACAGTTCACAGATGAACAGAAAGGCAAAACAATTCCCAGGAGGGAGACGCCAACTTCTCTTAGTGTGGAGGGCAAGCATAAAGGAAGACCCTCAGACTTTGTCACAGATTGCTTCTTGATGCGTCCGGCAAAAAATGTACAAACCAGGCAAGTTTAAGGCAAGGCCCCACGAGGGGAGCTGTTGGCTTTCTGGCATAATTTTAAGCTCCGCACCAAGGATCCTATTTTATCACCTGTGCCGTGGGTGGAGAAGAAAACGTAAAAGCTAACCAAAAACTCCAACAAGAGGGCGCCATCCTGGCCATTCCCGACTGGAGCGCTGCCTGCGGTGGCACAGTCGCCCCTGCCAGGGGCTGGCTGCCTCATGGTCCCCTCCCCTTCCCAGAGGTGCCCAATGGCTGGGCCCTGCCTCTCCAGTAAGGATGCCTCCCCTGCCCCACACACAGCATCGGGCTGCCCCAAGTATCAAGTCACCGAGCCGCAGCTCTGCTCTTACCTAGGTGCCATTTATACACTGCTAATTTGGCTGGAACAAAAAAAAAAAATCAGTTCCAAGGCCCTCAAGCACTCAAGATTTCTTTAAAAAATGAAAGCAGGAGGGCAACGAAGGGCCGCACAGGAACGGCTGTTCTTTGGATCGAGATGTCCTCCAACAGCAATACATTCATAGTAACCACGGGCAGGACCCCGCGGCTCTCTCCCCTCTTCCCTGAAACGTCGGTTTCTAAAAAATAGCTTGTTTGCTGTACACAGCCGGTAAATGTTACATTGCCTAAACAACACTGGCAATTTTGACACACATGCACACACGCGCGCACACGCACAGACACGCACACACACAGACTTGCTGAGAGGGTCAAAGGATGTCTCTTCCGGGGCAGCGGGGAGTGTGCCGGAAGCCACCTTCACTGTTCAGTGCACAGATCTTTTGCAACTTCAGTGCAAAGCATCGGAGCTAATCGAGACCAAAACGTCTTTCTATGTAAACGCCCTGCTGTGATCCGGGGAGTGCACTGCTGAGTGGCGGGGTCAGCAGGAGCCCCCTGAAATGACTGCTTGGAGAATCCCTGTTCACTGGATTCACTGTTTTTCTTCATGATTGGAAACAGCAGCTCAGGACCCAGGATTTGAATAACCCATGTAATAACCCGAAGTATTCTCCACAGAAGCCCCAGCTCTGCAGGAGGCCACGGCGTTTGGCTTCTTCGTGTGGCCACACACCTTTCCGTTGTTGTACAGGTGGGGACTGAGAGCCTCTTCCTCTGCCATCTGTGACTATAAATATATAAAACTCTGCTTGCTGCAAGCAATTGGTTTGTGTAGGTTCCAGTTGCCCTGTTGGTCACAGATGAGCTGTTGATATCCTTCAGACCCCAAATAAATAACTGGAAGTCTGTGAGCAAGTTTCAGTCTGATGAGCCACGCCTCACACTGAGAACTCCGGGCCACCTTTTCTGGGTCTCGTGGGCAGTCGCCTAAATCGGAAGCCCACAAAGGGATTCATCCAGAGGAGTGAGGGGGGCCCCCCAAAGACGGACTTCATCCCTTCCCATCGCAGCCTCCGCTCCCATGTGGGCTTCTCACTTTTCAATCGCTCGATCTCCTGGAAGCAGAAAGAAAAGCAAGTGGCAGCGGCTCCAGGAAGCTCGGCAGACCCCACCAAGCCTCAGAATCACACCGTGCTCAAGCACAGTGTGGGCTCGATGGAGGGTAGGTGAGTGAACTCTCCTTCCCAGCTCTGCCCCGATCCAGACCCCGTGGCCTCTGTGAGCCCAGCCCGGCTGCAGCCACGTGGCCAGCCCAGACTACCACAATGGCCCTCCCAGCCAGGCACCAACATTTGTCGCTCGTTAGTTACTGTGTACAGACATTTACTGAGCGCCACTCCAGGCCTGCAGAGCCAGGCCCTAAAGGCAGTCAGTTCCCTGAAATTTACTGACTGCACTGGGAGCTGGGAATCTGCCTGGCTCTGCTGACTTGCAAATCAAACTGAGACTAGAAATATGCACTGCCCAGAATGAAAGAAACAGCAAACACAGGGAGCTGGTTGCAGCTCATCAAGACCGTCCCATTACGTTCCCGAGTCAGTCCACAGGCACCTATTGTTGACATTAGGACTTTTCATTTACTCAAGCTTGGACCACATATGAAGTCCACACAGCCGAGAACAAAGCTTACCGTCTCGTCGTTGCATATGGAGTGGATTTGGGTGCCAAACATAACTGCAGTGAAAGTGAAAAACAGAAGACCCTCAAGGCACAGGAAGATCAACAGGATTACAGTTATCGGAGGTGAAAAATCACTGCATTCTGCGGACAAGAGGAAGTTGGTTATAACTGGTCCTGAATACCCCGAGTGGCAGAATGTTTGGCTCAGAGAAGAATCCTCTAGGGCCAGCCCCTGGCCAGCTTCCAGGGGGAAGTTGTTCACTTTCTAAATGGGCACATTCATTGTTCTCCAAGGAGCAGAGGAGGGCCACCCTTCCAAGCAAAAATTCATACCATGACTTCCTGGCCAGTGGTTTCAAAAGAGTCTGTATTTTCTGAGGTTTCTATTGACACTGTATTTATGAATTAAATGGCAAATGAAGCCAGACCAGAAGAGTTGTGTGCACCCATACCAGTGAGCAGTGCTCACAGGAGTCTGTTCACCATGTTCCCCTGGGGTGGGATGAGCCTGTCCAGACCTCACTGCATATCTAAGGTAGGATAACGAGCACCTATTTTCACTACACTTGCTTAGGGTCGGTCACTCACGTAAGCAACGTGAAGCCTGCTTTGAACAATGGCGAGCTAGCTGACCAGCAGACAGACACAAGCTTTTGGGGCAACAATATACTAGTAAAATGGTGGTGTTAAAACTTAACTAAATTCTTTAAAATTCAATTGCTAAAATAATTGCAATGATTTCCTTCAAAATTGGAAAACTGGTTCTTCCTTTAAAGCTTTCCCCTTTCATCCAATAACAGCATGCAAAGCCAGGAATGACACATAGCCAGGGAACTTACCAGTCCACTGCCCTCGGACACAGGAGATGAACTGAAATCCACAAAGGATCAGAGCATGGACTGAAGACAGAGCTATATACATCTAGAATGAGGGGGAGATTGGTTAGTCACTTTTATTTTTTATTTTTTTTAGAAACAGAGTCTCCCTCTGTTGTCCAGGCTGGAATGCAGCGGCGTAGTCTCAGCTCACTGCAACCTCCGCCTGCCAGACTCAAGCGATTCTCCTGCCTCAGCCTCTCAAGTAGCTGAGACTACAAGCACCATGCCCGGCTAACTGTTTTGCATTTTTAGTAGAGATGGGGTTTCACCATGTTGGCCAGGCTGGTCTGTAACTGCTGACCTCTAGTGATCCACCCAGCCAGTTAGTAACTTAAACAAGTCTTTCTAAGAGCAAAGGCTGATGACACATCATGTGTATACCTCCATCTTGTCAGAGAAAAAAATGAGGGAAGGATTAAATGGCAGCAGTTGACATTTTCCTACCCAAGATCATATTAGACCAAGTAGAATAATTTTATAGAAAAATATAGCTGGGCATGGTGGCTCACGCCTGTAATCCCAGCACTTTGGGAGGCCAAGACGGGCAGATGGCTTGAGCTCAGGAGTTTAAGACCAGCCTGGGCAACACAGCAAAACCCCGTCTATAAAAAAATAAACGGCCGGGCACGGTGGCTCACGACTGTAATCCTAGCACTTTGGGAGGCCGAGGTGGGCGGATCGCCTGAGGTCGGGAGTTCAAGACCAGCCCAACCAATATGGAGAAACCCCATCTCTACGAAAAATACAAAATTAGCCAGGCGTGGTGGTACATGCCTGTAATCTCAGCTACTTGGGAGGCTGAAGCAAGAGAATCACTTGAACTTGGGAGGCGGAGGTTGCAGTGAGCTGAGATCACACCACTGCACTCCAGCCTGGGCAACAAGAGCAAAACTCCATCTCAAAAAAAAAAAAAAGAAAAAAAGAAAAGAAAAAGGAAATAAACTCTAACATACTTTAGGAAGATTCCTGTTATTATTAATAAACAATAGCGATTGAGGACATCTGGGAGAGAATTAAATTACAGTGAACACCTAAAATAATACAAGCAACATATTACTTATTGGGACTACTTCCTGCCAATGACAGCACAGTATTATAATTTGAATCCTGGAGAAAAGGCTGGAGAGAAACTGGCCTGACGTTAGTAGATTTCTCTGCTCCAGGCAAGAAGCAGTTAAAGAATTTCAAATTCAATGTAAATTCAATACAAAAATATTTTTACTTACAGTGAAGAGCACAAAAAATCTTTGATTCTTTTCTCCTACACAATTGTTCACCCACGGGCAGTGATGATCCATTTTCCGAATACATCTTTTGCAAATACTGAAAAGGAGAGTTTGATTTTTCAGTATTCCATGCTCTGAGGAAACCAGAGTAACACAACCAAATAAAATCAAAGGTGGAGGAAAATTAGAATGTATATTCTAATACAACATGTCAAAAAATATCATACATTCTCACTATATTCCTTTAAGGTTTATCATTTTAATTAAATGTCTTCCGTTTCCTAAGGAAAATACTCAATGGACCAACAGCTTGGGGCGAAAGGTCAAACTAAGCCATACTTCACGAGTTCTCAGACACTCCCCCAGTAGAGCTGGATCATGTACACCTATCAGTAATGTTCCTAATTTTGCAAGCTTACAAGTCTATTTCAATAAAAAACAAAAACTGAAATTTTACCCTCAAGGAGAAACATTCTTTGTATCTTCAAATAATTCCTACCACTGAATCCATATTCACTGATGAATATGCAGTATGGATTGCATATTCATCTTGAATCATCAACTACACACCCAGGCATGAAGTCGTCTTGTTTTTAACAGCTGTATTTTACTTTTGCCCAAAACACTCTGTATGTCCAATTTTAAATAACTAATTTGATTATCGATTACTTTTTAGTCCAAGCTTGCACCATTTAATTACATCAAGCAGACATCGATGGCAGCAGGTTCGCTGCAGGCAGACTTGCTATCATAGCGTCACCTTTTTTTTTTTTTTTTTTTTTTTGAGATGGAGTCTTGCTCTGTCGCCCAGGCTGGAGTGCAGTGGCGCAATCTCAATCTCAGCTCCCTGCAAGCTCTGCCTCCCGGGTTCACGCCATTCTCCTGCCTCAGCCTCCCGAGTAGCTGGGACTACAGGCACCAGTCACCATGCCCGGCTAATTTTTTTTTTCTATTTTTAGTAGAGATGGGGGTTTCATCGTGTTAGCTAGGATGGTCTCGATCTCCTGACCTCGTGATCCGCCCACCCCGGCCTCCCAAAGTGCTGGGATTACAGGCGTGAGCCACCGCACCCGCCCATAGCGTCACCTTCTTCTTATTCATTGACCTTGGCTCCCTGCCCGACCTCCACAGCACCTGACTTCCAAAACATTCCCATTTTATCTTCAACAGATTTATTGAAGTATAATTTATATACCATAGGTCAGGCGAGGTGGCTCATGCCTGTAATCCCAGCACTTTGGCAGGCCGAGGCAGGTGGATCACCTGAAGTCAGGAGTTCGAGACCAGCCTGGCCAATGTGGCAAAACCCCGTCTCTACTAAAAATACAAAGATCAGCCAGGCATGGTGGCGGGCGCCTGTAATCCCAGCTACTAGGGAGGCTGAGGCACAAGAATCGCTTGAGCCTGAGAGGCAGAGGTTGCAGTGAGCCGAGATTATGCCACTGCACTCCAGCCTGGGCGACAGAGCAAGACTCCATCCCCCCATCCCCAAAAAATTTATATACCATAAAAGTTCACCCATTTGCAATGTACAATTCAATGATTTTTATTCTATCTGCAGAGTTGTGAGACCATCACCATCTAATTTTTGAACATTCCCACCATCCCAGAAAGAAACCTCACCCCATATGCAGTCACTGCCTATTTCTAACCCCAGCCCAAAACAGCCACCCATTTACTCTCCGATACCATTTCATCTTTCTTTACTTTCTGGCCAAACCATGAGGATATGAATCTCTTAAAGCTTTCACTCCAGCCATAAAGCAGTCAGCACCCTGTATCTGGGTTTCCTCCCGTTGGAGGCCATCAATGGCTTCCAGCCTATTCAAGCAGGCCACGACCCCCCAGGAGAAGGGCACTGTCCAGGTGCAGCCTGTCACACAGTACAGGGACGTGTGACAACTATTTCAAGGAATGGAGAAATACACCCAGACATTCACACTTCAACACGTGAAATCAACAGCCAGCCCCTCCAGGAGCAGAAAAAGGAGTCAGGAACTGGCAAATGTGGGGGAAGAGGATAAAATGCAACCAAGACCAGCAGGGGTGAGGTGTGAGGGCCAGGAAGGCTACTTGAGCCAGGCAGATAACTGGACTGTGGCTTTTAAAAAATACAGTAACTGGTGTTTGAGAGCACGCCCAAATAAATACAAAAAAACAAAACAACAAAAAAATGAGAGCACATCCAAAAGAACCTTGCTTCTACGCTGCACCACCACCCCAGGTAAGAACAAAAGTGAACGCACAACAGCCTCTCTGGCTGGCTGGAAGAACCCAGAGCAGGAGTGAGGGGAAGGTTCTGAGCCTTTCTTCTGGCCCCCACACAGGATGTGCCCAGGAGCTGTGAGCACACACGTGCTGGCCTGTGTGGCATGTGTGCCACAACAGAGGCGGGAACCTTGTCACCTCCTCCAGTTGTTGAGCCACAGCGAGTCCCTCGGGAAGGAGGGGATCCCTGAATCCATACTGTTTCCCAGCTCCCAAAAAGACTCTAGGGCACCGGCCCTTTACTCAGCTCCCTACCCCAGAAAGAACATGACACCTACGGCCCCGCCCGTACAACGTTGCCCAGATGCTCGGGGGCCATGTACCTACGGTGGTGGGCGCACTCTGGTTTAATACAGCAGCACACGTACCCGCAGTGGCGGATGCGCTCGGGTTTAATACAGCAGCGCACGTACCTGCAGTGGTGGGCGCGCTCGGGTTTAATACAGCAGCACTTGGGGCACTTGTAGATGACTTCCCCGGGCTTCAGCTGCAAGCTCTCCATGTATTCTTTCGTAGCGTTTCCTTTGGGTACTGCCCCCTACCATATAAGAAGAATGTACTTTAGTTGGGGAGAATGAAAGTTAAAAACATCAGGCCGGGCGCAGTGGGTCACACCTGTAATCCCAGCACTTTGGGAGGCTGAGGCGGGTGGATCACGGGGTCAGGAGTTCAAGACCAGCCTGGCCAACCCAGCCTGGTCAACATGGTGAAACCCCGTCTCTACTAAAGATACAAAAAATTAGCCAGGCGCGGTGGCAGGCGCCTGTAATCCCAGCTACTTAGGAGGCTGAGGCAGGAGAATCGCTTGAACTCAGGAGGTAGAGGTTGCAGTGAGCCAAGATCGCGCCGTTGCACTCCAACCTGGGCGACAGGGCAAGACTCCATCTCAAAAAAAAAAAAAAAATCATATATTTTCTATATCATCAAACAATTAAAAAAAACTACCTTATTATCCTTTTGATAAATGGCTTAACCACCTGCATTTTCAGAGGCAAGGCTTATTCCCAGACAAGGGCACTGACTGTCCCCAGGTGGGGCAGGGAACCTCTTTGCACACCACTTCCCTGTAGCCCCTGCTGACAGGGAGGTGACTGATAAGCACTGCCCAGAGTTTTCTTATCGGGCAGTCGGGGAACAAAGAACAAAACAATCTCAAAAAGGACTTTAATTTCGTGTTGCTAAAGTGACATGATACTTTTGTCTCTTGGCCAACTTCCTCAAAGGCATTCACACACAAACCTGGAGGTGGCGGTCCAGACCACCTGACCCGATTCATGTCTGGCAACGAGGCCGCCCAGCGGCATCAGAAACTTGAACATGCATCCATCTGTGCCCCAAGTGCTAGAGGAGCTGGAGAAGATGAGCAATGGCGAAGCAGCGGAAAGAGGAGTTGGGGAGGCTGTGAGCTGCTGGTAAGGGGCAGAGCTGAAGGCCAAGAGTCACCCTACCAGCACCATGTCAACTGAGGACCCGCTGTAGGGAAGGTAAGGCCAGAGCTGGCTGCAACAGCAGAGGCTTTGTTCTTTGGGCAGTGGAGATAAGTCATCAAAACCATGTTTGTGGGAGACAATTCTGGGAGCTGTGGCAGGGTGGAATAAAATAGGCAGACCTGCCTGGGGGTTCCAATGCCTCAAGAAGAGGAACAAGGCCTTGTGTCTGCCTCTTAGCCTGGATCCTGCACTTCACGTAGAAATCACAGATCTGGAGAATGAGACCCACGGACACTGGGAACAGCAGTCAGGGCTGCAGTGATTGTGCAAAGACAGGGGATATAGGTGGGGCAAATGGAAGGTGGGAGCTAACAGCCTGGGAGATGGCAGAGGTGGTGAAGGGCTCTGCCAACAGCAGATGGCCCTGCTGGAGCTCCTTAAAATGCAGGTGCCTCGCTGGGCTCCGGAGCCACAGATCTGAACCTCTGCAGGGTGAGGGTTGACATCCAAATTTTAGAAAGTTCAGCAGGTGAGCGCCCTGCAGAGCCAGAGACTGCTGCCCGCTGGATTCAGGGCTACCAACAGGCCAGAGCTGGAGCCTTGGGCAGCACAGGCAGGGGGGCCCCAGGGCAAATGTGAGTGTTGACTGCCCAAACCTCCCCTGAGGTTTACTTCCTCCAAACAAGGCCCCGTCAGTCCCATGGCCGCAATATGGGGAAGCTGTTTTGGTCAAGATCAAAGTGTTTCCTAACATGCTGCCTCCTTAAAGAAGTTAGAAAAGGGTTTAAACTCATCTTTGAAAACTTAAATCAGAATAAGTAAAACATTTTACTGGCTGGGCAGGGTGGCTCACGGCTTTAATCCCAGCACTTTGGGAGGCTGAGGTGGGTGGATCACGAGGTTAGGAGTTCAAGACCAGCCTGGCAAAGATGGCGAAACCCCATCTCTACTAAAAATACAAAAATTAGCTGGGCGTGGTGGCCTGCGCTTGTAATATCCCAGCTACTCGGGAGGGTGAGGCAGAGCACCCGGGAGGTGGAAGCTGCAGTGAGCCAAGATCACGCCACTGCACTCCAGCAAAAAAAAAAAAAAAATTTTTACTTAACTTACATTCTACAATTTAGAGTCTTTTTTTTTTTTTTCTTTTTGTTGAAACAGAGTTTTGCTCTGTTGCCCAGGCTGGAGTGCAGTGGTGTGATCTTGGCTCACTGCAACCTCTGCCTCCGGGGTTCAAGCGATTCTCCTGCCTCAGCCTACCAAGTAGCTGGGATTATAGGCGTGCGCCACCACACCCGGCTAATTTTTCGTATTTTTAGTAGAGACGGGGTTTCGCCGTGTTGGCCAGGCTGGTCTCGAACTCCTGACCTCAGGTGATCCAACCGCCTCAGCTTCTCAAAGTGCTAGGATTACAGGTATGAGCCACCGTGCCTGGCCTGGAGTCTTCAATCAACTTTCCTCCAACAATCTAGGGATCTTAACACTGCTTTGATTTATAAAATTCCACAATGTTGCATATATGCCCCAGGTGACAGTCGAGTGTTACACATCTCCTCAGAGGAAATGGGCCAGATTTTAAAACTCCAAACACCGTAATTTTATGAGCCATGCATGCACTTTTCCACAGCAGCAGCAAATATGATACGATGTGGCACGATACACTTCTGGAAAGCGGCTACCCCAACGCTACCCCAGTTTTTGGTCACTTATGACCAAGGAAAGGCATTTCGAAGGGGAAGCCAAGTACACATTGGGTGATCCTCAGGGACCTGAGACTATGTGGGATTTCAGGCACTTGCTGGGTCCAGGGATTCCTTTTTGCTGCTCAGAACCTTGGGCAGACAATCAGTGAAACTCTTCACGGGCATGGTGTCCTGGGGGTTTCAAGGAGGGGTTCCTTCCACCTGAGGCCCCGAGTCTATCACCTACATTTTCATCCTGAGCCTTTCGAGATGTGGTTTGGCAGAAACAGAGACCATATGCAGAGGGGGTGTGCACGGCTGCACCATCTCAAAGGGCCTCGCCAGGATGTGCCCACGATGACAGCGGCAGGGGCTGGAGCACCGTTTCCTCTGCACCCATGGGGCATTCTTCTTCCCACCAGAACAAACCTTCCAAGTAATTGAGCACATTCCTCAGTTCCCATTTTAACCATTTTCGGGACGTTTTTTTCTAAAACACTTCTTGAATGTTTCCCACTCATCTTCTTGTGGGACTGACCATAGGCTCCAGGCCATGGGATGCCTTCAGGCTCCTCCCTCCCACCCAAACACCCAGCGGCCTCCCTTCAGAGGTGCTCCCTGATTGGCTGTTCCCTCTTCTGGTGCCCCTGCCCACATCCCACTTCCAGTCAGCCCTGATGAGACAAAGCAGCCAGCCAGGCCCAGGCAAGGCGCTCTGTGCCACCTCGCCCTTCCAGGGCAGTTAGGCTTCGCAGAGCATGCTTCCGGTCCTCTCTCCCCTGCTCTCCACCCCAGCTCCCTGTCATGCATTCTGGATCCCCAGGGCCTAACTAAGCGGCAGGTAAGAATGGGGCCGGGCCTGTGGATCTGCCTCCTAATTTATGGAAAATGCTGGGGACGAGGAGCACAGCAAAACCCAGTACAGGGATGTAAACTGCAAACAAAGAACTGTGTTTCTTCAACTTAAACCCCAAGGGAAAAAAAGACATTGCAGGGACCAGAGAGATTAATTAAAAGAGATGTCAGAGACACATAAACCAATCACACTGTATGGATCCTTATTTGGATCCTGATTCAAGGGAAAAAAATTATAAAAGAATTGAGACAGGCCAGGCACGGTGACTCACACTTGTAATCCTAGAACTTTGGGAGGCCGAGGCAGGCGGATCACTTGAGGTCAAGAGTTCAAGACCAGCCTGGCCAATATGATGAAACCCCATCTCTACTAAAAATACAAAAACTAGCCGGGCATGGTGGCACATGCCTGTAATCCCAGCTACTCAGAAAGCTGAGGTGACAGAATCGCTTGAACCCAAGAGGCAACCGTTTCAATGAGCTGAGATCCTGCCATTGCACTCCAGCCTGGGCAACAGAGTGAGACTGTCTCAAAAAAAAAAAAAAAAAAAAAAAAGAATTGAGACAATTGAGGAAATCTGAACTCTAACAGGAGAGGTGGTATAAATACATTGCTTTACATGAGCTACCGGTATTGAGGTTATGTTTTTACAAAGAGCCCTTTTAAAAGATACACACGTTTACAAATGAAACAAAAGAATGAGTGAGATTTAGGCGGGTTATCTGGGGGAGGGGAACGGCGTGGGCGAGGCCACCACATGATGTGGTGACAAGCTCAAGGTGGAGCGCTCTTTTCTTCCTACCGTGCACATTTGGAATTTCCCATAAGAAGTGAAATTTTCGAGGCCGGGGCTCTGAAGATAGACAATCTGGTTCAAATCCCAGCCTGGCCTCTTACTGGCACAGCGAGGCCTCGTGTTCTCACACGGATGCTACACCTACGTCCCAGCACTGCTGTGACGGTGGGAGGAAAGCACGCTTTTGGCAGAGCTCCTGGACAGCAGTCGCGGCCCCATGAAGGCTACCTCCGGAAGGCACTCGCACGGCTGCCGAGAAGGCTCGTAGGCATCCACGGGGCTGGCATTGAAGACACAGGCTCTAACAAGTAAAGGGATGCAGGGCCCAGGGCCGTGGGTGGCCTTCCTCCCTCCCAGCCCTCTCACGATCCCAAAGTGAAGCCTGGGATCAAAGTTGCATCCTTCCACAGCAGGGTTCATTGCTCTATCAGTAGGCCTCTGACCCCATCTTCCCCTCCACTCCTCACTCAAAGCACCAATGACTTTCCTCAAGTGACAATACAAATCCCAATTTGTATTGTCCAGGGCAATCCCAGCGAGGACTGCCCAGTCCTATTGGTTTAGAAAAATGACATGAAGTCCCACTGGGGTATCTGCCCCAACCCCTCAACTGTTCAGTTCAGAGGTGATGTGATGGTTCTAGTTCAGCCTGGACTGGACCCTGGTAGGGTAAAGACATGATCTGTGGAGAGAAGAAATCAACTCCCCACTGGGAGAACAGAGGTGACACCTGACCCTGCTGGGCCATGCCCACTCTCCCCTTCAGAAAAGTAGACCTGGACATCAGTGACTGCCACTCCACCTGCTCTGAGGACTGCCCTTCTTCCCTGGGCAGCAGGAAAGCCAGGACTCAGAGAGACAGACAAAGCCTGAGGACAGCTGCCAGCCTCTCCCCTCTGTCCACCTTCCACTCCACAGCCTGCCAGCAGCCAGAAGCATCCTTGCCCTGGGGCTCTGCGTACTCCCCCTTCCTCAGTTTCATTTACAGTGACTCCTGGTGGTTTCTGTCACTTGTCACCAGAGGACTCAAGCAGACATGCTTCCAAAGAAGACACACAAATGGCCAACAAGCCCATGAAATGATGCTCAACATCGTTGGTCATTAGGGAGATACACAGCAAAGACAGTGAGATACGGCGTCACAAAAGAATGGCAATAATGTGTTGAAGATGTGGACACACTGCAGGTGGGAATGTAAAATGGTGTGGATGCTTCGATGTTTTGGGGTTTGTTTTTTTTTTTTCATCATTCCCTTCCCCACAAGATTTTTTTTCCATTTTCTTTTTTTTCCCCCAGTGGGGACACTTTAGAGAATACTTGGCAGTTCCACAAAAGGTTAAACACAGAGTCACCATATGTCCCAGCAACTCCACTCCTAGGTATATACCCAAGAGGAATGAAACACCCATCCACACAAAAACTTACACGCGGCCGTTCAGAGCAGCATGATTTGTAACAGCCGAAAAGCAGAACTCGCCCAGATGCCCATCAACTAACGATGGCTATAGGTGAGAAGGGTCCGGCCAGAGCATGGAATATTATTCAGCCTTAAACCAAATGAAGCACTGATCATGCCACAGCACGATGGACCCCGAAGACGCAATGCCTGGTGAGAGCCAGGCACAAAAGGCCACAGACGAGATGACTATGAAAGTCCCTCAACAGGCGGCCAGGCGCAGTGGCTCACGCCTGTAATCATCCCAGCACTTCGGGAGGCCGAGGCGGGCAGATCATAAGGTCAGGAGATCGAGACCATCCTGGCTAACACGGTGAAACCCCGTCTCTACTAAAAATACAAAAAAATTAGCCGGGCATGGTGGCAGGCACCTGTAGTCCCAGCTACTCGGAAGGCTGAGGCAGGAGAATGGCATGAACCCCTGGGGGCGGAGGTTGCAGTAAGCCAAGATCGCGCCACTGCACTCCAGCCTGGGCGACAGAGTGAGACTCCGTCTCAAAAAAAAAAGTCTGTGAACATGCAAATTCCACAGAGACAGCAGATGAGTGGTTGCCAGGGGCAGAGGGCGTCGGGTGGTGGGGTCGGGGAACTGGGAAGTGATGGCTAAGGGGTGTGGGGTTCCTTTCTGAGGTGATAAAAATGTCCTAAAACCGACTGGGTGATGGTTGGACACTCTGTGGATGCACTAAACACCACGGGACTACACACGAGGATGGATTTAGTGCTATGTGAATTAAATCTCAATCAAAACACCCCTGACATCCAAGATCTCCAACTTCTCCCTCAGTATGTTCCATTCAACATTCTCTGCAGTAATACAACAAGCAAAAGAAATCTGCCCACCAGGGCGGCAGCACGCCCTGCACACACCTTCTACCCTGACTTCCTGGCCGCCTCCAGCTCTCCAGGCTTCTGGGGCCTTTTCCGCAGGAGCAGGAGCGGGGTGGGAGCAGAAGCTGGACTGCTGAGTAGCTGTAGAGTCTGAGCGCAGAGGAGGAAGGGGCAAGTGCGCTTGTCAGCAAAGAGGAGCAAACTGCTGAGGACTCCCAGCCAGGCTGACCCTCCCCCATGTGCCTACCCCACACTCACAAGCAGGAGGCTTTGCACAGACTCGGTTCCCTCACCACAAATGCCCACAAGGGTTGGGTCCAGCCCAGTTTTCACTGTGCAGGCAGATGGTCGGCAGTCACTGGATTTTTCCTACAAGGCAATATTCCAGTAAAAATCGCTGAGCTGGACCTGGCCCTGTAGCTGGCCCTCTCCTTTGTCGAAGTGCCTGGGCACTTTGGGCAACAAACAAGGGGTTTCTGCTGCAGCCAAGGAAGGAGAGGGCGGAGACACACAGGGATCAGGAGCAGGGTCTGGCTCCTAGAGGGAGACCTGCCGCGTAAAAGGAAATGACAAGACAGGCTTTAATTCTCTGAAGGCACAAACCCATCGAAGAGACTCAGTTATGGTCAAAGACTCCACCATCAGATCAGGCTACAAAGCCACTGGCAGACTTTGCTTCCAAGTTTGTCCCCAAGGTACCACTCCCCAGCTGCCCTCTGGTTGGGCCTATAATACTGTCCCATTCCCAGGACAGCTGCCCATGACCTCTACTAGTAAAACAGGAGACAGTAAACAATGTACATCCAAACCCTGAATAATTAATTCAGATAAAGCAAAGACAGATAAAGCCACGTGCAGACCACATTCTGTGAGCTGATCCGTTTCAGTTTATTCTCAAAAAAGAGTCCTGGTCAGGCGCGATGGCTCATGCCTGTAATCTCAGCACTTTGGGAGGCCAAGGCGGGTGGATCACCTGAGGTCAGGAGTTCAAGACCAGCCTGATCAACATGGTGAAACCCTGTCTCTACTAAATATACAAAATTAGCCAGGCATGGTGGTGCATGCCTGTAATCCCAGCTACTCAGAGGGCTAAGGCAGGAGAATAGCTTGAACCCAGGAGGCAGAGGTTGCAGTGAGCCAAGATCGCACATTGCACTCCAGCCTGGGCAAAAAGAGCAAAACTCCGTCTCAAAAAAAAAAAAAAAAAAAAGTCCTTATCTTATTAACGTCTGGGTACCTTCTTTAGAGAAAGCTTAGAAACAGACAAGAACCCAGTAGATTTTAAATTGACAAATTGGGAGTCCCTATACCATGGTTTAAAACCACTGTTTTAAAGCAGTGGAAAGAACTTTTTTCAAATGAAAATCTACTGACTGCTAATACCTGACTTTGCATGCCTGCAGCTGCTGGGCGTCTCCTCCGAGCTCTGTGGGAAGCCTGGAACTCACTTACTAGAGGTGACGGATGGCTGAGCTGCAAGATCTGTACGATCGGCCCGAATGCCCCTCCCTGATTGAAGGATGTCTCAAAACTCAGGAACAGCCTGAAAGCCCAGCTGGAAGCTGAATCTGGTGGCCTGCAAGGCGTCAGGAACTAGGGGTATTTCACTGCGCTAGGTCTGGCCTATGTTTATTCTCAGCCTAAAGGGAATCTGCTCCCAAAATGAGCTCAATCCACCTTTCTTGTTCCACACCCATGTCAATATGTCCCTGTGCACTGCTTCCTCCAAAGGGTCAGCCACACCCGAGGACACTAGACCAGACACAAGAGAGCCACCCAGAGACGCAGCCAGTACTCACAGGGTCGGTGAGCATGGTTCTCAGGTGGGATGACAGGGCAAGCACGGCCAAGCAGTTAAAGATGACCCCGTTGACCACAGAGTACCAGAAGTCTTTGGAAGGCAGCAGCATGACGAAAGTCACCACGAAGTCTGCATAGGCGACCAGAAGCCACGTCATGACAGCACAGATCATGCCGCAGCCGTCACGGATGAACCAGACCCGGTCAGCCACGTCAGCCTCGGAGGAGGAGGACGATGAAGAGTCATAGTTGTCATTTTCAGCCAGGAGAGGATGATGCTCGACGTCCCGGAGCCTGTGTCCTGATGGCTGCATGATTTCCCTGACGCACCCTGGGGAGGGGGACGACACAGAGCTGGTAAGGCTCAAAAAGCTCACAAGCTACCTTAAATATGATGTGTTACAGTTTGTCCTTGGCCATTTCATGAAGTTAGTCTAAATACACATAGTGGGAAAGAACATAAAAACATAACTAAGATCTGAATTTTTAAATCTCTGACTTGATTGATTGCTTTACTACAACACAGTAAGTCCCACAGTACAGGTTATGCCTACATATACAAAACCTATCTATGGCCAGCCGTGGCCACATACAAAGATTATGGAAAGCACAAGCTAGACGCGAAGTCCCAGCACTGGGTTCCCCGGCAGCGTGGAGAGGAGCTCTGCTGTATCACTGCTGCGCCTGCTCCCCTGAGCCCCACCTGTTCCTGCTCTGCTCAGCAGCTCACCTAAATGCTCCCAAGCAGGTGCTCGGCACACACTTCAGCAAGCAGCATGATGAAAGAATGACGAGTAAGTCACTGGTTCTCTATTCATCTTTACACCGCCTCATACACACTGACCTCATTGGTCTTACCTGATTTTCCTCAATTTGATTCTCAGTTTATCCTCGCTTATCTGTGATGTTTTTGGAGCAGACTCCCATTTTTATATCTCTGTTCCTTGACACTCTACCCTGCTTCTAGAATGCCCTTCATCTCTATTTTAATCTTTTTTTTGAAACCAAGTCTCACTCTGTTGCCCGGCTGGAGTGCAGTGGTGCGATCTTGGCTCACTGCAACCTCCGTCTCCCAGGTTCAAGTGATTCTCCTGCCTCAGCCTCCCGAGTAGCTGGGATTACAGGCGCCCACCACCACACCTAGCTAATTTTTTTGTATTTTTAGTAGAGATGGAGTTTCACCATGTTGGCCAGGCTGGTCTCAAACTCCTGACCTCAGGTGATCCATCTGCCTCGGCCTCCCAAAGTGCTGGGATTACAGGCATGAGCCACTGCACCCGGCCTCTATTTTAATCTTTTAAAAGTTTCCTGTTTTTGTTGTTTTGGGAACACAGTCTCCCTTTGTTGCCCAAGCTGGAGTGCAGTGGCACAATCACAGCTCACAGATGAGGTCTGACTATGTTGCCTGGGCTGCTCTGGAACTCCTGGGCTCAATCCTCCTGCCTCAGCCTCCCAAAGTGCTGGGATTACAGGTAGAGCCACCATGCCCAGCCTTTCCTTCATTTATTAATCCATTCTTTTGCAAGCCATCATTTTGACACTTCTTCCCTATTTCCAATAGCATCTGATTTCTAAGAACATACAAGATCTAAAGAAACTAAAGAAAAAAGTAGGACCGGGCACAGTGGCTCATGCCTGTAATCCCAGCACTTTGGGAGGTCAGGAGTTTGAGACCAGCCTGGTCAACATGGTGAAACCCCGTCTCTACTAAAAATACAAAAACCAGCCGGGCATGGTGGCGTGCGCCTGTAATCCCAGCTACTCGGGAGGCTGAGGCAGGAGAATCACTTGAACCTGGGAGGCGGAGGTTGCAGTGAGCTGAGATCACGCCACTGCACTGGACTCAGTCTCAAAAAAAAAAAGAAAAGAAAAGAAAAAAGTGGGTCAGGTGCGGGTGGCTCATACCTGTAACCCCAGCGCTTTCAGAGGCAGAGGCCGGTGGATCACGAGGTTACAAGTTCAAGACCAGCCTGGCCAAGCTGGTGAAACCCGTCTCTACTAAAAATATAAAAATTAGTCGGGCACAGTGGCAGGCGCCTGTACCTGTAATCCCAGCTACTCAGGAGGCTGAGGCAGGAGAACTGCTTGAACCCGGGGGGTGGAGGTTGCAGTGAGCCGAGATCGTACCACGGCACTCCAGCCTAGTGACAGAGTGACACTCCCTCTCCAGAAACAAAAAGAAAAAAGTGCACTTTTCCTGGTAACTGTTTTGACTGCTTCTTTGATTGTACGCCCTTCTCTTATCGGTGTTTGCTCTGAGAGTTGTAATATCACAGATAAAGAGCCAGGGAAAGGAAGAGACAGTCAATTTCACCTAGCTTTGCCATGAGGAGAAAATACTGACAAATATTTTAACGAACTGACCCGGGCACCTTCTCAGAGCAGGAGCGCTCCTCATATTTTAAGCAGGCAGAGTGCAGAAACCATGGCTTCTGAAATGTGAATAAAGGAGTGTAGTAAGAATGTTCTCAGAGGTCAGGTCACTACAACTGAGTAACAGCACTGGGTGCTGTTTTTCAAATCTGGGTGTGACTTTTTCTTTTCTTAAATGCAACTGGAACATAGCAATTATGAAAACATTTGCCGAATGAACATGTGGTGAGGATTCATTCGCCAAATACTTTAAAAAATTTCCTCTCGATGCAAAAATGCTGACTGGTACAAGAGCAAAATGAAATTGTTTTCCAAAGTCAGTAAAATAGCCCTATTTTTCAATCAGATAAAAGCAGCTTTAAAAAATGTTTAAGGCTGGGTGCAGTGGCTCAAGTCAGCACTTGGGAGACTGAGGCAGAAGGATCATTTGAGCCCAGAAGTTTGAGATCAGCCTGGGCAACAGAGTAAGACCTCATCTCTACAGAAAATAAAAATTAACCAGGCATGGTGGCTTGCGCTTATAGTCCCCCCTACTAGGGAGGCTGAGGGGGGAAGATTGCTTGAGCCTGGGAGGTGGAGGCTGCAGTGAGCCATGATCATGCCACCGCGCTCCAGCCTGGATGACAGAGAGATCCTGTCTCAAAAAATAAAAATAAATAAATACATGCTTAAGGCTGAGTGTGGTGGCTTACACCTGTAATCTCAGCACTTTAGGAGGCCAAGGTGGGAGGATCTCTTGAGCCCAGGAGTTTGAGACTGGCCTGCGCAACATGGGAAGACCCAATCTCTACAAAACAAAATTGTTTTTTTTTTTTATAGTCAGGCATGGTGGCACACACCTATAGTCCCAGCTGTTTGGGGGACTGACGTGGAAGGATCGCATGAGACTGGCAGGTTGAGGCTACAGTGAGCCACAATCCCACCACTGCAGTCCAGCCTGGGCAACAGAGTAAGTAAGACCCAATGTCAAAAAAATTGTTTTAATTAAAAAAACTTTTAAAAATAATCATTTGAGTGAAATAGAAAAAACTAAAGATCAAAAGAATTTGGACAGACCCCTTAGCCAACCATTCCTTCAGCATTTTCTGAACCTACATCTTCTGCATCTGTCTGCTCAACATCCCCTGCAAACACCTTTGCAGCACCATTGCCTCTACATAAACCTCATTCACCCTGCAGGGCCTAACTTTTCTCTCTTCTAGGCAAGCCAACCTGAAAAGGGAGTTCTCTTCTTCTGAGGAGCACTTTGCGAAGAGGTCTCTAGACATCAGATGTGACTATCCGGAGATAAAGGCTGAAACTGCTTCTGCCTGCACTACTAGTAAAGCCTGACTGTCAGGGGGCTGAGAAAGTACCTGGAAGTTTCTCTGCCTCCGCTGAAGCCCTGGGCACGCTCACCAGCTCTCCCTCCCAGGTACTTACCACTTGCTACCTGAGAGCTCTTGCAGGTCCGACCTCCCGGCCTGATGTCAGCCCCTCCAGGGGGGTCTGGGTCTCCTCCTGCCCTGTCCCCCTCATGCCTTGCATGCTGTCTGGCGCACAGCAAGGGCATGTTTGCTAAAAGGCAGATGCAACAAAAAGCAAGCAGTCCCTCTCTCAGATTCCAATCACCTCCTGCTGATTTCCATCTAAGTTTCTTGGTGAATCGTTATCTGTGGGCCCAGGTACATCAAGGCCGTAAGCTGAAAAATTCCTCTGAGCAGAACCATTTTGCTTTATGGTGACTTCTCTAATAGGACACGTTCCATGAGAAAAGGAAGGGTGCTTTCCAGGCAGTAAAACAAGCTATACTTTTGTCAGAGCACAATGTTTGGGCAGTCTGAGCTCTCTCCAGAAAGCAGGGCCTCTTGAAAGTCTTCTAAAGGCACACATGTGACACCTGAGCCAGCTCAGCTCCGCCTTCCTGGTTCAGGTCCTGGTAAGACCTCCACGGAGTGCAGGATGCTGCTGTGGCTCCATGCCTGACCTGGGGGTGCGGATGGCAGGCACAGCTGTGTAAGGAGAGCGCCCACAGACACCAAACACTGGCCATGGCAGGACGTTCCTATAAGCACATATTAGGGTGACATATCATACTTGAGGGCTTTAGTGCCATATCTGTAAGATCCATTAGAAGTCAACAGGAAAATAACATGAAATCCAAAAACTGCTTTATTTTCAACAAAGCAACAAACGAATATAGCAAAGTTAGGCTGGACAAATACAGCTCTCAGTAACACAGTGCACTCACTCGTGTCTCTGAGTCACTGTATTTACACTTGAGTAATGCAACAGGAAGGGAGGGGAAGAAATGAAGAAACCATTCCTTTACATGGAAGCTAATCTAAAAGCAAACAGCACAGCCATTTGAGATGCGGTATTAAAATGTACACATTCCTTAGGAGCAAGGGCACAGCCTTATTCTGCACTGAATTCCAAAACCACCGTTGACTTCATACTCAAGACAGTTTCTGAGGGAACCGTGAAACACTGGGCACTCTCACACAGATGCCCCAGCATCACTCTTCTACCCTAATGGCCGATTTAATGGGATTTTCTCAACACTCCCGAACCTAAGCTCTTTCTCGGCATGTTAAATAAAGCCCTGTTTCCCAGAACACCAAAAGCAACACTACAAATCTCCATATTTAAAGGGACAACCACACAAGCAAAAACTTTCCGTTTCAGGCCGGGCACAGTGGCTCACGCCTGTAATCCCAGCACTTTGGGAGGCCAAGGCGAGTGGATCACTTGTGGTCAGGAGTTCAAGACCAGCCTGGCCAACATGGTGAAACCCCGTCTCTACCAAAAATATAAAAATTAGCCGGGCATGATGGCGGGTGCCTGTAATCCCAGCTACTAGGGAGGCTGAGGCAGAAGAATCACTTGAACCTGGGAGACAGAGGTCGCAGAGAGCCAAGATCACGCCATTGCACTCTAGCCTAGGCAACAGACTGAGACTCCATCTCAAAAAAAACAGACAAAAAAAACCAAACCACTTTCCATTTCAGGTGGAAAGCGGGGTATTCCCCTCATCTTGTGATACTGGCCAAGAACTCATCAATTCAATTCATGGAGTCCCCTCCACAGATACACCCTCCTTTTAGGACCGGAAGGCAGCGGGTGAAAAGGAAGGCGTGCCTGTCAGCTTGGCACCACGCCTCTGCTTTGCCACATGCACAGGTTACCTTTTTAGTAATATACAAGCTAGTGTCAGCTGTGAGAAAGGAAACAGTGATTGGACCCTAAATAATCACACTCTTACCTCACAAGTTATTTCTAAACATCACTTGAACATTTTGTGCCGTTTCTTCAGGATCTTAAGGTGCATACTGTCCTATGTGATCGGATCTGAAAGGTAATAAAATCTGATTAGAAAAAGTGATTTATTTTATGACAGACGTGTGTCATATTTCTTAGGGTATGATTAATTTTTGGAGCGTAACATTTGACGCATCAAGTTCTGTCACTCAGAACTATCCTTAAGTATGAAATCATTGCTCTTCTAAGTTTTGATTACTAGGTAAATTCACAATCCTGGAAATCAAGTAATTTATTTTAAATATTTCCATTTACCCTCCTGCTCTTTTAGCCCCAGTGTTAAATACAGATCTATAAGCTAAAATCCCTCCAGAAAAATCCCCTAGGGCAGACCAAATCTGGGTAGCCTGCACTTCTACCGTCGATAAGCTGATTTACTGGCCACATTAAAGGAATCACAGAACAGAGAGACAGAGCACTTGAGGCAGGAGGGGTGGACTAGAATGGCAGGCCCTGCTGTGGGAGGGGCGAGGAGGTGAAGGAAGACAGTGGAACCCAGTGAGGGCCACTCAATGAGAGCAGAGACTCCTGGCACGCATCTCCCACGTAGCTCCCCGAACCCTGACAGATGGGAGGGTCGAGGAATCCTCTCTGGCACTAACATGACCCAAGAAAAAGGTCTAAAGACTCTGCGATGTAGGGAAAACCCAACAAGAAGGTCAGATTCACTGTCAGACCTCCCTAAGTCAGGGGCCACAGGGAAACCCCCGCCACGGACACAGAGGTTCCAAGTGCTTGTCGTAGCTCCATTATAAAAAAAGAAAGTCCAGGCCAGGCGCGGTGGCTCACGCCTGTAATCCCAGCACTTTGGGAGGCTGAGGCGGGTGGATCATGAGGTCAGAAGTTCAAGACCAGCCTGGCCAAGATGGTGAAACCCCGTCGCTACTAAAAATACAAAAATTAGCTGGACGTGGTGGTGGGCGCTTGTAATCCCAGCTACTCGGGAGGCTGTGGCAGAGAACTGCTTGAACCCACGAGGCGGAGGTTGCAGTAAGCCAAGATGGCACCACTGCACTCCAGCCTGGGCGACAGAGCAAGACTCTGTCTCAAAAAAAAAAAAAAATTAAATCCAAACACGATTCATGAAAGAGCACAAAACAGAAATGAAGGGTAAGAGTCCAGAACACGCACAATGCACAGAGAAGAAAATGTCAACAAGGCATAGGTAAAATTCATATTCTTCAAAATAAGAGAAGAGATTGGTTCTGTGAAACAAAAAGAGGAACAGTTTAAGAACTTCCTGGTTATTCTACAACGAAAATACAACAGTCTATAGATTCTAAATTTTCCTTTTTTTTTTTTTTTTTTTGAGATGGAGTCTTGCTCTGTCGCCCAGGCTGGAGTGCAGTGGCGCAGTCTCGGCTCACTGCAAACTCCACCTCCCGGGTTCACGCCATTCTCCTGCCTCAGCCTCCTGAGTAGCTGGGACTACAGGCGCCCACCACCACACCCAGCTAATTATCTTTTGTATTTTTAGTAGAGACGTGGTTTCACCATGTTATCCAGAATGGTCTCGATCTCCTGACCTCGTGATCCGCCCGCCTCGGCCTCCCAAAGTGCTGGGATTAAAGGTGTGAGACAGCGCACCCGGCCTCTAAATATTCTTAAACAGAATTGGACAAAAGAGTAGAAATGGGCCAGGCACAGTGGCTCACGCCTGTAACCCCAGCACTTTGGGAGGCTGAGGTGGGCGGATCACAAGGTCAGGAGATCGAGACCATCCTGGCTAAAACAGTGAAACCCCGTCTCTACTAAAAATACAAAAATTAGCTAGGCGTGGTGGTGGGCGCCTGTAGTCCCAGCTACTCGGGAGGCTGAGGCAGGAGAATGGCATGAACCCGGGATGCGGAGCTTGCAGTGGGCCGAGATGGCGCCACTGCACTCCATCCAGCCTGGGCGACAGAGCGAGACTCCGTCTAAAAAAAAAAAAAAAAAAAAAAATAGAAATGTCCCAGAGAGGAGAACTAGAAGACAGAGAGAAAACACTGAGAAGAGAATGTAAAATAAAATTAGAAGATCGGGTCTGTAATCCCAGTACTTTGGGAGGCCGAGGCGGGCGGATCACGAGATCAGGAGATCGAGACCAACCTAGCTACTAACACGGTGAAACCCCGTCTCTACTAAAAATAAAAAAAAATTAGCCGGGCGTGGTGGCGGGCGCCTGCAGTCCCAGCTACTCGGGAGGCTGAGACAGGAGAACGGCGCGAACCCGGGAGGCGGAGTTTGCAGTGAGCCGAGATCGCACCACTGCACTCCAGCCTGGGTGACAGAGCGAGACTGTCTCAAAAAAAAAAAAAAAAATTAGAAGATCGGGTCAGGAGGTCCACCTTCCAAACAACAGAGGTTGAGCACAGGGGTCCCTGGGAGAAAAGGGCGCAAGCAGATCTCCTTGTGGTAGGTTTCGGCTCTGGCTTCGGCGCCGGCTGCCTGGCTCCTCCACTCCATCTGTAGCTGAGATGCTTCCACGACAGTGCTTTTTCTGCCTGAGTCAACCCCCAGCTACTGTCTGTTGTCTGAAACCAAGAGCCCTGACTAGTTTCTGAAAACATATTCTGGGGTGCCTCCCGATAACCCGAGATGGCTCGCTGTCTCCCGCCCTAGTGTGCCAAGCCTCCACCTGGGCCCGCTCTGTGGAGGTCCCTGTGCCCATCACACCGACTGCAAGATCCCTCAGGGGTCGCTTTTCCCTCAAGCTTCTGCCCAGGCCCTAGACAAACACTGACACAGCACTGGTTCCCCAACAGAGCTCCAGCTCTCAATCCCTTCTGAACCTTTTTTTTTTTTTTTTTTTTTTGAGATGGAGTCTCACTCCTTTGCCCAGGCTGGAGTGCAGTGGCGCGATCTCGGCTCACCGCAACTTCCGCCTCTGGGGTTCAAGCAATTCTCTTGCCTCAGCCTCCCGAGTAGCTGGGATTACAGGTGCACGCCACCACTCCCAGCTAATTTTTTGTATTTTTAGTAGAAACAGGGTTTCACCATGTTAGCCAGGCTGGTCTCGAACTCCTGACCTCAGGTGATCCGCCCGCCTCAGCCTCCCAAAGTGCTGGGATTAGAGGCGTGAGCCACCGTGCCCAGCCTAAATGCAGCATTTATATATAGTAACTTTATTCAAACATCTATGCACCAGCCAGAAACTTGAAATGCTTAGTAATATTTTGAACTGTTTTCCAATGAGCTTATCTTAGCAATGTCTTAAAATCGGAAACTGGTTTGCAAAATTCAGGACTGTGAATCGCAAGCATCAGGTCTACACCAGATTTTCTACAATGAGATCAAATCTCCAATTAATTTTATAAATTTTAAAAAGTAACCACTTTGGAAAGCAGTCTGGCACTTTCTCAAAGTTAAACAAATACCTACCCTGTGACTCAGAGATTCCACTTCCAGGTATTTACCCAAGAAAAATAAATATAAATATGAACACAAAAACTTGTCCGATACTGTTCACAGCAGCTTTGTTCATAATACCCCCAAACTGAAAACAACCCAAACCCGTCAACAGGAAATAGATAACAAACATTGGTGTATTCATATAATGGCATACTTCTGAGCAAAAAAGCAGGAAAATATTACTGATACAAGCAACATGGCTAAATCTCAAAAATATTATGCTAAGTGAAAGAAGCCAGACACGGAAGAATATATAGTGTGATTCTATGTGTATGATATTCTAAATGAGGCAAACTCGTTTATTTAGAAAGAAATCAGAATAAGGATTTGAGCACAAGTAGAAGTGACTGTGGAGAGGGCCAAGGTAACATTGTAAGTTGACAGACATGCCTGTATCTTGAGAGGGAAGTGGGTGACACAGGCATATGCGTTTGTCAAAACAAAATACAATTCGCTGTTTAAAAAAAGCCCAATAGACTATACACTTTAAATTGTGGGGCCGGGCACAGTGGCTCATACCTGTAATCCCAGTGCTTTGGGAGTCCAAGGCAGGATCACTTAAGCCCAAGAGTTCAAGACTAATCTGGGCAACATGGCAAGACCCTGTCTCTACAAAAAAAATTTTTTAAAAATTGGCTGGGCAGGGCCTGTACTCCCAGCTGCTCAGGAGGCTGAGGCAGGAGGATCGCTTGAGTCTCGGAGGTCGAGGCTGCAGTGAGCTGTGTTTGTGCCACTGCACTCCAGCCTGGGCAACAAGCAAGACCCTGTCTCTAAAATAAAATAAAATAAAATTGTGCATTTCACTGTACATTAATCATGCCTCAATTAAAAACATGAGCAGGAGAAAAAATACCCAGCACAGGTATGTACGGCCGGTGTGATAGTGCAAGGGTGCGGCACAAGGCAAGTCCCAGCGAGCAGTGGAGTCACTTTTCTTCCTGGATAACCCGCGTTCCTGAGTCCAGACCCTGTCTTGGATTTACTTGTATCTGTAACTTCAAGCAAGTGTCTTAAGCTCTTCGCCTTTACTTTTTTCCTTGGCTATAAACAGAAAATGTATTTCTCAGGAACACACTGAAAACAAGTAAACAAAAGATACCAGTATTCTCTGGTGATCAGTGACTACAGAAAAGAACCAAGACATAATTATTTTTACCACTGCACTGCTAAGAATGTCCACCCTAGAGTCTGGTATCCATGTTTATATTAAAATACTATTTAAACTTGTCGTTGCTTTACTGTTCATACACCCACTTCAGCCCCATAAAAAACGGAATTAAGCAAACCTGTTTTAGGACAGAAGGTTACAAAACAAACTCAACCCCTGCCATGAACAGTCCACTCAATTCAAACATCAGGCTGGGGAGTTGGGGGGTGAGCATCCAAGCACGTACTCTGTGCAAGGCCTCAAGGATGTGCAGCCAAAGACAGCCTGAGCCACAGGAGCAGAGCGCACACAGCAGCGAGGTGAGGATCCAATGTGCAAAGTGCTTTCCCCAAGTTAGCAGCAAAGTGTGATCAGGGAGAGAAATGAAAACAGCTACTTCTGGAAGAACCAGAGAAAGTGTCAATAAAGACAACAGACAGCATGGGTGGGCCCCAGCAGACCAGAAAGACATGGACAAGAGAGGACAATCATGTGACACAGCACAGAAGGGAATTCAGCATTCCAGAGGGGAATGTGACCAGAAGGACAAGCCTGAGGTCCAATGGAACCACAGCCTGAATGCCACGCTAAGAAACCTGGAACTCTAGACTTCACTCTGCTGGAATGGGAGGCACCAGACCTTAGGTAAACCAGATGGTTTAAAAGATAACTGGGGCCGGGCGCGGTGCCTCATGCCCGTAATCCCAGCACTTTGGGAGGCCAAGGTGGGTGGATCACTTGAGGTCAGGAGTTCAAGACCAGCCTAGCCAACACGGCGAAACCCCGTCTCTACTAAAAATACAAAAATTAGCCAGGCATGGTGGCCAGTACCTGTAATCCTAGCTACTTGGGCAGCTGAGGCAGGAAAATCACTTGAACCCTGGAGGCTGAGGTTGCAGTGGGCCAAGATCGCACCACTGCACTCCAGCCTGGGCAAGAGAGCAAGACCCTGTCTCAAAAAAAAAAAAAATTAAGTAAATGGATGGCAAGAGCCAGGCTTCTCACTGTTGGGGTGGAAGTTTCCAGGTAAGCAAGAGGAGGAAGCTAGAATGACCTAAGTTTTTGGTTTAAGGAAGATACAAGCAGTTGCATATGGAAATATCTACAGATATGTATACACACATGGGTTAGCATCCACACATATATTTACTTGCTCTGTCAGCTGAGACGGCCTAGAAGCAACACACCAACAGCCACCAGCACACCTAATTCCCAGATCTTGGTTTGTTGTTGTTGTTTAATATTCAAGATGGGATCTTGCTAGTTGCCCAGGCTGCTCTTGAATTCCTGGACTCAAGCGATCTTCCCATGTCGGCCAAAGTGCTGGGATTATAGGTGTGAGCCACCACAGATCTTGGTTTTTAATACCATTCTCTAATAAATAAAAGGAACCAGGACTGAGGCAAAAAAAATAAATATATATACAAGATGAGCTTGGAGCATCTTGTATTGCCAGAGAATAATGAAGTGTTCACAATACACACACACAATCATGGGGACAGGTGGGCTCATGAAAGGGATATAGGAACCAAGTAAAAGAGCTCCCAATGGCCAAAGCTTTTTCCAGGAAAATAAAATAGTATTGCTTTATAACCCGAAGCATCAAGTAAACATGCACGAGTCCAGACTGATATAAAGCAGTGGCTGAATAAACAGAAAATAGACAAATACCCAGCGCCACGAGTCCGAGGAATGCCTGTGGCTCCTCCTCCTCCAGCAGGGAGGACGCTGCTCCCCACCCCTCAAGTATGGCCGTTCACAGGGACAGTTTCTAACGAGTGGAGTACGGAAAGGAGGAAAATAACTTTACTGAGGAGAAACTTGGCAAACACCACCTCAGTCAGCCAGGTGTTCAAGGCCACATCCATAGCAATGAGTCCTGTGGACAGAACACAGCCTTGACAGGCTGTGGCGAGACAGGCCCTCTAACTGCATCACCCAAGTCTAGTCATAAGGAAAATATCAAACAAGTCCCAAGAGAAGAGCATCCTACAAAAAAATCCCTGACCCACAGCACTGCTCCCAAGTGCCAGTCATCCAAACAAGGAACGCCTGAGAAAGCACCACAGCCAAGAGGGGCTGACGAGATGTGCCCACTCATGTCCTGTGTGATCCTGGGTGGGATCCTGGGACAGAGAAAGGACATTAAGGAAAAGCTGAGGAAATCTGAATCAAGTGTGAATTTTATCGATAGGAGAAAGCGTGGGTGGAGTGGGGGGATGGTCGACAAAGCGGAATGATCCTTCCTCCCTGGAGGAAGAAAGGGGAAACCCGGGCATGAAGAGAAGTGAAAGCAGTTCACTCAGGAAGACGAGTGCTGAGTGTCTCAGCAGAGAGGAGGAGCGGGGCTGCGGCGCTGGGAGGGCCTATGGAGACCGCAAAATGGAAATGGGGTGGAGAGGCGGCGGCCAAGAGGGGCCTGAACTGTCACCCTGCAGGGCCCAGACAATGCTGACACCTTAAGTGTCTCATAGAGGATGGGAATGGCTGGTCCTTTTATCCAAAAGCCCAGCCCAGCACCATAAACTTACCCAGGGCTGGAGATTAGCCAGGATGATGGGCTAGAAAAGCAGAGTAACGAAGGCAAGACCAAGATGCAAGCGGGAGAGGCCAACCTCAGAGTCCAGGGGGCAGGAGGAGAGGCCTGGTAAGCCAAGTGACCGAAACTCAGGGCACTGAGGGCCCGAGGAGCCTGAGAAACAGACTCAGAGGAAGTGAGGGGCAGGACTGAGGCTGGGTCCAGGGGGGCGCTGTAAGATCCGGAGGCAGTGGTTCCTATGGGCCGTGCAAACGGGGCCACATCCCAGGTATGCCACCAGCCCGGATGAGTCAGGGAACCTGAGTCAAGGTGGGGAAGGCTACAGAGGGAGCTCACGTCCTCCCTCAACTCACAAAAGGAGCGCAGCACTCAGCTGACCCACTGCAGTGAGCTGATGGCGACTGCGCTCCTAAGTGCTCTTGCCATCAACTGGCAATCATGAAATATTCAGTTTGTCCTTTCAAATCCTACCATAGGAAATGATGCTCTAAGAAACCATGATTTTCTACTCAAATTACTGAATCCAAAGATCAGAATATTACTTTTAAGGAAAAAAAAAATCCACACCAGAATATTAACCCAACTCAAGCCAGATCTCAATGATATGCTGGCACGTAAGTCATACGGTGAATAGTGACATTGCCTGACCTTTCTAGAAGGGCATTTCATATTAAAATACTTAATCACTCTACAGTAGGATCAGAACACTGCAGATCAAAAACATGGCAAAGTGGGGGAACACACACAGCACACAATGAACCGTGGAAGTGGGAGAGGGAACACCAGTCTCAGGAGTGAGGGGCCTGGGGGACAACACTGACTTCCCTTCCCCCTAGCCACACCCGGTCTCTGACTGGATACTTCTCCTCCACCCATGTAAACGCCGGGAGCACCCGGGCTTAGTCCTCGGCCTTCCCTTCATCTACATGCTCTCCACAAAGGAGCTAATGGGGAACCTCAGTTTCACGAAGTTTAAACAAAAAAAGATAT
The DNA here is from genome assembly GCF_000001405.40 of Homo sapiens. NCBI lineage: Eukaryota > Metazoa > Chordata > Mammalia > Primates > Hominidae > Homo > Homo sapiens. Next base: position 85,004,044 of record NC_000016.10, read on the forward strand.
CTGGAAAACTCTCAGGCTGACGATGCATCCCTAAGGGCGTCTATCCAACTGGCCACTTAACAACTCCAGGGCAGGAGGGTCAAAGCAGAACCTCCCCCACTCAGTCACGACCCCACTCTTTCCCATCTCAATCAACGGCACACCACACCCAAAAAAAAAGGCCCCGCCCTTCATGTATCTCATTCCCCACCTCTCCACATCTAGCTGATCAGCAAGTCCTATGGGGTGCACCTCTAAACCTACCCCAAATCCGACCACTTCTCCCACCTCCTCACCCGCCCAGACCAAGGTCCCATGAGCTCTCACCTGGGGAGTGCTTAGATCACCTGCTGACCAGTCCTCTCTCTACTCTCATGCCTCTGCTCACCCAACAGTCCAGTCCCCCATGCAGCACCCAGAGTGGTCTTCCACAGACGTAAATCAGATCATGTCACTCCCCTCCCTAAGCTCATGCAATCACTGCCTTTTCAGTGCGAATAAAATCCCACCCCACCCCCCACTCCACCCCACCACCATGGCCTAGAAAGCCCCACTCCATCTGGAGCCTGCTGGCCTCCCTTCCTAGCAGCCTCTCCCTGGCTGCTTGTTCTGCCATCACCTCAATGGAATGTTACTCATAGTATCCCCAGCACTCCCGGGTTCACCACGCACTCCACAAACATTTCTTGAGTGAATAAGTAAGGGAAGGAGGGTGCTTGAGGGAGACAAGAAAAAGTAGAAAGGAAGTCCACAGGCAAACGACAGGGGCGTGTGATAAGATCTGCCAGGGGAGTGGGCCAGAGGCCCAAAGGAGCCTGGCAGAAAAGGAGTAGAAGAGAAATGCACAAGGGTTATAGAGAAAGAGGGAGACGGGGGTGAAGAGAAAAACCCCACCTGTAGGCAAGTCACAACTTCAGGTCCAGAAAACATGTGCGCGGGACCTCACTAGAGCACGCAGGCCAGATGAGGTGGCCTCCAAGGAATGCTTACTCGTACCCCAAAGGTTCCCCTTTCATCCCTGTACGAGAGCCACAACCTAACTTTGACAGTCAAATGGAGCAGCTATTTTTAAAAATCCCAGCATGGTAACTAAACCCTCAAGAAATCTAAATCCAGAAATAAAAAGAACTCTAGAGTTCCAAACCTCATTAAGCATCCTGTCCCAGGGAAGAGCAGAGCCTCAATCAGGCTGGTATTCCCAACCTCCTTCCCTGTCTTCCTAGAGTTTCCCTGTTTAATACAAAATGAGCTTTTATAATGCCAGATTAACCAGAGTTCAAAATACTAAGAAAATATGACATGCTAACAATACATTTAGCCCTCAATTACAAGTTAATGACAACATAAAACATTTGAAGGTGAGAAGAAAGGCTATTTACTGAGCATCTACTCTGTTTGTCAGGAGATTTACACACGTGACCACCACCCTAAAAGCCAGGCGTATCACGAGCTCATTTTCAGGATGACAAAATTGAGTCTTAGAGGCTAAGTGCCTTGCTCAGATCCACAGCCAGTTAGGGTGGAGTCAGAACTGTTTTGATTCCAAAGCCCGTGTTCTTCCACTAAAATACACTGGCTTCCAGAGCACTCAGTTTAAGAAAGTGCATTCTGTAATGAATAAATTGAATGTTGGAAATATGGAATCTAAGAATTCAAAACATTTCAGTGAACTCTAAAAGCTGGTCTCCAATGAGACTGGAAGCCTCTCTAGCTGACTGCCCCTCCTCACGCAGTGCTGCAAATGAACGGCAGTGTTTCCCGGTGAACCAAACCACCAGCTTAACATAGAGCTAGCGTCTTTTTCCAAATCAGTGACATTCCTCATGCAACCAGGATTGATTCACCACCTTTTAGCCTCTGGACACAAAATTCCTCCATTCCTACATGTATGACGACACTTCCCACTTACAGCTCTGATCCTTCTCACCTTTCCCACAACCCAAATTTAGGCAGCCCTCATCTCTAGCCTGTACCTCTGCAGAACGCTAACTTCAAGGGTCACTAGATTCCAATGACTCTCCACATGGCTGCAGGAATCACCGTTCAAAATCACAGCACAGGCCAGAGGTGGCGGCTCACACTTGTAATCCCAGTGCTTTGAGAGGCAAAGGCAGGAGGAACACTTGAGTTAAAAGACCAGCCTGGGCAACATAGCGAGACCCTATCTCTACAAAAAAAATTTTTTAATTAGCTGGGCGCAGTGGTACACAGCTGTAGTCCCAGCTACTCGAGAGGCTGAGGCAGGAGGATTACTTGAGCCCAGGCGTTCAAGGCTGCAGTGAGCTATGACTGCATCACTGTACTCCAGCCTGAGTAACAGAGAGAGACCCTGTCTCAAAAAAATTAAAAACCTAAATAAAAATTCCTTGAAAAATAAAATTAAATAATTTTAAAATAATATATAGGGCCAGGTGCAGTGGCACCGGTCTACCTGTAATCCCGGCACTTTAGGAGGCTGAGGTGGGCAGATCATTTGATCTCAGGAGTTCAAGACCAGCCTGAGCAACATGGAGTTCAAGACAGGCCTGAGCAACCGGCCTGACCCCATTTCTGTAATTTAAAAAAAAAGGAGCCAGTTTCAGTGGCATGCACCTGTAGCCCCAGCTACTCAGGAGGCTAAGGTGGGAGGATCGCTTCAGCCCAGGAGGTTGAGGCTGCAGTAAGTTGAGATCATGCTACTGCACTCCAGCCTAGGTGACAGAATAACACCGTCTCAAAAATAGTAATAATAAAAAATTAAATAAAACAAAACCACAGCACAGGTCACAAAATCAACCTGTTGCGAAACCTTCTGGCTCTCCCAACCTTTCCAGGCTCAACATTCCCCACTCTCTTCCATATGGTGCTCCTTTGGATTCCCCTTACCTCGCCTTTCATAGCTCTGTGGTTTTGCTCCTGTTTCCTCCAATTAGAATTCTTTCTCTGCCTTGCCAAATTATTCATTCACCAAACAGTTTTCAAGCACCCACTACCTATAAGACACCGTAGAAGAACACGGTGTTTTCAAAACCGTAAGATGCTGAACCAAAATAAGGCATTGTCTGGGCCCCATATGGAGTCTGGGTTTGATTAGAGGATTAATAGGATTCTACTGAAAAGTTTTTCAAGAATGGAATGGAGGCTGGGCAAGGTGGCTCATGCCTGTAATCCCAGCACTTTGGGAGGCCAAGGCAGGTGGATCACCTGAGGTCAGGAGTTCAAGATCAGCCTGGCCAACATGGTAAAAACCCGTCTCTACAAAAATACAAAAATTAGCCGGGCATGATGGTGGGTGCCTGTAATCCCAGCTACTCGGGAGGCTGAGGCAGGAGAACCGCTTGAACCTGGGAGGCGGAGGTTGCAGTGAGCCGAGACCACGCCACCGCACTCCAGCCTGGGCAACAGAGCGATACTCCATCTCAAAAAAAAAAAAAAAAAGAATGGAATGGAATGGAACTCAGAAGCAAGCAGGGCCAAGATTACTAAGACAAGGATATGTTTGTAAATAGAAGTGAAGAAACCAGCAAATGGAAAAAACAATCAAAAAGGCAAGAGATAGTAAATGATAATTCACAGTCCCATAACAAGCAGACCAAAGCAGACACAAGCGTTAACATCAGGAAGGAGGGACTGTCTCTTCCTCAGAGGCAAAGCAGAAGAAAATGACTGATGGATATTCGAAGACATTTTAGTTAAAAGGGAACTAAGGTTGAGAGCTCTCCCTGTGGCCTGTGTCTCCTCCATGTTCTAGAAGGGACAGTCATTTGTCAATGGCAAAGCACAGTAGTATACAGGATTTTCAAGTAGGAAGGGACCAGGAAAGAAGTAGGATATGTAGTAAATAATTTAACCAGGCCAGGCACAGTATAACATGCCTCCGGGCGGCCAAGGCAGGTGGATTGCTTGGGCCCAGGGGTTTCAGACCAGCCTGGGTATCATAGTGAGACCCTATCTCTACAAAAAATAAGCCGGACAGGGTGGCGTACACCTGTGGTCCCTGTTAACCAGGAGGCTGAGGTAGAAGAAACCACTTGAGCCCAGGAGATCAAGGCTGTAGTGAGCCATGATTGTGCCACCGCACTCCAGCCTGGGCAAAAGAGCAAGACCCTCTCAAAGCAAACAAACAAAAAACAATTTAACCTTATTTAATCTTACCCAAAAAGAGGTCTGCCCTTTGTCCTCAGCTAACAATATGATGTAGGGTGAGGGGGGAGCTCTTCGTCACAGGGTATCAGTCTATCTGGGAACTAATATCAACCATGTGGGCAATCAATCAATCAATCAATCATGCCTGCATAATGGGGCCTCAATAAAAACTGACTACAAAGACTCAGGTGAGCTTCCCAGGCTGGCAATACTCCATGCATACTGTCACACATCAATGCCAAAAAAGTAACGTGTTCTGAGTCCACAGGGAGAGGACAATCGTGCCTTTGGTGCTTCCCCATCTGGTACTTCCCTGGACTCCACCCAAGGGTGGTTTTGGGAACCACCACCTACACCCCCCCCCAAAAAAAAGCCAACTTGCAGTTGGTATCACAAGTGAGGGCAGTCCTGTGTGGACTGGCACTATTCCCACTCAACTTTATAGCTAGCTAACTGGCACAGTCCAGCTAAACTCTTCTCAGATGTTACAACCGAAGGGTCACACAGCAAGTTGTTAACACTGACCCTGGAGACTAACTTTGGGAATAAGATATTTCAGTGAAAATGACAGTTTTGACTTTATGTTCTGCTCTAGGGTTTGAAGAAAAAAAAAAAGGGTCAGGCACAGTGGCTCACGCCTGTAATCCCACCATTCTGGGAGGCTGAGGCAGGCGGATCACCAGAGGTCAGGAGTTGGAGACCAGCCTGACCAACATGGAGAAATCCTGTCTCTACTAAAAATACAAAATTAGCCAGCCACGGTGGCTCAGGCCTGTAATCCCAGCTACTCGGGAGGCTGAGGCAGGAGAATCGCTTTAACCCAGGAGGTAGAGGCTGCAGGGAGCCAAGATCGAGCCACTGCACTCCAGCCTGGGCAACAAGAGCGAAACTCCGTCTCAAAAAAAAAAAAAAAGTACTTCTAAAGTTAAAATATTACAGAAACATACCCCAAAAAGCTGCTTTAGTAAAATTATCTTGTATAGTTGTCCAATCACGAAAACTATTCAATGTTCATCCCAAACATTAACTTTCTACATGAACTTATTTCTACACCCATTTTCTTTGTTAATTTAACAAAGATTGTATTATTTATATCAACAAAGCATCCAAGCCAGCAGGTAAGTTTCAGTAAGAATGTAAAAGTACGTTCATACTTTTGACTGAATCAAGATTGTTCTTATATAAAGTTCATTTCAGTGCTTTCTTTCTCACTGAGAGGGCCATTCTATTCATGCTAATACTCTTCTGTTCTTGAAGAGGATTTGTTTTTACAGTTCATTGATTAGCAGGGCTGTAAAGTTTCAATTCATTAATCTGTCAACTGAGGCAGGCTCTGAGCCAATGGTAGCAGAAGAGTTCCCATTGTTACTTAGCGAATCCTTTGGGAATTACCTTTTCAAATAGTCTTCTTCTCCTTCAACTCTCAAATCAGAAGCCAATGTGGGCCCCTAACCTATTTTCCAGAATGTTCAAGAATTGCAATTTAGTTAATATTTCAGTTCCATTCCATATTTCAAATATCCCAAGAGCCTTTCACTTTAACCAAGTTCTGACTTTTTTTCTTTTTTTTTTTTTTTTTGAGACGGAGTCTTGCTCTGTCGCCCAGACTGGAGTGCAGTGGCGCGATCTTGGCTCACTGCAAGCTCCGCCTCCCGGGTTCACGTGATTCTCTTGCCTTAGCCTCCCGAGTAGCTGGGACTACAGGCGCCCACCACCATGCCCAGCTAATTTTTGGTATTTTTAGTAGACATGGGGTTTCACCGTGTTAGCCAGGATGGTCTCGATCTCCCGACTTCGTGATCCGCCCGCCTCGGCCTCCCAAAGTGCTGGGATCACAGGCATGAGCCACTGTGCCTGGCCAAGTTCTGACTTTTAACAAGCGAATTTAACAAAGTGACTTTTTTTTTTTTTTTGAGATGGGGATCTCACTCTGTTGCCCAGGCTGCAGTGCTGTGGCATGATCTCAAACTCAAGTGATCCCCCCACCTCAGCCTCCCAAGCAGCTGAGACCTCAGGCGTGTACCACCATATCCGGCTAATTTTTTAATTTTTTTGTAGAGAAGGGGATCTCACTATGTTGCCCAGGCTGCTCTCCAACTCCTGGGCTCAAGTGATCCTCCTGCCTCAGCCTCCCAAAGCGCTGGGATTACAGGCATGAGCCACGAGCCACCGCGTGCGTACCAGGCCACAAAGTGACTAAAAGGTGATTTCAGGTATGTAAACACTGTAAAACATAACAAAAAAGAGATTCTTCATCTGTGAGATGAAGAGTTCAGAAAGAAATATTAATACACATTGACCTAAATCTCTAAACCCCTTGGGATAGTAACAGTAAAATAGATAAATACGTGCGCTTAAGTGCATACACTAAGCAGACTGAAAATGCAACACTGTAGCAGCGATTTGCCCAGCACTGTATACAGCCCAGACAGTAAAAGAAGCTACAAGGCAGGTAGCCGCATCAACACTGTCTCTTACACTCCAATTTAACGGCCACAATAAACTGGTTCTTCATAAGCTAATAAAGTGTGTCTATCTAACTGAGTGTGACAAAGTTGTAGAAGGAACCACACCAGGAGAGGTGAGCCTTACTGCCCTGAAAGCTTTACTGTCCCAGATGCCCTTTCAGGCAACTAACACCCAAAGATGACTGACGTGGAGCAGGAGGGAAGATAACTAGGAAGATGGGCAGAGAATAAAAGAGAAAAGTTTACAGCTTAAGAGGAAGAGAAGCCACAACGCGAAGTGCGAGACTGCTCATTGTAATACCTGCCTATTAAAAAACTCTTTACAGCTTACACAGGGTTTATAGCTGCTCTGTAACCACCACCCCGTCATTAGCCACACAGAAAACCAGGGCTCGGAGAGCTGAGTGTCACGCCCAAGGTCAGGCAAAAAGCTGGGGCTGCAATCCGGGCCCTATCCCGAGAGAGCAACTAAGGAATGACAAGGGGGCACCTGGAAGGGAAGTCAGGTGCGGGCACGGAGGTGCCCCTAGGAACTCCAGAAGGTCGCAGGTGTGCGGCGGGGTGGAGACAGAGCGGCGGAACCGACGGAAGGACAGGGCACGCCGGGGGCCAGAAGTGGCCGGGAGACCCGGGAGTGAGCAGCCCGCCCGGCCCAGCCCGCCGCACTCACCCGAGGCCCGGGCGGGGTCGCCCGGCGCTGCGGCTCCTCCCGGCCTGCGGCGGCGGCGGCGGCGACTGCAGCGGCCGAGGCAGGGACGCATCATGCGGCCGCGCTCATGGCCGGGCTGGAGCGGGCCCCGCGGCTCGGCTCGGCTTGGTCCCCTGGGTCCCGCCGGGCAGGTCGGAAGGAGGCTGCAGCCAAGCAAATGCCTCAGCCCGGAGCCTTGGCTGGAGAGCGGGGCGGTGCGAGCGCCGGAAGTGAACCCGACGAGGTCAGTGACGTCACGCCGGCGCAGTTCCGGCCGCGCAGCTCTCGCGGAGAGGGGCGCTCGAGGCGGTTTGAGGGGACCCGGAGGCTCTTACAAACTGGCAGTTCATTGAGAAAAGGCAGCTTTTAGTCACAGCCCCTCTCGCTAAGACAGAGATGCCGCCAAACTGAAGTCCGGAGGAGAAAGGATAGGGGCTACGGGCTGCAGCAGGGTCCAAGCCACGCCGTTAGGCTGCGGAACCGGGTTGGGAATGCCCTTAGCGGAGTGTGTACCCGCGCCCGCGGCGGTGTCTCAGAGGCAGCTCCAGTGGCCTGTACTATATGCGGGGATGTGACCGAAGGAAATGGGAAAGTAAGGGAGCGGGAGTGGAAATGGCTGAGCCAGAAAGCACTTGGGAAAAGAGGAAAGCGCCCTGAACTGGGGATTGGAGGCCTGACTCCTGAGGTCCGCGGAGCCCCCGGCCTCCTCCTTGAGGGACTTGGACACTAGAGCACCGCCACTGTCCCTTCCATATAGGAAGCCCTAAGTGTTTGAAAGTAGGAACATGTATTTTAAGGCCGGGCGCGGTGGCTCACGCCTGTAACTCCAGCACTTTGGGAAGCCAAGGCAGGCTGATCACTTGAGGTCAGGAGTTCGAGACCAGCCTGAACAACAATGGTGAAATTCCGTTTCTATTAAAAACACATAAATTAGCCGGATGTAGTGGTGCACGCCTGTAATCCCAGCAGCTACTCGAGAGGCTGAGGCAGGAGAATCATGAACCCAGGAGGCGAAGGTTGCAGTGAGCTGAGATCAAGCCACTGCACTCCAGCCTGGGCGACAGAGTGAACAGTCTCAAAAAAAAAAAAAAAGCATATCTTTTTTTTAAAATAAAATTATGACTCTCACACAAATATAAAATGAACATATGTCAAAGATACCATTTAACTCATTAATGATGGTATATATACAATGCTCCACTAGAGCTCTAGATAGCTTAAAGACAAAAGTAAGACCCCATAAGACGAGATAACCCAGAAGGGTATGCCAGACAATACCTACTTGTTCAATGAAGACACCTAAAGAAAACCAGAATAAGGCCAGGTGTGGTGGCTCACATCTGTAATCCCAGCACTTGTAGGAGGCCGAGGCAGGCAGATCACCTGAGGTCAGGAGTTCGAAACTATCCTGGTCAACGTGGCGAAACCCCATCTCTACTAAAAATACAAAAATTAGCCGGGTGCAGTTTTGGGCGCCTGTAATCTCAGCTACTCGGGAGGCTGAGGCAGGAGAAACCGCTTGAGAACCGGGAGGCAGAGGTTGCAGTGGGCCGAGATCGCGCCATTGCACTCCAACCTGGGTGACAGCGAGACTCCATCTCAATGAAAAAAGAAAAAGAAAAAACCAGAATATATCACCGCAAAATATGCCTCTTCGACAGAAAAATTATTTTCAGCTGAAGGCAATTAAGAAGCGACAAATGCAGGAAAAGTTCTCTTTATCCTCCCTTTTCTGCCTAAAGGGCAGGTGTAAATTCACCTTTACTGGACATTCTAGACTCTTCTTAGCCCAGAGAGGGCACCAAAGGAATCTGCAAACAAACCTTACTCTATTAAGTTTCTTCCCATATATAAACCTTTCCATAGTTTGCCACTTTTGGAAGCTCAAAACTCCTTTGTCCTGTCATTTCTCTACAAAAGTATTGTTCTTTTATTATTATTATTATTATTTTACTTTGAGATGGAGTCTCGCTCTGTCTCCCAGGCTGGAGTGCAGTGGTGCAATCTCAGCTCACTGTAACCTCCACTTCCGGGGTTTAAGCAATTCTCCTGCCTCAACCTCCTGAGTAGCTGGAATTACAGGGGCCCGCCACCACGTCCGGCTAATTTTTGTATTTTTAGTAAAGATAGGGTTTTGCCATGTTGGCCAGGCTGGTCTTGAACTCCTGACTGCAAGTGATCCACCCACCTTGGCCTCCCAAAGTGCTGGGATTGTAGGCATGAGCCACCACGCCCGGCCAAAGGTATTATTCTTTGTCGAAGGTACTATGTGAAACCACATTCCAAGCTACCTCTTCGAGTTACTCTTTCCCAAGTTTCTCTTATGAATATATGAGATGTACATGTTAATAAACTTCTGTTTTTCTCTTATTAATTTGTGTTTTTTTGTTTTGTTTTGTTTTTGAGATAGACTCTCGCACTGTTTCCCAGGCTGGAGTGCAGTGGTGTGATCTCAGCTCGCTGCAACCTCATCTCCTGGGTTCAAGCAATTCTCCTGCCTCAGCCTCCCAAGTAGCTGGGATTACAGGCACCCACCATCACACCTGGCTAATTTTTGTATTTTTAGTAGAGACGGGGTTTCACTATGTTGGCCAGGCTGGTCTGCAACTCCTGACCTCAGGTAATCCACCCACCTTGGCCTCCCAAAGTGCTGGGATTACAGGTGTGAGCCACTGCACTCAGCCTAATTTGTCTTTGTTACAGGGACCCCAACCAAGAATGTAAAAGGGTAGATAGAGATAAGGAGTTTTCTTTTCCTCCCCTACACACCCAATAATCTTTGCGCCCATTTTAAAGTTTTCTCAAAAAATGAGGAGTGGAGGGATCCTCACCACATAATTCTTAGTCCCCACACTTTTGTCAACCCAAAATAATCAAAAGGATTGGAATCTAAAGAGAGTTTATTCAAGCTCAAAGTTTCAGGATGGCCACCTGAGAAGTATAGATTTCAAAGCATGGAAGTCACTGTATGGAGTGTAGAAGTTTGGGGATCGTTTATAGAGAAATAGTTTAGGGAAGCTTAACAGAATTTCAACATCTTTCTATAGCAGGCTTAATGCACAGTTACAACAATCTGATTCGTCAAGGTGCTCTTTTTTTTAGAAAAGGTTTATTTAACATTCCACAGTGAAGGTGTGACAGCCATAGAGTCTTTGTGGCATCTGGTGTTGAGTTAGGTACAGGACAATAAAGAAGGCAGTTAATCTGTAACAAAGATTAGTGATTGGAAGGGGAGGAGGTCTCTCCTAGTCAACTACAGAACAAGAACAGCGAGGAAGGGAGTTAACCTACAGTGTAAGAAGTGGAAGTTGCAAACATGCTACATGATCCAGTCTCCAGGGCTTAACTTACCCCTTGACAAATTTAGAGGGTACTGTTGACAAAAAGAGCCAAAGAGACAAACTCTGTGAAATATTTGAAGAGATTTATTCTGATCCACATATGAGTGACCAATGGCCTAGGACACAGCCCCAGGGGATTCTGAGAACATTCCCAAGGTGGTTGGGTCACAGTTTGGTTTTTGACATTTTAGGGAGACAAAACATCAATGAATACGTGTAAGATGTACATTGGTTCAGTCTGGAAAGGTGGGACAACTGAAATAATGTCGTGAGGTTGGGGGAGGGGTGCTTCCAGGTCACAGGCAGATTCAAAGATTTTCTCATTGGCAATTAGTTGGCAGAGTTATTATCTAAAGACCTGGAGCCAATAGAAAGGAATGTGTCAGTTAAGGGGTTGTGGAGACTTTGGTTTCATCAATGTGAAGCCTCCAAGTAGCAGGCTTAGGAGTTTTGTTGTTTTTTTTTTTTTTCTGAGATGGAGTTTCACGCTTGTCACCCAGGCTGGAGTGCAATGTCGCAATCTCAGCTCAGTGCAACCTCCGCGTCCCAGGTTCAAGCGATTCTCCTGCCTCAGCCTCCCAAGTAGCTGGGATTACAGGCGCCCACCACCATGCCCAGCTAATTTTTTGTATTTTTAGTAGAGACGAGGTTTCATCATGTTGGCCAGGCTGGTCTCGAACTCCTGACCTCAGGCGATCCACCCACCTCGTCTTCCCAAAGTGCTGGGATTACAGATGTGAGCCACCACGCACGGCCTCACAGCTCTTAACAGACCTAAGAAAGGTGCCAGATTCTTAGTAAATTATCTCCTGGATCAAGAAAAACACCTGAATAGAAAAGGGGATTCTCAACAGAATGTAGACTTTCCCCACAGGAGACAGCTTTGCAGGGCCATTTCCAAATATGTCAAATAAATATACTTTGGGCCAGGCACGGTTGCTCACGCTTGCAATCCCAGCATACTGGGGGGCCAAGGCAGGAGGATAGCTTGAGGCCAGTTTGAGACCAGCCTGAGAAATGTAATGACACCCTGTCTACAAAAATTTAAAAATTGGCTGGGCGTGGTGGCGTATCCCTGTAGTCCCAGCTCCTCAAGGGGGTTGAAGTGGGAGGACTGCTTGAGCCCAGGAAGTTGAGGCTGATCATCCCACCACTGCACTCCAGCTAGGGAGACAGAACAAGATCCTATCTCAAAAAAAAAAAAGAAAAAGAAAAAGAAATATACTTTGATTTCTCTCAGGGCCTGCTATCTGTCATGTGATGCTATAATAGAGTCAGGCTGGAATTTGGTGTCATATGACAAAAAGTCTGTTTCTTCATCAGTCTTAAGATCTCTGTTTCAATGTTAGTTCTGGTCAGCTGTGCCTAAATTCCAACAGGAGGAGGGATTATATATAGTGAGGCATTTCCACCCCCCCAACCACGTCATGGCCTAAACTAGTTTTTCAGGTGAGCTTTGTAATGCCCTTGGCCAAGAGGAAGGGCCCATTCAGTTGGTTGGGGGGCTTAGAATTTTATTTTTTTAACTTTTTAAATTTTATTATTATTATTTAAATTTATACAGATGAGGTCTCACTATGTTGCCCAGGCTGGTCTCAAACTCCTGAGCTCACGTGATCCTTCCACCTCAGCCTCCCAAACTGTTAGGATTATAGGCATGCGCCAGCACACCTGGCCAAAAATTTTATTTTTGGCTTACAGTCCTGAAATGTTCTTTTATATTTGCATTGCCTGTGCTTTTAGTTACTGGTATAGCTTGCGTAAAATTGTACCCTTGCTAAAAGAAATTAAAAAATCAAATCATTTATTAAAATCTTTGTTTGGTGAGAGAGACAAGGTCTTGCTCTGTTGCCCAGGCTGGAGTGCAGTAGCCCTGTTATAACTCACTGCAGCCTCGAACTCCTTGGCTCAAGTGATCCTTTGCCTCAGCCTCCCAAGTAGCTGAGATTACAGCTGCCGGCCACCACACCTGGTTAATTTTTTTTTTTTTTTAAAGATTGAGGGTGATGGCCATGTTCTCACTATATTGCCCAGGCTAGTCTTGAACTCAAGCGATCCTCTCACCTCAGCCTCCCAAAGTGCTGGGATTACAGGCATGAGCCACCACACCTGTCTCGTTAAAATACTTAACAGAGATGCCAGCAGTGGACAAAAATAATTCCATTCTTATCAAGGATCTTCATCTGTTTCTCAACGGAAGTGATATGTGGTCTTCTGCCAGTCATTTCCCCTTTGTATGCCTCAGCTTTATACAAAAATAATCTCTAAAATATGAGATTAGACTTGATTTCTTTTTTCTTTTGCTTTTTTTTTGAGATGGAGTTTTCACCCTTATTGCCCAGGCTGGAGTGGAATGGTGTGATCTTGGCTCATTGCAACCTCTGCCTCCTAGGTTCAAGCGACTCCCCTGCCTCAGCCTCCCAAGTGCTGGGATTACAGGCATGAGCCACCGCACCGGCCAACTTGTTCAATTTTTTAATCATGAGCATGTATTCATTTTTACATACATGAAAAAATTTATGTAAAAATGTAATTACAAATAAATAAGACAACCCAATAGAATAATTGGCAAAACACTGAACATACTTTACAAAAGAGAATATCTGAAAGATATGAAAGTGCTCATTCTCATTAGTCATCAGGGAAATGAAAACTTAAACCACAATGAAATAGTATCCAGACACCCACTAGAATGGCTAGAATGAAACACCACCAAGGGTTGGCCAAACGCGGAACAACCGAACTTCCGCACACTGCTGGTGAGAGTGTAATTGTTTAACTGCCCTGGACAACTCACAGGAGGAGCTGCTCAAACTGAACATGCACATCCTATGCTCACCAAGAGACTTCTACTAGAATGTTCATTCATACAGTACCATCCATAATAGCCCCAAACTTGAAACAACCTAAATGTCCATGAACAGAATGAATAAATTGTGGCGTATTTGTGCAATGAAATACTGTGCCACAACGACAATACACATACATGCGACACCCAACAACATGAATCAATCTCACAAATATAATTGATACCCGTGGGCTGGGAGAGATCCCCAAACACCAATGGGACCTCAACCCCAGCTGGTGTCCAGGCTCTTGACACTGTCGTGAGAAGGAATTTAAGGATAAGTCAGAAAATAGTGAAAGCACAGTGATTTATTGCAAAGGGAAAAGTACACACTCAAGGGAATGCGGGCGGACTCAAAAGTCACGTGTAAGGGGGTTTGAGGTTGCTACCTCTATAGGTTTCTTTAACCAAGGACTGGGATATTCATGAACATTCCTGGGAAAAGGTGGAGATTTCTTGGAACTGTGGTGCCACCCATTTTTACATCAAACCTGGGTGTTCTTGGAACTGTCGAGACACGGGTGGGTGTGTGTTTAGGATATTAATGAGTGTATATTGAGGTCCTAGGAGAAACCTGGTCACATCCAGTGCCATGTTGGGTCCAGTTGGTCTCAGCCAGTTTGACCCACATCCTGGGTTTCAGGGTCTTATAAGTCCATAGCCTCTAGTCATGTGAAACTACTGCCCAGAATTTAATTCTCCTGTGGCCACCCTGGATTATTCTTGTCTCATAATGTTGAGTAAAAGCAGGAAGACACAAAAGAGTACATGCAATATAATAAAAAGAGGCAAAACTGATCTTCGGTGTAGGAAGACAGGGCAAGGCAGTGATTCTCACTGAAGGGAAGGGAGCGTGGGGGGCAGGGTGCTAGTAATATTCAATCTCTTGGTCTGGCTGCTGGTTATACGGATGTTCATTAGGTAAAAATTCATTCAGTTATGTACACTTATTTGTATTCTTTTTTTTTTTTTAAGACAGAGTTTTACTCTTGTTGCCCAGGCTAGAGTGCAATGGCACGATCTCAGCTCACCGCAACCTCCATCTCCCAGGTTTAAGCAATTCTCCTGCCTCAGCCTCCCTGGTAGCTGGGATTACAGGCAAGTGCCACCACGCCCGGCTCATTTTGTATTTTTAGTAGAGACGGGGTATCTCCATGTTGGTCAGGCTGGTCTCAAACTCCCAACCCTGTCAGGTGATCCGCCCACCTTGGCCTCCCAAAGTGCTGAGATTACAGGCATGAGCCACTGCGCCCAGCTGGTGTCTTCTCTATTTCAAGTAGATGCTGGCAGGGAGAGAGAGAAACTCGCAAAGGTTATGCAGTGGAAAATCAGAGACTTGTTCCGGACGGGTGTTTGGGTTCTTATTTTTCCCACCGAGTTTGTGGTGTTGAGTTCAACAGCCATGCTAGGAAAGCCAGAAGACTGAAATTCCACAACCTGTGGTAGATGTTTAAACCCGAAGAGGGTGACGTGTCCCTGAATTCCTTTTCTGCAGGCCACCTCACCTCCGCTGTAGGTGGAGCAGGTCTGGAATTGGAGGTAGGGTGCTTGGCAAAGCCTTGTGTGGGCCACTCACTGAGTGCCAAGCGTGACCAAGGTCGTCCATGCTCATTCTCTCGTGGCTGTTAGGACTTGACTCAGAAAGTGTTTTCCTCCCCGGTCCCCCATGTAAAATTTCTCCCTCCCTCGCATTCCTGCAACGTATTTCGTTTCCCTTCCCTGGTTTACTCCTTGCCACATCTCACGTCTCACCTGTATCCTTCACTTACCCCGTTGACTATTCCTCATCGGAATGCAAGCCTCACAAAAGGCAGGGGGTTTTGTTGGTGTTGTTCACTGTGTCCCCACTGCCTGTCCAAAAGTAGGCACTCATGTGAATAGCCACTGCATGCCAGCCTGGGCAACAGAGTGAGACCCTGCCTCTAAAAAGAAGTAGTCATCTGGCCAGGTACGGTGGCTCAGGTCTGTAATCCCAGCACTTTTAAGAGGCTGAGGCGGGCAGATCACCTGAGGTCAGGAGTTCGAGACCAGCCTGGCCAATATGGTGAAACCCCGTCTCTACTAAAAATGCAAAAATAGCCGGGCGTGGTGGCAGGCACCTGTAATCCCAGCTACCCAGGAGGCTGAGGCAGAAGAATGGCTCTGTGCCCAGGAGGCAGAGGTTACAGTGAGCCGAGATTGTGCCTCTACACACCAGCCTGGGTGACAGAGCAAGACTCTGTCTCCAATAAATAAATAATAAAAACTTTTGAAAAAGTAGTCATTCAATAGATCTGCACTGAATGAATGAGTGAACTCACTATGATTGGTCCCTTTTCTAGACAAACAGGACCAGAGAGGTTGAGCAGTGTGCTCCCGGTCACACAGTGAAGAGGTGGAGAGCCAGGATGCCGCCCCAAATGTGCCTTGAACTTCTTAGCTGCTGTTATACCCCCTCGTAGACTCACTTCATCCTCACCACCCTGTGAAATCTCTTTGTACAGCTGCAGAAACTGAGAGTCAGATGTAAGCCATTGACCAAATGAAGTACAGGAGCAGAGCCAGCTGGCAGGTGAGCAACACTAGGCTATGAAAGCTCTGCCGTTTCGGCTGCGCCACACCCCTCTGGAAAGAGCCCACAATCCTAGCTCTGTGCCAAGCCAGCCTCCTCGAGGGCTTGCCTTAGGCACGGGTCTCCTACAGTGGGTACCATGACCACATCCACTGAGTCCTTCAGAAGCAAGCCCCTGCCCATTTGTCCTCAGGCTACAATAACCCAGTCCTCATCTTGTCTACCTTCTCCCTGCGATCCTGGTTTTAAACTCATATTTATTCATTCAACAAGTGTACCTGGTACCATGCTAAGTGCTGCAGACACATGAGTGAGCAAAGCTAGGCAAAGCTCCTGCCTGTTATGGAGCTTAGAGTCCATTTTCACAAATGCATAATTGCAAACGTGTTTCTGTGGAGGAAGATGATATTATTTGCTGAGATGATACACCCAGGACTCTGACTTGGTCTGGAGGTCACATGCAGGGATTCCTTTAGGATGTGACATGTGAAAGACATGGATATTTGTTGAGCAAAGGAGCTTGAGGTCAAAGGAAGTGGGTTCTGGGCAAAGGGACACGCAGGCAGGTCCTACAGTAGAAAGGAGCATGGATTCTTTAAGGCCCTGCGAGGGTCAGTGTGTGGAGGGCAAGGGGAAGCGGTTCGAGACCACACAGAAAGCTTGGAAGGGCCAGGTCATGCTGGGCCCTAGCAACAGGTGAAGGACGCTGGCATATGTGAGGGGCAGAGGAAAGCCACTGAAGGACTGGAGCACATTTGTGGTTTTTAAAGGTCACTCCAGGCCAGGCACAGAAGCTCACATCTGTAATCCCAGCATTTTGGGAGGCTGAGCGGGGAGGATTACCTGAGCCCAGAAGTTTGAGACCAGTCTGGGCAACATAGTGAGTCCCCATCTCAACAAAAAATACAAAAATTAGCCAGTTAAGGTGGCACACACCTGTAGTGCCAGCTACTCAGGAGGCTGAGGTGGGAGGATCGCTTGAGCCCAGGAGGTCAAGGCTGCAGTAAGCCGTGATCACACCACTGCACTCCAGCCTAAGTGACAGAGCAAGACCCTCTCTTAAAAAAAAATTAAAAATTAAAAAAGGGGGGGGTGCACAGTGGCTCACACCTGTAATCCCAGCACTTTGGGAGGCCGAGGTGGGCGGATCACAAGGTCAAGAGATGGAGACCATCCTGGCCAACATGGTAAAACCTTGTCTGTACTAAAAATACAAAAATTAGTTGGGTGTGGTGGCGCACACCTTTAGTCCCAGCTATTCAGGAGGCTGAGGCAGAAGAATCGTTTGAACCCAGGAGGCGGAGATTGCAGTGAGCCAAGATTATGCCACTGCACTCCAGCCTGGTGACAGAGCGAGACTCCATCCAAAAAAAAAAAAAAAAAAGCCAGGCGTGGTGGCTCACACCTATAATCCCAGAGCTTTGGGAGGCTGAGGCAGGTGGATCAACTGCGGCCAGGAGTTTGAGACCAGCCTGGCCAACACAGTGAAACCTTGTCTCTACTAAAGAAAAACAAATACAAAAAAATAGCTGGGCATGGTGGCATGCACCTATAATCCCAGCTACTCAGAAGACTGAGGCACGAGAATCACTTGAACCCAAGAGACGGAGGTTGCAGTGAGCAGAGATTGTGCCACTGCACTCCAGCCTGGGCAACAGAGCAAGACTGTGAAAGAAAGAAAGAAAGAAAAAGAGAGAAAGAGAACAAGAGAGAGAGAAAGAGGAGGAGATAAGGAGAGGAGAGAGAGAAGAGGGGAGGGGAGGAGGAGGAGAGGAGAAAAGAGAGCCCTCCAGCTGCTTTGTGGAGGACAGATTAGAAAAGGGCAAAGACAGGCCGGGCGCAGTGGCTCACGCCTGTAATCGCAGCACTTTGGGAGGCCGAGGCGGTTGGATCACGAGGTCAGGAGATCGGGACCATCCTGGCCAACACGGTGAAACCCTGTCTGTACTAAAAATACAAAAAAAAAATTAGCCAGGCGTGGTGGCGGGCGCCTGTAGTCCCAGCTACTCAGGAGGCTGAGGCAGGAGAATGGCGTGAACCCGGGAGGCGGAGCTTGCAGTGAGCCGAGATCGCGCCACTGCACTCTAGCCTGGGCGACAGAGCGAAACTCTGTCTCAAAAAAAAAAAAGGGCAAAGACAGATACAGGGAAATGTCAACTAATAAATGTAGGTGGAGCAATAGAATTAGAAAACTCAGCCAGGCACAGTGGCTCACACCTGTAATCCCAGCACTTTAGGAGGCCGAGGCGGTTGGATCACTTGGGGTCAGGAGTTCGAGACCAGCCTGGCCAACATGGTGAAACCCTAACTCTACTAAAAATACAAAAAAAATTAGCCAGGCATGATGCACATGCGTGTAATCCCAGCTACTTGGGAGACTGAGGCAGGAGAATCACTTGAACGTGGGAGGCGGAGGTTGCAGTGAGCTGAGATTGCGCCACTGGACTCCAGCCTGGGCAAAAGAGTAAGACTCTGTCTTAATAATAAGAAGAAGGAGAAGAAGACAACTCAACATTTGGGGACCACTATAGACTTATCATTAATGGATGCTAAACCACTAGCTGAAAGTTCATTGAGTTTGTTGAAAGATAGGGTATCTAAATAGTCTCAAAGTATCTTCCCCACAAATTTCTGATTACTTACAAAGGAAAAAAGGTACCTTTACAATGGAGAAATATATCACCATTGGTCAAGCATAGTATCACCAATAATGAGACAAATAGACAGTATGTGCCTCCTGATATGAAGCACTAAGAAGATCACAACTTCACTATGAATTGCTGTTGCTAAACTGTGTTACCTGCCTCTAATAATAAGGGAACAATCAGGAAAATCTAAATGGAGGGACATCCTATGGAACAACTGGCCTGCACTCTTAGTCAATATCAGTGTCTTAAAGGACAAAGAAAAGCTGAGGAACTGTTCCAGAGTAAAGGAGACTGACTAGGCAGACAGAGGAAGGGGCCACAAGCCATGCAATGCAGGTGGCCTCTAGAAGCCAGAGAAGACAAACAATTCTCCCCTAGAGCCTCTGAAAGGAACACAGCCCTGCTGACACCTCAATTTTAGGACTTGACCTCCAGAACTGTAAGATAATATATTATGGTTTTCTTTTCTTTCTTTTCTTTTTTTTTTTTTTTTGAGACGAAGTATCGCTCTGTCGCCCAGGCTGGAGTGCAGTGGCGCAATTTCAGCTTACTGCAACCTCTGCCTCCCAGGTTCAAGCAATTCTCCTGCCTCCACCTCCGGAGTAGCTGGAATTACAGGTGTACCACCATGCCTGGCTAATTTTCGTATTTTTAGTAGAGACAGGGTTTCACCGTGTTGGCCAGGCTGGTCTTGAACTCCTGACCTCAGGTGATCCACCCGCCTCGGCCTCCCAAAGTGCTGGGATTACAGGCATAAGCCACCACACCTGGCCAATTGTGTTGTTTTTAAGCCAGTAAGTTTGTGGTGATTTGTTACAAACAAAGGAAAAATAGGCATGGTAGTCAAACACACACAGAACTGGTGCTAATGCATATCACCTGCTATTTTGTATAGTTGTATTTTGGACTCATCCTCTATTCAAAGTATTTCTTTGTTTGTTTTTTGAGACAGGGTCTCCCTCTGTCACCCAGGCTGGAGTGCAGCGGCACAATCTTGGCTCACTGCAACCTTGACCTCCCAGGCTCAAGCAACCCTCTAACCTCAGGCTTCCAAGTAGCCAGGACTACAGGCATGCGCCACCATGCCCAGCTAATTTTTTGTATTTTTGGTAGAGACGGGGTTTCACCATGTTGCCCATGCTGGTCTCAAACTCCTGAGCTCAGGTGATCTGCCTCGGCCTCCCAAAGTGCTGGGATTATAGGCATGAGCCATCACACCCAACCTATTCAAAGTATTTTTTTTTGAGACAGAGTCTCGCTCTGTCGCCCAGGTTGGAATGCAATGGTAGGATCTCAGCTCACTGCAACCTCCACCTCCCGGGTTCAAGCAATTCTCCAGCCTCAGATTCCCAAGTAGCTGAGATTTCAGGCATGTGCCACCACGCTTGACTAATTTTTGTATTTTTAGTAGAGATGAGGTTTCACCATGATGGCCAGGCTGGTCTCAAACTCCTGACCTCAGATGATCCACCCGCCTTGGCTTCCCAAAGTGCTGAGATTACAGGCATGAGGCCCCACACTTGGTCTCAGAGTTTTTTGTTTTTTTTTTTTTTTTTTTGAGACAGAGTCTTGCTCTGTTGCCTAGGCTAGAGTGCAATGGCACGATCTCGGCTCACTGCAACCTCCGCCTCCCAGGTTCAAGTGATTCTCCTGCCTCAGCCTACCCAGTAGGCAGGATTATAGGCACGCGCCACCATGCCCAGCTAATGTTTTGTATCTTTAGTAGAGATGGGGTTTCACCATGTTGGCCAGGCTGGTCTTGAACTCCTGACCTTGTGATCCGCCCACCTTGCCCTCCCAAAGTGCTGGGATTAAAGGCGTGAGCCACGGTGCCCGGACAGAATATTTTTAAATATTGATTTAGCCATCCAATAACTTTACTGCTTCTCCTACCTCCTTCCCGTGTCCTTTGTACAATGTCATGAGATATGTCGGCAGAGGCTCCATCCTGGATATCTGTAGCTTTTCCCTGCCTATCCAGAAACGACCCTCCTTGTTCTGGCCAGACCACCTCAGTTTCCTCAGAAGAGCCTCTGTTCCCTTGCTCTCCACTCAAGTAGTATGAGTGGGGCTGACCCCTACTCCTGTGCAGATCTGATCAATCCAGTTATTCCAACAATCTGGCCTCAGAGATTGGTTCCAGGGGATGAACACACAGGTGCATCAGTCCATTCAGAACAAATCCTGGGGCTTTTGCTGAAAGTATTGAAAGAGAAGATCCTTTTTTCCATGGGGGCTGCTAAGCTGAGACAATATAAGCCTAGAGCTCTTGGAGGACACTCTGTAAAAAGAACCTAATCTGAGGCCAGGCGTGGTGGCTCACGCCTGTAATCCCAGCACTTTGGGAGGCCGAGGTAGGTGGATCACTTGAGGCCAGCAGTTCGAGACCAGCCTGGCCAACATGGTGAAACCCCCATCTCTACTAAAAATACAAAAATTAGACAGGCATGGCGGTGCGCACCTGCATTCCCAGCTACTTGGGAGGCTAAGGCAAGAGAATCGCTTGAATTCAGGAGGTGGAGGTTGCTGAGATTGCGTCACTGCACTCCGGCCTGGGTGACAGAGTGAGATGATTTAAAAAAAAAAAAAGAGCCTAATCTGAGACTGAAGCCAACTCAAAGGAGCAGTGAAGAGTGGGAGAGACCAAGTTCTGATGACATCACTTGTGCCCCTGGATCCTGCTGAGCCAACCCCAGAGCCTTTTATGTCTGCCAACATATTCCTTTTTTGGGGGGGGGGACTAAGTCTCACTCCGTCGACAGGCTGGAGTGCAGTGGCGCGATCTCAGCTCACTGCAACCTCTGCCTCCCAGGTTCAAGCGATTCTCCTGTCTCAAGCCTCCCGAGTAGCTGGGACTACAGGCACCTGCCACCATGCCCAGCTAATCTTTGTATTTTTAGTAGAGACCAGGTTTCACCATGTTGGCCAGGATGGTCTCAATCTCTTGACCTCATGATCCGCCCGCCTCGACCTCCCAAAGTGCTGGGATTACAGGCGTCAGCCACCGCGCCCGGCCCCCTCTCTTTTAAAAACCAGTTTGAATTGAGTTTCCATCACTATAACTGAAAGAATACTGGGAAATATACCTTCCAGGCCCAGATATATATTTCCACCATATTTCCTTGATTTACACATTTATACATTTCACATCAAGAAATAAGGTTAACCTAGTGTGACTTGGTCTTTGTCACTGTTGTTTCATCTTTGGAGAGGTCACAAATATTTTTTTGTTAAGTCATCTGCCCTGAAGATTTTCCAGGCCCAATGTCAGGTTCACTGATCTGTGGTTTGCAGAACTCACTTTCTTCCTCTTTTAAAAAATGGTCATGTAATCTGCCTCTCTCTAACCTTTTGACAAGGTCAGAAAACCTTCTACGAAGTCAGGAGAGGGTCTGCATGATATTCCCCTAAAACAGAATCTGACTCTAAATGAGTCACCTTTTTACAATTCTCCCAAACAGCTGGTAATGCAAGGGCAGGTCAGGATGGCACAAGTCGGTGCCTTGTGCTAGGTTCACTTGCTGACCCAGGGAAGGAGTTTATTCAGCCACAGCATCCATCCTCCTCCATTCCCATGAATTCTACAAGATGGCACTTGCATCCTGCTGGACTCACGGCAGAACCTGCAGAGACCAAAAGCGTACCCACTCGCCTGTAGCAACCACGTAAAGGAATGAGGGGTATTGGACACAAACTGAATTCACACCAAGCTGGAGACACCCTGAGTTCCAGCTTCACATGCATGGTGGCCACACCCAGTTGGTCAAACAAATCTGGAGTGTACTAGAAGGAGCTATGGTGCTGAAGGCTCCATAACCCTCACGGCACTGCAGCTCCCAGCTTTTTTCTTCATGTGTTCCCTTAAACTTTCCCAAGGAGTCTACAGTTCAAGTCTACATCTTTCCAAGGACTGCCACTTCTGCTTGGGGTGTGGGACAGGTACTTGATCATCGATCCATATGTCATCTTTTCTCTTAAGTGATAGAACTTGTTTCTCCTGCATAACTCCCGTAATTTCAGAAAACCCACCGTTTTCTAAAATTGACATTCAGCCCTATTTCAGATATCACTGCATTTCTTTAGAGACAGAGCTTGATCATTTAAGGAGCTACCAGAAGGAGCATTATAGCACTGGAATGTAGTTGTACAAATATCTTCAGAAAATTTGAGGTGTCAGTCAATACTCCAGAACCAGATTCTCCACTTTGCTAGGTGCTGGAGTCGAGTTTGACATAACCCCCACATTACTAGGGAGGGGCTGTCAGTTTATGTTTCTATACTTCCTCTACAACTAAAAAGGCGTCCAAAGGCAGCACTTCTATTTTAAAAACTTTTTTTCTTTTAATTGAGGAGACACAGAAGAAACTGAATGGCCTGAACGTTGTGTTTACTGTATTTGCTGAAAAGATGCCGACTGGCCTAGAATTTATGGAGCAGCTGAGATGGAATCTACCAGTCTCAAAGATGCCCCGTTTTAAAAAGTAAATTGGCCTCTGATTGCTCTTCCATACCAAGTATCCAAGCCGGACATTTTTCTTTTTTAAATCTCTTTTGAAAAATTTTTATACCATTTATTTATTATTATTTTTTTTAGCTCCTGCTCAAAGCCTCGCTGGACTAATTTTAATGGTATGTTGGTTAATAACATGCCTTCGCCGTAACTAGGGGATAGGGAGGGTAACTGACACGGCTGTTTTAAAGGTAGGGAAACCGAGGGCCAGGAAACAACTAGAATCCGACGGTATTTCCTAGCTCCCTGATGGCGCTTCCCATGCCCCCAACTAAATCATGAAATAACCCACTCACCTGTTTGCACCGGGCCTGCCCCACCCACTCCTCCCAGAGTCCGAGAACACCCAGCCTCTAAGCAGAGCCAGCAAGGGGGCGCCGGGCGTACCCGAGAGCGCTCCCACCGAGCGTGGGCAGGCCTCGGGCCCCTCAGGCTCCGCCCTGTCACGTGACACCAAGCGCTGGCCGCCTCCCGCCCCCCGCGAGGGGAGGGCCGTCTCGCGCCTGCGCAGAAGGGGCTGGAGGCGGGCGCGTCCGGTTGACTGACAGCTCGCGCCGCGGCGCCGGGAAAGGACCCGGCTGCTCGCGGGCGGCGCAGTCGCCGCAGCAGCCGAGTCTGACGGCGCCGGTTCGCTGCCCGGTCCGCCCGCGGTGAGAGGTGCGGTGGGGTGGCCTCAGGCCGGCCTGACAGGCTCATGAGGGGAAGGATGACCCGGGAGGGACGGCGGGGACCCGGGATGGGGGTCTGCGAGGGGTGACAGCTGGGAGCGCCGTGGGGCGAGGGGCGCGGGGAGGGAGGAGGGGTCCGCGGGGCGAGCGGGGGCGGGGCCTCGCGGGCCGAGGGCTCAGGCCGGGGTTCTCCGCGGGCTCCTCGCCTGCTGGGAGGCAAAGGGAATAGGGGAAGGTCGCCGGGAGCCCACGGGCGGAGGGGCAGTGCGGACGCCCGTGAATGAGTGCAACCCGGGCCGCTGCCTGGAGGAGGCGCCCCCAACCCCGGGGCAGATGGTGGCAGCAGGTGGCTTTGGGATGGAGCTGGTGTCCCAGTCTTGGGGGAAGAAGAAACCCCGGACTCCTGCAAGGGCATTCTGGGGAGAGGGTGCAAGGACCCCGGGGGAAAGACATTGGCGAGTCATGCGTGTGTGCGGGGTGTGAAGTTGCTGCCTCACCGCTCCCGGGGCTTAGCAGGGTGGGGGTGAGAGAAAGGGGCTTCCTGGCCTGGGTGGCCACCCCTGTCCATTCTGCGTCTTCCCTCTGCTCTTGATGGGCCAGTGAGCAAAGGGGAGGATTGCAGGGAGGATAGCAATGGAAATGCGGTTTTAGCAGCTCAGTTTAGGACCGCTGGATCAGATAGAATTGAACCCGTTTAGAGGATCTTGCAAAGGACAGAATTGAGTGTTCTGGAGCTGGGTGCGTGCCCCCCACCCCCGCCCTTGTCCTGGGTTTGTGCTTTCCTGGGTTGCAGGTTGATTAGACTTGGGAAGATGAAAAGGGGAAGAGGAAAAAAAGACTTTACAGGGGCACTAGCCAGGTCCTATTCCTCTCTAGGTAGGGGCCAGGCATGAGTCCCAGCCTCCAGATTGAGCAGGAACAGCCTCTGAGCTGGCACAGGTGAGGCGCCCCTGACGTGGAAGTAGTGGCTGTGGTGAGTCAGTGTTAGAGGCA
Organism: Homo sapiens; assembly: GCF_000001405.40. Lineage (NCBI taxonomy): Eukaryota > Metazoa > Chordata > Mammalia > Primates > Hominidae > Homo > Homo sapiens. The sequence goes on from NC_000016.10 coordinate 85,028,863, forward strand.
GGCTGACAGCTGTCAGGACCGAGGCTGCTTTAGCCAGCCTGCGACTCGATGTTGATGTTTCGGATTCATTTCCTTAGAGGCATCCTCCTCCCTCAGCCTAAAAGCAGGGCAGAGAGATGCTTAACACCGAATCGTTCAAAGGAAAAAGGTTTGGGTAATATTGCATGTGAGCGTTCCTTCCTGTCTTCCCCCCATTTCTCCTGGGAAGCGTATGTTCTCCATTGTTCAGTGTCTCTCTTTGGCTGTCACTTGTTTTTATTTCCACTTTGTTCAGAAATAGGACTGCTTACGCCTTTGAAACACAGGACGAAAGGCTATTGAAATTGGCTCGCAATGAAAAAGTTGACTCATGAGATTTTTTTTCCATTAAAGAGATGAAGATGGCGTGGGACTCACATGTAGGCAGCGTTTGCGATCAGATCATCACTAACCTCTCTGTGTTACATTCTGACGTTTCTGGCCCTGTTTGCCTTTTGTATGGGATGTGTCAGTTAGTGTGAAGGTTGGTTTGCATTATTTGAGATGTAACAGCCAAAGGCAATGAGAAGCCACTAGGTGACTGAGTAAATCACAAGCCTTAAATAATCTGCTGCCAAATCCCAGAAAGTGGTCGATTTCCATAGATATTGAATGTGGCTCTCTTTTCACGACAATAACTGCTTCTTCAAAGGTGAATTGCTTTATAGTAGCCCCAGCGGCTCTGAGGAGCATCTTTTAGGACAGTCCCCAGGAAGGGGTGGGATGAGTCATGCTGTCTGCTTCTCTCTCCTCCCACCTCCTCCCTCCTTTCTCTCATAAAGCAAAAGTAATCAGGTTAAAAGAAACACGAACAGCAGCCTGGGGCAGTTTTTTAAAAAAAGTCCTGAGAAGTCAACCAGCAGCAGGAAAGACATGCAAAGGCAGGAGTAAAAACCCTATTGCCCGTAATAACCCTCACTTTAATACTTCCCAAGGGTTTTCCCATGCAGACTCTTGGCTGATCTTCATTATAAGCTTGGCAGTCATGGTGGGTTTGTTATCGTTCCCATGTCATAGATGAGGAAACTGAGGCTGAGTGACTTGCCCAGGGTCTCTTTGCTACTGGGGGCACAGTGAAGTGTTTAACCCAACCGTCTGACGCTGGATATAGCAGCCCTTACCGCTCTGTGGAATGGGAAGTGGGGCGGATCCGGGTGGTTTGTGCCTCACACGAGGGGTCCCCAGAGGCTTGCAAAACATCCTTCTCTTCCACCACCTCCCCGGCTTACCGAGTCTGCCGCAGCACCCCTGCGCCCGCCCCAAGCTTGAGGTAGTCTGCATGGACTCAGATTTATTTAGACGTCCTTGAGAAATCCAGTAGGAAGTATGATTGCAAAGAGCGTCTTTTGCTTAAGTCTCTGTGTTTCCAAATAGCCCAGGTGTCTTCAGCTGTGTGAGGCAAGAGAGCACGCAGTTCTCCGGCAGCCTGCTAGAATCGTTTTCCTTGTCCCCCACCCAAAAGAGAAATGCGGTGGTTGTGAAACCAAGGGAGCTGACCCAGTAACTTTGTTTATTCGAAACCGTTTTTTATATGTGGCATTGTATGCATTATGGTGACACTTAAGAAAAATAAGCCATAGGGCTGGGCGCGGTGGCTGTTGTTTTCCTGTAATCCCAGCACTTTGGGAGGCCGAGGCAGGTGGATCACCTGAGGTCAGGAGTTCGAGACCAGCTTGGGCAACGTGGTGAAACCCCGTCTCTACTAAAAATACAAAAATTAGCTGGGCATGGTGGCGGGTACCTGTAATCCCAGCTACTCAGGAGGCTGAGGCAGAATCACTGGAACCCAGGAGGCGGAGGTTGCAGTGAGCCTAGATCGCGCCACTGCACTCCAGCCTGGGTGACAGAGAAAGACTCCATCTAAAAAAAAAAAAAAAAGACAAAAATAAAGGCATGGTGTTCTCATGAGGGAAGGACAAGTTTTAATCCCACTTTCTAAATCTGGGCATCATGGGGAGGAGTCCTAAAAAGGAATTCACGGGGAGGTTGGCCAGTAAATGTTTCGGCAAGTCAGTGGTATAAAACAATGGAAAGCCAAGGCAATCCCCAGCACACGAACAGAAGTGTAGGTCTGGAATGAAACAGGTGATAGTTCCAATCTACTCCATGCTTAGAACATTGTGTTCTTTTCTGGACATCACATGTAATGAAGGATGCAGAAAAAAATAAGCATATTAATTGGAAACCGCTACAGTGGTGAATGAATTAGATGTAAGCCTGGAGAAGCTTGGGAACTGTGATTTATTAAGCTCATTCTGTAGAGGCCCAAGGTTCCAAGAACTGAAGGACAAAAGTAATCGTTAGAAAGACTTGGCCTTGGCTGGGTGTGGTGGCTACGCTTGGAATACCAGCACTTTGTAGGGGCCAGGGTGGGCGGATCACTTGAGCCCAGGAGTTCAAGATCAGCCTGGGCAACATGGCAAAACCCCGTCTTTACCAAAAAATAAACAAAAATTAGCCAGGTGTGGTGGTGCAAACCTGTAATCCCAGCTACTAGGGAGGCTGGGGTGGGAGGATCAGTTGAGCCCCAGAGGTGGAGGTTGCCATGAGCTAAGAATGTACCACTGCACCCCAGACTTCAGTTTTAAGACCGTGATTATGCGAGAGTGGTCGTTTAAAAACTCTTGAGTTAAATCTTGTCTGTCCCCAGCAGCTTCCCAGGACCTTGGTCAACTAGGGCAACTGCACAGGTGCTGACTGACCCTGCCTGTTTCTCCAGCTTCATTGACTGCTGCTGTCATTCACCACGGTCCTGCCTTCTTCCTGTGCCTTCCGTGTGCCAAGATGACTCTGCCTCAGGACCTTTGCCTGGGCTGTTCCTCCCCTTTCCATGGCCAGCTTCCTGTCATTCAGGTCACTGCTGCAATATCACATCCTTAGTGAGACCTTCCCTAATAGTCAAAATAATGTTCCTTTTTCCTCTGATCCCTGCCCACTCACTCTATCATATTACAGTGTTTTATTTTCTTCATAACAATATCAGAAATGACCTTGTTTAATGGAGAATGCTTTTACTAGAGACGGTGAAACCTAGCCTGGCTAGCGGACCACTGGGCAAGAGAATTCAGGCACTAGACAGACAGTAATGCCAGGTCACCTTTATTTCTCTCGGGAGTGCTCTCACAAAGAACCACGCACTGGGGCTTAAAGCAACCGAAATTTATTCTCACAGTTCTGGAGAACAGAAGTCCAAAATTAAGGTGTCGACAGGGCTGGTTCCTTCTTGGGGACTCAGAGGGAGACTCTGTGCCTCACTCCCAGCTTCTACTGGTGGCCGGTGATCCGTGTTGTCCCCTCACTGGCAGCTGCATCACCCCAGGGTCTGCCCCTGTGGCCACATGGCCTACTTGTCCCTGCATGTTTGTCTCCACTTCATGTCTCCTCCTGTGGGTCTGCCTCTCTTCTCCTCTTAAAAGGGCACCAGTCGGATTGGACCTGGGGTCCACACTACTCCATTGTGACCTTCTGTTTTCTTGAGACAGAGTCTCTGTTGCCCAGGCCGTAGTGCAGGGCATGATCTCAGCTCACTGCAACCACTGCCTCCCAAGTTAAAGCCATTCTTCTGCCTCAGCCTCCCATGTAGCTGGGATTACAGGTGTGTGCCACCACGCCTGGCTAATTTTTGTATTTTTGGTAGACATGGGGTTTCGCCATGTTGGCCAGGCTGGTCTCAAGTTCCTGACCTCAAGTGATCCTCCTGCCTTGGCCTCTCAAGTGGTGGGATGACCTCCTCTTAACTAATTACATCCACAAAGACCCTTTTTTTTTGAGACAGAGTTTCAGTCTGTCGTCCAGGCTGGAGTGCGGTGGCACAATCTTGGCTTACTACAAGATCCGCCTCCCGGGTTCACACCATCCTCCTGCCTCAGCCTCCCGAGTAGCTGGGACTACAAGTGCCTGCCACCACTCCCGGCTAATTTTTTGTATTTTTAGTAGAGGCAGGGTTTCACCGTGTTAGCCAGGATGGTCTTAATCTCCTGACCTCATGATCCGCCTACCTGGGCCTCCCAAAGTGCTGGGATTACAGGCATAGAGACCGCGCCCGGCCCCACAGAGACCCTATTTTCAATTAAGTTCACAGATTCCCTGGGTTAGGACCTCAGCATATCTTTTGGGTCCAGGGGTTGCGGCGGGTGTGCCTGAATTCAATCCATAATGCCTTCCAGCATCAAGATGCAGTGATGTTTTAAAGGGATTGGCAGGAGGTGCTCAGTTATTTTTAGGGATAATGACAGGGATGTGGACGTTTTTACGAGAAGCATTCATGATCCTTATGATTTGCGAGACAAGTACTGACCGTTGTGCTTCACCGTGAAGAGGTCGAGCAATCCAGCGACCTGCCCGAGGCCATGCGGCTCCTGACAGTGAATCTCCTCACTTCTGATTGCAGAGCCCACAACATCTTTACCCCTCCCAGCAGGGACGCCACAGCAGCAGGGATGCCACAGCTGCTTCAGGTCAGGATGCAGGGTTTCTCTGATGCACTCTGCAGGGGCCCAGAGAGATGATTCCCTTCTTTTGCGTTTTGCTGCACTGGTCCTTGTAGTGGAGGAACAGCTCATCGGCGTCCAGCAGTGAAATAAATGGCGCGGGTGAATACGATGCCCTGCCACTTAGGCAATGCTGCCCAGAGGCGGTGGCGTATGTAGAAGCCTCCTCCCGTGTGTAATTTGGAAGGGCTGTTCACGAAGGCCTCCAGAGCTCTGCACTTCTGCATCTCATATCTGACCAAGGGTGAGCCCTCAGGGAGTTCATAGAGCAACTTTTCTCCCTTTGGGCTGGGGGTGGGGGCAGGGATGGGGGAGGGTAGAGCAGGACCGTCGCCAGCTGACTTATCTGGTGACTGGCACTGGCACCTGGAGATGCCTCAATTCCTCATTCTGTCACCCAGATACTCAATATGCCCGTCTTTATTTATTTTTGACTAAGTAATATGTGCAGATGGTACCAAATTCAAATGATACAGAAAGATGTCGTAGTTTGTCTCTCCCTGCCCCACCCCCCACTTCCCAGTTACCCTCCCCAGTGGCATTACTGCCCATTTCTTGTGTCTCCTTCCAGAGATCCAGTGTCCTTTTAATGTCCCCAATTACCATCATCCCCCTCACCCCGTGGGCCATGCTCGCCATCCCTCCCCTCAATCCTTCCTTCCTCCAACCTCGCCACAGCACATCTGTTGGGACAGATGACTTGTTTCCCATGTTAAGAGCTGATGAGGCCAGGCATGGTGGCTGATGCCTGTAATCCCAGCACTTTGGGAGGCGGAGGCAGGTGGATCACTGGAGGTCAGGAGTTCGAGACCAGCCTGGCCAACATGGTGAAAACCTCTCTCTTACTAAAAATACAAAAATTAGCCAGGCATGGTTGTGGGTGCCTCTAAGCCCAACTACTAAGGAGGCTGAGGCAGGAGAATTGCTTGAACCTGGGGGGTGGAGGCTGCAATGAGCTGAGATCACACCATTGAACTCCAGTCTGGGCGACAAGAGGGAAGCTCCATCTCAATAAACAGCGACAACAACAAAAAAGCTGATGACTGTACTCCTGCCAAGGAGTTTATCTGGGGAAGGAAGGTGCTTAGCAGAAATGAGTCTGTAGAGGTAAATGTGGGGCAAGAGTGTGGGGAAAGGGCTTTTATTTATGGGGTGGTTTTCGTAGTCTTGTGCCTTAGACTTCACTCGGTAGGGTTTGCCCTGTCCAGGGCAAGTACAGAGGACTCACCGGAAGGAAGGCGATGGGGGCAGTTTATCTTATGTGGCTGAGGTATAAAAATAGTGTGGTTGTTATTATGGCTCATATTTATAGGGTTTCCTCTGTCCACGCCCAGCTGTGTGCCCAGTGCCTTATGGGGCTGTCACTTTAGCCCTCACCAAAACAGTATAACGTAGCCAAGGTTACCGTCCCCATTTCACAGATGAGAAAACTGAGGCATAGAGAGGCAGAGTAACATGGCTCCATCACACAGTGTGTAGGGGCAGCGCCAGCACATGGGTCAGGGCAGCCCATCTCTGGACCTGGGTTCTTTGCCTCTCCCCTGTGCTGCCTCTCCTGAGAAAGTGCAGGTCACCTTTGAGACCCCCTGTCACCGGAGACAAGTGCTCTGCAGGGCGCTGGGCCCCTAAGCCCCACCCCACACCTGTGCACCTACCTCTGCCCCCCTTCCCCAGGCCGAGCCGTCAGGTACCCTGCTTCCTCTCAGCCCTCTGATTTCCACCTGGCTGTCAAAATCCCAGGCCCCAGGACATCTTCCCGGAGCCCCCAGTTCTCCGAGCATGGCCATGGTGGTGCTGGGTCTGTCCCCCATTCCGTGGCAGGCACTTGTCTCTTGCCCCCTTCGCTGCCTGTTCCTCTCTGAGCAGGTCAGAAGTGGCTCTGCAAGTTCTGTGTTGTCCTGCTCGTTCTTCGGTTCCCCAGGCCTAGCCCAGTGCTCAGCATGGAGCAGGTGACGAAGAAACGCTGGTAGCACAGGCAGCTGGTGGTTTAGGAAGCCCTGGTCTCCACCTGGCTCTGTGGGGACCCTCCTCTCCCAGGCTGTAAAAGGAAGGCTTTAACCTCAAGTCTTTTAGCGTCAGAATCTCTCTCACTTTGCTTACGCTGTTTGTTTTGTTTTTTGTTTGTTTGTTTGTTTTTAGAGATGAGATCTTGCTCAGTCGTCCAGGCTGGAGTGCAGTGGTGCAATCACCGCTCACTGCAGCCTTGATCTCCCGGGCTCCAGTGATCCTCCCACCTCAGCCTGCCAAGTAGCTGGGACTACAGGCATGTGCCACCATGCCCCACTAATTTATTTTTATTTTTTATTTCTAGTAGAAATGGGATCTTGGCTGGGCGCGGTGGCTCACGCCTGTAATGCCAGCACTTTGGGAGGCTGAGGCGGGCGGATCATGAGGTCAGGAGATCGAGACCATCCTGGCTAACACAGTGAAACCCCGTCTCTACTAAAAGAATACAAAAAAATTAGCCAGGCTTGGTGGCGGGTGCTCGTAGTCCAGCTACTTGGGAGGCTAGGCAGGAGAATGGCATGAACCTGGGAGGCAGAGCTTGCAGTGAGCCGAGATCGTGCCACTGCACTCCAGCCTGGGCAACAGAGCGAGACTCCGTCCCAAAAAAAAAAAAAAAAAAAAGGAATGGGTTCTTACTATGTTGCCTGAGCTGGTCTTGCACTTCTGGGCTCAAGCAATCCTACCGCCTTGGCCTCCCAAAATGCTGGGATTACAGGCATGAACCACCACACCTGGCCTGCTTAGAGTGTTTAAACAGCCTTCTTTCCTCCTTCTTTGTTTGTTTCTTTAACAGCTTATTGAGTATGTTTTAGATATCATAACATTTTTCCATTTCAATTGTACAATTCAGTGATTCTTAGTAACTTTACTGAGTGATGCAACCCTTATCATAATCTAATTTCAGAATGTTTCCATCACTCCATCAACGAAACCCCTTTCCCATTTGCAGTCTCTGCCCCTGCCTCCCAAACTGGCCTCTGACAACCACTAATCCAGTTTCTGACTCTGTGGATTCGCCTGCTCTGGACATTTCGTAAACCTGGAATTGTCCAGTATGTGGCCTTGTAACTAGATTCATTTTTAGTTCATTGCTATTGTAGCACGTGTCCATCCTTTGTTCCTTTTTAGTGTGGATGTTTTTAGTGATTGTCTAGTACTGGGAAAGAGTGCCGGTGCCTTCTGGCCCTCTGCACTCGTCTCCATCTGCCCTCTTGCAGATGGAGCCTTTGATTGTGGGGTGGACGAGCAGGCAGTAGCCCTACTGGGTGTGCTTATGTGTTACGCCACAGACCTTACTTGACTGTCACAGTGTTCCCGTACTTTCCTTTCTGTTCCAGGATCCAGTCCAGGGGACCACATTGCATGTGGTCACACCAGCCCAGCACCCCCTGCCCGGGGACAGCTCCCGCCTTTCCTTATTTCACACACAGTTTGGTGGTCTCCATGTAACACGGGATCTTCATAGCTCCCAGAAGGAAAGCCATGCAGCGGCAGCGTGTGTCTGAGGCCCGCCTTGCTCAATAGAGGAAGAACCTGACTTGAGAAAATCCTGCTTTCATTCTTGCAGGGTTTCTGGCCTTATTCCAGAAACTTTCTCCTGCCTCTAAATATCAGAAATGCATGGCCAGGACCCATAGCACTGTAGGAATAATTTCTAGCCAAGGCTGATGGGGATGGTAAATTAGAAGAAGGAAAGGAGAGAGAAGGGGATTATTTTTTTCTCTTCATGACTAAGTCCATGTAGGAAAGCATGCGCCTGGCAGACCATCTTCTTCAGTGACATCCTTTTCTCTGCCAGGTGTGTTTGGAGACATTTTCCTGGCCTTTACATCACAGCCAGGCGTGACTCACAAGCAGATGACTCAGTGGCAAAAGTGACCAATGAGCTAGGGGAAAATGAGAATCTGGGAACAGTGGAACAAATGGAAAATGCCAGAGTCAGTGCGTGTGGACGGCTGCTGTGACGCTGACTTCCTTGAGTCAGGGGATATCGGGTGAACCTAGGACGCTAGGATACAAAATGGGACCCTGAAAGGAGGGGTGGAAGCCTCATGAGGGAAGAGAACCACATTCTGAGTGAATAGTAAGTATCGAGAATGCAATAAAAGAATGAGATGAGACGAACACAGTGTCCATATGTCAATGTCAAACCTAAGACTGCCTCCCGTAATTTTTTAAAAACTTAATTTGCAGTGGTTAGAAGGAAATAGAAAACCCGTTAACCAAGTAAAACTAGTCTAATCCGCACTCTATTCAGTGAGAGGCAGATTATGTTGAACTTCATTATGCAGAACAACATCACTCCTAGAATCCCAAGGCCCAATTTGGATAATAAAAAACACTTTATGAGTCTGCTCTTGTGGAAGCAAGCGGTATTCTACATAATCAGAAATTTAATGGAAGTAGAATTAACAAAGTCATCTATGCTGTGGGAAAGAAGTAGCATCTCTCACGTCCTCTCTCCCTCCTCCAGGGAACCCTCCCAAGTGAGCTGGAGTGGCCAAGAGCAGAGGGGCCCCGTGAGGCTGCACGTCCTACCTGTGGTCCTGCATCTGTTCTTGCTAGCATGCCAGTCCACTCTCCACACAGTGGCCAGAGTGCAGCATCTTTCCAAAATCGAATTCAGGTCATGGCATTCCCCAGGTGTAAACCCTCTAGTTGCTCCTGGGATGTATTCCCAAGTCTGTAACTTGGCCTGCAAGTCCCTGCTTCCATGGGCTGGTCCCTGTAGCCCTCCCACCCTCAGCTCCTTCCACGCCACCTCTGTGCACCCCACTGGGCCACACTATGTCGCCGTAGATAGAATGGCCCAGGTCCATGCCCTTGAAGAGCATTGACTTTGCCTCTTCCCTGGGCTGGGCCCCACGGCCTCTGGATCATAGTGACCTCCCCGCTTTCTCCGGCTGAAGGTGCTCCTTGCTGCCAGCCGCCTTCCCTAACCCAGCACAATCCAGCAGAAATGCAAGACGCACCACGTGTATGATTTTAAATCTAGCAGCCACATTAAACAAGTAAGGGTATCTAGCAGTATAATTTATTTTTTAATTGGCCGGGTGCAGTGGCTCATGCCTGTAATCCCAGAAGTTTGGGAGGCTGAGGTGGGTGGATCACTTGAGGTCAGGAGTTCCAGACCGGTCTGACCAACACAGTGAAACTCCATGTCTACTAAAAAGACAAAAAGATAGCTGGGCGTGGTGGTGGGCACCTGTAATCCCAGCTACACGGGAGGCTGAGGCAGGAGAATCACTTGAACCTAGGAGGCGGAGGTTGCAGTGAGCCAAGATTGTGCCACTGCACTCCAGCCTGGGCGACAGAGCCAGACTCAGCCTCAAAAAAAAAAAAAAAATAATAATAATAATATCTTTGTTGATAGATTCTATTTAACTCAATGTATCCAAAATATTATTATTTCTACATGTAATCTATATAAAAATCACTAATGAGGTAGTTACATTCTCTTTTCTGTCCAAAGTCTGAAGTCTGATGTGGTCAGCAGGTCACAGCTTGAACGAGCCACATTCATGGGCTCAAGGGCCGCATGTGGCCAGCGGCTACCACAGTGGGTAGCACAGCTCTGACCTGTTAGTGACGTATTTTATTCATAGCACAGATGATGGCTATAGTATTTTTGTTTGCTTTTTTTGCTCTCTGACTAGGACATAAGCTCCCTGAGGGCCAGGCTTTTGTCTCTTTCACCCGGAGCAATGCCTGGTGCACTGTAGATGCTCAATAATACTTGTTGAGTGATTGAATGGACGGAGGCCAAACACAAACCCTCAATTCTCCTGCTGCTATAGAGGTCACGGAATAGTCAGTGCCATTGGAAGCCTATTTTAACCAGGCCCATTTAATGTCGCAAGGTTCCTTGTAACCCAAAACACTGTTTTATGTAGGGACTTATGTATCATCAAAGGTCTGTATGATTACTCTTTTTAATTTTTTTGAGATAGGGTCTCACTCTGTTGCCCAGGCTGGAGTGCAGTTGCACGATCAGGGCTCCCTGCAGCCTCAACCTCCTGGGATGAAGTGATCCTCCTGCATCAACCTCCTGAGTAACTGGGACCATAGGCATGTGCCACCACGCCCAGCTACTTTTATTTATTTTTTGTAGAGATGGGGTTTTGCTGTGTTGCCCATGCTGGTCTTGAATTCCTGGGTTCAAGCGATACTCCCACCTCAGCCTCCTGAGTAACTGGGACTACAGACTTGGGAATACTCCTGAGTAACTGGGACTACAGACATACGTCACCATGCCTGGCTAATTTTTATATTTTTTGTAGCAATGGGGTTTCGCCATGTTGGCCAGGCTGGTCTTGAACTCCTGACCTCAAGTGATCCCCCTGCCTCAGCCTGCCAAAGTATTGGGATTACAGGTGTGAGCCACCACTGCTGGCATGATTACTCTTTATTGGGTTTGGTTTTTCCGGATGATGCTGATACCAAAGAAAGAAAGGTTTTCTTTTCTTTTTTTTTTTTGAGGTGGCTCTCACTCTGTCACCCAGGCTGGAGTGCAGTGGCACCATCTTGGCTCCCTACACCCTCCGCCTCCCAGGTTCAAGCAATTCTCCTGCCTCGGCCTCCTGAGTAGCTGGGATTACAGGCATGTGCCACCGCGCCTGGCTAATTTTGTATTTGTAGTAGAGACAGGGTTTCACCATGTTGGCCAGGCTAGTCTCGAACTCCTGACCTCAGGTGATCCGCCCGCCTCAGCCTCCCAAAGTGCTGGGATTACAGGCATGAGCCACCGTGCCCGGCCAGAGAAGGGTTTTCAACAGGAAGCAAGTGCAGAGATTGAGATTCTTTGAAGCTATTGCTTGGAGTTAATATAGATCAGGAATTTTCAACTGGAGACATTTTCAGTTGTGACAACTCGGGGGTGCTTCTGGCATCTAGCGAGTGGAGGCCAGGAGTGCCCCAAGCATCCTATAGTGCAAGGACAGCCCCCACCACAAGGAGTGACCCAGCCCAAATATTAACAGTGTCATTGTCAAGAAACCCCACTGTTGGCTGGGCGTGGTGGCTCACGCCTGTAATCCCAACTACTCGGGAGGCTGAGGTAGGAGGATCGCTTGAACCTGGGAGGTGGAGGTTGCGGTGAGCTGAGATCGCACCACAGCACTCCAGCCTGGGTGACAGGATGAGAATCTGCCTCAAAAAAAAGAAACTCCAATGTCCATCATCGCAGGTACACGTTTGTTGCTGTCTCGGAATTACCTCTGGTAACGTTGGGAAAGTTTTTAGTTTCAGGAAACTTGAGAGGTTCCACGCAGGCCCCATCTTTTCATTCCCTTCTCTCTGTTCAGGTTAAACCCTCCCCAAGCTATCATTGCTTTTCCTAAAAGCACAGACTAAATGGGAGCCGCCTGCAGCCAAAGCGTTTTGAGATGAAAGAAAATTGGCTCCACTTGTAAACTACAGATGAGAATTTTGTAGAGAAGCCATCTAGAGAAGCGTGTGCCTTGAGAACTGTGGATCAATACACTTAAAGCAGTCCTTGGAACCTATTTAGATACGCTTGAAGCAAAACAGCCGCAGAAACCTCTTTCTTTTCGCTCACATGCAAGTAAACATCTGCCAACTCCACCATTTCCAGGCTCCTCAAAAATGCATTTGCATATTGCAAAGCAGGACTAGAGTGCAGAATGAGATGTATTTTAATTCTTGTTATATATTAAGGTCCCCTAAATAAGAATTCAGCTCCTGTTTTATTATGGGTAGAAAAGTGGTTGATTATATATGTTTCAGTTTTAGGGTTTTGGGGAATACTTCCAAATAGAAACTGAAGTTGTGCTAGACTAGGCAGTATTTTTTTAATCCTTCCCAACTCTCCAACTAGGTCGGAATCAGTCTGAATTAGCCATGTGGGGGATAGCAAACCACCTCACGCCTGTCACTTCGCGCCAACTGTTTCCTCTGTCCGGAATATCTTCCGTTGTATGACTGACAGGCTCAGGCTTCTACCAGATTTCACCCAAAGAACGCAGCCCTTGAAAACCGCCCCAGGCAGAGTGGAGTTCTGCTCCTGGGCTCCTACTGGCATCTGCCTCCTGGAGTCAGAGCGTATGGCACGTGGCTGTCATCTTCTCTGTATGCGTCTCTCTGGATTGTGCTTGGGAAAGGAAGGGTCATGTCCTATTCATCTTTGTTTCGTAGGATTTATCACAGTTCCAGTGCTTGATAGGGGCTTCAAGATGGTTGCCAAGTGAATGGCTTGAACTGGACAAAGTAACACCTTTTGTCTCGCTACTCGGGCGCTGCCTCCATCCGTAAGGAAAGGAGAAGTGGCAGAGACAGCAGCTGTCCTCTTCAGCCTCCGGTGATGAAATTCCCGGACTTGGCACTGAGCAGAGAGGTGACAAGCCACCCGGGGAAGGAGGGACCCTGGGTTCCCCTGTTTCTCTGTGTTACCCAGCTGGTGACACGGTGGGTGGAAAATGGGGGTTCTGGACCCATCTGAGGAAACCACCGCCTGACTTTGGGGATACAGCTTCACCTTGTCACTTCACTCTCTGGGCTTCAGTGTCCCGCTCTTGAAACGATTCCCGGGATTCCGAGCGTTTGCCCCTATGCTGCGCACTCCTGTCCCTCCTTGTCTGTCTGCCAAGCCCCTACCCATTTGCCAGAAGCCTGAAGTCTCATGTAACCCTGACATCCTGGGGTTTTATTTGAGTAACACAAAGTCTAGAATTAATTAGTGCACAGCTGTTTTGTTCCCACTTGTTTGCAAACATCCTTTATTCTCTTATAATTATTGTAATAACATTCAACTCTTTTCTTTTGGCAGCGAGTAACTTTTGCGAAAGCCCAGCATTTATGGGTGAAAAGTGCTAAGCCCTCCTTGTTTGTCAGTCTCTACTAAAGTGGGAAATAGAGAAGTTCAAATGCTTTGGATGGGATATCAAATTGCTAATCACGTGCGGTCTGTGTGTCTTCCAAATGAGGAGACCTATAGGTTGAGTCTTTTCCCATGGTGTTGGTCGAGGGAGTATTAATCCACCCCGGTGTACTGCAGCTATGTAAAGGGTCCTTATTCATCCCCCAGATGAGCAAATAGGGGGCAGGGTCCTTGTCCATACCCGCAATATTGTAAGGCTGTGGACTCCCCCTCTGCTTGGGTTTATCTAGACACTTCCATCTTTGCTCTGTAGCCTTAGGCAACTGTTTAACCCTTTTAAGCCTTAAAGTTTCTTCCTCCATAAAGTGGGGATAATAGTTTTAGCTCATATGTTACTGGAGAATGAAATCAGATAATTAATGCCTAGTATGTAGGGAATATACAATAAAGGTGAGTTGTAGTTATTATATCATTATCAAAAAGTAGTAAATAATGGTAATGCTGGGCATTGTGGAAAAGAATAGTCCAGACCAGCATGGCTCCCTCTCAGCAGTGCCGTGCACAGAGGCAGCAGCAGGCAGCAGTCGGCTTGGCCTTTCTGCAGGGCATTTGTGCCAGGCCTCGCCGTGGCACTCAGAGGCAGGCAGGCTTCTGACATTCCCCGAGAGGGAGGAGCAGAGACTTTTGAAATGTCTGAAATTGCCATCCTTTTATTCAAATATAAGTTTTTAAGGACACAATTTTTAGAAAACTGTGATTGTATATAACTTCTCTAACGGGTGGAATAAACATCTTTATTTTTAACAACTACGAGCTTTATAAACAAGTAGTAGGAAAGATAATTCTTTACATTTGCTAATATGTCATAACAGGCACAAACCGAAATACAATTTTAGACTAGCAGTGTATAAAAATACTTTTTAAATAGTAATTTTGATAGGTACAGTAGCACTTGAAAAAACAGCTGTGTAGTTATTCCTTGTGAGGACCTACTAAAACAATTCGATTTACTACCCCCAGCTACAACTGAAAGCACGAACCTGGAAAACAAGTTCTCTTACCCAGGTACACACCACACATACCTGCGCACTGAAACAACCTCCAGCCTCCGTCTATGGTGCACACCGATGAGGCGTCCTTCTCAAACAGGGCATGAGATGGCAGGGTTTGGAGCCTGTTGCTTCTTGGATTTTTTTTTTTTTTTTTTTTTTTTTTTTGAGACAGAGTCTCGCTCCATCACCCAGGCTGGAGTGCAGTGGTGCCATCTAAGCTCACTGCAACCTCTGCCTCCTGGGTTCAAGCAATTCTCATGCCACAGCCTCTTGAGTAGCTGGGACTACAGGCGTGCGCCACCACACCCGACTAATCTTTCATATTCTTAGCAGGGATGAGATTTCACCATATTAGCCAGGTTGGTCTTGAACTCTTGACCTCAAGTGATCCACCCACCTCAGCCTCCCAAAGTGCTGGAATTACAGGTGTGAGCTACCATGCCTGGCCAGGAAATGATGTTTAATGGATTGAAATGCCTTACTTGAGTCCGGACGCGGTGGCCCACGCCTGTAATCCCAGCACTCTGGGAGGCCGAAGCGGGCGGATCACCTGAGGTCGGGAGTTCGAGACCAGCCTGACCAACAAGGAGAAACCCCATCTCTACTAAAAATACAAAATTAGCCGGGCGAGGTGGCGCATGCCTGTAATCCCAGCTACTCGGGAAGCTAAGGCAGGAGAATCTTGAACCCGGGAAGCGGAGGTTGTGGTGAGTGGAGATTGCGCCAGTGCACTCCAGCCTGGGCAACAAGAGCAAAACTCAGTCTCAAGAGAAAAAAAAGAGAAATGCCTTACTTGAACCTTCTTGCTTGTAGACTGGCATGAACGTTTTTCCATCTTTGTTTCTTAAAAACCTCAATAGGACAGAAAGAAGGAAGCCCACCTTATCTTTTCCTTTTGTAGTCACTCATTAAGTTCTCTGTGGCTTGGGCCCTTGTCCCATCAACAGTGAAGACATTGGGTCAGTCGTATTGGTTTGTAACTGAGGAGAGGTGAACCAGTGGTGCCCGCTGTGTGTGCAGGGACTCTAGTCCCCAGGAAGGCATGTCGAGTGTCCCCTGTGTCATCTAGGGCAGGTCACAGCATTCAGCGAGGTGACTCAGAAATCAGGCCCCTCGTAGTATCCCAGAGGGGGACACGTTGACAATGTTTCCTTTCTTGGGGTTCGAAGTGAGGTCCCTGCTGTTCTGGAAACATAGTCTCTGTCCATCCACCACCACAAAGTAATGCTCCTCCTTTTTATTTTTATTTTTTTTTTTTTTTGAGACAGAGACTCGCCCTGTCGCCAGGCTGGAGTGCAATGGTGCGGTCTCAGCTCACAGCAACCTCTGCCTCCCAGGCTCAAGCGGTTCTTCTGCCTCAGCCTACCAAGTAGCTGGGACTACAGGCGCGTGCCACCATGCTTGGCTAATTTCTGTGCTTTTAGTAGAGACGGGGGTTTCACCATGTTGGCCAGGCTGATCTCAAACTCCTGACCTCATGATCCGCCTGTCTCAGCCTCCCAAAGTGCTGGGATTACAGGCATGAGCCACTGTGCCCAGGCAGTAATGCTCCTCTTAAGAAAGAAGGCATTTGGCCGGGTGTGGTGGCTCACACCTGTAATCCCAGCACTTTGGGAGGCCGAGGCAGGTGGATCATGAGGTCAGGAGACCAAGACCATCCTGGCTAACACAGTGAAACCCTCTCTCTACTAAAAATGCAAAAAATTAGCCGGGCGTGGTGGTGGGCACCTGTAGTCCCAGCTACTTGGGAGGCTGAGGCAGGAGAACGGCGTGAACCTGGGAGGTGGAGCTTGTAGTGAGCTGAGATTGCACCACTGCACTGCAGCCTGGGGGACAGAGCGAGACTCCGTCTCTAAATAAATAAATAATAAATGACAAAAAAAAAGAAAGCATCTGTCCCTCATCATGTCAATGGTCTGTAGCAGTCAGATGCGTTTCTGGACATCTCTGTGCTGTGAAAGAGCAGGTGAACGGGAGGCTGGGGCTACCACACATGCCTGGTTTCAGCTGATCAGGGCTGATTTATGGCCAAGCACTCACTGTTCTTTGGGGGAAGAGAGTCTTTATATTTGATACTTAAGCAGAGACCCAATGACCTTGTTTGTTTGTTTGTGACAGTCTTGCTCTGTCACCTATGCTGAAGTGCAGTGGTGCAATATTGGCTCACTGCAACCTCCGCCTCCCAGGTTCAAGTGATTCTCCTGCCTCAGCCTCCCGAGTAGCTGGGATTACAGGCACCCACCATCATGCCCAGCTAATTTTTGTATTTTTAGTAGAGATGGGGTTTCACTATGTTGGCCAGACTGGTCTCGAACTCCTGACCTCAAATGATCCACCTGCCTCGGCCTCCCAAAGTTCTGGATTACAGGCGTGAGCCACCGCACCCAGCCCCAGTGACCTTGTTTTAAGGACATGACATGGAATTCCTGGAACCGGGATCCGTTTTGAAGAGTCAGTGGTCCTAAGTTGTCATCAGGCAGGGGACCAGGTTCTGCTCTGTGCGTTGGCCTCTGCTCCAGCCTGTGCAGGCTGTGTGGACGAGTGCCACCTGCATCAGCGGGCACCTCGCAAGGCTTTGTTGAGCTCCAGTGAGTAGCCCACTTCCATCTGCCCATCTGGCTTGGACTTTCTGTACTTATCTTAGTCCCATGGCTGTGCTCCTGCAGGGCCAGGCAGATGATGGCAGCCGACAATGTGCATCTCAAAGGGACGACCACCCGAGGAAGGATCCACAGGAAATGTCGCAGGGGGTGGGTCGTGCCACAGCCCCTGGAAACGAGCCAGGATGTTGCCCTTGATCTTGCCTGCATTCTGGCTTTGCACATTGAGGGAGCTGCTTCGGCCCTTCCCTTGGTCTCTGGCTGTTTGAGCTTTATATAGAGAGCCGAGTAGGAGTCAACTCTTTGGGGCTGTCTCTTGTGAAGTCCTTCTTACCACGCGCCATGCCTTTCTGGGCAGTGCGGCTGCATCTTTCACACATGGCTATTCTCTTAGCAGTTTCTTACCCTGTACAGTTTAAAAACAAACATCTTACCTAACCTGGAGTGCTTTCTACATGCCCATGACACCTTTCTCCTTACAGAGGATGAAGAACCACGGAAAAACTTGGGGCTCCGATATTGCGAACTCCCTAAATTCTCCCACCTCCTTTCCCACATAACCTGATGCTCAGCCTACTGCTGACAAGCGTCAGCCCAGCGGAGGCCCGTCTGCTCTGCCTTCGTCATTTCTAGTCCCCTTCGGTTATGTTTCATGTTCCTCATTCTCACAAGAAAGAATCCCTTCCCTTCTACAGATGGACGGCCCGTCTGTAGGCTGGTGCCATCCTTCGAGGTCAGCTGGTGATACACACTGAGAGGGAACCTAGGTCCAGAATGTGCTTGTCAGGAAGGGTGTGCAGCCCAGGGTTCTCTCCGTGTTCACTGCCTCTTTCCTTTGTCATCTTCATTCTGCCGTTGAGCCTATCTAGTGGGTTTTTACAATTTCAGTTACTGTATGTTTAGTTCGAAGTTTTCCATTTGGTTCTCCTTTATACCTTCTGTTTCTTTCCTGAGACTTCTCATCATTCCCTTTATGTTAAGAATACCCCTCCTTACTTCTTGGAGTGTTTTTTGTAATAGCTGCTGTGGAGTCTGTCAGCTAATTCCAATGTCTCTGTTAGCTCAGATAAGATGTTGATCATCTTTTCCCATGCGAGTTGAGGATATTCACCTTCTTTGTATGCTGAGTGGTTCTGGATTGGTCCTGAACATTCTGAATATTACGTTAGGAAGCTGTGGTTCCTGATTCAGTCCTCTGGAGAGTTGTTGGTAGCTTGGTTGTGGCAGGCACTCCACCAGCTTGGGTTCAGGTTCTCAGTCCCTACCATTCTGCTGTGGGTTTTGGTGCCGTTTTCCAAGCCTTTGTCCACTCTTCAGATCTGTCCACTATGTAGCACTCCATGGCCTGTGTGGGCCCCGGGCATGCTCCGTCCTAACCTTCAGTGCTCAGGGTCTGTGCTTGAGGGCTCTGTTTACATATGCCTCGCTCAGGGCTGAGCCCAGGAGCTCGTAACAACTTGATGGGGTTGTTTTCCCGAGAGCTCCTCCCTCTCTGCAATCTCTCGAGCACTTTCCGGTTTCCTGGGCCTCCTATCTTCACCCCTTCAGCCAGGAGGCAGGGCTTCAGTTATCAGCTCTGCCACGCTTCTCCCGTGACTGAGCTTACTTTTGTGGCCAAGCAAGAAGAGGACACGGAGAAAAAAAGCCAGCGGGTTTTTCACCCTCTTTGGACCACCGTTCCTCCAGCTGGAAAGGAAGGTTTCCTCAGAGCTTCAGACACCTGCAGGCTGACCCCTCTGCTGGCACTGTCACTGTTGCCACCACTGCCGCTGTGGAATTTCCTGGGGACCAGGGCACCAGAGAGACAGGGAGAAAGGAAAAAACCCAGGGATCTGGCCCACTGTCTCAGAACCAGGTGACCCCTTTCCTGTTACTAGATGCTTCTCCTGGAGCCCCCGGGCACACTCTTGCTCGCCTCTGGATATCGAGTTGTATTTAGTCCAGGCTGGGGATACCAGGGTCAGGGACATGGCAAACTCACCGCAACCTTGGTGGCACTTCAAATTCTGGTCTTCAACCCCCTTCTACCTGCTACTGGTCAATTCTCAGAGGCCTCAGTAGCTCCTTTGTGTGCCTGTCTAGCCTTTTAGCCACATTCAGTGGGCAGGGAAGGGTGGCGGGGGTGGTGCTTACCCTGTGGAGTAACCATAAGGAAACCAGAACCATAAGGAAATGAGAAGATGTGTTTTAAAGGCCTTAAACAGAAACGTCTGGGATTACAAACAGAAATGAGGAAGTCAGGAATAAA
The DNA here is from genome assembly GCF_000001405.40 of Homo sapiens. Lineage (NCBI taxonomy): Eukaryota > Metazoa > Chordata > Mammalia > Primates > Hominidae > Homo > Homo sapiens. The sequence continues at coordinate 85,048,113 of NC_000016.10, forward strand.
GTAAAGGGTGAATGATTAGGTGAGAGTGAGCAGAAGCGCCTGATATGCAGGATCCTGTGGGCCTCTGGAGCCCATCCCCTAACTCCCTCACCCATCTTTCCATGTGCACCTTGCAGAGGGAGGAGGGAAGCCCTCTGCACCCACCCCGCCTTCCAGGTTGAGACAAAGGCTTCGACCGTCAGCACGCGAGCCTATCCTTTCCACGGGGAGTGTCAGAAAGGTATCGATGGAGACATGGAAAGGGGTTTCTAAGAGTCAAGAGTCTTTAATGCATGATATCAAGTGTCTGTATCCAGGTAGTCACCCATGTGCAGAGCCTCATGCTGCACGATTGGATCTGGGCTTGATAAAGAATTTAGTGTCTCAAAGCAGATCTCTCTCTCTCTCTCTCTTTCTCTCACTCTCACCCTCTCCCCCCTTTTTTTCTCAAAAAACAAAGCTTTTATTGCAAGAATGATTCTGGCTCTGTTAAAAGACTTTCTGAAGCTGGATGTGGTGGCTCACCCCTGTAATCCCAGCACTTTGGGAGGCTGAGGTGGGAGAGTTGCCTGAGCCCTGGAGTTCAAGGCTGCAGCGAGCCAAGGTTGTGCCACTGCACCTTAGCTTGGGTGACAGAACGAGACTGTGTCTCCAAATTCTACTAATGATGATAATAATACTAATCAAATATTGTTAAACATGTATCAACCAGATAAGGGAGGATTTCAGAAGACCACAAATGACCTGTAGAAAACAGTAGAACACAATAACAATCTTCCGATTTCTCCACATTGAGGGGCAGGTTTTGGGTTGGCCACAGCCCAGAGGGAGGTGGGGAGTGTGGTGGAAATTAAGAAAGCCTCAGCAAAGGTGCAGTGTGTGTGTGAGAGGGAGAGGGAGGGAAAAGCGGCCTGATTAGGGCAGAAGTTCTTTCTTGAAGACACCAACACCGAGTGCTTCTGTGAGGTTGCTTTGCACGGTGGCCATGTCCCCTCTGTCTTAGCTCCCTGCCAAACTGCGTGGGCAGCTACAAGCAGCTCCAGATTGCAGAGCGCCTTGGGCCCCAGCCAGAGATGGCAGGTGTCACGGGTAGGCAGGGACAGACACTAGTGGCTCTTGAGCAGAAGGCTCACTGTGGCCCGCCAGGCCATCCCTGGATCCAGGAGGATTTGCCCAGTCTTTCCTCCCATAGAGGCATGGATGTCCTCAGTGCACAGCTGTTAGCTTTGGCCCTTCATGGGGCCAGCGGGAGCTGAGCACCAAATCCAAAGACGGTGGAGGTTGGTTCCGTTCCACCCTCACCTACCTTGGGTTCTGATACGGTTTGGTTCTGCGTCCCCACCCAATCTCCTGTCGAATTGTAATCTCCAGTGTTGGAGGTGGGAGGTGATTGTATCACGGGGGCGAATTTCTCATGAATGGTTTAGTGCCATCCCCCTTGGCACTGTCCTCGAGATAGCGAGTTCTCATGAGATCTGGTTGTTTAAAAGCGTGTGGCACCTCCCCTCATTCTCTCTCTTGCTCCAGCTCCTGCCACGTAGGACGTGGCTGCTCCCTCTTAACCTTCTGCTGTGTTCATAAGTTTCCTGAGGCATCCCCAGAAGTCAAGCGGATGCCAGCATCATGCTTCCTGCCCAGCCTGTAGATCCAATTGAACCTTTGGTTTTATTCTTTATAAATTACCCAGTCTCGGGTATTTCGTTATAGCAGTGCAAGAATGGCCTCATTCACATTCATAAGGCCCGAGTCCTGCATCTCTTAGGGAGCCTCTCCCTGTCCAGTAATTAAGTGTGGCTGTCTCCATGCCAAGGGGTTGGGGCAATATTCATTTATTTTGCCAAATTACTTAAGAGTGGAAGGCCAAGTCGGTCTCTGTCCGAGTTGAATTCAGCTGTCCCGGAGTCAGCCGCTGTGTCCTTTTGTGAAAGAAGTACAGCCCGTCACCCAGGGAGGGCGCGCCTTATGGCGGGTTCTAACACGCAGTTGCAATGGAACCAACTCAGTCAATGGTGATCGCTGATGGTAAACAACCCCTCACCCTGCACTGTCTCGGTGCCTGAAACTCAAGGGCCCAGCCCTCGACTCAGGAATTACCTAGGACCAATTAAACAATGACTAAAGGGCAAAGTGTAAATCCAGGTGCTTGTGTGAGGTGACTTGAGTTGGGACTTAGGAGAACTTCTGAAAAAACAAGAAATTTCAAAGACTCCTACTCTGGAGGAGCTGTTGATTGATATTTATTTATTTATTTATTTATTTATTTATTTATTTTTTTTGAGACGGACTCTTGTTCTGTCACCCAGACTGGAGTGCAGTGGCGCAATCTCGGCTCACTGCAACCTCCACCTCCCGGGTTCAAGCCATTCTCCTGCCTCAGCCTTGGGAGGCTAATTTTTGTATTTTTAGTAGAGACAGGGTTTCACCATGTTGGCCAGGCTGGTCTCGAACTCCTGACCTCAAGTGATCCCCCTGCCTCGGCTTCCCAAAGTGCTAGGATTACAGGCGTGAGCCGCCGTGCCCAGCCGAGCTGTTGATTTATAACCATGGTGTTTCTTTTCTTCCCTCCCCAATCCCCTGGGGGCTGACTCACCCCTTGTTTTCCGCAGTGTGGTAGAGTTGGGTTTGTTGTGGAGCCTTGTGCATTGTTGCTGAGTCAAGGAAGGCAGAAACAGTAGATTGTGTGCTCTGTGCTGTGAGGAATGTATCCCCTGCACTGCCTGCCGTGTGCCCAGCACTTAGCACAGAGCCTGCCCTTCACAGGCGTTTACAAATGGACCCAGTGGGCCAGGTGCACTGGTTCATGCCTGTAATCCCAGCACTTCAGGGAGCCAAGGCGGCAGGATCACTTGAGCCCAGGTATTTGAGACCAGCCTGGGTAACACAGTAAGATCCCATCACTACAAAAATGTGTTAAAAAATTAGCCAGGCATGGTGGTGCAGCTACTTGGGAGGCTGAGGTGGGAGGATCACTTGAGCCTAGGAATTTGAGGTTAACATTGAGCTATGATTGCACCACTGCACTTCAGCCTGGGCGACAGAGTGAGACCCTGTCTTAAAAAAAAAGGAAAAGAAAAAAGAAAGGACCCAGTTGAAGCCCTAGTTTTGTGAGGTCGTCTTCGTGGAGAACTTAATGCGTTTTATTCTCCCACTGGGTTGGGGAACCAGCAGATGGCCCCTTATCTCTTTTTTTCTGTGAACTGTGAACCAAATTTAGATGTTTTCCTCTTCCCGGAGGTCATAAAATAGGACCTATCTTTGGATATAGCCATTATGACAGTTTTAGTGGAGAAGAACTGCATTAAGCTTTATAAAATGTTATCTCAGAAGAGAAATGGCAAGAAACCCTAGAGGTTCAATGGCCTCTCCCTGTTAATAACCTGTTAACAAGCAGACATCCCCATTCCCCTTCCCGCTTCCCTCAAAAGGAGACCCCAGAGAACTGTTCCGGTTGGTGGTGGCTCCGCCTTGCTGGAACTCCTCTGCAGGCTCAGCTTTCCTTCTGAGCCACATAGAATCATACTCTCTACTTCCTCTCACACAGCGACTCTTACACATTTAAAGACCACCATCTTGTCTCCCATGTTACTTACCCCCATGGTAAATTTCAACTTTCTCACCCTTGCTCATGTGATATGATTATTAGACTCCCTAACGATGCTGGCGGGGTTTGTTTGGGATTTCTTTGGATGCTCTCCAGGTTCTTGGTAGCTCTCGCCTTTTCCCTCTCATGTTTTTTTTTTTTTTAAGAGACGGGGTCTTGCTGTGTTGCCCAGGCTGGTCCCAAACTCCTGGGCTCAAGTGACCCTCCAGCCTCAGCCTCCCAAAGTGCTGGGATTACAGGCATAAGCCATTGTGCCTGGCCTCCTTTCATGATTTTTTAAGTCTTACAAGCACTTATTAAATGAAAATGCCTTTGCAAGGTTGTTATCCTTTCTAAAACGACGCATTGGCCAGGCGCAGTGGCTCACGCCTGTAATCCCAGCACTTTGGGAGGCCAAGGCAGGCAGATCACGAGGTCAACAGATCGAGACCGTCCTGGCCAACATGGTGAAACCCCGTCTCTACTAAAAATACAAAAATTAGCCGGGCATGGTGGCACACGCCTGTAGTCCCAGCTGCTCAGGAGGCTGAGGAAGGAGAATCGCTTGAACCCTGGAGGTGGAGGTTGCAGTGAGCTGAGATCACGCCACTGCACTCCAGCCTGGTGACAGAACGAGCAAGGCTCTGTCTCAAAAAGCAACAACAACAACAACAATAGCAACAACAAAAAGCTAGCCAGGCCTGGTGTCAGGCACCTGTAATCCCAGCTACTCGGGAGGCTGAGGCACCAGAATCGCTTGAACCTGGGAGGCCGAGGTTCCCAGGTTCCATTGCATCGTGCCATTGCACTCCAGCCTGGGCAACAAGAGCAAAACCCTGTCTCAAATCAATCAGTCAATCAGTCAATCAATCAATCGATGCATCCTAATGGGTTTCTTTGGGCTTAAGGTTTCAGGATAGCAATGAGTATAGATTCTTGGACGTGGCTAACCACAGTACTGCTGTGGAAAGTTGATCATTTCTCCTGAGGCATGGAATTGAACAGAGTGTTCCAGGAGCAGCCTGACCAGCAGAAGCAGAGTGAATGGCATCATCACTGTGGTTTGGGGGCAGGTGCTTTTGTCCGTGCATCTGAAGGTCGGTTCAGAGTTTGCTGTTTTCATTAGTTCCACATATGTTGACTCAGCAAGCGCGCCCTCAAGCAGTGAGCTGCCTCTCAGTATCGTGCTTGTGTAACTTCGGATCAAATTTTTATTTTTATTTTTATTTTTTTTATTTTGAGACCGTCTCGCTCTGTCACCCAGGCTGGAGTGCAGTGGCACGATCTCGGCTCACTGCAACCTCCTCCCAGGTTCAAGCGATTCTCTTGCCTCAGCCTCCCAAGTAGCTGGGATTACAGGTGCCCACCACCACACCCAGCGAATTTTTGTAGTTTTTAATAGAAACAGGGTTTCACCATGTTGGCCAGGCTGGTCTCGAACTCCTGACCTCAGGTGATCCGCCCACTTCAGCCTCCCAAAGTGCTGGGATTACAGGCGTGAGCCACCACGCCCGACCTGGATCAAATTTTTAGATAACCTCGCTAGTCATTTATGAGTTATTGGAAGGCAGACACCATGTTGTTTCTACATCATGCCTGATACACGGAAGGTACTCAGGAAACACCCAGCGAATGAATGAATTTCCCAGCCAGAGGCATCTTTTAGACCCAGCGCATTGCTGCAGCCTGCCAAAATCCTTTTGGGTCTCGATTGTGTCATTCTGTAAGTTAACTGTATCTCTTGGTTTTATGTTCCCACATTCTCTATCAACATGTTGTTTGCATTCATATCTGAATAATTAATAGGGTGTAAGGATAGGCCTGGACTAGAGTTTGCCCCATTAGGGATGGAGACATCTTTCCAGGTTGACTCTCTGGATAAGGCAGCTCAGCTATCATGTTTTATCAAACTTAACAACTCATCAGTCCTAAGATTCATCTTTATTTTATACATTACTAAGAAAGATTACTTGAGCCCAGGAGTTCAGAATCAGCCCAGGCAATATAGTGAGAAGTTGTCACTACAAAAAAATTTTTAAGGCCAGGCGCGGTGGCTCACGCCTATAATCCCAGCACTTTGGGAGGCTGAGGAGGCGCGGATCACAAGGTCAAAAGATCAAGACCATTCTGGCCAACATGGTGAAACCCCGTCTCTACTAAAAATACAAAAATTAGCTGGGCATGGTGGCGTGCACCTGTAGTCCCAGCTACTCAGGAGGCTGAGGCAGGAGAATCACTTGAAGCCAGGAGGCAGAGTTTGCAGCGAACTGAGATCATGCCACTGCACTCCAGCCTGGCGACAGAGCAAGACTCTGTCTCAAAAAAAAAAAAAAAAAAAATTAGCTGAGTGTGGTGGCGCATGCTTGTAGTCCCAGCTACTCGGGAGGCTGAGGTGGGAGGATCACTTGAGCCCAGGAGGTGGAGGTTGCAGTGAGCTGTGATTGTGCCACTGCACTCCAGCCTGGGTGACAGTGAGACCCTGTCTCAAAAATAAGATTAAACACTGCCGTTTACACTATTACACATTTTCTTATCACTTAGAATTTTTGTTCTATCCTTATTGAAAGAATGTCTTTTAGAATTACTTAGACATAGATTGTTATGTGTCACCTTGGTCCATAAGAAAGAAAATATAAGCAAAATAAATTGGTTAAAATACTTCGAAAGCTTCTTCACATTCAAAGACCCATATTTCTGAAGTTATCTCAGTGCCATTGAAATCTGTGTTTCTTTTTTTTCTTTTTCTTTTCTTTTTTTTTTTTTTTTTTGTTGTTGTTGAGATGGAGTCTCACTCTGTTGCCCAGGCTGAAGTGCAGTGGCCACATCTCGGCTCACTGCAACCTCCACCTCCCAGGTTCAAGCAGTTCTCTGTCTCAGCCTCCCAAGTAGCTGGGATTGCAGGTGTGCACCACCACACCTGGCTGATTTTTGTATTTTTAGTAGAGATGGGGCCTCACCATGTTAGCCAAGCTGGTCTCGAACTCTTGACCTCAAATGATCCACCCTCCTCAGCCTCCCACAGTTCTGGGATTACAGGCATGAGCCACCACGCCCAGCCAAAATCCATGTTTCTGTACAGTATCATCCTGTCGCCAGCAGTGTGCCCTTCCCAGAATGTGCCATCCATTTACCTTTGGGGAGGCCTAAAGGGGATGGCAATGTTGTACGTCCTGGCGCGGGTGGTGGCTGCATGGACGTATTCGCTTTGTGAGGGTTCATTGAACGGCATCGTTATGATTTATGTATTTTCTGTATTTCATTTTATTTTTGAGGCAGGGTCTCTCTCTGTTACAAAGGCTGGAGTGCAGTGGTACAATCTCGGTTTACTGCAACCTCTGACTCCTGGACTCAAGCAGTCCTCCCACCTCAGCCTCCCGAGTAGCTGGGACTACAGGTGTGTGGCACCACGCCCAGCTAATTTAGTTTATTTTTTTTAGAGACAGAGTCTCACTGTGTGCCCAGGCTGGTCTCAAACTCCTGGACTGAAGTGAGCCTCCCCGCCTTGGCCTCTCAAAGTGCTGGGATTACAAATATGAGCCACCGCCCCCAGCCTCTTTTTGTGGTTTTTTTTTGTTTGTTTGATTGCTTAAAAATAGAAAAGGAGTGTCCACTCTTGTCTCTAGACAGTACCATGATGGGCTGGTTGAAACAGTGGTAAGACACATGTGATTTCAGATATCTTAAAGTGCAAAAGAAAATAAGATGCATTTTAGGATAATGAAATACAATATTTCTAAATCCATGAAATTACACATTGTTTAGGCCATGTTCTGCCTCGTCTTCAAAGACAGAAAGTGAAAGTGAAGTCCCTTGCTAAAACTCAGTGTACTGTTCTACAGGACAGGACAATCTCCCTGATCTCTGAGTCTGTAACAAACACACACAAACAACTGCAGGGCTTAGTCTGGCACCAGCTCTTGACCTCAGCCCTCACCACTTCCCCTTCTTGGTGCTTGCAGAGTGTCGTGTTGGTAGCCTCTTTCTAGACACCTACTGACATGGATATCTTACTTAATCTGTTGCACAGAATCCGCCACCTTCTCCTTTTGAAATGAGGTTTCCATTTGCCCTTCTTCTCACCTCTCCCCCAGCCTGTTATCTTGGTTTTTTCGGAGATGAGAAATCGTGATTCAGAGAGTTCCTCTGTAAAGCCTGTGAGTTGTAATTCATCAGTGTGACAGCCGAGTGCTCGGAGCCAGCCTCCCAACAAGCGTGGGCTCTCGGGCCCACTCAAACTCTAAGCTGGTGCTTGGGTGGTGCTGCGGGGCAATCTGTGCTTTTTCTTTCCCTCCAGTGTCTCCCCCAGTCCCCATCCTGGCCTTGCCAGTGCTGCAGCTCAGCCCTTCTCTGCACTCTAAATGGTTCTGTGCTTTGTTTGTGCCTGTGGTTCAGCCCAGACCCCCCTGAAAGCCACAGCCAGCAGTTTCTCCTGTCCATGTGAGAAGCACGTGCCAGCAGGCACCTTGAACTCAGGATAGCTGGGGGTTGGTTGCGATGGACGGCACGACGGTCTGCAGTGGGGATCCAGGATCCCAGACATGGATCCTAAACTGCCATAGGAGCCATGCCTTCCTAAGCCTCCCACCCTTTGCTCCTTCCCATCAGCGCGGCGTTAGAAAAGCCCGCCTTTCCGAGGCCCCCTCTCAACACCGCCATGAGAAGTCTTTCAAACGCCCTGGAAGTTAGGTTCAGGAGAAGCCCGTCAGTAAGTTCCCCATCATACCACACTGCAGCGGTAGCTCTTTCCATTCCACAGAACAGCAGCCAGAGGGAGCCAGGGCAGCTTCACAGCCCACCCCACGGGAAATGCCTGACTTTCTCCATGTGGGTCCCTCTCCAGGAAAGCCTCCCTTCCCAGCTCCACTTAAAACCCACCCAGCCTTCCAAGACACAGTTCCCCAAGTCTTCCCTGAGAATCTCCTTGCCATTGGGTGTGCTCTTGCATTCCTCCGGGCCGCGCTCGCCGAGAGCCCTTTGTTCACTGGTTACGGTGCTGGCCCCCTCTGCTCAATTGCCCAATTATTTAGATGCTTGTCTTCTTGTTTTGAGGTGGGGTCTCACTCTGTCACCCAGGTTGGAATGCAGTGGTGTGATCATAGCTTACTGTAGCCTTGAACATCTGGGGTCAAGGAATCCTCATGCCTCAGCCTCCCAGACAGCTGGGTACTATAGGTGCATGCCTCCATGCTTGGCTAATTATGTTTTAAATATTTTGTAGAGACAAGGTCTCTCTTTGTTGCCCACACTGGTCATGAACTCCTGGCTTCAAGCGAGCCTCCTGCCTCAGCCTCCCAAAGGGCTGGAATTACAGGCAGGAGCCACTGCACCCAGCCGAGATACTTGTCTTATTTTTCCTACTGGGTGTACAGTGTCTGAAGACTGAGTCTGTCAGTTGTTCTTGTTTGCGCAGTGCCCTGTACATAGCACCTCCACAGAAAGCATGTTTGTTTGCGAGTCAGCTGAATTGTTGAATGGGTTTTTCTTTGCCTCCTGGGTTATATTGTAAACCCCCTGTGGTCAGGAATTGTGGCGTGTACACTTTCATGCAGCCGAGATGAATGGCGTAGAGTCCAGGCTGATGCATTTTATTGATCAAAAGACCAGTAAATGATCATATAGTTTTTTCTCCTTTCAGTTACAAAATAAATCAGCAGCAGGGCATTTTACTGACAGTCTTCCTTAAACTGTTTCTCCCCCATCACCAAGTGTACAGGGCGACGGGAGGAGGTGTGTGGTGTGATTGGGCCCCCAGTGGCTGGACTCTGCAACTGACCTTGCAGACTATGGCAGGTGTGGAGGAAGGAGCAGTTCAGATGCAGCCCCTTTGGGTGGAGCTCACCTTTGCTGGCACTGTGAGTTTTCAACCAAAACACATTGACAACATCTCTTATGGGCCTGACCCTGTTCCAGTCCCGGGAATACTGCAGTGAAGAAAACACACACGACTCCTGACTCCCAGGGAACTTGTGTTGGTGGAGTATTGTCCTGGGATCTTCAGTCCTGGGCCACGAGGAGGCAGTCAGCCAGAGCTAGCCCGTATGCCAGTGCCTGGTTTAGAGGATCTCCACTGGAGAGGCTGCCTCTGCTTTTTGTTTTTGTTTTTTTTTTTTTTCTCTCTCTCTCCTTTTACCTTTCCTGTGGTGCTGAGGCTGCCTCTTTCAAGCCAGCACCTGTGAGTAGGTCATTCTGTGTGGGACCTGGTGTGTCTGCACACGGCTTGGTGTGGGCTGGAGCTGCCCCCACTGCCCTCCTCATTGGTGACCCCAACATTTTTGTCTTTACTGGGCAGTGCTCCCCACAGGAGTAGCCCCTACATATGGCTAAGATGCTGCTGCTGTCTGTGTCTGAGGGAATAAAGCCAGGCTCTTATGTTCACAGCAGAATGACAATTCTCCCTCCCCGGTGACTACAGCACGCGGATGCTATTTTGGTTATCAAATCAGAACCTCGGCACTTCAGGCCCTCTTCAGAGAATTCAGGCATGAATGGTCTGTGGTCTGACACTTGTCAAAAGCCCTACTGAGGCATCTGGCACTGGAGGAGAGGCACCCTCACGGGCATGTTCACTGTCACGCCTCATGTATCAGGGAGCTCTTCTCTTCACCTAGTAGCGGGATCCAGCCAGACAAATACCTGTACCAAATTGATTTCATGTATGCCTTCAGATTTTTTGAGAGTCTTTTAAAGAAATGCCTGTTTTGGCCGGACGCGTTGGCTCATGCCTATAATCCCAGCACTTAGGGAGGCCGAAGCAGGTGGATCCCTGAGGTCAGGAGTTCGAGACTAGCCTGATCAACGTGGTGAAACCCCATCTGTACTAAAAGTACAAAATTAGCCGGGTGGGGTGGCGCATGCCTGTAATTCCAGCTACTTGGGAGGCTGAGGCAGGAGAATCGCATGAATCCGGGTGGCAAAGGTTGCGGTGAGCCAAGATTGCTCCACTGCGCTCCAGCCTGGGCAACAAGAGCGGAACTCCATCTCACAAAAAAAAAAAAAACACACAAGAAAACAAACAAAAAACAACAAAAAAAGAAAGAAATGCTGATTTCAACATCTCTTTACCTTTTATAGATCTTGTTAGAGACCTTGTCATCACAGTAATCAGTGTCATTGCATACGAAGACCCTCCTGACAAGTGCATTTCCAAATTCAGTATCTGCAGAAAGCTACTCTGCAGATGAATTTGTCAGATCAAGAGAATTTTATGAGCAAGGATGCTTTTCTTTTTTGCTTTGGCTGCCAAGAAACTCAACTAAATCTACTGCCCAACTGCCATAATGAATTTGGTTGATTCCACCGTCTCGTAGTTGCTCTAGATCCATATTGACTGAGTATAAATCTATGTCTGGACAGCAACGCAAACACACTGACATTGGATTTAGACACACACATCTAAAAGGACATTGAAATTTCCTGTGACTTGACATGGACTGTTGGACCAACTATTAGACCAACTATTGCTTAGTAGTCTGAAACAGCCAAAAATCTCTTTTTGGCTCAGATAGGGTGTCATCAAAAGACATGTAAACATGACCTCATGGTAGAAGTGAACTGCTTCAAGCTAGTAATGTGCGTCTTGCAGGTATCCAGTATTGCTGTGTTTCCCTCAAAAAATTGATCTATGCTGTGGTGTCCCTATAACTTTGCTTAGGTGTTCTGGGGGTGCCCTGGTGCCAGTTTGGGAACCACAACTCTAGGTTAAAAACATTCTCAGCCCCTTGAGCTGTGCCTCATGTAGTGAGGATTTGGGGTTCCCCCTGAGCCAGGCTGTCTCCTCTAGTCATAGGAGGCAGTATCCAGCTAAGGTGGCTCCAGAAAAGAGTGGGGTGCCCGAGTGCGAACATGACGCTTAAGATGCTATCAGATGCCAGGTCTGCCTGGAGGTGGTCCCCGCACACACCCCTCTTCTCCAGCCCCACGTTTCTCATCTCTCAACTGGGAGTGAAAGCAATAATACTGCCTCAGTGGTGTGAAGTTGTTCTGAATGAAATGGTTTTGTGTAGTGCTGCACTTTGAAAGGTATGAACTGCTCTGATAATAGGGTCATTGATTTCTCCTCTGAGCTGTCTCATGTTAGCACGGCCAGGGAAGATCTTCAGCTTCGCCCTTCGAGCTGGGAGGACCATAACCTATTTCCCCAAAGTGTTTCTTCTAAGGCCCTTCATGTAGTGCGTCACTTCCTGTGATAATCCTACTGATTAGGGAAAAGAGCAATTCTCCTTCACATTTTTCAAAGAGGAAAACTAGGGTACAGATTCAAATGATTTCCCAGTTTGATTTTTTGTTTGTTTGTGTGTTTTGTTTTTTGAGACTGAGTCTCATTCTGTTGCCCAGGCTGGAGTGCAGTGGCGCTATCTTGGCTCACTGCAACCTCCGCTTCCCGGGCTCAAGCGATCCTCATGCCTCAGACTCCCGAGTAGCTAGGATTACAGGCATGCACCACCAGGCCTGGCTAATTTTTGTATTTTTAATAGAGACGGGATTTCACCATGTTGGCCAGGCTGGTCTTGAACTCCTGACCTCAGGTGATCCTCCTGCCTCAGCCTCCCAAAGTGTTGGGATTACAGGCGTGAGCCACTGTGCCCGGCTTTCTTAGGTTGATTTGTGATGGAGCTGAGACTCAAGGACGAAGAGGTGCATTTTTCCTTGTTTGGGCTGCCAGGGAGTTGGCAAACTAGGTACTTTAGTCAGCGGTGGAGAGGAGGGAACTTCAGGCCTCCCTCAGAGACACAGGTGGTGTCTCGGGGTCCCGGTGCCCCATGTGCACAGTGCACCTGCCCTTCCTGCACAGCACCCTTCACGGACAGCAGGAGCAAAACCCAGGGACCCCAGCTGTGAGGCTGGGGTTAGGTGATGTTTCCACCTTACAGTTGAAATGAAGGTCAGGCCAGGCACGGCGGCTCACGCCTGTAATCCCAGCACTTTGGGAGGCCAAGTTGGAAGGATTGCTGGGGCCCAGGAGTTTGAGACAAATCTGGGCAACATAGTGAGACCTCACCTTTATAAATAATAATAATAATAAGTTAGCCAGGTGTGGTAGCACATGCCTATAGTCCCAGCTACTCAGGAGGCTGAGACAGGAGGATCACTTGAGCACAGGAGGTCAAGGCTGCAGTGAGCCAAGATTGCACCACTCTACTTCAGCCTGGGCAACAGAGCGTGAACCTATCTAAAAAAAAAAAAAAAAGAAGAAAGAAAAAGACTGGGCCCAGTGGCTCACACCTGTAATCCTAGCACTTTGGGAGTCAGAGGTGGGTAGATCACCTGAGGTCAGGAGTTCGAGACCAACCTGGCCAACATGGTGAAACCCCATCTCTACTAAAAATACAAAATTAGCCCAGCATGGTGGCGGGAGCCTGTACTCCTAGCTACTTGGGAGGCCGAGGCAGGAGAATTGCTTGAACCCGGGAGGCGGAGGTAGTAGTGAGCCGAGATCACGCCACTGCACTCCATCCAGCCTGGGCGACAGAGTGAGTCTCCGTCTCAAAAAAAAAAAAAAGAAAGAAAAGTTTCAGGTAAAAGCCCACCAAGTATATATTGCTGCAGACAGACTTTTGGCAAAGTAACTTGGTGATTCCTATCACAAGCCTTAATAATGCGCACACCCTTTGGCCAGCAATTCCACATCTAGAAATGCCTCCTCAAGCATCTGAGATGTCGCTGTAAGAGGTGAGGATGACGTGGGGATCAGGGCCCCTGGTTCTCCAGCTGACCTGTGTGCGGGTTCCTTGCCCGGTCTCTTCCTGGCCTCTCCCCGCCTTGCCTTACTGCAGCTTCAACAGGGGAGACAATCCAGGTGCACATGCGTGTGATGTGTGTGTGTTGTGTGTTGCCTGAGGTTTTGCACACTCTGGGTGAGAGGAGCAGCACATTTGGGAGTTCTTGGGGACACGAAAAGAGAGGAGAGTCTTGAGGTTGATGGGAAGGGGCAGGCTCACAGAAAGTTCCAGATTCTCCCTGCAGGGAGCTCTTGTCTGATTGCCCAAGGCCAACCTGCTGGAGAAGCCACAGCTCTGGTTGTTCCGGGATGCTGGGGAAATCAGTGTGAGCACAGCTCCATGGGGAAGTGGCAGAGCAGCCACACCGGGGCAATCTCGTGAGTTCCTTCTACAGCTGGAGGCTGCTGGGTGGGAAGAAGCAGTGGGGGAAGTGGGGCGGAAGGGGTTGCAGCAGGAGGTTAGGAAACCCCCTCCAGAATACAGACCGCTGTGGCCTCTTTTCCCATGAGCGGTGGCTCCCCGGCCTCATTGGCCTTCCCGGTTCTTGAACTTTCTAAAGTGGTTACCTTAGGGCCTGCATGCTTCATGTTCCCTCTGCCTGGGTCACCTTCAAGCCTTTTCAATGCTGGTTCTCCCTCTTTCCATCTCAGCTCAGAGGTCTGCCTCCCCAACCTCCCCGTCCAAAGAAGCCACTTCTCAGCCCTCTCAGGACCATCACCTTCAGATCGTCTCTGTAGCACTTAGTGCTGCAGAAGCTCTTGTTTGGTTTTTTATTCTATTAACTCTATCTTCCCCTCTCCCTGCCCCTGGTACGTACGTAAACACACACACACACACACACACACCCCATAAGGTCTCACTCATGGCTTCATTTCTAGCTCCTTGCACAGTAACCGATGCATAGTAGATGCTCAGTACATGTGTGAAGAATGACTGGATGTTTGCAGAATCTCATAAGGGCTTTGGAAGGTACAGGTTGACTTAGAATTTTAGCCTAATTTGGTTGGTGGAAGCCTCCATCATGGGGCCTACGATGCGAATTGCAAAGTGTAACCGCAGGGGGGTTGCAGTGCTTCAGGCCCGCAGGCCAGCATGTTCCTATCTGCGGTGACACAGATTCCCCTGTGGCCAAAAACACGGTTTCTCAGAGTCTGGGGACCTGCAGTGGGCCTCAGTACCTCCTTGAATGTAGAACGAAGCAGATGGGCTGGGATGCAATCCACAGATGGGTTTTTTGACTCCCAGCGTGTTTTGAAATAAATTTAAATTAGTTGCCAGTGTTGAAAAATCAGAAGATTTCATGTAACGGGATTTCAGCATTCCTTAGAAACCTGTAGAAGCTCTGATACTCCTGGGTCTACATTCCCAAATGGTAGCACCGGGCTGGCTCTGAGCAGGGACAGTGTGGCTCCTTGCTGGACCACCTCCTCTGTTTTCGCCAGATGGCCAAGACTGTGACCCTGCAATGTGAGAGTGGCCATGACCTTGTCCTGCCTAGAGGCCCACAATGACCTTTCCTTCTTAGAGGAAGAGGGTGGGGTTGCTTCCCTTGCCATGACTACACACAGTCACTGCTGTGACATCTTAGATCTGTGAGCGAGCCCCAGACAGCTGAGATCCCTGAGCTGAGGGGTCCGGGGACAGGGGTGGTGCACGCCACAGCTATCGGCGTGCAGGACCAGCCCTCCTGCCACCCATCTGCTTCCTCTCACTCTGTGCCTCTCCTGTGATATCGCCTCCGTGCTGAGCCCACGGAGGAAGGCGGCACCCAGCACTCAGGGCTTCTGGGAGAGGGTGACTCACGAGAGCATCTGAACGGCCCAAGAGTGCCTGAGGCTGGATCAGAAATAGCCACGATCGTCCAGTTTGATTGATTGATTGATTGATTTAGTTGTGATGGAGTCTCGCTGTATTTCCCAGGCTGGAGTGCAGAGGCACGATCTCCGTTCACTGCAGCCTCCACCTCCCCGGTTCAAGTGATTCTCCTGCCTCAGCCTTCCGAGTAGCTGGGATTACAGGCACCTGCCACCACGCCCGGCTGATTTTTGTGTTTTTAGTAGAGACAGGGTTTCGCCATGTTGGCCAGGCTGGTCTTGAACTCCTGACCTCAGGTGAGCCACCCGCCTCGGCCTCCCAAAGTGTTGGGATTACAGGCGTGAGCCACTGCCCCCAGCCCCAGCTTGATCTTGAACCTCCTGTGTGTGGGCAGAGAGACATGGCCCTGCTACTGCTTGAACGGCTTCCGGAGACAGTGACTTGTTTCCTTTTTCCCTCTGA
Source organism: Homo sapiens (assembly GCF_000001405.40). Taxonomy (NCBI): domain Eukaryota; kingdom Metazoa; phylum Chordata; class Mammalia; order Primates; family Hominidae; genus Homo; species Homo sapiens. The sequence continues at coordinate 85,063,668 of NC_000016.10, forward strand.
ACTGTGAGTGTTTGCCATGCAGTGTTAGGATAATGAACAAAATGAAAGAGGAAATCACCCTGATGCCAGCACCGCCAGCCATTTCTACATTCTTTCCCATCGCTTTTGCATATGTATACATGATTGTAATTAGAGTAAAATTAAATTTCTCTCACTTCAGTATTCGCAGGCCTCTGAACAGGGGGTGGCAAGCAGGAGCACTCAGTAAACCTTGGCTGACCGAAGAATATTCTGTTTACTTCACTAGAAAGTGAACGTTTTCTGAATTGTATCATACACTGATCACTACTGCAACTTTTTCACATGTATTTACCATTTTACTATATTTATTTATTTACTTTTTTTTTTTTTTTTTTGAGGTGGAGACTTGCTCTGTCGCCCAGGCTGGAGTGCAGTGGCCTGACCTCAGCTCACTGCAACCTCTGCCTCCCAGGTTCAACCGATTCTCCTGCCTCAGCCTCCCGAGTGTTTAGGATTACAGGCGTGCGCCACCATGCCTGGCTAATTTTTGTATTTTGAGTAGAGACAGGGTTTCACCGTGTTGGCCAGGCTGGTGTCGAACTCCTGACCTCAGGTGATCCACCCGCCTCAGCCTCCCAAAGTGTTGGGATTACGGGAGTGAGCCACCGTGCCTGGCCCGTTTTACTATATTTAGGTATTTTTTCTACCCATCTCCCCAGTTAGTCAGGATTATAAATACTGTTGCAATGAGCATTTTTCTCTATGTAAGTTTTTGTGTGTTTTGAATTATTTTCTTAGGATAAATTCCAAGCATTTGAATTCCTGAATCAGAAGAGAGAAAAATAAGAATGATAGAAATTGCCTTTTGAAGTATTATCTCTCCCTATTCCAGCAGTGTTTGAGAATGTTAATTTTACCATAACTTTACCAGTATTTAGATAGTTTTTAAATTTTTGCTAATTTAGAAGTATGGGATGGTACCTTGTGGCTTTAATTTGCATATTTATATCGTGGTTATTAGTATGGGTTGAAGAATTGTCTACGCCTTTAATAATTGTATTTCTTTTTTCTTTTTTTGAGACGGAGTTGTGCTGTCACCCAGGCTGGAGTGCAATGGCACCATCTCGGGTCACTGCAACCTCCGCCTCCTGGGTTCAAGTAATTCTCCTGCCTCAGCCTCCTGAGTAGCTGGATTACAGGCAAGCCCCACCATGCCTGGCTAATTTTTGTATTTGTAGTAGAGATGGGGTTTCACCATGTTGCCCAGGCTGGTCTTGAACTCCAGACCTCAGGTGATCCACCCGCGTCAGCCTCCCAAAGTGCTGGGATAACAGGCGTGAGCCACCGCGCCCGGCCTATAATTGTATTTCCTCTTGCGTGCCTTGCCTATTTGAGTGGTTTGTGTAGCTGTTAGAATATAGACTTTTTAGAGTTGTGTGAATTTGTAGTACAGACAGCACTAGCTTAATGTTCCTACTATATTTACTGTAAACATTTTACTAGTGTGTGGTTTTTCATTTTTAATGCCGGGCATGTTACTGTGTGTGTGGTTTTCTGTTCTTTGGTGAGTGAGAATGCGCTTGTGGAAGGGCCTTGGGTTTCTGATCCAATCTTGATGCCTCGGCCAGGGGGGACCCATCAGAGACTAGGCGCCCTGGCCGGGGACGCAGCTGGCGAGGGGAGACCCCGACCGGCCACTCCTTGCTCTCCAGGTCCCTGAGCTGTAGCCACTGCCTTTTGAGCTCATCAGAGTCCTTGGTGCTGTCCTGGCCTGGAAAGTTCTACTGAGCTGAGGTTTATGCTTCTCTCTTGTGGACGGAGGCTTGCTTTGCGGGGCTCCCCTGAACACGCCTAGCACCACGCTGGTGACCTGGAACCAGCCTTTTCTCTTTCTGACTCAGGGTATTTAAAAATATCCCAGGCTGGAGAATTTGGAGGAATCCATCATCAATGGGTGAGCATTAAGCTCTTAAGAGGCAGAAAAGGCCATTCTGCTATTGAATTGTCCTCTGAAGATGCGTTCAGTTCAGCAGTTTCACAGCCACCTCACTGGCAGGCATTGTCCTAGATATTTGGGGTCTAACAGGGACAGGGCTGTGGTTAGAGGTGTGCTCTGCTCTGAGGGGCTGTCAGGAGGGCGTCTCCTTCCCGCCTAGCTGTCTGCCTCTGTACTGGTGAGGAAGGTTCCCCAGTACCTTCTAAACCAGCAGTCAGGAGACCTGGGTTAGAAGCGAAGATTCAGATCCCAGCTCTGCCACCCTGTGACCTATGTAGCCAGCTCCCCTGACCCTGTGAGCATGTTCACAATCCGGTCTGTTCCTTCGTTCAGCAAGCACACGACACACATGCACGTAGTCAGGAGTCCTCGCTGGGCACAGCATGGCTACGGTGGTGCCAGGGCATGGTCCCTCTGGAGGGGCGTATACTTTACGGGTAAACAGAGATACTGGTGTCTGTCAGTAAAGCAAGCAGGATGATGAATGAGGCTGAATAAGATGCTGGAGCCCACAGAGGAGTCAGTCATTCATGTTGAATAGGAGCAGAGTGGAGCTTCTCAGAAGACGTGGCCGAGGCAGAGGCTTGAGGGGTGAATAGAACTCCAGGGTGGGAATGGCGGAGGAAAAAGTTGGGGAATGGAGAAGGGAGAGGGCTGCCCAGGCTGAGGAGCCGAGGGGTGTGTCGTTGTCCAGCGGGGCTGCAGTGCTGGGAGAGGGGACAGGTCCAGATGGCAAATGTTGTGCTTAGCAACCATCATAGGGTTTGAGAAGGATGCTGAGAGGAGATAGACCTGTGACAGTCCGGGAATGCTTTTGACGAGAACAGAGCCCAGGAAGGAGGAGGTCAGAGCTCAGGAGGTGAGGTGTGTCTTCCTCAGTAGGGAGGTTCTTCCGTAGCCACTGATTCCAGTGACAGCTAGCGGGCAGGTGGATTGTCCCTGGTGATCCTCCGTTTCCAGCCCAGGATGGGCCTTTTCTGTCCTGGCGATGGGCTCAGTCTTGGGGCTGGAGCGGGGAGGAGGCCAGCAGAGGCCGTGTGCTGACAGTCTGAAATGCTGATGTCAGTGTTTATTTGTTCATTCATTTCACAAGTATTTATTGAGGACCTACCATGGACCAGGTGTTGAACAGTAAAGCGGACAGTAGGAAGATGATAGCAAAGAGGCACCCCAAATTCCGGAAGAGCAGAGATTCTCTTTCTGGGGAGTCTGTGATCTAGGTCGGGATTCTGGTGAGGAGTGGCGCTAATGTCTGTGTCTGTGTTTCCATTCTAGATGCCGTAGGGCCAGGTGAGCTGCTGTGAAGGACTCATTCTTGGTAGCCGGCAGTTACTGGCAACTTGTGAGCTTGGTGGGCTCCTACTAACGCACCTGGGACACCAGGCTGCTGGGCTCCCCTCTAGGCAGCCTCCCCTCCAGGCAGCCTCACCAGCAGCTCCCCTGAGCCATGGAGACCCCAGAGGTCCCCGTGGGCTCGCTAATCGACTTTGGGCCTGAGGCACCCACCTCTTCTCCCCTGGAGGCACCACCCCCTGTGCTGCAGGACGGCGATGGCTCCCTGGGGGACGGTGCATCAGAGAGTGAGACCACTGAGTCTGCGGACAGTGAGAATGACATGGGCGAGTCGCCCTCGCACCCGTCCTGGGACCAAGACCGCCGTTCCTCCTCCAACGAGTCCTTCTCCTCCAACCAGAGCACCGAGTCTACCCAGGATGAAGAGACCCTGGCACTCAGGGACTTCATGCGTGGCTACGTGGAGAAGATCTTCTCTGGAGGGTAAGGGGCCTGTGTGGACGAGACAGCCTGGTGTGGCCACAGGGCCCAAGGGGACTCGCCTCCTGCTCTCGGCTCTGCCTCTCCCCAGGGTGCCACCTGGGACCAGAGCTTCCATTTCCCCATCAGCCAGGGGTGGCGACTGCAGGGGCCTCACTCCACTCCAGGCTGCATGCAGAGCCACGTGGAGAACTTTAAAAGAATACCTGAGCCTGGACTTCACTCCAGACCAGTTATATCAGTTCTCTAGGGTGAGGCCCAGCATCAAAGTATGTGCGGCTCCCAGGTGATTTGGAAGGGCAACCATGCAGAGAATCCCTGGAGGGACACGCTCCGGAGTGCCCAGCTCACAGGTCCCCATCATCCCCGTGAGCTCCATTATGTTCTTTTTGTTTATTTTCTTTTCTTTTTTTCTTTTTTTTTCTTTTTTTGAGACAGAGTCTGGGTCTGTCACCCAGGCTGGAGTGCAGTGGTGCGATCTCAGCTTAATGCAAGCTCTGCCTCCCAGGTTTAAGTGATTCTTCTGTCTCAGCCTCCCGAGTAGCTGGGACTATAAGCACCCACCACCACGCTTGGCTAATTTTTGTATTTTCAATAGAGACAGGGTTTCACCATGTTGGTCAAGCTGGTCTCGAACTCCTGACCTCATGTGATCCACCCGCCTCAGCCTCCCAAAGTGTTGGGATTACAGGCGTTAGCCACCGTACCCGGCTGAGCTCTGTTATTTTCCAGTGCATGTTGTTCCTGAATTTTATCCACGCATTCTTTTTTTTTTTTGAGAAGGAGTCTCACACTGTTGCCCAGGCTGGAGTGCAGTGGTGCGATTTCAGCTCACTGCAACCTCCACCTCCTGAGTTCAAACAATTCTCCTGCCTCAGCCTCCCAAGTAGCTGGGATTACAGGTGTGCACCACCACGCCTGGCTAATTTTTGTATTTTTTTTGTTTTTTTTTTGAGACAGAGTCTGGCTCTGTGGCCCAGGCTGGAATGCAGTGGCGTGATCTTGGCTCACTGCAAGGTCCGCCTCCTGGGTTCACACCATTCTCCTGCCTCAGCCTCCCAAGTAGCTGGGACTACAGGTGCCCGCCACCACACCCGGCTAGTTTTTTGTATTTTTAGTAGAGACGGGGTTTCACCATGTTAGCCAGGATGGTCTCGATCTCCTGACCTCATGATCCGCCTGCCTTAGCCTCCCAAAGTGCTGAGATTACAGGTGTGAGCCACCACGCCTGGCCAGTTTTTGTATTTTTAGTAGAGATGAGGTTTCACCATGTTGGCCAGGCTGGTCTCGAACTCCTGACTTCAGGTGATCCGCCTGCCTCGGCCTCCCAAAGTGCTGGGATTACAGGCGTGGGCCACCGTGCCCGGCCATCCATGCATTCTTAAACAAGGCTTTGGAGGGACTGTCTCTTTCTTTTCCCTCCGCCAACGCTTGTCTCACCTCATTGTTGCTAAACACAAGGGGCACTTGTTCTGCTTGTGGGACCATCTGAGCATGTGTAGGCTAGCCACTCCCTAGCGCTCCTTGTCACAGCTATAGTTGGCTAAGAGGTTGCAATGATTCACTGAAATTAAATATAGGGCCAACGTAAGATAATAAAGCTGTGGTTAGCCATACTGGTGTGCTCATAAGGAGCAGATTCTTTTTTAGAGAGACAGGGTCTTACTCTGTTGCCCAGGCTGGAGTGCAGCGACACAATCACAGCTCACTGCAGCCTCCATCTCCTAGGCTCAAGCAGTCTTCCCACCGCAGCCTCCCGAGTAGCTGGGACTATAGGTACACACCACCATGCCCAGCTCATTTTTTTGTGTTTTTTTTTTTTTTCTTTTTGGAGGCAAGGTCTCACTCTGTCACCCAGGCTTGAGTGCAGTGGTGCAGTCATAGCTCACCACAGCCTCAAACTTCTGGCCTTAAGCAGTCCTCCTGCCACGACTCCCCGAAGTGCTGGGATGACAGCAGTGCGCCACTATACTGGCCAGCAGCTGATTCAGAAGCAGCTGTTTGCATGGGGCCCTTCCCTGGATGGCCGTTCTTTTGTGGTTCTTGAGGGTAAAATAAGGAGTATTGACAATTGGAGCAGCAGGAAGGGAGAGTTCGGGGCTGTGACGTCCACTGAGAAGTGGGAATCTGTGCATCAGCCTGATGTTTCCCTACCCCGGTTCACTGCCTGTTAATATCTCAGCCAGGGGAAGGAGGACGCACACACACCCCGGAGCCATGGGGTTCAGGTGTGGATTGTGGAGCTTCCACCATTCACAGCAGCACACTAGATAAGGATGGTCTTGCTGCTGTGTCGTGTGTGGGCCGGCAGCATTGGCATCTCCTGGGAGCTTGTGAGAAATGCAGAGTCTTGAGCCCTGCCTGGCCCCACTGAGTGAGAACGTGCCCTTTAACAAGATCAGTAGACAGTTCTTACACGTCAGCGTCTGAGAGGCACTGGCTTAAGGGTAAGTTTTCCAGTTTCATTAACACAATTAGAATTTGTGGCCAGGCTCAGTGGCTTGCACCTGTATTCCCAACACTTTGGGAGGCTGAGGCGGGCAGGTCGCTTGAGCCCAGGAGTTTGAGACCAGCCTAGGAAACATAGTGAAACCCCCTCTCTACAAAAAAAAAAACCACAAAAATTAGCCAGGCATGGTGGCATGTACCCATAGTCCCAGCTACTCAGGAGGCTGAGGTTGGGGGATCAATTGAGCCAGGGAGGCTTAGGTTGCAGTGAACCGTGATCGGACTACTGCACTCCAGCCTGGGTGACAAAGGGAGACCCTGTCTCAAAAAAAAAAAAAGAAAAAAGAAAGAAATTTTGCGTTTTACTCTGCAGAGTCCATTGTTTCCACCGTGATTTGAGTCCCGCATGTGTAAACTGTCAAGGGCTGACTTCCGCCTTATTCATGGGTGCTTTTCATTTGATGGAGACCAGCCTCAGTTTTCTATGTGGTTAGAAAAGAGAACCGTTATATGATAATCCAAATATCTGACTGTCTCAAAATGCATTTATGGGCTGAGTACGGTGGCTCACACCTGTAATCCCAGCACTTTGGGAGGCGAGGCAGGTGTATCACCTAAGGCCAGGAGTTTGAGACCAGCCTGGCCAACATGATGAAACCCCGTCTCTACTAAAAACACAAAAATTAGCTGGGCGTGGTGGCAGGTGCCTGTAATCCCTGCTACTCGGGAGGCTGAGGCAGGAAAATCACTTGAACCCAGGAGGCAGAGGTTGCAATGAGCTGAGATTGCGCCACTGCACTCCAGCCTGCGCAAGACAGAGCGAGACTCCGTCTCAAAAAAAATTGATAAATAAAAATGCATTTATGTTTAATTTGAGTGCATTTTAGGAGAGCAGATGTAGCTTCCTACTCGTTTTGTTTGACCAACACTGAGATGGGTGCGCTTTCTCTGAGCACACGCTGGTTAACGAAAGGGGAAAATGCCCAGAAGTTTGTTCATTTGCCAGGAAAGCCAGCCTCTATTTGCAGTAGCCCATCAGCAATACGGAATGTGGACACCTGAGTCAGATGCATCTTCACAAGCGTTCCAGAAATTACTGCAAAAGCCTGCAGATACACATATTTCATCTGATGCTGTTATTGAGAGTAAATAAGGACCAAGATGTTTTCTACAAAACATAAATGAAGATTGCATAAGCCAAGTGATCTTCAGCCTTCTGCTCCATTTTTGAGTCTTTAAATTTGGGAAAGAGTGTTGGCCCCTTGCAAAGAGTGATGAGAAGTGGCCTGAAATCATGTGAGCATGTTATCCATCCTAGTGGTGGCGACACCAAGATGGAGGTCCCCGGTCTCCATCCCTCTCACACACAGCAGGGGATGGCCTGAACCATGAGCAGCCTCGCTCCAGAAGTGCAGAGGGATGAGCGAGCGCCCCGCTGATACGTGGGAGGTGATTTTCTTCTTGGCCTCAGACCTTGGCGTCAGTATGCTGAGACAGAGCAAATTCAGGATGTCTTAAATTCAGGGGCTGGTTCCATGCTGACTTCAGCATCAAAAACTAGTGGGAAGTCAGAGAGCTGGAGAACCAAGACCTCTTAGGGTTCGTGCCCTTATCCAGGCTCAGACCTCCCCAGGCAGGGGTCAGGAGGCGCAGGGGAAGGACATGGGCTTTGGAACCAGGAAGGCTGGATGGAACTCTGGTTCACCACTCTCAAGCCGGCGTGTGATTCTCCAAGCCAGGCTCCTCGCCTTTGAAATAATAGTAACACCCTTTCCTCATGGGACCGCCCGGAGGCTGAGATGAGCTGATGGGAGTTGGGGTCTGTGCTTGGCTGGGGAATATTTCGTTAGTTCCTTCTCCTTGCTCTTCCCCTGTTGCTCCAGGGGATTGAAAAGGGTTTTTTTTTTTTTTCCTCTGCTCTTTTTTTTTTTTTTTAGGGAGGACTTGGATCAGGAGGAGAAAGCCAAGTTTGGAGAGTACTGCAGCAGTGAAAATGGAAAAGGCCGGGAGTGGTTTGCTCGATACGTGAGTGCCCAGGTAAGGGCGAGGTGATGGGAAGGATGGGCGTTTACTCTCAAGGAAGAATCTAGTGAAGCATAACAAATTTGACTTTATCCTACAATGACACTCTGGAGAAAAGAGTCAAGGGAAAGGACCCAACAGTAAAAAAAGTAAAACTTATCCAAAAATACTCTGAAAAGGAGTGTTTAGAATAGTAAGAAACAGTCTGGGCACAGTGGCTCATGCCTGTAATCCCAGCAGTTTGGGAGGCCGAGGTGGGAGGATCGCTTGAGCCCAGGAGCTTGAGACCAGCTTGGGCAACATAGTGAGGTCCCCCCTCCCCGCATCTCTAAAAATTAAAAAAGAATAGTGAGAAACAGGAAGTAGCTCATTTGGATGTCGCACTTCAAGGGAAAGAGTAAGAAACTGGGCTTTCAACTTTATGAAATTCCGGAAAAGCTCAGTTTTTAAAGGCAAGCATGTGAATTATGTGCGTGCATATTTTTATTAACCCATAATACTCAGTGTTTTGTAAAAAACAAAAAATATTCAAGACCATGACAGCCATGTGAAGAAAATATATTAACAAAGTTTAGAAAAGAATTAAATTTTGTAAATATCCAATAGGTTCTTTTTTTTTTTTCCTGAGTGGCCTAAGTTTTTAGTTTTTGAGTATTTTAGTGCAAATAATTTATTTTTCATGGAAAAGTTAGAAAATGCAGATGAGCAAAGAGAAGTTAATTACCCACAAATGCACAATTTGGAAACAGCCAGTGTTGTCACTGTGGGGTATCTTTCTGTGTGTGGGTGTGTATGAAGTTCCTACTTTTAAAAATCTGGGAAGGACACCGAGGGGAACCCCTGCATGTGCCCTGCCCAGTGATGGTTGGGTGCAGGTGGCTACACTCTGCCCGGGTCCTGGCAGAAGGGGTGGGTTCTATAGTGCAGAGGCAGCAGACATCCTGGGCCCCCATCCCAGCTGCATTTGGAAACACTGAGAGTGCAAAGCCTGCAGCTTCACTGAGTGCTGCGTGTGTCGCCCTGAACCTCAATGATGTGTCTGCCTCTTTCTGGACAGCGCTGCAACTCCAAGTGTGTCTCAGAGGCAACCTTCTACCGCCTGGTGCAGTCTTTTGCAGTGGTGCTGTTCGAGTAAGTAATGCCGTGGCACAAAGCCTTTGTCCTGGCAAGCTCCTCTTCCCTCCCTGCCTCCCTCCCCACCCAGCCGTGTCATAACCCAGCTGTGAACCATATCCACACTAGTCATCAGGTTGCAGTTGCTCTGCTACGCCCAGCATTCAGCTAAAAGGCACAGTCGTGACCTCCATCTCGCGGGAGCAGGGCTGGCAGTCCTTAGCTGGCAGCGAATGAGAGGGCTGCCGCTGCGTGTGAGGAGCATCCTCTGTGTGGGTCCTCAGGGCCAGATGGTGATGGTGCACTGTGGCCCTGCCCTCCCCGGGAGATCTGGTACTTTCCCGAGTTCCTATTGTAGAGTACTTCAAACTCAACCACCCACCCCACTAGCATATAAACACTTAATGATATGTTGGGAGGACTGTAGCTTTCCCTGCGAACACTGATTAGGCACTGCTGGGGCCTTTTATCACAGGAAGCCCTTGGTAGGCGGTGAGGGGTGGTGGAAAGGGCATGGCTGCCAGCTGGAGATTTGGGGCCAATCCCATCTCTGCCCCCGCTCACCTGTGAGATTAGGGAGCCAGACCCCATGAGGCATAGACCCTCTTCTCAGGAGCATGACTCTCTGGGGTCAACAGACCAGCTTCATGCCTCCAAGGTGTGAAATGGAGGGGATGCCTCTTGGCCTTGGGGAGGCTGGGCAGTGGCCTGACCGACCCGGAGCCTCGAGAGGAGGATTCTGGGGCTGGGAGCCCTGATCTGGGCATATCTGTACCCCACTATCCTCGTCTCCTGCAGAAGGCCTCCAAGCAGTCCCTGCTTTGGGCCCCACGTCCCCTCCTGGTCCTTGGCTCATCCCATCGCCACCTTCTCACATCACTGCCTTTGTTTTGTCCTTCCAGGCCTGAAAAATATCCCTCCTTTACTTCCTTGTCTCCCAACCAAAAGAAAGCTGCTCTCTTGTGTCGTTTTTTTTGTTTTGTTTTGTTTTTGTTTTTGTTTTTGTTTTTGTTTTGAGACAGGGTCTTGCTCTGTCACCCAGGCTGGAGTGCAGTGGGATCTCAGCTCACTGCAACCTCCGCCTCCCGGTTTCAAGCAATTCTCCTGCCTCAGCCTCCTGAGTAGCTGGGATTACGGGCACGCACTATCATGCCCAGCTAATTTTTGTATTTTTAGTAGAGACAGGGTTTCACCATGTCGGCCAGGCTGGTCTCGAACTCCTGACCTCAAGTGATTCACTTGCTTCAGCCTCCCAAAGTGCTGGGATTACAGGAGTGAGCCACCACACCTGGCCATATTCCATTTATATATACATATATATATACACACATACACACACACACACACGTATATATACACACATACACACACACACACACACACATATATATTTAGTAGAGATGAAGTCATCAGGCTGGTCTCAAACTCCCGGGCTCAAGGGATCCTCCTTCGTCAGCCTCCCAAATTGCTAGGATTACAGGCGTGAAACACCACACCCAGCCTGCTCTCTTGAGTCCCAGTTCTCCTGCTTCATGTCTCTCCACTTTCTCTCTTTCTCTTTGAACTTGGGCATATACTGGAAGAAGACCAACAAAAGGAGTATCCCTATTTTTCCTGCTCTTGCTCAGGATACCCCAAGTCCAAGATCCATTTCCCCTCTGAGGTCTGGCCTTCAGAGCTGGCCAGGGGAGGGCTAAGAAACCACTGAAAGAGGTTGAGTGAGCCCTCACCTTTGGCCAAGAGGGCGGTGGTTTAAAACAGGCCCTCCAGATTGCCTTTTATGAAACATTCTCTCATGCAATTAAGATACTTCAATTTCCGACATTTGCAGTCACAGGCATTTTCATGAAGTCCCATTTTGCATAGTTCTAATTCTCCATTTTCTTTCTTTCTTTTTTTTAATTTGCACTAGGCTAAAAGTAATTCTCCATTTTCCTTTGAGTTTTTTGTCCTATATAAGTAACGTTGGGGAGGGAGGGGATTAAAGTCCCAACCCTGCCAAAACACAAAAATTCTTGCCATCACTTGGTCCCTGAGCATATATATGTTTGTATAGTTGCAAAAACAAAGTGAAACAAAAACCCTTTTACTATTTAGACAATATGGGATTTTTTAGTTTTATAATCTTTAGTTTGTTAAACATCTAAAGTAAAAAGTTAATTTTTACTTTTAGTCTTTTATAGTTTTATTACTAGTTTAGTTGATTAGTTTTTTATATAAAAAGATAAAAATGGCCTTTAATCCCACTGTCTAGATAATTTCTTTTGACTTGTAAAGTAATAATTGTCCAAGGTTAAAACCCAAACAGGAAAGAAAAGTCTAAAAGGGATCAGGATAGAAAGGCAAAGAAACCTACAAGGCAAAGGAATGGCCCGACCCAAGACCAAGACCTGTTGAATCAGAGGCTCCACCTCCTGACACCCCACTGCGAATGCTGTGGGCGGGAGCCTGAGAGCCAGGGATGCGGGGAAGGTCATCCAGCTTACTGCTAGTTCCCGAGAAATCAAGGGCTGGAGGGCTGGGCGGCCTGAGCCACGGGTTTTCACTGAGACTTGAGGGCTGGCATCTCATCCTGGCTCTGCTCCTGGGCGTCAAGTTGAGCTTCCCAGGCCTGGGCTTTCACCTTTCCAGTGAAAGAAGCCGGGCAGGCAGACCACAAACTCCTTCCCGTTCAGAATCAGTCCCAGGCCGTGTGCCTACGTGTAGTTCTCCTAATGGAACTTGGGGAGATTGTTTTGTGCATCTCCAGTGGGGAAGATATTAATTGGGACGCATGTGTCAAGTGTCTCAGTGATGTCTGACCGACTTGCAGGAAGAAGCAGGTGGAGCGATCTTTAGCCATGAGCCTTGCCTCTTGTTTCAGGTGTCATCAGATGGATGACTTTGGGCCTGCCAAGAACCTCATGACCATGTGCTTCACCTACTACCACATCGGTAAGACATGGGTGGGCTGATGTGGGGCTCACCTGAGGCTAGTCTGCTGATAATATGGTGTCAGAGGAAGCTTTCTTCATGATAAAAAGCAAAAGCTATGGGGCCTCCAGAGAACAGAGGAAGCTGATGTTAGGGAGGAGTGAGACTTCGGAGAAAACACAGTCCGAATCATGGGGCAGGAGGTTGACTGCCCAGGGTACGAAGGAAACTCTCCTGGGGCAGTAGGTTGACTGACCAGGGTGCAAAGGAAACTCCTGAGCTGGTAGGAGATGAGAAAAGAAACAAGCTAGGCAGGACATTTCATGGTGGAAACAGGAACTGCTGGACATGAAGTTATCAGTTTTATGTTTTACCAAAACAAGACGACACAGTTGGTTGTTGGAGGGTGGTGGGGAGGAGCAGCGTAGGATCTGAAGCTGCAGAGAGTTCCCAGGGATGGGCTGGAGATGGCTTATGAGGAGTGCGGACTGTGCTTGATGCTGAGGCTAGGACATCTCTTCCGCCTCATTGCGTTGGCACTTTCTCGTATGTTGGAGCTCAAGGGCTTCCTGCGTGAGTCTCCTTGGGCTGCAGCAACAGGACTCATTCAGGCCACCATAGGTGGGAGGTTGCTGGAAGCCTCCTCGTGGACTGGAGCTAGGTCAGGGAGGTGCTAGGCCCTGGTCCCCCGTGCTTTCCTCTCTCGGGACCCGCGTGCTCACTCTTGGGGTGTATGTATCCCCTCCCCCTCCCACAGCCATCCTCTCCGCACCCCTCAGTTCAGTTGGTCCAACTGCCATGGCTGGTGTCCCAGCCTCACCAGTGGGCAGGCCCTTCCTGCCAGGCCACACGTCGGCTGCTTTGGGTGGGGTAGGAACCCCCCAGTACAACCTGTGGCTCCTCCTTTTTGAAGAACGGATAGACACATAATGAATAGACACTGCTTCCTGAGACAGGGCCACCCACAGCAGCTTCAGCTAGCGAGGACACCCCACTGGGACCTGCAGAGGGCCTTTGACCTATAGTGGGCACTGAGGCCCGTGGGGGTGCCTCATCCTGTGGGGGTGCCAGGGCCTCATGTCCATCCACTGGCTAAGGGAGTTTGGGTGCTGCCCAGACTCCTCCTCCAGGCCCCCCCCCAACCCGGTGTCTCCACACTCCCATTCCAGGGGCCTGGTGCCCAGCTGGCTTCTGCCTCCCTGGCACTGGCATGGTCGGGCCTCTGCCCTCGCCTGCCTGCAGACCCTGCCACTTGGGCCTCGCTCCTCCTGCTTGCATCTACTTTGCTCCCTCCCTGCTCCTAGTGGCTTCTCAGTGCACAGCAGGTGCTGGGGGCACTCACGGGGAGCAGGGCCCCCACTTCCTCATCCTGGGCCGGCTGAGCCTGCACCACCCCCTGTCCTCGGCTGAGGAGGGAGGCTCCCGTATCCCCACTGCACAGGACCCCTGCGGGGCTCCCTCTGGGCCTCTGCAGTTAGCAGGCGCATACCCCAGCCTCACTGGCCTCGTCTTGTTCCCTCTCTCATCCAAGGAAAACCACAGCTGCTGCCCCCGGAGTCCCGGGAGAAGCCCGCGGGCAGCATCGACTCCTACCTGAAATCCGCAAACAGCTGGCTGGCCGAAAAGAAGGACATCGCCGAGCGGCTGCTGAAGAACACCTCGGCCAGGACTGAGAATGTCAAGGGCTTCTTCGGGGGGCTGGAGACCAAGCTGAAGGGGCCCCTGGCCAGGAGGAACGAGTACGTGTGGCCTTGGGGTCCCTCCCACCTGCAGGGGACTGGGGAGAGGCTGGTGTGGAGCTCGGACGGGGGCAGCAGGGAGGGTGCGGGTGAGGCCCAGAGACTGTCAGGAACACTGCGCTGCCCAGCCACTTCTGCCCCCACGGCTTGCTATGGTCTGCAAAGCCAAGCCCCCCCCACTGACATGCAGGGATGTCCCTGGGGGCCACACTCCCTGGGACTGATGAGGAGCCCAAGGGATTGTCAGATGGCAGAGGGAACTGCAGCCCTCCCTTCTGTCTCCTCTGTCCCCTCCATCCCCTGGCTGGACCAACAGTGAGTGCTTGTGGAACACGGTCTTGAGTCGCAGGAGAAAAAACACTGTCCCCAGGAGAGCAGGGCTCTGACAGACACTCGAGGAATGCTTTGGGGACGGGCACATCAGAAGTAGACGCGTAGAAGCTAAGACTTCCACAAGGAAGAGGGATGCGGCAGCCAGAGGGAGCCCCCGGGGTCCCCTGTTCCCACTCATGGCTGGGCCACAGCCGGGTGCCTTGGCCTCCTCCTCTACCCCATTCAGCTTTGGATTCAGAGAAAATGACATAAAGAAACCTCAATGCCACATTTCCTGAATTCTGAAACACTGGCAGTTGACAAATAGAGCCTTGATTTCATAAAAGGCTTTTCAGAGCAAGCCGTATTAAATGTACCCAGTCCCACCTTAGAAGTGTAGAACAGCGTCTTTGAGTTGAGAAAGTGTGGTGTGAGTCGCGTGTGTCATCATTGTGCCTTCTCTCCCTCAGGGAAGACGAGAACAAACCCCAGGAGAAGCGGCCCAGGGCTGGTGAGTCTGCCCAGGCAGCAGCAGGAGACGCCCAGCCCACAGCCCCTCAGCCAGCACACAAGCAGGTGCACGGCCTCTGGGGCTTTCCTGCCTCCACGGAGCATGGGCACCTTGCCCTGGGTGATGCCCCAGTTGCTTCCCAGCTCCCGTGGTTGTATTTTCTCACTGAGTTTCTGTGGAAGAGCCAGTTTTCTCAGGAGGAACTAAATTCCTTATCCCAGGAAGGCTAAGGGTTACTGCGAGGGGCTGTGGCCATGCTACGGAACCATCCCTCAGAAGAAGTCCTTATTGCCGGGTGGGAATAGCACCGTTACTGGCTATGGCTAGCAGAAAAGCCACGGTGGGGTTTGCATCACGTGTTTCAGTGACATTCGGGGAGAAACTGGCTGCTGGGAGGCTGTCACCCGGGGTTTGCCAACAGTGGGTGCGCAACCAGAGCTGCTTTCAGCCATTCTCTCTCCTCCCACAGTGACCGCGTACAGCCCCGAGGACGAAAAGAAGGGGGAGAAGATCTACCTGTACACGCACCTGAAGCAACAGCCCATCTGGTAAGGCCGAGCCCGCGGCTTCCCGTCACCCTCTTACTGACGGGGCCAGCAGTCACTCCCCGGGATCACTTCTAGCTGCCTTTGTCCCCATCAGAATGGCAGAATTCTCACACTCACCAGAGTGGCAGAATAAAAAGATGAACACTCACAGGCGTTGGTGAGGATGTGGAGAAACTGGAGCTCTCCTGTATGGCTAGGAGCAATGTAAATGAGCAGCCGCTGAGAAACAGTCTGGCAGTTCCTTTAAAGGTGAAACACAAGAGTTACTCTGTGACCCAGCAGCTCCACTCCTAGGAGTCGCCCAAGAGAAAAACATGTCCTCACAAAACCTTGTACACAAATGTCTGTAGCAACGTCGTTTATTATGGCCCCGAGGTGGAAACCACCTTCATGGCTGTCCAGTGATGAATGGGTAAACAAAATGTGGTCCATCCGTTGCATGGACTATTAGCCAGCCATGAAAAGCAATGGCATGCTGCTCCACGCTGTAGCAGGGATAGACCTGGGAAACATCGTGAAACTCAGTGGAAGAAGCCAGACACAGAAGCCCAAGTATTGTATCATCCCTATGAAATGTCCAGAACTGCAGATTCCTAGAGACACAGCAGATGACAGATTGCCCGGGCAGAGGGTGGGGAATGGGGAGCAGGGCGTGACTGCTGATGGGGATGGGGCTTCTTTATGGGGTGAGAGAATGTTCTGGAAATGGTGGTGGCTGCACAACTCTGTGAATACACTAAAAATCACTGAATTGTATGTTTTAGAGGGTGAATTTCATGGCAAGTGAATTATATCCTAATTAAGCTCTTACATATATATACGTGAATGGAGGTCATGGTTGAAGTGTGAGACCAGTGTTGCAGGGGAAATCTTGGCCGCCCTGGCATATGGCCTGGCTCCGCAGATGATGGTCGTGCTGCGTTAATCTCTCTGAAGCCTCTCCTCGACATATTTTAGAGTGCTTTGCTAGCACCTGGAATCAGTGTCAGACGGGCCCTCCCTCCCCTGAAGATCACAGTTGGCTGTGGTGCATTTTGCCCGTTAACCAAGCAAGGGTTACTTGAGGAGCTTGGCCAGGGAGCGCTGCCGGGACCCAGAGGGCAGAGGGCAGAGGGCAGGGCCGGAGCTGTCAGGAAGGCCCTTGAGGAGGCTGGACCCGGTTCCCATGGAAGCAGAGGACGGGGAGAAGCTGGCCCGCTTTGTCCCGCTGTCTGGTGATTCAGCTCAGCTCCTCTGTCCTTGACTTGGCTGCTGTCTTTTCATTGTCACTTGGCAAACTTTTCTGTGAAAGGCCAGATAATAAATATGTTAGACTTTGCGGGCCAGATGGTCTCTGCTGCAGCCACACCACTATGCTGTTGTAGCGTGAACACCACCAGAGACGTTGTATAAATGGATGAGCGTGGCTTGTTCCAATAAAACTTTATTTACAGAAACAAGCCACTGGCCCGCTTCAGCCTACACACCATCGTTTGCCAACCCCTGATGTTCTTTAAGAAGAATTTTTCTGCTGGGCACAGTGGCTCATGCCTGCAATCCCAGCACTTTGGGAGGCCAAAGCGGGTAGATTACCTGTGGTCAGGAGCTCGAGACCAGCCTGGTCAACATGGCGAAACCCCCATCTCTACTAAAAATACAAAATAAGCTGGGTGTGGTGGCGCATGCCTATAATCCCAGCTACTCAGGAGGCTGAGGCAGGAGAATGCTTGAACCTGGGAGGCAGAGGTTGCAGTGAGCCGAGATTGTGCCATTGAACTCCAGCCTAGGCAACAAGAGTGAAACTCCATCTCAAAAAAATAAATAAATAAATAAAATAAGAATGTTTTTTTCCTTGAGTATCCCTATGAACGTTAGTTCGCTCAGCACACGAGGAGTCCCTGCCTGGTTGCCATTGATGTTACTAGACCCTGATGTAGAAAAGCACACCTTCCCAGCCCTCTGCTTCGTCTTGGGAGTCCCAACGGGAAAGGCAGAAGAAGAAAACGACCCACCTCCGTGTCCTACAGATGGTGGCTTCAACTTTGCCCGCCAGTGCCCTCCTGCCTGCAGCGCAGCCCGGGTTATCATAGCTTTCCCTCCCACTTGCGCCATCTCTCCTAAGAGATACGCAGCCGCTGGGAGCCCCAGGGAAACAGCTGTAATTAGATCAAGCCATATGCTCAGTTTTTCCTTCTCAGCCCTACCTCTCTGAGACTTCTTAGAAGCTCAGACAGATGTGAGACACTGCCCTTGTTTATCCCTCAAGGGGCCCACAACCCGTGTCCTCCCCGCCTCCCCTTGGAGAGAGTGTGACTGGGGCTCTGTCTTGCAGGCACACTCTGAGGTTCTGGAATGCAGCCTTTTTTGACGCTGTCCATTGTGAGAGGACAAAGCGATCTCCCACTACCAGGTAGGAGCAAAGTGTGGCCCCATTTGGCCTCAGGAAAAAGGACCAGGGAGTGGCTTTATTTCCCGGTTTCGGAAGAGGAGAGCAGAAGAGCAGCTGAGTGGACGTGTCTGTTTTTTCTTCACCCCCTCATGGCCCTGGTGCCTCGCAAGCTGCCTGAGGGGTCACAGCTTCATGGGTGGGGGTGCTCAGCTTGCATGAGCGCTTTCTGTCCTGGGGCTCTGGCATGACTTGGCCTGACCCTCCTAAAAATGCAAACTCCCACTAAGACCATCAGGACCCCTGCTGCTGGGCCCACCCTGCTGTTTGCTGGACAAAATCAGCATCCTGAGGATGAACGCTTGGAGCAGGGTCCTGGGAGGAAGGGCTGGCCACCATCCCCGAGACTGCCCTCGAGAGCTGGCGCCTGGGGAATGCAGTTGCCGCTCGCAACTCACCTCTTGGGTCTGCAGCCTGAGCAGACCTTCCCAGCTTCACCGAGGGCCACCTCGCACGTGGCAGAGGGGAGGGGCTGGCACCCACCCCACGGGGGCCGATGCCATAGCAAGCAAAGCTGCCGTCCACCATGTGCAGCGACATGACAGCGAGGGACGGCAGCCCCTGGGGGAGCCCCTTCCAGTCATGTGACTGAAGTCTGAACCTCTCAGGGCCCTGGTCTCCTCATTAATAAAGCACATCCCTCCCCCTGTAACACTGGGGAGACCCTCTACCCTTCACTCTTGTCAGGAGAGTGGGCAGATGGCTGCTGTTGGGGGGAAGACTCGAGTCTACCAGCACTTGCCGTGTCTCAAGTGAAATTCTTTCTTCTGGAGGCAGCTAAAACCCTCTGGGGGCAGGAGGCCTGGAGCATTGTGCCATGGCCGCATTTCCTGGGGAGGCAGAGGGGCTCGTGGAGAGGGAAAGACGCTGAGACTGCCCGAGGAGCCTCGAGAGACCCCGCTGTGCCAGGAGACCAGAACAGGGACATGCTCAGATGCCCCTAGGCAGAGGGGCGTTGCCTCTTTAGTTCTCAGACTTCTAGGAAGTGAATTTATTTCGAATATTCCTGTCTTTCTCTGTCCCGCTCCGTTTCTGCCTGTAATAACCCTCCTCTGCTTGTTCTCTTTTTACCATCCACATATCTTGCATGACTTTGACATGTTCCTTTGTTTACCTGTTTCTGCTGCCGCTCCAGAGGGGATGCTGGAGAGGAGGAGGAGAAGAGGTGTGTGTGTCCACGTGACTTTGTTCCATTTTACAGTGCGGGCTCCTGCGAAGGCCACTGCAGGGTGGGGGCTGTGCACTGTGCTGAGCTGCTGCAGCAGGCACAGCCCAGACGCAGGTGCAGCCTGGTGGCCGGCGGGGAGGGCGGCCCTGGGGAGGTGAGGCCAGCGCTAGGGCAGGCTGGCAATGCGTCCCAGAACTGGGCAGGTGGGAGCCTGCCAAGGCCGGAGCACTCCGAAATAGTCAGAAAGCAAATGTGACACCTTGAGACGCCCTGGCGACAGCATGAGCTCGAGAGGCAAAGGCGGTGACGCCGGGGAAAGCGGGCTCCAGTTCTGAGCCAGCCGTGCTCTCCACCAGCCACTCCGGCCCCTTCTGAGCAGACCTGAAAGCCTCACCCTTGGCCTTACTGTTCACACTGGAGAAGTGGGTCCCGGCTCATCTGGGAAGCCACGGGTGGGGTGCAGAGCCTGTCCTGTTTGCAACACCACCCACTCTTGGGTGTCCTGGGGCCGCCAGTTTGAGGGAGGCACGGAAGAAGGACACACTCCCACTTTCCCAGCCACTCGGATGGGGGTGCGAGGGGCCCCCGAGGAAATCCGAGAATGGGGCTGTTTCCTGCCAGCCCACAGAGGGGTCTGACTCTCTCTGTTCCCCTTTCTGTGGGCTCGAATCCTTTGTGATGTATTTTTAGAGTCGCTGATCTGCCTCTTTAAATAGAGTCCCTGAGACGATGGCTCTTTTGTTGGAGGATTCATGAAGTTGCCTCCTCTAATCAGTGGTATGTCTGTAGTGTTTATTGTCATGAGCAATCGTGTTTCTTATGCAGACTTACGGCTTTCAAAGGAGGACTTAGGCCTAACAAACACCTCCTTTCATGAACAAAGCCCCTAGGTTTTCACTGACTCTCTGGGTGACTGTGTGTTTAACCAGCCTTCCAGGAACGAGTCAGCCCCACAGCCCTAGCCCAAGGAGGGCTGGGAGCATCCCAGCGTCCTCTGAGAGCTGGTTGGTACTGCTGGGGAGGGGTGGTCTGTCCTGAGCTCAGCTGAGGGGACAGCTGGCCTCTTGGGCCTTCTCACCGAGGCAGATTCGCTTTGACCACCCATAGCTCTGCACCAGTGCACCAGCTCCTCATCTCTGACCGGCCCCTGAGCCTTCCCCAGAAGAAGGCTGAATATTGCTTTGAGATTGAGGCAGGTGGCAGGGGGCGAGGTTGGCTCCAAGTCCCCAGGCAACCTCATGCTTCCAACATGCCATCTCTTTTTTGGTAACTTCTGCTGACAGCAAGATGCCATTATCATCCTCTCTGTGTACAGAGGCAGACGATTCTGCATTTCAGAAGGTTTCCCTCTCAGCAGGCTGTTGGTCCCGTCCAGATTCCCACTGTAGCGGTGTAGATGCATGTTCAGCTCGCTGCCCAGTGTCAGAGCTTGACCAGTACTGGAAATTGAACTCTTCTAATTTTTTTTTTTTTTTTTTTTTTTGAGATGGAGTCTCGCTCTGTTGCCCAGGCTGGAGTGCAGTGGCACAATCTCAGCTCACTGCAACCTCCATCTCCTGGGTTCAAGCGATTCTCCTGCCTCAGCCTCCCGAGTAGTTAGGATTACAAGTGCCCGCCACCATGCCCAGCTAATTTCTCTTTTCTTTTCTTTTTCTTTTTTTTTTTTGAGACAGACTTTTGCTCTTGTTGCCCAGGCTGGAGTACAGTGGTGCGATCTCGGCTCACTGTAACCTCTGCCTCCCAGGTTCAAGCGGTTCTCCTGCCTCAGCCTCCCGAGTAGCTGGGATTACAGGTGCCCGCCACCACACGTGGCTAATTTTTCTTTTCGTTCTCTTTTTTTTTTTTTTTTTGAGATGGAGTTTTGCTCTTGTTGCCCAGGCTGGAGTGCAATGGTGCGATCTCGGCTCACTGCAACCTCTGCCTCCCGGGTTCAAGCAATTCTCCTGCCTCAGCCTCCCGAGTAGCTGGGATTAGAGGCACCCACCACCATGCCTGGCTCATTTCGTATTTTTAGTATAGACGGGGTTTCACCATGTTGGTCAGGCTGGCCTCAAACTCCTGACCTCAGGTGGTCCACCTGTCTCACCCTCCCAAAGTGCTGGGATTACAGGCATGAGCCACTGCGCCCGGCCTAATTTTTGTATTTTTAGTAGAGACAGAGTTGCCATGTTGGCCAGGCTGGTCTTGAACTCCTGAACTCAGGTAATCTGACCGCCTCGGCCTCCCAAAGTGCTGGGATGACAGGCATGAGCCACCGCACCCGGCCTGAACTCAGTTGTAAGAAGTGATTTTATCGTGGGCATTACCTGATCTGCTACTGCCAGTGACCATTTACCTCTTTCTTGAGACATCAGGTTAAATGTCCCAGCTTTCGTCTTCACCATGGCAAGAAGAATCGCCTCCTCATTTGGCTCAGGAAGAGGAGGGGTCAGGGCTGCTGTGCTGTACAACTCCCAAGGGAGACGTTCCCGTGTGGTCTGGGGTTGTGCAGGGCGCAACCTGCACAGCTGTGCACAGCAGGCCTGCGAGGGGTGCGGGGGTTTATGTGTCTGGACAACCCTCAGGGTGGCTGTTTCGGGGAAAGACAGTAGGAAGGAAATGGGATGGGACTCTGCAGAGTACCTGGAAGTATATTCTGGTGTCTTCGTGGGCATCCTGCCATCGGCACGAGGAGGCTGGGAGTGACCTTTGTCAGTCACCCCCATCATGCCCCTGATGTCCTGTGACCCCTGCTAAGCTGCAGCAGTGCCAGTGACCTCTCGTGGGCCAGGGGGTGGCGAGGAGCCAGGAGATCATGTTCCTTTGTTTTGTTTCTCTTCCTCTGGCTTCTCCATGATCCCAACCTCTCACCCTCTCATACATCCTTCTCCCCTTTCTTTGATCTTCCTCTCAACCTTATTTTAGTCAGACTCATCCATCCAGTTTTCTTTTTAGGGGGAAAGGGGCTCAAATTAGTGTCTCCACATTCGCAGCTGCTTCTGCAGGTAGCTTCTCAGATGGACGTGGTGTCCAGGGAGTTGTGTAAGGGTCGGGGAGGCCCCAGGCCCTGGAGGGAGGGGAAGGAGCCGGCAACACAGAAAAGCTCTGTGGCACTGAGGGGTGGGGAGCCCCCTTGTTCTGCCCTGGACAGGTGAGGGATTAACAGCACTCCCGTCTAAAGCACGCAGCAGGTGAACGCTCAGAACACCCTCCCACTTCAGGCCTTGTGCGGAGAACGCATCAGGGTCCCCGCCGGCTCCTGAAGCTCGTGCAAACCTCGGCCGATGCCGTCTTACTGGGTTTTCAGCACTTTGTTCTCACGCCTGGGTGCTGTCTTCACCATGGTCCATAGCATTCACAGGGTCACGGTCAAAGAGACTGGTGGGAAGCGTGGGGGCCTGGTCTGTGTTATTTAGGGAGGGGACTAGAGAGAGCATTGAGGGCCTCGAGAAAGCCAACATGGAGAAACCGCAGCTGAGCAGGGCACAGCCCTCTGCAGACAGGGGACAGTGTGGCCCTCAGCGCCCTCAGCCTCTGTGGAAGCTGCCATCCGCAGCTGGCCCCAGGACGACGCACCTCGCTTGGCCCATCAGGCTGGTCAGGAGACACAGGTGTGAGTCTAAAAACGTTCCCTGGGCCACCAAGGCCCGCTGTCCTGGGACGTTGGGCAGGTCCCCTCCCTCTCTGGAGGTTTCTCCCCTGAGGACAGGCCCAGACCCCACTCTCCAACCGTAGTAAGGCTCTGGGGCCACCCTCGCTGCCTGTAGAGTGCCTGGATAGCCGCGTGGTGCTCCGTGCCTTCAGGGCCATAAAGAGCACTTTCATTTCCACGTCTCTTTATCTTATGAAGAGTGAGATGAATGTTGGGGACCCCAAGCGCGGTGTGAGGATCCCGGCAGGCCTTGTGGAAGGCCCAGCACACGGCTCTCCGGTGGAAGGCACCCCCTTCTGTGCCCGGTGGGGGCCGTACATGGGTGCCGCCAGCACCTGCGGGTCAGAACAGGGCGAGGAGCTGGGGCAAGGACAGCACCATCTGAGCCCCGCTTCTGTCACCTCCTGTGCTTGCAGGGAGAAGTGGTGCCACATGACCCAGGAGGAGCGCGACGACAGCCTCCGGTTCAACGAGAACATCACCTTCGGGCAGCTGGGGTAAGGGCCAGAGTGGGAAAGCGGGAGGGGAGAGGGGGGAGGGCCCACCCTGTGAGCTGTCACACCTGGTATCACACCCTGGGGTGTGATGTCAGCCTGCTCTGAGGCATGGGGTTCATCACACTTGGCCTCCATGCCAGCTCATAATTAATCCGCCTCCTACACGACCCCTGGTGGCCACAGTGCCACAGTGAGAGTTGCTGGTGGCTAATTAGGCAGCAGTGCGTTTTAGTTTCTGCTGACAATTCCAGGCAGGCCATGGTGGGCGTCCCAGAGACAAGGGCCCAGCTCCCCGGCCCTTTCCCCTGGGAGGCCAGCGGGTGACGCTCTTGGGGTTTCTCCTGCAGCACATTCACGCACAACATGCTGGCCTTTGGACTGAACAAGAAGCTGTGCAATGACTTCCTGAAGAAGCAGGCTGTGATTGGCAACCTGGATGAAGGTGCGTCTGGGGGAGGCTGCTGGCAGGAGGCGGGCAGGGCTGGGGTCAGGAGCCAGTGCTGTGCCCGCTGGCGCTTCTGCACTGCCAGAAGGCATGTCGTGTTGCAGTCGGAAACGTGGTGCTGAGCTCTCGGCAGACGGCCCCTCCTTTCTCCCCAGTCTGTATAGACAGACGCACAGGACACCTCTCGTTCCATTTGGAATCCATTTCTGCTAGATGGGATTGCGGGCATTGGGGCCATAGCCTGGGTGTTCACAGTCAGGGCAGAGGAAGAAGGGGGACGCGGCACTGGGACTCAGCTTGCACGGAGCCAAACTCTGGCCCCAAGTTGCCCCCTTCTAAATGGCTGTCACGTGGCATCCTTTTCTTTCTCAGACCACACTGCCATCATGAGTATCGGGGGACAAGGGTGGTGAGGAGTGAGTTTTGAGGTTTTTCTAGAATCTCTGGCTTCTGTGACAGCAGGGAGTTGCTGTGACATTGGCGCCCCCCTTGCTGGGGGCCCGTCCCTGTGTGCCCCCGCCATCTGCCACAGGCGTTGGTTCTTCTTCATCGAAAAGGACTTACACTTAGGCGTGGGTACGGATTGACCCATATTCTTTAGAGAATCCCATTCTCTACCTAATTCAAGGGATCTGTGGTGGAGTGGCCTCAGGAGGCATGAGAGTGCCAGTGGCTGCTGGACGACCTCAGAATGTTGCTCGCAGCCCCACCTCACTAGCAAAGGGCAAGGGGGATGCTGCCACCTCTCCCGCTCCCCAGGTTGGCTGGACTGACTGCCCCTTGCCTTTCACAGGCTGTAGGGGCTGAGCCCCATGACACCATTTTCATAAGAAGGTGCGTTTCCCAGTTTTGAGGGCTGCTTCCAGCCACCTGCTTGCCCCACAGGCGGCGTGCTGGCCAAGAGGCTGTGTGTGCAATGCGCCCTCATGGCACAGCCCTGCCCTGAAGCACGCAAGCCGTGTGGCCTGCAGAAGGCAGTGTGGTTCAGGAGCTGCAGCCCTGCTCCCAGGGAGGCCCGATTCGTCCCTGTCCGAGTGACAAGAGCAGGATATACCTGTCCCTGTCACTGTCTTTCATCTGAGAAATAACATCACTTTCTCTTCCAGAGCAATACAAGCTGCTTAGTGACCACATTGAGCAAATGGCCACTGAGTAGGCCCCAGAGGTCGCACTCCGCAGGAGGACTGAGGCCATGTGCCATTCTCCCGGGCCCAGCGCCCGGCCGTCACCCCACCCGATGACCTGCATGAAGCCAGCAGCACCCAGAGCCACTCCTGCTGCCCTAGAACTAGCGGTTAGAAGAATCCGCTGTTCCTCCCTCATCTCCTCTGCCTGTGTCTGCGACCCCCATCCATGTGCCAAAGTGTCCCTTGGGTCACACAGCTAAAGCCGAGGTGACCAGTTGTACCCCGAGTGCCAGGCTTGTGAGATGAGACCAAGAGGGAGGAGGGGAAGGACTCCATGGGCCATCGTGGGCCAAGGGCTGGCGAGGGTGGGGGCGGGCAAGGGATGCAGGCAGGACAGCCATGAGGTGGGGCTGCAGCCGGCACACCCAGTGGTGGAGGGCCGGCGCTGCCACTCACGGTGGGTGGCCGTGGGCCACCTTCCCTGCAATGGGTGCACACGCGGCTCCCATCCAGCCCTCTCAGCGTGGGGCTGTGGCTGGTCCTCACTATTCCCCAGTCTCCCGCTGTGGGGCAGGAACAGGAAGTGACGGGAACCTTGAGGAGGAAACGCCTGTGTTAGGGAGAGAGTGGGTGCGGTGTAGAGGATGCTCTTGGCCGGCTGGAGCAAGACCTGGCTCCCACCAGAGGGACGTGTGTGTGCCTGCAGACGGCCCGGGAGCTGTGTGTCTCCGCCAGAGTCACAGCAGTGCCGAGGTGTCCGCGGCAGACCACACAGACCGTCTGAAATGCGCCCGCCTGGCGGACAGCTCCCTTCTGAAGCAGAGAAGCCTCCATGGTCACGAAGCAGCGTTGTGCTGTGTGTCCCTCGCAAGAAGCACAGGAAAGAGAAGTTTCTTTAGTAGCCACTAGACAACCACCCTTTCTGAAAGCAAACAGTGCTGCTCTTTATTCCAGACAAGGCAGGAAAGTCTGAGTTGGGAGTGACAGTGGCTGGAGAGAAGCAGATCTGTGCAACGTGCAGGGCAAGCCAGTGGCGTGGCCTCTGCCTCTAAGCGCTGAGCATTGGGCCCCTTCCCCACCAGACCTTTGTAGCTCCTCCAGCCTCTGCAGAGACTCCCTTCACCTCGCACTTACTGCCTGGGAACCACGGCCCTTCTCTTCTGTGGGTCTGTACCAGGTACTCCAGGCCAGCCCATGGGCCCGGGGCCTGACCCCAACACCTGCATGCTGGGTCCAGAGCCTTCTGTTTCACCGTGCGTGGACACTGCTAGGCCGCCTGGGGTCCCCTGCCTCCTGCCTGTCGCTGCCGTGGTCCCTGACTGCGAAATAGGCCCGCGGGGCTCTCCCTCCTCCTGCCATCCTCCCCTCCCGCCCTTCCTGGCTACCTCCTCTGACATGCGGTCAGATAAGTCCCGTCTTGTTTGTGAGTACCACAGAAACGCCTGAGAGTCACTTACCCGGCCACTGCTTGGAAGGTTTCCCTCCGGGGAATGCCTCCCTGGAATGTTCCAGAGACGGAACATTCTCTAGAGACAACAGTCTGTGCTGCAGATTGGTTGGATCACAGAATGTGTGTCTGGGGCATTATCTGAAACGTGGTGTCATCTGATGCATTTGGACCATATGCTGCCAGACTGCAGAACGGGGGAGCCGGGGCTCAGGGCCCCTGACTGCATGGTGCATGAGTGATCTCAGCCTAGCGATGCCGCTGGCCAGACCGTGACCATGCTGCCAGTGTGCTCGCCATGAGCTGGGTCAGGGCTGGGGAGTTGTGCAGGCTGGGGTGACCCTTCCCCCATCATTGGGCCCCAACGGGCATGTCTCCACCGAATCCATTTAGAGAAATGTCAGAGCGAGGGTTGTGTGGACACCCCTCGCTCTGATGCCAACTGCAGATAATACACACCTCCTGCAGCGTCCAGCCACGGCTCCAGGGCACTGCTCTCCTCCTTGCACCGGTGAAACTCAGGCCACACTCAAGGGCTGACTGTCCAGGCGCTCCCTTCAGCCGCCTCGTCGTCAGCGTTCTTAGTCATGCATTATTCGTGTTAGCTGAAATGCATTCAGACTTTGTTCTGCGGTGCCCACAGGACTTACCCCTGTATGTACAGGATTTTTGTATGAAAGTTTTGTTTGATTCTGAGACTCTCTTGGGAACGCTGGAGAGCTTGTGCACAGCCTCTGGAAGGAAAGGCAGCGCTGACTTCGTTGGGCTTTTTTCCAAGCACTTTAACTTCAGAAATGGTCTTGACACTTTTTTCTCCACATAGACTCTTGAAATAGCCATTTCAGGGGAGGAAAGGGTTGGGGTTTTCTTTGTTTGTTTGTTTGTTTCCCCCTTTACTACCTGTTCTTGTAGATCTAGCTCCTCAGAGTTGGAGGAAGGCTGACAGAGAAGGTCTCCTCTGTGCTCCATCCACACAGGATGCCGGAGAGACAGCCCCTTGTGCTGTGAGCAGAGCAGGCAGTGGCTCTGGAGGCTGCCTGTGGTCTCCTTCCGGCTGTGGCTGACAGTGGCTCTGGCCAGGGTTGCTTGGAGAAGGCTCAGTGTGCCTGGGACAGGGCTTACCACCTGCCACCAAGGTTTCCTCTCTTCCCCCAGGACCTGGGCAGAGCAGGCATGAGCTGGGCTGTGGTGCAGAGCAAGCAGACCCAGCCACACTGCTCAAAGGTCCCTGCGTGGGGAGGTGTCACACCAGGGGCACACCCAGGGCCACCTGGGTGTAGGAGAGCTCTGGTGGCCCCTCCGTAAACTCAGGAAGTGTCAGGTGATTTCCTAGGGAGAGGTTCCCAGTCCCAGCAGGCAGAATGCCCAAAACCAGGAGCACGAAGGCCTGTCATCCATGGGGCCATTGCAGGCACTCTGCCGCCCGACCTTGAGGGCTGTGCCAATCCTAGTGAACCAAAATGCAAACAACTCACACAAGTGAAAAGCTCCCTGCTTTGAAAACAGGACATGTTGACAGGCAGCATGGTATGTTTTTAGCCTTTGTTACAGTTTTAGCAACATTGATGTCTAAGAGGGGCCGTGGTAATAGATTGCATCTGCCCTGTGCATGCGCATGTTTAACCACAGGCCAGAGAACTCAATTCTGATGTCGTAAGTTCTCTGTAAGTGAAATGGGGTAGACTGTATGATTTTCCTATTGCCAAAAGAAAGAAAGGGGGCCAAACAGCTCTGAAATTTCCAAAAAATGGCTAGAGGGAGAGTCCAGTTTCTGAGCTCTGTACCCAAATTAAAATCCTGATGTTCAGGTTAATCCAAGCAACACGCATTGGGTTTAAAACCAGCACCGAGGCCCAGTGGGGGAATCACAGACATCACCAAGTCTCGTCTTCTTTCCTTCCTGTGAGTTGAAACCAAACAGGCCTCTCGCTCACTCCTCCCAGCCCAGTAATGCTGAGGAGTTCAGTTGTGAGGAAAGAAGGCTGGAGCTGTGAGATTCGCTTTTCCCTAGGCTGTTCCGCGTGGGTTACCTTATCACCCTGGAGCACTTGGTATTCCAGACCCCTGACATGAGGAATGCAGGTTCACACTGTAAAGAGTTTGTGAAAGGTTTCAGTCTAACTGGGGTTCCTTAGCTGGAAGCCAGGGCTGGAAGCTACAGGCCTGACCTTCCTGGGTCCCACTATCTGTTGGCATTTTTTTTTTTTTTTTTTTTTTAGACGGAGTTTTGCTCTTGTTGCCCAGGCTGGAGTGCAGTGACACAATCTCTACTCACTGCAACCTCCACCTCCCGGGTTCAAGCAATTCTCCTGCCTCAGCCTCCTGAGTAGCTGGGATGACAGGTGCACGCCACCACGCCCGGCTAATTTTTATATTTTTGGTAGAGATGGGGTTTCACCATGCTGGCCAGGCTGGTCTCGAACTCCTGACCTCAGGTGATCCCCCCCACCTCAGCCTCCCAAAGTGCTGGGATTACAGGCGTGAGGCATCACACCTGCCTCTGTTGGCTTTTTAGTTAGGAAGGATCCAGCTAGGCCCGTGTGGTTAGATCAGCTTTGTTACTGAATTACCTAAAACCAGACCACAGCACAGCCAGGGAGCCCAGTAGTGTTTCCAAGAACAGTGTGGAGCTTGAGAAAGAGAACTTTAAAAATTAGAGGGTCCCTTTCTGCAGAGGAAGGGATGCTCGCAGGGTGGCAGTGGCCCAGCCCCAGCCTCAGGGACGGGGAGGGAGAGCCCCCTCTGGGCCCAGCAGGCAGGTGTTCTGAGGCTGGTCCCTCCTCAGTTTCCGCAGCCACAAGGCGAAACGGCCAGATTCTCACTCAAGGTCGTTCTCACTCCTTTTCCTGTCCCGTTTCCAGTCCCACTGAGCCATTCACTTCTGCTGAACCATTTTTCTTAGGATGCAGCCGTCTCACTCCCTTGTCCTGTAAATCGTGTATTCATGTTGATGATTCTTGGAGATAGGTTTCACTTTTTCCCAGCTGCGTCCACAGGAAAGGGGAGTCGGATGCCAGCTGCACCCCGCCTGGCTCGCACAGGCTAAGACCACAGACAGAGCAGGGCTTCCCGGAGCCACACAGGCCACGCACCCCAGGAACCCTTGCTGCCGCGGGCCAGGAACAGGAATGTGTTGGTGCCTGAGACACCAAATGGAAGAAGCACATCAAGACTGTTCTCCTGCGGCCAACACTGGCCCGGAAGCCGCCCTCCATACAGGCCCTCAGGGGGCCTGCCTTCTGCGCCTCAGTCCCCCGTGCATCCCTGGGCCTGGGTATCACATGCTCTCCAGGAAAGGGACGGAATCAATCCTGTGACCGATGGGCTCGCAAGGATGGGTGCCGCCGTGGGAGCCCTGCCTCTGGTGCTGGCAAGGGATTGGGTTTGTGTGGGTGTCTCTAGCCTGCAGAGTGCAGTGAGTGAGAGTCCTTGGGAGCGCGGCGCTGCCTGTAGCTGTGCCTGGGGATGCACGTGGCCACGGGATTTCAGTGGGACAGCGCTCCCACAGGGGCTGGGGGTGGGGGTGGGGTTTCTTAGTTACTGTTGGAAAGGGAAAAATTCACCATATCCAAGGGGAGAGACGATGGGCTGGGTTTGTTTACTCCAACTTCCCTTCTACACCCCTCCTGCAGGACAGTACGATTTGGGGAGAACCCAGCTCCCCACTTTATCTGCAGACTCTGGGACCTGACAAAACAGTCAGAGCCTGAGTGCACTGCAGCCTGAACTCCCTTGAGCAGCGCTATAAGGGACTTTGCACTTTAAAAAGGGGATGCCTGTCAGTAAATCCCCTGTGCATTGACTAGAACTGGGGGGCTGCGCCCGCTCCCTCCTTAATCCTAGATGATTTGCTCATGAAATAGAGGTGGGGGACGACCGCATGCACTCTGGGAGGTGCAGCCCTAAGGGGTGGACTCCAGATCTCCCTGCAAGAGACAGCTTGGCTTGGCTTTGGCTGTTGGGGAGGAGTCCCTGCCATCCCGGTGAGCCTGGGGCTGTTGCTTAGGGTCTTCTGGGTGGACACGTGGAGAAAGAGAAGGCAAACGTTGGAACACTAGGAAAAGCTAGAAATTCAGACAACACACATGGATCCCCTTAAAACATGTAAATGTGTCAGAACACGGTTGACCTGCCGCCTTCTTGAACCTGGTGGCCCCCGTTGGAACTATCAGTGGCGTCTCCCATGCACACGCCCTCTGCTTTCTCTTTCCTAGACTCGCGGTGCTCACATCCAGACATTACCTTGTTGGTAGCCCCCAAGTGGCGTGCAGTGACACCAGTATCTTCTCTGTTGCATTTTTGCAATCTTGTGTCCCGCTCGGTGATGTTCTACAAACTCTGTTTTAAGGTTGAGAAAGTTTCAAGGGTGAAGATCTCAAAACAGTGCTAAAATCAAAGGTGTTTGCTGTGAAGAAAAACATGTGTATATATTGCACCTTGAGTTGTCAGAAGGTAGAAACTGAAATAAACTAACTTTAAAAAAAAAAGTCTGTTTAATTTTTAACACATCCATGAGGACTTTTTACAGAATTTGCAATCTTCTCAGTGATACCCATAGCTTTTCAGAAGGAAACCATTTTCTCTAAGGCCAAATAGACATTTTTCCCATGCGGGCTGAGCACCCGGGTCTTAACAGATAGAGCAGCCACGTTGGCCATGTTGGTAGTCTGTATTCATGAATGAGGGACCCCCTTTCTGGACTGGGTCTCGGCCCAGGTTCCACCAGCGCCTTGAGCCCCTCCACCTGGACACCTGACCCTACCCCTCAGAGCCAAAGCCACCTTACCTCTTTGATTGGGGGTTTTGGGGTGGTCAGTGGCCCTGACCACAGCCCCTATCCGACACGAGCAGGGCGCCTGCATCAGTTCCTTCCAACTCCGTTCTACAAAAGTATTTCAAACATCTGGGGGGTTTTCCTTTTCTCTGATTGTAAGAAGTCCACAGCCACATTCTGATACTCTGGCCTAAACAGATGGGCAATGAGCCCTGGGAAGGAGCAGGACGCAGGGGCATCCCCCAGACCCCAGGGCTGAGATGCAGGGGTCCCCTTCACGCCCGGGGAAGGAGCAGGACGCAGAGGCGTCCCCCAGACCCCAGGGCTGAGATGCAGGGGTCCCCTTCACGCCCGGGGAAGGAGCAGGGCACAGGGGTGTCCCCCAGACCCCAGGGCTGAGATGCAAGGTCCCCCTCCCCCAGCTGCCTGAGTGGAGTGCCACTCCAGGCAGAGAAGAATGGAGCAGCCTCCACGTCCCTGGCTCTCCATCTGCCCCCTCTTAGCCACACAGGGAGGGGCGGGCATGGCTGGTGGGTGCACAGCCCTGGGGCGTCGCATCTGGGCTTTTTCTCTGGTGTTGGGGGATTCCTCCCGCAGGAGGTGAGGGGTTAGACTCGGAGGCAAACTCCAGGGAGGGGAGAAACTCCTCTGAAAGGCAGCGAAGACCCCAAAGAGTTTGGGCAGCTCGGGGCAGGACCTGGAAGGGCCTGGATCCAGTTCCACCTCCCGGCAGCTGACTGTATGCCCTTAGCCAGATGGTTCTTTGAGCCTCAGCTTCTTCATCTGTGGACCAGGAAGAAGAGCATCACACGCCCTAGGCCGTTCCTGTGGGAAATGCAGGCAGGCCTCTTCCTGCACAGCTGCCCTTCAGACAGGGGCAGGAAGTTCCCTATCTAGTGAAAGAAAAAGGACCCAGCTCTTCTAATTTTTATAGGAATAAATTAAAATGTACTATTCGGCCGGGTGCGGTGGCTCACACCTGTAATCCCAGCACTTTGGGAGGCCGAGGTGGGTGGATCATTTGAGGTCGGGAGTTGGAGACCAGCCTGGCCAACATGGTGAAACCCCGTCTCTACTAATAATACAAACATTAGCTGGGCATGGTGGTGGGCACGTGTAGTCCCAGCTATTTGGGAGGCCGAGGCAAGAGAATCGTTTGAACCCAGGAGGCGGAGGTTGTAATGAGCCGAGATCATGCCTCTGCACTCCAGCCTGAGTGACAGAGCAAGACTCCATCTCAAAAAAAAAAAAAGGCAGGGAGGGAGGGCATCCCTGTGGGAGGCGGCCACCCCCACCTCTGCCTCCTCAGGGCCCCAAAAGAGAGAATTTCTGAGTTTTCTTGCCAGTTCCCAAGTGACCAGTGGAGAAGGAGTGACAGGGAAGGCTCTGGGCCAATTGTCCCACCTGTACTCCGGGACCATTGGTCTCTTTGGTGCACTGGGGCCAAAGGGGAAGGGGAGAGACCCCCAACCCAGCCGACCTTACATGAAATTGGCACCACCAATTCCAGGACCACAGCCCTGACAAGCAAGGTCATTGTCCTTCAGAAACTATCACAGAGCTGGGACTCAGCTGAGGTTTCTGAAAACACAGACATTTACATATAAGCAAATGTGTGTGTACACACAGGTATATGCGTATAAAAGTATACAAATATACACTCTAAAGCATTCATAGATGGAATATACAGATTATATAGAACATCTAGAAAGTTTTAGTTACTTCTGGAGTGTGTATCCTGGCCTGGGGGAGTCAAGTTATTTCTGGAGTGTGTATCCTGGCCTGGGGGAGTCAAGGATTCCCCAAGAGGTGCCGTGGAGCCAAATCTTGGGTAATGAAAATCACCGTGGGCCGAGCGCGGTGGCTCCCGCCTGTAATCCCAGCACTTTGGGAGGCCGAGGTGGGCAGATTGCCTGAGCTCAGGAGTTTAAGACCAGCCTGGCCAACAAGGCGAAAACCCACCTCTACTAAAAATACAAAACATTAGCCAGGCGTGGCGGCGGGTGCCTGTAGTCCCAGCTACAGGTGAGGTTGAGGCACGAGAGTCGCTTGAACCTGGGAGGCAGAAGTTTCAGTGAGCTGAGATCGCACCACTGGGTGACAGAGTGAGACTCTGTCTCAAAAAAATCACTGTGATGAAGACGCCAACCCTACCTCGATCCTGTGAGAAAGATGTGTGTCCCTCACTTTGCTAATGAAAAAAACCAGGGCACTCCACGTGGGGAATGCGAACTCGGGGCTGTCTGGCTCTAGAGCTCAGCGGTTATCTACGAGGGCAGCATGAGGGGCCACCGGGTGGACCATTCCCAGCCAAGGTCTTCAGAATGCAGGAGGCTAGCCAGGGATGAGCCCCCCACAGCGTGGATGCCCCACCCCAGGCCCTCGAAAGGATTCCACAGCTGGAACAGGCGCCCCCCCAGGATGGAAGGTTTGTGATCCTACCTAGGAAGTTGGTAGAAAGAAGCTTCTATGCTGTTCCATCTCCTCATGGAGGATTTAGCCTCATTTGGAACTTTCACTGGCTTCCGTTGTCTCAACAGAGACAAGCTGCTTTCTGGCTTTGAGATGCTGGGACCCCCGACCGGGGGTGGCCCGTTGGGGGTGCTGGGATCAGTGAAGCCAGCCTGTATCTGCAGGCTCCAGGTGCACCTTCCAACCCGGGACCATTGGGCAGTGTGTGGCCTTGAGGGACAGAGATGGCCACACTCATGGGAAGCACGGAAGCCAGTTTTTTTTGTTTGCTTGTTTGTTTTTTGAGACGGAGTTTTGCTTTTGTTGCCCAGGCTGGAGTGCTGTGGCACGATCTCGGCTCACTGCAACCTCTGCCCTGCTGGTTCGAGCGATTTTCCTGCCTCAGCCTCCCGAGTACCTGGGATTACAGGCGCAAGCCACCACGCCTGGCTAATTTTTTGTATATTTGGTAGAGATAAGGTTTCACCATGTTGGCCAAGCTGGTCTCAAACTCCAGACCTCAGGTGATCCACCTGCCTCGGCCTCCCAAAGCGCTGGGATTACAGGTGTGAGCCTCCGTGCCTGGCCACGGAAGCCAGTTCTAGGACCCAGACATCTCCACCAAGCCTCAATGTCACCAAGTCGTGCCAGGCTGGGAGGAGCAGGCTCATCTCGGCTGCCCTCAGAGACGGTCCAGAGGATTAGCTCCCCGGCTGTGCACCAGGGGCCCCAGCAGACAGCCCCCCAGTCCACACACCCCAACCCTCTCTACACTTCCATCCCCCTCTGACCTCTGTGGACTTCTGTGACAATCTTTGTCCCAAGAGCATCCCTGCACATCACGTCCATGTGTTACGGGCTGAATTTTGCCCCCAAAGGTCTATGTTGAAGTCCTACCTGCCCCCATACTTCAGAATGTGACCTTATTTGGAAATGGGGTCCTTGCTGATATAATTAGTCAAGATGAGGCCATCCTGGAGTAAGGTGGGCCTCTGATGATGGGCGTCCTTTATAGGAGGGGGAGGTTTGGACACAGGCTCAAGTGCACACTGGGAGAACACCACATGAAGAGGAAGGCCAGGTCCGGGGGATGTGGCTACAAGCCCAGGCGTGCCAAGG
The DNA here is from genome assembly GCF_000001405.40 of Homo sapiens. NCBI lineage: Eukaryota > Metazoa > Chordata > Mammalia > Primates > Hominidae > Homo > Homo sapiens. The sequence goes on from NC_000016.10 coordinate 85,098,088, forward strand.
ACAGGAGCCACTGGAAGCTGGAGGGGGCCTGGGATGGGTGCTCCCTCTGAGCCTCCAAAAAGAAACAGCCCTACTGACCCCTTGCTCGCAGATTTCTGGGTTCCAGAACACAGGAGAGTGATTTTCTGTGGTTTGAGCTGCCCAGGCAGTGGTGCTTTGTCAAGGCAGCCCAGGAAAGGAATCTACTGTGCTTGCAACATGAACACAGGGGCAGGCACGTCCCACCCAAGCCCCCAGACTAAAGGCAGAATGAGAGAGCCGGGATCAAGCTGAGAGTCACAGGGCATTTATTGAACACCTACTATATGCCAGGCACAGCGATCCCCCAGAGCAACCTGTGAAGTGAGTGATATTGGCCCTGTTGTACAGATGAGGAAACTGAGGCTCAGAGGACACGTGGCTTGCCTGAGGGCACACAGCAGAGCCCACCTGAGGATCCAAGGCCAGCTAAGTTCTTCTGACTGTTGTGGGCAGTTCTCTCTTATGGGGTCCCTGCCCCAGTGCCCTGAGGTCCTCCACGGGGGCCTCCTCCATGGAGTTGTCCTCACTCTCCTCCCCTTCTTTTCCTGGGCTCCATATGGTGCTCTGAGCACTCTAAATAATAATAATAATAAAACGACAGCAACATCAGTAATGATAATGGCAGCAACAAGTCTCAAGTGTTTGTTGCGCAACAGGCCGGGTTTTCTGTGCTTCGTATAGATCTGTTCATCTGATACTCAGCACAGCCCTACACGGAGGTTACTGTTCTAAGCCACTCTGCAGGCGAGGACTCTAAGGCACAGAGAGGCTAGGAGACTTTCCCAAGGTCACACCGCCGGGAGCAGTGGGCTCGGACCAAGAAATAGATAGCATAAAGAAAAACAATCAAAACTTCAGGAAACATTGGATACACTCACAGAAATGCAAAATGCTCTGGAAAGTCTCAGCAACAGAATTGAACAAGTAGAAGAAGGAAATTCAGAGCTTGAAGACAAGGTCTTTGAATTAACACAATCCAACAAAGACAAAGAAAAAAGAATCAGAAAATAAGAACAAAGCCTCCAGGCAGTCTGGGATTATTTTAAACGGCTTGGGATTGCACTTACCCTACGTCGTTAGAGAGAATGTCCTGGAAGCATGAGATGCCCACCCTGCCCACACACACAGTGGGCTGGCTGCCCCTTAACCACCCACTCACAGAGACTAAACCTGCCATGATTGGCATGAGGATGTTCAGGGTCTTCATTTGCCCTACTCAGCTGGACCTGCAGAGTTCCCTGCAGAAATATAAATGCACCTGATGGCAGGCCTTCCTGGGGCTGTAAGGTAACATCTAATGTATGTACCTAATCACCTCCCTAACCTCTGAGGAACCCTGGATTCTGGAACCCGCGGGCCCACGGGCTGGGATGGAGGTGTGGACCTGACTGGGGGCCTCTGTTTCTCAAGTGGCAATACCTCAGAGTGCCTCCAGGGAGTGCTCAGGACCCATGGCAGCCACGGCAGGGACCGTGTGGCCTACCACACTGGGTGACGTGGCTTCATTGATTCTACTTTTTTTTTTTTTTTCCTGAGACAGAGTCTCGCTCTGTAACCCGGGCTGGAGTGCAATGGTACGATCTCGGCTCACTGCAACCTCTGCCTCCTGGGCTCAAGCGATTCTCCTGCCTCAGCCTCCCAAGTAGCTGGGATTACAGGCATACACCACCACACCCGGCTAATTTTTGCTTTTTTTTTTTTTTTTTTTTTTTTAGTAGAGATGGGGGTTTCAACATTTTGGCCAGGCTGGTCTCGAACTCCTGACCTCAAGTGATCCTCCCACCTCAGCCTCCTAAAGTGCTGGGATTATAGGCATGAGCCACCGTGCCCAGCTTCATTCTACTTCAAGGCAAAGTTCTGGTCAGACCCCCGGGCAGCCCTCCATGCTCCCACCACCCCTGCCTCCTCAGCCTCCCATTTCAAATTCGAGTTCTCAGCCACCCTCCTCTAATCCCTGGGGTTACTACCACGGGCCTTCCAGGCCGTGCACGACATTTTAGGTGTAACCCCTCACCCACCCACACGCTCACCTGGCTGGCGAGAGACTGAAGAACAGATGGAGGGGGGCTGGTGTTGGCAAGCAGCCGAGTGTCATAATGCCCATAAACTCCTTGCATCTTGGCTCTAAAATCCTGCCGGGGAGAGACCAGGGTGGGTGGGATCCGATGGGAAAACACAGCGTGGGTTGGGGGAGTGGGATGGAAAGACGGTGGGGACGAGAAGGCCCGAGACAGCTAATGCTCATGGAACTCCACGGTCCTCTCCAGGAGCTTCCTGTTTCTTATTTCACATAATCTACAGCAGCCCGGTGAGTGGGCATTATCACCCCATTTTACAGATGGGAGAGGCCCAGAGAGGCCAGGTAACATGACCATCGTCACACAGGATAACAGCAGGATTCGAGATCCCCCTTTCCCCTAAAAAGAATATTGTGAAGTGAGTGAATGCGAGAGAGCCCCTCTGACCTGCATCAAACCTCATGGTAGTTTTAAGGCTTACTGGTAACTCAGATGATCTGATGCTTCCCCCATCAGGAGCTGGAATCAAACTCCTCTCCCCTTGAATACAGGCAGCCTCAGAGATTCACTTCTAACAAATGGAATATGGCAAAGCCACACTGGGTTACTGCTGAAGTTAGGTCATAAAAGGTGATTGAGTGCCGGGCGCGGTGGCTCACACCTGTAATCCCAGCACTTTGGGAGGCCGAGGCGGGCAGATCATGAGGTCAGGAGATCAAGACCATCCTGGCTAACACGGTGAAACCCCGTCTCTACTAAAAATACATAACATTAGCTGGGCGTGATGGAGGGCGCCTGTAGTCCCAGCTACTCGGGAGGCGGAGGCAGGAGAATGGCTTGAACCTGGGAGGCGGAGTTGCAGTGAGCCGAGATAGTGCCACTGCACTCCAGCCTGGGCGACACAGCGAGACTCCGTCTCAAAAAAAAAAAAAAATGGTGACACTCCCTCTTGGAACCAGCTGCTGTGAGGAAGCCCAGGCCCCATGGAAAAGCCGTGGGCAGCCACTGTGGCCGTAGACCCCGAGGAAGACCCAGGGATGGCAGGCTTTGTGGGGTGTAGCTCACACAGTTGCCTGGGGCTCCACACCCAGAAGGACCCTGTGCTTGGCTTAGCACTCTGATGCTGCTGTCGTGGAGATCTTAGTAATTGTTGATACGCCCCACATTTTCATTTTGCAGTGGGCCCTGCAAATCTCGTGGCCTGTCCTGTGCTCAGATGACAGCCACCTTCTGCTAGACATGAGGGAGGAAAGCTAAGAAAAGACAGCCCCAGCCTCTGACCAATGGCAGCCACATGAAGCCTCCACCTGAGAACTGCCCACGTGAGCCCCATCAACCCCAGACCCACAGAAAAGAATCATGATAACTGATTGTTGCTTTACAATACTAGGCTTGCGGAAGGGTGTTACAGATAACGCAAACAGCTCATTCTAGATTTTAACCAGATCAGAAGGGGATAAAAAGCACTTCTTTCTATTTCAAAACTACATCAAGCATCAGCCAGGAAATGCTTTTTATTGTTGTTGATCCATTTGTGTTTTTTTGTTTTTGTTTTTTTTTTTTGATGGAGTCTCGCTCTGTCGCCCAGGCTGGAGTGCAGTGGCACGATCTCGGCTCACTGCAACCTCCACCTCCCGGGTTCAAGCGATTCTCCTGCCTCAGCCTCCCGAGTAGCTGGGATTGCAGGTGCCCACCACCACGCCTGGCTAATTTTGTATTTTAGTAGAGACAGAATTTCACCATGTTGGCCAGGCTGGCCTCGAACTCCTGACCTCAGGTGATCCGCCTACCTCGGCCTCCCAAAGTGCTGGGATTACGGGCGTGAACCACCATGCCCCCGCCGATCCATTTGTTTTTAAACACCCCAGTGATGATGAATATGTTGATGTTCCAAATAGCATTAAGAAAAATTATCCTCACTTTGGCACCCACCCAGGGGCAGATATTGACAACGCTTCATCAGCATGAGTCTTCAAAGTTAGAAAAGTTGTGAAATGTTACCAACAAAAACGACTTCTATCAAGACAAAACCAAAATGAAACTCTGCCCCACTCCACCATATAGGAAACGGGGTGTCTGTGACTCACCAGTAGATCCCTCTCCAGGTCATACTTCTCCAGGGTCTGGAAGGCGCTAGAATACACCTCCACCGCTTTGGCATGGAAAACCATCTCAATAGTTACAAAGTCACAAAAAAATTTCTGTGGGGAGAGAAACCCAAAGAATGTAAGCATCGCAGTGAGAAAGAGCCCAGGGAAGCCTGGGATGCAGGCAGATGGGGTGGGGGTGTGGAGGGCTGTCCGTGTGGGGACAGGCCCCAGGTGGGGAGTTTCGACATGTTATTTTAAACTTATTTTTCTTTCATAGAGAACACATTTGCATGGTTCAAAAATCAAAACTATTGGTCAGGCACAGTGGCTTATGCCTGTAATCTCAGTACTTTAAGAGGCCGAGTCAGGAGAATCACTTGAGCCCAGGAGTTCAAGACCAGCCTGGGCAACATGGTGAAATCCTGTCTCTACTAAGTACATAAGTAAATAAATAAATAAATATAAAGTATGCCAAAGTGTCAACTGAGGAGACTTGCTCTCCATCCTCCATCCTGTTCCCTTCTTTCACTTCCCCTCTGCCTCCTGAGATCACGTTGAGAAGTTTCTGTGTATTCCCGCCTTGTTTCCTTAGATAAGCCAGTATTCTCTTCTCTTCTCCCTTTTTCACTCTGGTCTGAGCTTGCTTTTCCCCTGCTAACAATCGGTCCTGGAGATCTCTTCACAGGAGGCTTTTTTTTTTTTTGAGATGGAGTCTCCCTCTGTCACCCAAGCTGGAGTGAAGTGGTGTGATCTCGGCTCACTGCAATCTCCGCCTCCCGGGTTCAAGCGATTCTCCTGCCTCAGCCTCCTGAGTAGCTGGGATTACAGATGTGTGCCACCACGCCTGGCTAATTTTTGTATTTTTTAGTAGGGACAGGGTTTCACAATGTTGGCCAGGATGGTCTCGAACTCCTGACCTCAAGTGATCCGCAGGAGGGCTCCACTTTCATGAATGGGATTAGTGCCCTTGTAAAAAAGACTGGAGGGAGCTTTTCTGCCCCTTCTGCCACATGCGGACTCATAGCAGGCACCAGCCATGGGGAACAGGCCCTCCTCGGATGCTGAATCTGCTGGAGCCTCGGTCTTGGACTCCCCAGCCTCCAACACCGTGAGAAATAAACTTCTGTTGTTTATAAATCACCCAGCTTAAAGTGTTGTGTTGGCGCAGGCTGGATGGACTAAGACAGGTGGTGATGATTAGCTCAAGTTCTTGCTTTTATCTCTTTTGAAATGTGAAGGGCTTTCAAGGCATGGTTTGGATTCACATCTCTTACAAATTTAATCCCAGAACTTGAAAGCACTCCCACTTTTAAGCTGTGCTTCTGTTGGCCCCTGACCTGGAGAACCGTGTGGTCCATGCTCCCTGGTGCTGCCCACCCAGCCCCAGACACATCAGGTGCTGAATAACGTCTGCCGACTGTTTCAGTTTCTCCTTGCCATGTAGGCAGCGTGAGCACTAATCACTGACGCTTCATTCCCTTGTGCATTCATTCATGCAGGCGTTCACTCATTCGTTCATTCCACAAGCATTTACTGAATACCCACTAGGTGCCAGGCCCTGGACCCTGGTGGCTGGGATTCGGCAGGGGTCCTGTCCTGTGGCACTGACATGCAGTGTGTCACACAGTGACCTCACAGGCTTCTCTGCTCCACGACGTGATGAATGTGATGGATGGCACACAGCACACCACAAACCACATGATCCGTCCATCTCCTCCCGCCCCAACGGTGTCAACTCCGTGAGCTCAGGGACCTTGTATGTTGGGCATGGTGTACCCAGCATCAGGCACAGCACCTGGCACGCAGTAGGTGTGCATTCCACACTTGTTAAAGTAACACGTGAATTGAATACACAATTAACCATTCCACCTGGGATGGCAGCCCCGTGGGAGCAGAGTAGGGTGTATAAACAAGGGGCCTGACCAGTCTTGGGTCCGGGTGACTTTCCCCAAAGAATGAGGTTGAAGCCGAAGGAGAAGGAGGCACCGACTGGACGCAGATCAAGGCACAACCCTGCAAAGGCCTCGGGTAGGAATGGGCTCTGTGCACTGGAGCTTGGAGTGCCGCAGGCAGGATGAGGCCGCAGGCCTGAGCCAGGGCTTCAGGAGCCTGGAAGGGATTTTGGTTCTAATCCTTAGAACAAGGGGAGCCACCAGAGGGTGCTCAGCCCAGCGATGATGAATTGGACCTGCCTTTTAAGAGATCCCTGGGGTAGGCGCGGTGGGTCACACCTATAATCCCAGCACTTTAGGAGGCCAAGGTGGGTGGATCAATTGAGGTCAGGCGTTCGAGACCAGCCTGGCCAACATGGTGAGACCACCTCCCCCCATCTCTACTAAAAATACAAAAATTAGCTGGGCGTGGTGGTACGTGCCTATAATCTCAGCTACTTGGGAGGCTGAGGCAGGAGAATCACTTAAACCCGGGAGGCGAAGGTTGCAGTGAGTGGAGATCATACCATTGCACTCCAGCCTGGGCAACCAAGTGAGACTCCATCTAAAAAAAATAAAATAAAATAAAATCCCCATGGTGGTGTGCACCTTTGGAGAATGGACTAGCGAGGGCTCAAGAGATGGGGAAGGAATCTCTGCGATCAGCTAGTACCAAAAGACCCCGCCTCTCTGAGCTCCTTTTGTAAGAGCTGGGGCTCTGGGCCCGGGGCTTTGTGGTGCTGGGGTGGGGATCTGGGTGGCAGGAGGAAGGCACCCACACCCAGCTGCTGGGCCTTCACGTGGCTTGTTCAGGGAGGGGGTTTAGAGCTGTGAGGAGAAAAAGAGGTTAGAGCCATCCTGTGTGAAGAGGAAGTGGGGAGTGTGTGTGGAGGCAGACAAACTCTTCCTGGCTAGGAGCTGGACCTAGGGCCACCCAGTGGCTTCCGGCTGTGCTGGGACAGCTGCCCTGAGCACCAGCCTCTGATGCCCTGTGGCCAGGATTAACTGTGCCGGGAGCCTGTGTGGGCATAAGCTCACTCACGCCTTCCAGTGCTCACACGTGTACACAGACCCATACACACTCATGCTGAAGCATGCACACAGACACGTGTACACACGTGCATGCACACACACACAAGGCAGCCCAGGGCGCCTCCCATCCCGGCCAACCACCCTCACCTGCAGGTCCTTGAGCTTCTGCCTCTGGAAGCCATCCACAGTCTCCTCCAGCTGGAGGGTGGTGCGGCTGGAGTCCACAGCGGCCCTCTGCACTCTGGTCTCTGCCTGGCCCCAGGGACACAAGACGTAGAAAGTGTCATGGGGGTGCTTCTGGCCCTTAGACACCTTTCTGAATCACTCTGTCTCTAAACCCTTCTCTCAGGCCAGTTCTCCTGCCTCAAGGGACGTTTCTTGCTAATTGGGTCATCAAAGGAATGGCTGAGTAGGACCCCGGCTGAAGGAGCAGTCACTGGAGTGAGACACACCTGCTTGCTAGCTGTGTGACCTCAGGCAAGTCACTTACCCTCTCTGAGCCTCAATTTCCATGCTTGTAAACAGAAGACAGTAATGAGACTTGCTTAGCAGGGCTGTTGTAGAAATTAAACAGCAGCACCTGCTGAGCCCTTAGGACAGGTGCTCCACGTTCATTGATAATTAATTTCTGCATGAGGAACACATTTAGGTAATTAACTCTTTCGTTCCTTTGATCAACATCTATAGACGCTTACTCCATGCCAAGCCCAGACATGAAGAATCTGGCTTTTAGAGTCAAACACCTTGGAGCTGCGTTTGAAATTTGCCACTTAACTGCCTGTGTGACCTTGGGTAAGTCACCTTTCTTGGTTTCAGATTCCTCTTTAAAATGGGGACTTAAAACCACCTTCGTGTTTGTGAAACGCCTGAGATGGGAAGAGACAGCTGGGGGCTGGCATCTAGGAAGCCCTCAGGAAAGAAGGGAAAGCTGTTGTCACTCAAATAAATGGCTGCAGAGACGGTGGGTGACCCAGGTGGGATCCAGGATAGAATCCGGAGGTGCTCGGGCAGGGCTGTGACCCACATTCGTGTAGGTCAGGACTCCCCACGCTCAGCACTAGTGTCCGGGGCCCTGTGGGAGGTTTAGCGGCATCCAGCATCCCTGGCCTCTTCCCACTGGATGCCAGGTGGTAGGTAGGATAAACGGCCCCCCAAAGATGTCTGCATCCTAATCCCTGGCACCTGTCAATATGCCCCTTCCAAGGCATCGGGGACTTAGGGTAGCAGGTGGAATGAAGGTTGCTAATCAGCCATCCTTGCCATGGGAGATGATCCTGGATTATCTGCTACAAGCAGTGCAATCAAAGGGTCCTTTCAAGTGGAAGAGGGAGGCGGGCAGGTCAGGGGAAAGATGTGACTACAGAGGGAAGGTGCAGGCTGCCAGCTTGAAGACAGGGGAGGGGCCATGAGCCAAGGGATGTGCGTGGCCTCTGGAAGCTGGAAAAGGCGAGGGCGCAGACTCTCCCTGGAACTTCCAGAAGGAACCAGCCCTTTCCACACCTTGATTTGGCCCAGTGGGCCCACGGTGAACCTCTAACCTCCTGAACGGTGAGAGTCCGTCGTCATTTTTCACAACAGTGGGAAGAACTTAACACTTTCTAGCAGAGCTCTCCAATCCTGAGCCAGAAACATCGCCAGAGAGTGAAATGCCCCCAGGTGAGGACCGCTGACTTAGCTCCATCAAGGGGCACTCTTTGTGGCTGGGCCTGTAATCCCAGCATGTTGGAGGCCTGAGGCAGGTGGATCGCCTGAGGTCAGGAGTTCAAGACCAGCCTGGCCAACATGGCAAAACCCCGTCTCTGCTAAAAATATAAAAATTAGCCAGGCACAGTGGTGGGCACCTGTAATCCCAGCTGTTGGGGAGGGTGAGGTAGGAGAATCGCTTGAACCCTGGAGGCGGAGGTTGCAGTGAGCCGAGACTCTGCCACTTGCCCTCCAGCCTAGGCAACAGAGCGAGACTTTGTCTCTCAAAAAAAAGGGGGGGGGCACTCTTTGGATGAGGTCACACACTCAGTCACAAATCAGTTACACATACAGCAGCGGTGACTAGCCCTCCTCCAGCTCTCACTCTACCTCCCGGCCCCTGCATCTTTCCCACGGGGCAGGACAGTAAGACAGACAGCATGCGGGGTCCCTTCCACCTGCTGTGCCCCACGAGCTCCCATAACTGTGTCTCTGTGAGCCCTGGTTTCCTCCTGTAGACGATGGGGATGAGGCTAGCAGTGCCCACCTGATGTGAGCATTAAACAGGTAACTGGAGGGGAAACCGAGGCCCATGGAGGGACTGATGGTATCAATAATGGGACAGAGCCCAGGTCTCCAGACCCCCAGAGCCCCTTTTTACTGGTACCTTTGGCTTTCCCAACCTGAGCGCAAGGTCCTGCACACACCTGCTTCAGACCAGGTAAAGTCTACCTGGCCGTTTTGTGAGGTCGTGTATTTCCTACGTGTGATTCTGCCTGCCCCAGACAGACATGTGACACTCACCTGGGACTGAAAAACGTGCTGTTAAGGAACCAAGTTAAGCCCAGGCAGCCCCGTTGGGGTGGTCCGCCCCCTTCACAGCCCCTGCCCAGCGGGCCCAGGCAAAGAAAACCTCAGAAGACATCAGTGTGAGTGGACACCCTGGCCCGGCAGCCCCAGGCCCCACTTCCAGGGAAGGATACGATCATTTGCTGATCCGAGGGTGACTTCTGCCTCAGTTTCTCCAGTTTTTCCAGTTGTTTGATCTCATGATTTTGGACATGTTTGAATTTCTTGATCTCAGCCTGCAGAAAAGGAGGAGGGTTGTTTCCTGGGATCCCACAGGGCAAGACAGGGATGCCACCCACACCGAGGTGCCCCGGCTCACCCGTGTCTGCTTGATCTGTGCCCCGTAGAGCTTCAGGGGGTTGACCACCTTGGTCTCCAGCCTCTCGACCTGGGGGAGCGGGGACACCAGGGGATCTGAGCGCAGGGTGCTGCCTGCCTCCAGCCTGGGCATATAAAGCAGAGCCGGCACCCGGGAGCCGCGTGTCCAGAGCTGTGCGGCGGGAGGTGGAGCGCGAGGTGCCCTCCCTTTTCCCGGTGTGTTGGAGGCACGGAGCTGGGTTCAGGGCCCGGCTCTGCCTCCCGAGGGCTCCAGCAACGCATTCAGTCTCTCGAAGCCTCATTTCCTCACCTGTCAAATGAGGTCATGGATGCACCTACCAGGGTTTCAGGACAGTAGGAAGATGGTGCCTGGCCCAGAACTCAGGGAGTGTCATCACTGAGGAGGGCAGGACAGGCCCCTGGTGTGTGCTCAGTCTCTCTACACGACAGCCCTGGCCCCGTCTCCCAACTGCCACACAGGGTGGCGATGACAAACCCACTTTGCGGATGAGAAAACTGAGCCTTGCTTTGGGGACAAGACTTTATTGAGAGTCACAGTGGGGCCGGGCGCGATGGCTCACGCCTGTAATCCCAGCACTTTGGGAGGCCGAGGCGGGCAGATCACCTGAGGTCAGGAGTTCAAGACCAGCCTGGCCAACATGGTGAAACCCCGTCTCTACTAAAAATACAAAAAATTAGCTGGGCATGGTGGTGCATGCCTCTAGTCCCAGCTGCTTGGGAGGCTGAGGCAGGAGAATCGCTTGAACCTGCAAGGCTGGAGGTTGCAGTGAGCTGAGATTGCGACACTTCACTCTAGCCTGGGCAACAGAGCGAGACTCCATCTCAGAAAACAAAAAACAACAAAAAACTAAAGCAGCCTCTTGCCAATTTTACAATCGGGAATGTCTTTGTGAGGGCCAGGAGCCGTCTCTGTGAACGCGTAGACATCAAGGAAGATGGCACCCTGTCTCCTGGTGCCCTGGTCTTCCTCTGGTCTCCGTGGGAGTTTAGGGTAGGCTCCTGGCTCCAAGTTCTGCCACCTGCTTGTCACAGAGCCGTGAGAAGTTTTATTTTTCCTTTGGTTAAAGGTAATTAACTAGGCCAGGCATGGTGGCTCATGCCTGTAATCCCAGCACTTTGGGTGGCCGAGGTGGGAGGACAGCTTGACCCCAGGAGTTCAAGACCAGCCTGGGCCACATGGCGAAACCCCATCTCTTAAAATTTTTTTTTTAATAAAATAAAGATAATTAGCTAGTACAGGTGGCCACCCCGTTACCAGGTGAAAGTAGGATGTACTGGTGAGAAATGGGGTTGTCAAGGCCTCTTACTGGGGGACAGTTGTCATCTGTCTTGAGAACATGGGCATCGTGGGTTGTGTCTGCCTGCCTGGAGAAGAGAGTGCCGTTTCTGTCTGTGCGATCTTTCTTGGACTGCCCATGACATGCGTTGCTATCTGGTTTAAAGCTTACTCAATTGTAAAGCTGTTCCATTCTTTGTTTTTTGGTATTTTTTGAGATAAAGTCTTGTACTGTCTCCCAGGCTAGAGTGCAGAGGCATGATCATGGCCCCAGCCTCGACCTTCCAGACTCAAATGATCCTCCTATCTCAGCCTTCTGAGTAGCTGGGACCACAGCTGCTTATTTATTTATTTTAGAGATGGAGTCTTGCTATGTTTCCTAGGCTGATCTTAAACTCCTGGGCTCAGACAGTCTGTCCACCTAGGCCTCCCAGAGTGCTGAGATTACAGGTGTGAGCACCTGGCCCTTTTTTATTCTTTTCTACAATTCATGGTGAGGAGTTTTCTGGGCTGGCAGGAATTTCTATTTTTAATTATTTCCTGAACACCCTGCAGCCTCCTTGCCCCTGACTCCCCACCAGGATTTCTGTTCCTTCCCGAGGCCCTCATAGGCCTTGGATGTGTCTCCTTCGGGGGTTCATGGAGCCCCCAGGGCTGGCTTCCTGGGTTTCCTTGCTTTGTTGACCCTTCATCCGACTCAGCAAAGCCTCCTAGGCTCTCAATCCTGCAGGTGGAGGTGTGACCCTGGAAAGGGTGTAAATGTCCATTGTCGGTGGATGTCTCTGGAGACACACCCATTGGCTGTGGCCACAGCAGGGCTCCTGCAGCCCTCAGGCCTGACCTTGGCATTGGAGCCTGGGTACCCCTCAGCATCCCAGACCCGGGCCGGCAGCACTCACCTGGGCCTGCCGGTAATCCTGCACTTTGGCCAGGTCCTCAGCGAAGCCCCTCATGGTGGCCCGCAGCTCGGGGTTCTCGGAGTTGGCAAAGTCGATGAGCTGCTTGACCAGCTGGTCCGCCTTGTCCCGCAGCCGGGCCGTCTTGCGCGTGTAGGCGGCCAGCAGCGAGCAGAACTGCCCAAAGTACTTCTCGGTGTTGGCCACGGTATTCTCCATCACCCTCACCTGGCTGTCCCTGTGGAGGCGGGGACCTGAGCAGCCATTCTGGGCAGAGATGCAGGGCCCCGGTCATGCCAAGAGCAGACAATAGCTATGAAAACAGGAGCTGCCACCAGCCGGCCTCTGGTGTGGCACGCACATGCCACAGGCTGTCACTCAAGGTGGCAGCATCACGGCCATTGAGGCTGATGAGGGGGATCTGCCTGGGCTGGTCAGTAGTGGGCAGGAATATAAATGCGGGCTTGGCTGCAGACCTGGCCTTTTTTTTTTTTTTTTTGGAGACAGAGTCTTGCTCTGTCACCCAGGCTGGAGTGCAGTGGTATGATCTTGGCTTACTGCAACCTCTGCCTCCTGGTTTCAAGTAATTCTCCTGCCTCAGCCTCCTGAGTAGGTGGGATTACAGGCGCCTGCCACCATGCCTGGCTAATTTTTGTATTTTTAGTAGAGACAGGGTTTCACCATGTTGGCCAGGCTGGTCTTGAACTCCTGACCTCAGGTGATCTGCCTGCCTTGGCCTCCCAAAGTGCTGGGATGACAGGCATGAGCCACCACGTTCGGCCCCAACTCACCTTTAAGGGCTCCCAATCCGGCGCCCCCCTGCAGCAGGTGCGCGATGACTGATCCACCGCATTCAGGCTTCTACGACAGCCAGGGAGGCCTGGCCTCTCCTGGGCCTCCTCACGCCCTCTCCTTTCCCTCATCCCCAGCGTGTAACTGTCCCTGCCTCTCTCCCTGTGACCAAAGTCCCCCGTGCAACCCTCTCATCAAATCCCTGACTCGAGAAACGCCCTGAGGAGCAGCCCTCTGTCCCGACAGACCCTAACTCTCTTGCCACCCTCACTGCAAAACACTCCACATGCACCGCCCTATAAGCAAGGTGCTGCTGGTATCACCATGTGAAAATGCAGTGAACTGAGGCCCAGAGAGGTGAAGCATCTTGCTACCGGTCACACAGCCAGACACAGCCTCTGTTCCCGCAGGTAGGGTCCTCACAGCCCCTGATTCAGCAGCACAGGGGTCAGAAGTCAGACACTGGGGCTCCTAGGCCCCCGACCCCAGGCATGTGCACCAGAATCCCTGGGAGGGGGCCTGAGAAGCTGCGTTTTAAAAACACATCCAGGCTGGGCACAGTGGCTCACGCCTGTCATCCCAGCTCTTTGGGGGGCCGAGGTGTGCAGATTGCCTGAGCTCAGGAGTTCAAGACCACCCTGGGCAACATGGTGAAACCCCGTCTCTACTAAAATACAAAAAATTAACCGGGCGTAATAGCACGCCTGTAGTCCCAGCTACTTGGGAGGCTGAGGCATGAGAATCGCTTGAGCCCAGGCGATGGAGGTTGCAGTGAGCCGAGATCGAGATGGCACCACTGCACTCCAGCTTGGGCTACAGAGTGAGAGTCCATCTCAAAAAAATAAAAGATAAAAACACATTGGTTGCTTGAGAGGTTGCCTGGAATTCGAACCTCAGAGGAACCAGGCGTGGAAATGAACGGGGCAGGGCAGGCAGGTTGTGAGAGCAGGGATGGCATGGGCCGGGGCAGTGTGGACTGGGTCCCCACAGAAGGGGGAGGCCTGGTTGGGGTTGAGGTGTGATGGGGGTTTTCCAGGTGGAGGCGAGAAAGGAAAGGGGATGAATTTGACTCCTCCAGATACACAGGCAGCGATGCTGGAGAAGCAGACGGAGGCCAGATTCTGGAAGCTTCTGTAGTCCCAAGCCCTGTCTTCCCTGAGCTGGATGGAGGTGGAGGCACCGTGGGAGGGAGAGCTCCCCTCACCCCCAACCCCCACCCCAAGCAGCAGGCCCTGCTGCCCTCATCTTTGTTGGTGCCCCGGGCCTCAAAACCCGACTTCCACCTCCCTCACAGCCAGGCTGGCGCTGGCCCACTCACCTGGAGAAGACGATGTTCATTGTGACCAGAGCTTTGGCTGTCCCGGTGCTGGGGAATAAGGACAGGGCCCCAGGGGTCCTGCAGGCCTGGGAGGAGCCGGGCAGGGCTGGGTGCAGCTGTGTGGCCTGGGCTCAAGGGACGCTGCCACCCGGTTGCTAGGCGATGGGGCCGCCCACGGCAGGCCCTAGGAGGAGCCGGTCGCCCGGGCAATGCCTCCCTGAGGCCGGCCTCCCCAGCCTCGCGTTGGCTCAGGAGCTGCTGAGAGAAGAGGGCACCCCACAGAGGCCCACACTCTCCCTTTGAAGATGGAGGCTCTTGTGGAATGGGGCTAGTGGCTGGGGCTCCCCAGGAGGTAGCAGGGAGAGATTTAGGGGGCTCAGGCCTGCGTGCGGCCACATGTGTGGGTCCTGCCCACTGGGCTCCTCCCTCCCTTCAGGGAAGCTGCCTGCCCCGAGCCTGCCACTGGCCTTTCTGGGGTCTAGTCTCAGGTGGGCGGGACATGGAAAAGCTCAGGTGGGGGGTGCAGACACACAGAGTAAACTCGGGCTCCCCAGGGTGGGGCAAGGAACCAGCTCAAAGGAGCGTCTTTCACGTTTTTATCATAATTGCATTGTTTTTTCCCTTATTATAAAAGCATTATCTGCTCACTGTTAGTAAAGTAAGATAATTAAGATACCACAGAAAGAAAATATAAATGCACATGTCAGATTGACTAGCTCAAGTCCAATACATTCCACTAATGGTATGATTTCTATGTCTCAATGTATAGACACTTTACCTTCAGAAAAGAAACATAAAAATCACGACAGTAAGGAACGGGGATGGGAGGCGGGCAGAGGAAGCGGCCCAGGCCTTACTCTGCCGTTCTGTTACTTTGTATGTTTGGAGGCTTTCATTATGGAAATGGAAAGGGTTTTTTGTTTTGTTTTGTTTTTAAAGCATATATAAAAGCAAGGACTTCAGGGTCAGCTAAATACAGGTTCAAATCCCAGACCCCGCTCTGCTGTGTGACCTTGGGCAAGTCCCCTGACCTCTCTGGGCTTCAGTCCCCTCCCCTGCAGAATGGGCTCATGACAGTACTCAGTTAGGAGAAGTAAGTCCCTGGCATGGGGGCGAAGGGACAGACACAGAGGCTGGGGCGGGGACCCAGAACTCATTGAAATTCCCAGTGCACAGGCCCAGGCTGGTGGCGGCTTCCCTCTGTGACCGATCCCCAGGTGCCCACTGGGCTGTGCCGGCTGGCTGGCCCCTCCTCACGCTTCTCCAGTGATCTCATCGTCACACTCTCTCCAATCGTCCCTTTGCAGATGCCCTGCCCTGTGTTCCCCGGAGTCCCCGAACAACGCATGGACCACCCCAGCTCTGTCCCTGCTGGGTCCCCATTCTCTGTCTGGGGCATGAACCCCCACAACCTCCCACGGGATGGCTCTAAGTAGCCCCCTGGGGTTCCACAGTCAGCGTGGCTCCTCCCTTTCTGTGCCAAGCTGTGGGGTGGTGGGGTCCTGTGTCCCCTTTGTGCCGTGCAGCCGTCGCTGAGCGCCAGTCAAGTCCCTCTCCTGCTCTCTGCTTCCTTCACTCTTGGGGGCTGTGCTGGGTGGGAGAGTGTCCCCCCAAATGTATGTCTCCCTGGGGACCTCAGAGTGTGGCCTTATTTGGAAACAGGGTGGCTGCAGATGTGATTGGCTGAGTCGCACCGGAGGAGGGTGGGCCCTGATCCCACCACCGGGGTCCTCATGGGAAGAGGAGACAGAGACACACCCGGGGGAGATGGCCATGCGGCCATGGGGCAGGGACGGGAGCGGCGCAGTGTGAGCCAGGAGCACGGAGAGCTGCCAGGAGCCGGAGACAGCCCCGGAGCCTCCGGAGGGACTGCAGCAGCCTCCGTAGATCCTTGATTTCGGACTCTGTGGCCCCAGAACTAGGAGAGAAGAAACTACTGTCATTTTAAGCCCCCAGTTTGGGGTAATTTTGCTATGGGAGCCCCAGGACACTCACACAGGGTCCAAAGAGAGCAAGCCGTCCTATGGTCTACCCCACAGGGTCTCTCCAGAGCCCCCTGACCTCACCCCTGCCCTTTCCCCTCCTCCAACACACTCCTCCACCCCATCACCTCCCCCCACGTCCACCTCACGTAAATGCTCTGCTCTGTTGCAATTTTGGGTTGTCGGTCCTAAGGGCTGTGGTTTTGTTTGTTTTGTTTGTTTGTTTGTTGAGACGGAGTTTTGCTCTTGTAGCCCAGGCTGGAGTGCAATGGTGAGATCTCGGCTCACTGCAACCTCCCCCTCCCGGGTTCAAGCAATTCTCCTGCCTCAGCCTCCCAAGTAGCTGGGATTACAGGTGCCCGCCACCATGCCCGGCTAAATTTTGTATATTTAGTAGAGATGGGGGTTTCACCATGTTGACCAGGCTGGTCTCAAACTCCTGACCTCAGGTGATCCACCCACCTCGGCCTCCCAAAGTGCTGGGATTATAGGCATGAGCCCCTGTGCCCGGCCCCTTTGAGGGTTGTGTTTTAACTTTCCAGCTGAACAGCCAGGTCCTGGAGAGAGTTTTGGATTATCCCCTTGGTGAATTAATTCCTTCATGCGCCAGCCTCCCGGAGGGTCTTCTGTGTGTCATGTGAGCCAATCCCTTAAGTAAATCGCTGTCCGATTGGTTCTGTGTCTTTGCGGACCCAGCTCTACTAGGACAGGAGAGACCATTTCAAAACCCGTGTCAGGTGTCTGCCCACCAGTTGGCCTGGTCCGCGCTACTGCCGATGGCCACGGGAGGGCAGCAGAGACCCATCTGGTGGAAAACGCTTTGCTGCAGAGGTCAAGTGGGCTGGGCGGTCCCCGGGGAAACCAGAGAAGCAGCT
The DNA here is from genome assembly GCF_000001405.40 of Homo sapiens. Lineage (NCBI taxonomy): Eukaryota > Metazoa > Chordata > Mammalia > Primates > Hominidae > Homo > Homo sapiens. The sequence continues at coordinate 85,115,190 of NC_000016.10, forward strand.
CGTTTCAGAAAAGGCCACCTTAACACAGGGTGGGAGAGAGGAGGGTCAGAGAGGAAGGGCAAAGTTTAATTCACCATCCTAGAAACTTTAAGCATTTTTTAAAAATGAAGGCTGGGTACGGTGACTCACACCTGTAATTCTAGCACTTTGGGAGGCCGGGGTGGGTGGATCACTTGAGGTCAGGAGTTTGAGACCAGCCTGGGCAACACAGTGAGATCCCCGTCTCTATTAAAAAAAAGAAGAAAAAGAAAACCACTTCCTGGTTGGACAACACAGAGACATCTAGCGGCCAGAGAAAGAAAAGTTGAGAAATGGGGGCTGGGGCGAAGTTGGGGGATGCATGAAGCCCTGTGTGCCCCGGTTCAGATGTCATGGGCCTCCTCCCACCCCCTCTCCTGTGTGCCCCCGTTCAGATCCATGGGCCTCCTCCCACCCCCTCTCTCCTATAAATGTTTTTGTATTTATTTTTGTTTTTGTTTTTGAGACAGGGTCTCCCTCTGTTGCGTAGGCTGGAGTGCAGTGGCACGATCTCAGTTCACTGCAACCTCCACCTCCGGGATTCAAGTGATTCTCCTGCCTCAGCCTCCTGAGTAGCTGGGATTACAGGCACGTGCCACCACAGCCCGCCTAATTTTTGTATTCTTAGTAGAGACAGGGTTTCCCCATATCGGTCAGGCTGGTCTCGAACTCTCGACCTCAGGTGATCTGCGCACCTCGGCCTCCCAAAGTGCTGGGATTACAGGCATGAGCCACTGCACCTGGCCCTGTAAATGTGTTTTTGGGGAACCACATGGGAGAGGGTTGCAGACATCAAGAAATCCAGGGAGCACCTCCAAAGAGTAAGGACGTCTCCCGCAGGTCCACCTGTGACTCCACACCCAGGAAATTCACACGGCCGTGCTGGCATCTGACACTGTCCATAGGCTCACTTGCCACATCCAGCCGCTGCCGTCATGGCAGCCGGTTTTCCCCGGATCCAGGGGGGTCTGCAATGACTACCTGGGTCTACATAGTCTCCTGGAATCAGAAACTGTTCTCAGTTTTTTTTGTTTTTGTTTTCGTTTTTTCTAAGATGGAGTTTTGCTCTTGTCACCCAGGCTAAGGTGCAATGGCACAATCTCAGCTCACTGCAACCTCCGCCTCCTGGGTTCAAGCCATTGTCCTGCATCAGCCTCCTGAGTATCTGGTATTACAGGCGCCCACCACCATGCAGGGCTAATTTTTGTATTTTTAGTAGAGACGGGGTTTTACCACGTTGGTCAGGCTGGTCTCAAACTCCTGACCTCAGGTGATCTGCCCACCTCGGCCTCCCAAAGTGCTGGGATTACAGGCATGAGGCATGGTGCCCGGCCTCTCAGCCTTTTTTCATTCATGATATTGACTTTGGTTTTTTAAGTTTCTGTAACTTTTTATTTTGAAATAATTTCAGTTGTGCAACAATAATATAAGAACTCCTTCACCCAGATTCCCCGGTTGTTGACATGTTACCACGTTTGTTTCATGATTCTCTCTGCCCCTCTCTCTCTCTCATGTGTATTTTATTTTCTGAACCACTTGAGAACAGTTGCAGACCTGAAGCCCCTTTGCCCAAATATTTCATATGTGTTTCCCAAGAACAAGACCAGTCTCTTACATAACCACAGTAAGAGTATCAACGTCAGAAAATTCACTCTGTTATGTTCCATTCCCCAATCTACAGACTTCATTCAGATTCTACAGTTGTCTCAATAACACCGTTTTAGCAAACAGGCAAGCCATTGTCTCCTGGCCCAGGACAGCCACCCGCTGCCTTTAGCAGGCGCGATACTGACGTTTTGGGGACTCTGAGCCAGTTGTTTTGGGCAACATCCCTCGGTGCCCATTTTCTCGAGCACCGATTCAGGCTGAGGTCATGGCAGGATGGCTCAGAGGTGCCCCTGGGCCCTGCCTCTGTTTTATTTTATTGTATTTATTTATTTTATTTTATTTTATTTTTTGAGATGGAGTCTCGTTCTGTTGCCCAGGCTGGAGTGCAGTGGTGGGATCTCGGCTCACTGCAAGCTCTGCCTCCCGGGTTCACCCCATTCTCCTGCCTCAGCCTCCTGAGTAGCTGGGACTACAGGTGCCCGCCACCACACCCAGCTAATTTTTTTGTATTTTTAGTAGAGATGGGGTTTCACCGTGTTAGCCAGGATGGTCTCGATCTCCTGACCTTGTGATCCGCCCGCCTCGGCCTCCCAAAGTGCTGGGATTACAGGCGTGAGCCATCGCGCCCTGCATCTGCCGCTGCCTCTGTTTTGTAAGACTCTCTACCCTAGATGCTTCTAGGCCACCTTTTCCCACATGACATAATTTCCAGCCTCCTCCCACCACCCATCTGCAGAGCGTCAGTCCCAGAGGCCGCCCACCGCCTGGAATTTCGGGTGGACCAGCCTGGCCAACATGGTGAAATTTGAAGCCCCATCTCTACTAAAAACACAAAATTAGCTGGGCGTGGTGGCACACACCTTTAGTCCCAGCTACTTAGGTGGCTGAGGCATGAGAATCACTTTAATCCAGGAAGCGGAGGTTGCAGTGAGCCAAGATCACGCCACTGAACTCCAGGCTGGGTGACAGAGCGAGACTCTGTCTCAAAAAGAAAAATAAATAAAATAACATTTATTGCGCTCTTAAACTGTGCTGGGCCCTGGGCTAAGGGTTTCACACATGCCCATCAGCAATTGGTATTATGCAAAAGAATTACCAACCTCATGTCAGGACTTGTCCCAGCCCTTCGCCATAGCAGGTCCCCTCACCACCTCTCTGTAAATGACTGCAACCCCTCCCCAACCAAAAGATAGTACAGGAATAGTATTGGCCACAAGTAAGAGAAAACCCCAAATACTCATGTCTTTAAAAAGATGAGAATTTATTTCTCACGTCTGTGAGGCTCCATGATGTTGGGACCCAGGCTTCTCCTATCTCATTCTTCTATCAATTTCTATTCCTGGAATTGCTTCATGGTCCAAAATGGCTGCTGGAACTCCAGCCATTGCACCTACCATCTAGCCAGCAAGAAGAAGGGAGGGGCAAAGGAGACCATGCCCCTTTCTTTTTTTTGAGACTGAGTCTTTCACCCAGGCTGGAGTACAGTGGCGTGATCCTGGCTCACTGCAACCTCCACCCACCGGACTCAAGCAATTCTCCTGCCTTAGTCTCCCTAGTAGCTGGGATTACAGGTGTGTGCTACCATGCTGGCTAATTTTTGTATTTTTAGTAGAGACAGGGTTTCACCATTTTGGCCAGGCTGGTTTCAAACTCCCAAAGTGCTGGGATTACAGGAGTGAGCCACTGCGCCTGGTCATGCCCTTTTCTTTACTGAAGCTATGCACATCACTTTGTGCTCACATCCCGTTGGTTAGAACTTAGTCACATGACCACACCTAGCTGCAAAGGAGGCTGGGAAATGTAATCTCAGGTACAGGCTCAGGTACAAATCAGGGATTATGTCCAGGGTAGACCAGGCTGCAGGGCTCCACTCTGGCTGGGCTGATGGCCATTCACCTCCTCAGGGGCTCTGTCGGCACTCATAGCTGCTAAAGCCCCAGCCTCGGAGCAGTTTGTGTAGACTCCCTCAGCCACTCCTGCAGGGGACCACAATCAGGCTGGGGAGCTTGGCCAACGCCCCTTGTTCCTGAGACCTTCGGGCTCATGAGCTGACCATGCCCCAGCGACAGGCCTGGTGTCCCATCTTCCTCCAGGCCAGCAGTGACTGCAGGGTCCCCGGGGTTGTTGTCATGTTTTTGGTGTGCCTCGCTGCCTGCCTCCAGTCTCAACCAAATAATTTGGAAGGGCGTTCAGAATTCTTCGAGTGAGCAGAAAAAAAGACAAACCAAAATGGCTGGGCATGGTGGCTCACGCCTGTAATCCCAACACTTGGGGAGGCCAAGGTGGGCGGATCACCTGAGGTTGGGAGTTTGAGACTAGCCTGGCCATCATGGTGAAACCCCATCTCTAATGAAAATACAAAGACTAGCTGGGCATGGTGGCAGGCACCTGTAATCCCAGCTACTCGGGAAGCTGAGGCAGGAGAATCGCTTGAACCTGGGAGGTGGAGGCTGCAGTGAGCCGAGATCGCACCATTGCATTCCAGCCTGGGTAACAGCACGAGACTCCGTCTCATAAAACAAGCAAGCAAACAAACAAAACCCCAAAATATGTTTCCCTTTGGAAAACCCAGTGATTATGTCAAAAGCTGGTGACAAAGGAAGCGAGGAAGTGGCTGGCATCACTGCGATGTGGGTTTACGAAACAGGCTGGGGTGGAGGCCCTGGAGAAAGGTGAATGGGACCTGGCAGGGGCTGGGCGGAGGCTCAGGAGTCATGGGATCAACTTCCACCTTAGCCACGGGTGTGCTGTGTGGCTCTGGGCAGGTCACTTTGTCTCTCTGAATCTCATTTTCTTTCTTTTTTTAATTTTTGAGACAGGGTCTCACTCTGTCACCCGGGCTGGAATGCAGTGGTGAGATTTTGGCTCACCGCAACCTCTGCCTCCTGGGTTCAAGCGATCCTCACACCTCAGCCTTCCAAGTAGCTGGGACCACATGCACACATCACCACACCCAGCTAATTTTTTGTATTTTTGGTAGAGACAGGGTTTCGCTATGTTGTCCAGGCTGGTCTCCAACTCTTGAGCTCAAGCCATCTGCCCGCCTCGGTCTCCCAAAGTGCTGGGATTACAGGACTAAGCCACCGAGCCTGGTCTCATTTTCTTATTTGTATAATGAGAGAGTGGGGCCTAGTGAGGCCTAGCGCCCTCCCAGCCCTGACACCCTGGGGCCCCATCCCACATCCCAGAACATCTTGCACCCTGACCTCCATGCAGCCTTCTGAGCAACAGGGAAAGGCCTCTGTTCCCAGCTTGGAGCTCCCCACAAAACGCCCCGCACGTGGGACCATGCAGGTGCTGTCTTCCTCTCCTGTCTCTCCTCTGCTGGACTCTTGGCAGCACAAACATTTCCACCGAACAGGAAAAAAGCCTGTTCCCCTCCTAGGCAAAGAGAAGGCAATTTAGAAGCAGTTTGCAGCTCCCCAGGACAGGAGATAAAGGGAAGGATGGTGGTGAAAGTAAGCCTGAAGTTGCATTTTTTACAAAGCTGTTTTTCCTCCTAATTATTATTATTTTCTTTTTTCAGAGGAGTCTTGTTCTATTGCCCAGGATGGAGTGCAGCAGCATGATCTCGGCTCACGGCAACCTCCGCCTCCCGGGTTCAAGCGTTTCTCCTGTCTCAGCCTCCCAAGTAGCTGGGATTACAGGCATGTGCCACCATGCCCAGCTAATTTTTGTATTTTCAGTAGAGACAGGGTCTCACCATGTTGCCGAGGCTGACCTCTAACTCCTGAGCTCAGGTGATCCACCCACCTCGGCCTCCCAAAGTGCTGGGATTACAGGCGTGAGCCACCGTGCCCAGCCTTTCCCTCCCTGATTATGTAGTAAATCCAGAAATACAGGTAGAAAGTACAGGAGGAAAAGTGCATAATCCCACATCCAGAGATACCCGTGGGTAACAGAGGATGCATTTCTCTACAGTCTTTAGGAAATAATTGATATGATTTCGTAATTTTGACATCACAGGCATTCTCATATGCTAATATAATAGTTGTTATTTTTCTTTTTTCTTTTTCTTTTTTTTTTTTTGAAATGGAGTCTCGTTCTGTCGCCCAGGCTGGAGTGCAGTGGCGTGATCTCGGCTCACTGCAAGCTCCGCCTCCCAGGCTCATGCCATTCTCCTGCCTCGGCCTCCCGAGTAGCTGGGACTACAGGCGCCCGCCACCACGCCTGGCTAATTTTTTGTATTTTTAGTAGAGTCGGGGTTTCACCGTGTTAGCCAGGATGGTCTCCATCTCCTGACCTCATGATCCGCCCACCTTGGCCTCCCAAAGTGCTGGGATTACAGGCGTGAGCCACTGTGCCCGGCCAATATTTGTTATTTTTCTATCTTTTTATTTAAAAAGATTTCAAATACATAGAACAATGAAAAAAAGAAGAGCATGCAGTTTGTGGCCCACCCTCTGGATTTGATGGGTGTTGGCGTCTGCACAGTGATCAAGCTCGTTTTAGTGGCTGGGTGGTATTGCACTAGGGCACACGTGTCTGGGCTCGGTCAGTTACTGAATGAATATGTATTAAGCGCCCACTCTGTGCCCAGCAATCTCACAGGCTTTGGGGCCTCGTCAGTGAACAAAATAGTCATGTGTTTGCTCAAAGGACACTCTATCTAGGAGCGTGGGGAGATGTAAAGGAGCCCTTAGGCATGGGAGAAGTGAAATTTCCAATGGTGGAAGGCCGTGTGCGGGTCAGCCAGTCCTCCCTAGTACTCGGGCGTCTTTGGGATGGTGGAAGGGTTTTCATGAGGACTTTTTGGCCAACAGTTTGGGACCTGTTTCCTCTGTAGTATGAAATTGCCAGGGCCTTCCCCAGCCAGCAGGAAGCCAGCGACAAGCATCTGTTGGTAGGATGCTACCTCCGAGGCACCCAGCCCAGGGACCCCTGAAAGCCAGCCGCACAGCAAAGTGAGCCAGGCTGGCACTGCCACTGTCCACAGTGAACTGGGAAGAACATGGAAAATGCGAACTGACAAAGCGACAAAGTGACAAAAATTTAAATTGTTTTAAATTTTTAAAACAATTTAGGGGCTGGGCACGGTGGCTCATGCCTATAATCCCAGTATTTTGGGAGGCCGAGGCAGGCAGATCACCTGAGGTCAGGAGTTCGAGACCAGCCTGGCCAACATAGTGAAACCCCATCTCTACAAAAAAAAACAAAAAAAAAAATTTAGCCAGGCATGATGGCAGGTGCTTGTAATCCCAGCTACTCGGGAGGATCACTTGAACCCGGGAGGCGGAGGTTGCAGTGAACTGAGATTGTACCATCGCACTCCAGCCTGGGTGACAGAGTGAGACTATATCTCAAAAAAAAAGAATTTAGGGATTTGTATTCCTTCATTTGTGGTAGTCTTGTGTGTCTTGTTGGGTACAAAATGGTAGTGGTTGTGTTACTTTTTTTTTAAAATGTCCTTGCTTAAGGCTGGATGTGGTCGCTCACACTTGTGATCCCAGCACTTTGGAAGGCTGAGGGAGGAGGATTGCTTGGGTCTAGGAGTTTGAGAACAGCCTGCAGAACAAAACAGACCCTGTCTCTACAAAACAGTTAAAAAAAATTAGCTGGGTATGGTGGTGCACGCCTATAGTCCCAGCTACTTGGGAAGCTGAGATGGGAGGATCACTTGAGATCCCAGAAGGTGGAGGCTGTAGTGAGCCAAGATTGCGCCACAAAAATTAGCCAGGTGTGGTAGTGGGTGCCTGTAATCCCAACTACTTGAGAGGCTAAGGCAGGAGAATCACTTGAACCCAAGAGGCAGAGGTTGCAGTGAGCCAAAATGGTGCCACTGCATTCCAGCCTGAGCCACAGAGTAAGACCCTGCCTCTGAAAAAAAAAAAAAAAAAAAAAAAAGGCCGGGCATGGTGGCTCATTCCTGAAATCCCGGCACTTTGGAAGGCCAAGGCAGGTGGGTCACTTGAGGTCAGGAGTTCGAGACCAATCTGGACAACATAGTGAAACCCATGTCTACTAAAAATACAAAAATTAGTTGGGCGTGGTGGTGGGTGCCTGTAATCCCAACTACTCGGGAGGCTGAGGCGGGACAATCGCTTGAACCAGGAGGTGGAGCTTGCAGTGAGCCGAGATCATGCCACTGCACTCCAGCCTGGGCGACAGAGCAAGACTCTATCTCAAAAAAAAAAAAAAAAAAAAAAAATCAGTACCAAGAAACATTTATTTAAAACTCCAAAAAGTGAAGTCTCCTTATCATACCATTTTATTCAAAGAAAGAATACTGTCACACCAATTTTTTTTTTAATAAAAGGACAAAAGGCATAAGGTTAGAAGCTCCTGAAGTGGTAAAAAATAACAATTTAAAAAAAAAACAACCTTAGAAGCAAGGCCAGCTGCCCTCACCTCTTATATTCTAAACACTATGCACCAAAATCTCAGAAGTCACCACTAAAGAGCGTATTCATGTAACCAAACACTACCTATTCCTCAAAAACCTATTGAAATTAAAATTAATTAATTAATTAAATATTCAGAGCCCTCCCCACCATCCCCACTTTTTTAAAAATTTGAGGTACAGTCTCGCTCTGTCACCCAGGCTGGAGTGCAGTAGCACGATCTCAGCTCACTGCAACCTCCACCACCTGGGTTTAAGCGGTTCTCCCGCCTCAGCCTCTCAAGTAGCTGCTATTACAGGCATGCGCCACCACACCCAGCTAATTTTTCTGTATTTTTAGTAGAGATGGGGTTTCACCATGCTGGCCAGGCTGGTCTGGAACTCCTGACCTCAAGTGATCTGCCCACCTGGGTCTCCCAAAGTGCTGGGATTACAGGCGTGAGTCACTGTGCCCAGCCTCCGAGCCCTTATTTTCCTCCTCTGTCTTGAGCTTCCGATAACTCTGGCCCAAGTCATCACCGACCCCCAGCCCCCATTTTAGGGACTGCCACAGCCAAACTGCTTGGTTCCAATCCCAGCTCCGCCACCTACCAGCTGTGAATTGTGGACTGGTTCTGACTTGCTGTGGGCCTCAGTTTCCTCATCTGTAAAATAGGAATAGAGCCCCCCTCCTCTCCCCAGTGGAATAGAGAATAATGCGGTGCCTCACCGGGGCCTGGGGCGTAGCACGTGCTCACTGAGCGGTGGCTGGTTTTACTCTGCCTCCTCCTCCGCGCCTGTCCTGGAGAGGAGACACCGGCTGGGCCTGGGATGGGAGCCTTCCCGCAGGGAGGGAAGGCCGGGAGTGTGAGCAAGGAAAGTGGGAAGGTCCCTGATACAAGCTCTGCTGACTTCAGGGTTCTGCTGAGACCACAGCCACCAGCCAAGCCGCCTCTGTCAGAGGGAACAAAGGGTGACCTCCCTGCAGGCTCCCCGATTCCACAGGAACGACTCACAGCCTCGGCCTCGGGGCTTTGTGAAACCTTCTTTAAACAATAAGTGCTGAGCTGGGCGCTTCCTCTCTCCAGAGCGGCCCGGGCACATCCGCTCCAATGAGGTGACGTGTCCGTGCATTTGGCCGGGACGACCACCTCAGAGGCCAAGGCGCGGGGACTGGGCCCCAGCCAGGCCGGGGTGCCGTCCAGGAAGGAGACACTGCTTCCCGTGGGCCTGGCACGGTCACTCCCCCGCTGCCCGCCCCACCTCGGGACCAAGTCCCCCCCAGGGGGGCCCGCTGTGATGACGACGTCCAGCCCCAGGGGGCCTGAAGTGAGGACAGGTCATCAGATGGGCCCTGGGAAATTTCCACACGATGGCAATTTTGTGATGGTTTCTTGGACTTCTCTAAATGATAAAAAATCCTTGGAACTCAGAGCCACATGCAGTCAGGATGGCTGCGCTTGCACTTTAGGAGTTCTTGAGCTACTCACTCATTTAACGCATTTTTATGGAGCAATTGCTCCGGGCTTGGCTCTGAAGGCCCAGTGGTGGACGTGACAGGTGACAGGCATGCGTGGGCCCTGCCCTGCTGGAGCCAGTCTCATGAGAGCCCCCAGTTAGACAAGCACATGCCAGTGAAGGGCCACATGGCACTGAGAAGCTGCTTCACTCCCACCAGTGCAGCAGCTGGGGTCATACAGACTGACGACAACAAGTGTGGGTGAGGATACAGAGAAATTGGAACCCATCTTTGTGGCAGGTGGGGATGACAGTGGTGCAGCTGCAGTGGAAACGGTCTGGCAGCTCCTCAAAAGGTTTAAACACAGAGTTAGCACGCAGCCCAGCAATTCCACTCCTAGGCTTATACCTAAGACGAATGAGAGCATCTGTTCACACCAAAACCTGTCCACAAATGTTTATAACAGCAATATTCTTAAGTAGCCAACCAGTGGAAACCACCAGATGTCCATCCATTGATGAAGAGATAAGGTGTGGTACGTCCACACAGTGGAATATTATTCAGCCACGAAAAGGAATGAAGTGCTGAGTCATGTTATAGTGCGGATGAATCGTGAAAACATGCTAAGTGAAAGAAGCAGTTCACAGAAGACCTGCAGGGCATAGGTTTCCATTTACAAGAACTGTTCAGAACAAGAACATTCATAGAGATATAAAGTGGATGCATGGTTGCCTGAGGCTGGGGGGCAGGGGGAGAGGGGATGGGGTGACTGTTAAGTGCATGGGATCTTTTGGGGTGATGAAAATGTTCTGGAAGTAGACAGTGGTGATACTCGAGCACCCTTGTGAATATATGAAAAACCTCTGAATTGCACACTTTAAAATTGTTAATTTTATGGCATATGGATTATAGCTCCATTTTTTTTCAGCAGACAGAAGGGCCAGGGCCGGGAGCTTTCAGTCTATGTGGGCTCTCTCAGCTCACAAATCCAGGAAAGCATATACCGTATTAATTCCTTTGAAGCTTTCCAGCCTTTTGAAGGCAATGACCGTAGCCCCATCTTCAAGGTCTTCTTGCTGAGGGCTATTTCTGTGGCTCTGGGCTGCCCAGGGAAAGTGCTGGCACACTGTGAGCACAGTGAGTGCTCAGAAAGGACAGGCGTGTTGGAAGCGGCAGGCAGGGTCTGGAACAGCCACCTTTTGGCTTCTCTCCAGAGTTCTCAGCGCCACCCAAATCTATCTAGCCTCAACGCCAACCCCTGCTGGACCTCTCAGCTCAATTGTAGCACCTTTTAATGAAAGACACTGGGAAGTGTACTGCCAGGTACTGTTGGGCAGTTTGTTCACTGTGCAAGCAGCATTTATCGAACTCCTACCATATGCCAGAAAGCTTGCTTAGCACTTTGCCTAAACTGAACCTTGTTTCATCCTCACACTCACTCTTTGGTGAGGGAGTCATTAACCTCAGCTTCTGAAGGCAGGAGCCTTGGGAAGCTTTGTGAGTCCCTCAAATTCACACTCTTTCCCTGGCTGCATCGGGGGCAACCCTGGCAGGCCCCAGTTCTTCAGCAAAGCAAGGCCTGCCTCGCCACTGGGAAGGGCCAGGAAGCCTCTCACGCCAGACCTGCCATGCCCAGGGAGTCCCGGGAGCCTGGGACCCGCCCGAAGCTGGGGCTCAGCTGTGGGAGGCACAGTGGTGAGACTCTCAGGACAGGGGTCAACAGGACCTGGGTCCAGCCTTCCTGACTCTGTTCGTCGGCAAGTTGTTGAATCTGTCTGGGCCTTGATTTTTCTCGTGTGTTCAATGGGCAGTGACAACATCACTTCTAGAATTGCTTGGGGATGAAATGACATAACACACGCAAAGCGCTTAGCTCACGGAGGAACCCCTAATGCCTATCAGCGTTCAGAGGCATGTGCTGGTTACTTTTCCCCACCATCCACGAGGGCAGGGCCTCAGCTGTCTCGTTCACAGCAGTTCCTGGTGCCTGGCGCCGTGCCTGGCACATGGCACTCAATAAATATTTTTGAACAAATTAATGAACGAATGAATTAGTGAACGAGGGCTACTTAGTACCGGGTGCTGCCCACAGACTTCAGATCTGCCGCTGGAAGTCACCAGACTCCTCCTAGAAGAGGCCACAGCCCCCAGTGCCCCACCCCAGCAGGGGTCAGATTCTCCCTGGGTGGTCCTGCTCAGAAAACACGGCTGGGGGAGCTGCCAGGCGGCAGGGGGTTGGGGGAGTCCCAGCCTCTCCTGTTTCTTCGGCCTTGCGGGCGCCGTGACCTTCCCCACCTGGCCCTGTCCGTCTTGCTGGCTGCCCTGGCCACCAGGGAGCCCGCAGTGCCTGCCCCGGCTCCCCTTTCACACGGAGAGGGGCGCCTTCTCCATCTGTACGGCCTCACCGGGACTTTCCTCCCCAGCTCTCAGGTTACATTCCATTCACAAAAAACAGTCCAGATTGTAAGATGTGTGAGCGAATTATAAGGAAAAAAGCGAGGTGGAAAAATGTGGTCAGAGAGTGAGCTAGCTGGGATCGGGGCACAGGAAATTGTTCCACCCACCCCCTTCCACCCACCCACACACATGCCCGGGGCCAGCTGGAAGCCTTTCCATCTGCTGCGTGGGCTTCCAGGCTCAGGGCTGCCCGCTCTATGCAGGGGGGTTGGTGGGGTAGGGAGCGGGGGAGGGGACACTGAGCAAGAGAGGCAAAGAGATTCAGTGGCAGAGGCTCTAATTAACAACCACTCCATTATGTCCTCTTGGCCAAAGCTGCCAGGTACTGTTGGGCAGGTTGTTCACTCTGCAAGGGTGCTTGGCTCCATCCAACAAGCCATGTGCCCTGGCATAAGGCTCTGTCTGCCCAGCGGGGGACATCTTTTCCTCACACACACAAAGGTAGCTCATGCACTGGTGGTCTCGGCTCATAAATCTTCACTTCTAAAATGCTTAAAATAGAACTTTGCTCAATGTGACTCTCTCACTCCAAGACTCTCCATGGCTCCCACTGATCTACAGGATAAAAATAGCAGCACATTTCCTGATGACTGCCTGTGTGCCTGGACTGTGCCAAGGGGTTTCGTGTGCAATGCCCCTTCTCCACCACCACAGACAATTCTTATGAACAGGTCTACAAAAAACTACATAAAATATATATGTACTGTTTAGTAAAAAAAAAAATTTTTTTTTTTTGAGACAGAATCTCACTCTGTTGCCCAGGCTGGAGTGCAGAGGCACAATCTCGGCTCACCACAACCTCCGCCTCCCGGGTTCAAACGATTCTCCTGCCTCAGCCTCCCAGGTAGCTGGAACTACAGGCGTGCACCACCATATCCGGCTAATTTTTGTATTTTTAGTAGAAACCGGGTTTCACTATGTTAGTCAGGCTGGTCTTGAACTTCTGACCTCATGATCCACCCGCCTTGGCCTCCCAAAGTGCTGGGATTACAGGCATGAGCTACCACGACCTTCCCTGTTTAACAAATTACAAACAAATGCCTTTACCCCTCACAACAATAGTGTGAGGTAGCCACTGTTACCATTGCATTTTCCAGGTGAGGAAGCGGAGACACTGAGAGGTGAGTTGCAGGCCTGAAGTCACACAGGAGGTACAGGCAGGATTTTGTTTTTCGAGACAAGGTCTCTCTCTGTCATGCAGGCTGGAGTTCAGTGGCACAGTCACAGCTCACTGCAGCCTTGACCTCCTGGACTCAAGTGATCCTTCCGCCTCAGATTTCAGAGTAGCTGGGACTACAGGTGTGGGCCACCACACCCTGCTAATTAAAAAATAATAATAATAATAAATTAGCGCTATGAGGTCTCGCTGTGCTGCCCAGGCTGGTCTTAAACTCCTAGCCTCAAGTGATCCTCCTGCCTCAGCCTCTCAAAGCTGGGATTCCAGGCACGAGCCACCACAGCCACCCAGAGGCAGGATTTGAACCCAGGCCTCTGGCTGCAGAAGCCCACAGGGGACCTCTGCTGCTTCATCTCAGTGCCCACAACAACCTTGCCAGGGGCCTCTCTCCTTGTCCCCATTTTTCAGATGTGGACACTGAGGTCCAGAGGGAGCGACCCCTTATTCAGGGCCAGCATTGAAGAGGCTGCACTTTACCACCGCACTGTCCCCTTGCCTACAGCAGGTGCCGAATTGATGTATGTTTGAGTGAAAGTGTGGGCTGCTTTAAACCACACCACCAGCCCTGTCCCTCTCCAGGTGGTTTTGTAAGGGACAGCAGGACAGATACTTTACTCCTTGTTAAGTCCCTTCAGACACTGGGCCTGATCCAGGCCCTTCAGCCCCTCCAGGTTCTTGTCTGATTTTCCTGGTGTGCAGGAGAGATATGACTCCAGGCAGAGCCTAAAGGCTGCAACCTTAGCCTCCCACAGGACGGCAAACTTTACTGCGCTTTGCACGGGGAGAACCTAAATGGCATAGAATTGCAAACAGTGGGACCGTCTTCAAAGCTAAACGAAGCCGGGCGCGGTGGCTCACACCTGTAATCCTAGCACTTTGGGAGGCCGAGGCAGGCGGATCACTTGAGGCCAGGAGTTCGAGACCAGACTGGCCCACATGGTGAAACCCCGTCTCTACTAAAAATATAGAAAATTAGCTGGGCATGGTGGCTTGCACTTGTAATCCCAGCTGCTTGGAAGGCTGAGGCAGGGGAATCCTTGAACCCGGGAGGCAGAAGCTGCAGTGAGCTGAGATTGCACCATTGCACTCCAGCCTGGGCAAGAAGAGGGAAACTGCATCTCAAAAAAAAAAAAAAGCGAAATGAGCCAGGATCGAAATCCCATCCCTGGCCTTTGAGAAAATGACTCCGCTGCTCCATTTCCTCACCCACAGAATGGGATGAGCTCTTTCTCCTTGGGTCTGTTGTTGGGATTAAACCATGCACTTGGCCGGGCGCCGTGGCTCATGCCTGTAATCCCAACACTTTGGGAGGCTGAGGCAGGCGGATCACTTGAGGTCAGGAATTCTAGACCAACCTGGCCAACATGGTGAAACCCCGTCTCTACTAAAAATACAAAAATTAGCTGGGTGTGGTGGTGCACGCCTGTAATCCCAGCTGCTCAGGAGGCTGAGGCAGGAGAATTGCTTGAACCCGGGAGGCAGAGGTTGCAGTGAGCTGAGATGGCGCCACTGCACTCCAGTCTGGGCCACAGAGCAAGACTCTGTCTCAAAAAAAGCAAAAAACAAAAAAACCGGACAAACCAACCATGCAGTCTTCATAACATGCCTGGGAGCATGTTGGCACACAGTAGATGCACAATAATTGCTCTCTTTCCCTGTCTTCATGCCGGCAGAGCAGGGGCACAGATCTGGTGGTTTAAACCATATCGGGGACTGCTTTTCACATTGAGTCCTTACCCACGTGGCCCAATGAGGCTCATTCCTGTTCATGGATTTTTTTCCCTGCTGCATCTGTCAGTATCATAAATACTTGCAAAGGGAAGAAAAAAAAATTCCCCCAGACTTGACGTCAACACAAACAGCCCTAATTGGTCCTGGAGCCTCATAATTCTCAGATTGTCTTGACCATGTGTATCTAGGAAATTCACAGCGGCAAAGGTGAAGGGTGTTTTCATTCGTAAATTGAAGTGAAGGCTTTGTCTCCAACTGAAATTTGGCTCCAACCCCTCACCTTGGGTCGCTTTTTCTGTGTGTGTGTGCAGAAATCTGACTTATCGCTTTCTTAGGGGAAGGAGAAAAGGCATGAATATTTAATTATTCTGCTGCCAAGAAAGGAGGGTTCGGAGCTAGATGAGGAAAGAGCTAGGTTTTTCTCTTCCAGGCCAAGGCAGGGCCCAAAACAGCCCTTCGGATTCTCCCCTGCCCTCCCTCTTTTTGTCATTTTGGGGGTGCCACAAGCTGTCCTGCTCTGCTTTCCCGGCCTCTCTATTTTTGGAAAGCATCAGCTGTTGGGTGAGTTTCATTAATTTCCGGTCAGATCTTCTGAGCTCCTTGGCATGTCTTGTTTTGTTCACAACAAACTTCAGAGAAGGAGGAGGAGGGAGAGGAGAGGTGAGGCCCAAGCTCGCTTTTGGCCAAAGAATTGCCAGCCGAGAGGGAAGGGGGGCCTGTGGCT